>NC_000005.10:134909807-135558785 GCF_000001405.40 Homo sapiens | reverse complement strand
TTCTAGGAGTCTATCCTCAGGGAAGACTTTCAGTGGAAGAAATTGATAGCTGCATGGAGATGTTCACTGAAGCATCATTTACCACAGGTAAAAATAAATAAATAAAAATAAAAGGAAACTGAATACTCAAAGGTCAGGATACAAGTAAGTATATTATAGCACACAATTTTACTAAGTATATGTAGCTAGTGAAACTATTCGTGTGAAAACTGTAGAAATGTTTATTCAAATATTTGTTGAACACCAATAATAATTTGCTGCGTTTTGATTATGGGCTGTTTTGCATGCTTCCTGACATTTCATCCTGGAATCATTTAAATGTTAGGTAGTTTTTTTTACAATCCTTTTTTAGGCGAGTAATCTAGGGCTTAGAGAAATTTATAACTTTTTGATGAAAGTGGCAGACGAAGGATTTGAACCTAGTAGTCTGAGTGCAAACTCTAGACACATGCCCATTCTGCTGCACACCACAAACCAGGTGAGCTGCTGAGAGAGCCTCCTAAGTTATGCGTATAGGCAGCGCATGGCCTTTGTGGGAGCTGCTTTGTCTGTTCAGATGTCCTTTCTGGCTCACGTTCTAGGGGGAGGCGGCGGAAGGGGGTTTTATTCAGCATCTACCAGGGGCCAGGCCCTGTACTAGGTACTTGGTTTCCACTGTCTAATTTTTCCTTTGCAGTGATCCCTAGGGGGGAGATGTCACAATCCCTTTCCATTTATAAGGAAGATCGAGACGTTTGCTCAAGGTCAGGGGCACCAGCCCCTTATTCACATGTGTAACCAGCAGATGAACAGGGGAAACCATGGAGACCCGCTCAGTCAGAGCAGAGTATAGGGAGCTGGGAATGGTCTGCGGTAGTGGGCGGAGAGGGGGCTTTCAAAGATGGGCAGAAGGGTATCTGCACTATAAATCAAGGGTGGGCACAATGGAGAGAACAACTATATTATATAAATGGCTACCGTTATTGCCTTCATACACTATGCCAACAGTATCCATGATTATCTCACCTCATCCTAATAATTGGCCTCCAATCCAGGCGTTATTATTCCATTTTACAGATTAGGACACCCAACAAGTCAGTGACACACCAGCCTACAAAGCTAAGTAAAGATCCATCCTCTCTCCACTGCAGCAGGCAGCCTCCCCAGCACCCAGCAAGCGCCACCCCTGGAGGGTTGAGTCTGTGGTGTGTGTCTGAGCACTGGGAATGGAGGGGGCTGGGATGGTGTACCCCATGCGGCTCCTAGGGTCCCAAGATTCCAAACAGCAGCAGCACAGCTGGTGAGAGACAGTAGCCTAGTGCCCCTCTAATTGTCCCTCTTTGTGGTGTTCAGTTAAGGACTCAGAAGAAACCAATCTTTGTATCTTTTCATGGTTAAAATTCTACATAGAACTGAAACCTGAAAGCAGCCACCAAGCCAGTCTTTGTTGGGTTTCTAGGCAGTAAGGACGCTGCATCTCAACACTTAGCACTCTGAGAGAAAGGGACTCGGTGATTCAAAGGGGAACTCAACAAGAGCCTTTTTCTCCCAAGTCCTGGCAATTTCCGACTCACTTTTAATCCCCGGAAAAAACGTTGGATCCATTTTCTCCTCCACATCGCATGGTTGTTCCTTTGAGTTCAGAAACTGTTGGCAGAAGATTTTCATGAGTAATTGAGCAGTTCCCATTTTCTACCCCATTCTAGTAGAATCAGCCGGTTTTTTTAGAACACCAAAAGGCTCATTTTTGGAAAAATTCAATACACTCAGAAAGTTTTTTTAAATTCAAGTGCCTGGAAATCAAAGAAATCGACGCGTTGTAGTTTCACAAACAAGCCTCAACTGCAGTCCTCAAAAATAAGGTGAAAGGCAGTGATATGGTTTGGCTGTGTACTCACCCAAATCTCATCTTGAATTGTAGTTCCCATAATCCTCACGTGTTGTGGGAGGGACCTGGTGGGAGGTAATTAAATCACGGGGGTGGGTTTTTCCCTTGCTGTTCTCATGATAGTGGGTAGGTCTCATGAGATCTGATGGTTTTGTAAGGGGCAGTTCCCCTGCACATACTCTCTTGCCTGCTGCCATATAAGACGTGCCTTTGATCCTCCTTCACCTTCCTCCATGATTGTGAGGCCTCCCTAGCCATGCGGAACTGTGAGCCCATTAAACCTCTTTTTCTGTACAAATTACCCCTCCTCAGGTATGTCTTTATTAGCAGCTTGAGAAGAGACTAATACAGGCAGGTTTCTGAAGAAGCCACTCAGTGGAAGTGAGTTTAATATACTTGTCCTAAAAGAGCATATTTATCCCAAAAGTCCATTCTCCAGATATGCTCTCCCAGATAGGAAAGGGAGTGTTTCCAGCTCAATGAAGAATAAGCAGCTTCTAAAAGCAAAGATCTCTTGCTTTCTCTGGGCCTGGAATTCCTCTCTGGGCCAATCATCATCATGTCATCATCATCATCATCATCAAAACTATCATTTCTAGAGCTGCTAAAATATGCCAGACCCAGCCTGAAATATGTGACTATTTCATGAAACCCTCCAGCTTTCCAGATAATAGGAATACTTGTCCCTATTCTGCAGATGAGGAACCTAAGGCTCTGAGGCTCTGAAGAACCACATATCTAACAGGTGGCAAAGTAAGGAGTCAAGCCAAAGCTGCCAGGCTCCAGATGAATTCTCTTTGCCCCAACATCCGGCACCCCTACTCTTCTCCAAAGCATGGGCTCAGCTAGTGAGAAGATCTATGAGTCTGTAGGTCAGACTGATGTTGAGGTAGGAAATGTTCCTCCTCCTCTTCAAGAAGCTTTCAGTTGACCCACCCAGATGGGCTGCTCCCAAATAAATGTCCTCTGACCAATTTCCCCAGATAAAATGGAACTCCACACTCTATTCTTTATTATTCCAGTCACCTACTGATTGTACACAAAAACCCAGCTGGGGAATCCTGAGATCCAAAAGTAATGTTGGTCCAGGCATTCTTTAGGATAGTTTGACACAATGTATTATCATTTAAAATGCCCATTTCTAGCATCCTACAAAATACCTGACCAGTACTCCTCAAAACTGTCACAGTCATCAAAAACAGAGAAAGCCAGAAACTTCGACAGCCAAGAGGAGCCTGAGGAGACATGATGACTAAACACAATGTGGTTCCAGGATGGGATCCTGGAACGGAAAAGTGACATTAGTGACAACTAAAGAAATTGGAATAACTATGGAGTTTGGTTAATAATAATGTCTCAGCTGGGCATGGTGGCTCACACCTGTAATCCCAGCACTTTGGGAGGCCAAGGCGGGCGGATCACCTGAGGTCAGGAGTTTGAGACCAGTCTGGCCAACATGGCAAAACCCTGTCTCTACTAAAACTACAAAAATTAGCTAGGCATGGTGGCAGGTGCCTGTAATCTCAGCTACTTGGGAGGCTGAGGCACGAGAATCGCTTGAACCCAGGAGGCAGAGGTTGCAGTGAGCCGAGATCTCGCCACTGCATTCCAGCCTGGGTGACAGAGCAAGACTCCACCTCAAAAATAATAACAATAATAATAATAATGTCTTTGTATTGATTAATTATAACAAATGTGCCATGCTAAAGTAAAAAGTTAATAAGGCCAGGCACGGTGGCTCATGCCTGTAATCCCAGCACTTTGGGAGGCTGAGACAGGTGGATCAACTGAGGTCATGAGTTTGAAACCAGCCTGGCCAACATAGTGAAACCCCATCTCTACTAAAAATACAACAATTAACTGGGTATGGTGGCGGGCACCTGTAATCCAGCTACTTGGGAGGCTGAGGCAGGAGTAGCTGGATTACAGGCTTGAACCCGGGAGGCAGTGGTTGCAGTGAGCCAAGATCACGCCATTGCACTCCGGCCTGGGTGACAAAGTGAGACTCTGCCTCAAAAATAAATAAATTAAGAATTTAAAAAGCACCCACAATTCTGTGCACATTCTAGCACATATATTTCTGGAGGAGCCCCCGAGTAACTGGTTGCCTCCAGGGAAGACAGCTGAAGTCAGCAGAGGGAGACTTTCTTTTCTGGAACTCCTGGGCTCAAGCAGTCCTCTCACCTTGGGCTCCCAAAGTGTTGGGACTACAGGCGTGAGCCACTGCACTTGGCCTTTCTTTTAATTATACTTCTTTTGATATGTCTGATTTTTATTCCTGTGCTTATACTTCTTTTTTAAAAGGAAGCAGGTCTTTTTTAATAGCAATAATTTTCTTTCTTTACATATTTAGAGTATCTGCTAAGTACAGAGTTCTCCATTTGGTGGGATACAATAACTGACTGCCATATTTACACGACTTCAGGGAGCAACATTTGCCAAAAAAAAAAAAAAAAAAAAAAAAACAAAACTGCCTCGTGGAATCATGCAATGCAGCAATCCATTGAGGAAAATACCAAAGCCACCTCAACACAAAGAGAAACTCACACTAGGAGAAATTGTAGACTTGGGAGCTGGACACTGCCCCAGATCGGCTCTGAGAATGAGGCACCCACTTCAAGCTTCAGTTTACGGAAGGAAGGACAGAAAGAAGAAAGGAAACCCCTGCTAACTTGGCAGGGCAGAAGGGGTCTGGTTTGAGTGTCAAGAAGAGATTTCCCTTCAAGGCAGAGATTCTACAATCCCCATCAAGGAACAGGGGCGAGGGAGGGTGGTGAGCTGCCCTCTGGGCACTTTTCTTTCCAAGTCTTTTGCACCCACCTCCCAACCCTCCCCGTCTGGAAAAGGCTTCCGGGAATGAAGAGGAGCCCTTGGGAGGCAGGCATTGAGCTCCACCTCGTGGCTGCTCAAACAGCTCCCTGGAAGTGGCAAATGATTTCCAGAGTGAATGCAGGGCTTGGAAATGCTCCAAATAAAGACGTTACCTAAAAGTTCATGGGACACCTTCACTTCCTCCTCCATCACTCCTTTTCAGTGCTGTGCCAGGTGAGGAAGTTTAGCCCAAGTCCCATCTGGGATCATAGCTGCATATCAACTTCTAGAAGCTCCCCAGCAGCTGGGCCCACTGGTTGGGAGAGAGCCCATCAATGGCCCTCAGACAACAGCCATGCCCATCTGCTGAGGTCCTCAAGAGGACAAAATGCCAAAGCAAAATGTCACATCTCTGGTCTACATGAAATAAATAAATGATTTGAACTCCTGCAAAACTAATGAGATTTTGCCACAGGATCTCTGAGATTTTGTCAGGCTCTTAAAAAATATTAATTCATAATATAATATGGTGTGGTCTAGAAACAGAGATGTATGATACCTGGCTTCTCTCCAGCCTGTTATTTTTATTTATACACTAAATCCCTGGAGATAATGTTAAAGTTTCAATTGCAGCCCATCCTTGCTGCATCTCCTATCCTCCCTTTATGGAGCACTTACTGAGTAATCGGCAGGACACTTGCACAGATACAGAGTTCCAACTCATTCTCACCAGATGTGTTAGCAAACTCATCTCGAGGCTAAGGGGAGAGAGACTGACCGGGATCAGCTGAGCTAGAGGACTTGGCCTCTGCACCTGCCACCATAGAACCAAGGATGCCTCTTACAAAGGCAAGGCTGGGGAGGGCCCTGTCCACCCACCTCCTAGTGACTCAGATGAAGACACTGAGGTCCTGAAGGGGCAAAGTCACAGCCTAGAACGCCCTCCCTCCCCAGCCCCCTGTCTAATACTCTCTCCATGAAGCCACACTGTCTCTAGCTAAGGCTCAGAGGGAGGTCATTCTTACTGTAACAGAAAGAGGGGGAGGCCACACCCACCAGAATATCATTGGACCCCATTCTCTGAGAAGTGTCATAAGCTTTCCAAAGTGTTCAACACGAAGGCTGTAGAGACCAAATTCTGGAAGGCCTCCAGCAGGTCACCTTGCCCAACCCTCTCATTTCACAAATAGGTAAACGCAGCCTAGTTATAAGAGCTGGGGAGCAGGGGCAATAGCCAAGGAGGCTCCCCCCATCATGCTTTATGTCATGACAGGAAGCTGAGTTTCATGGAAACTGAGGCATGGTCCCAACCCCATTCTCTGCACCCAAAGTGCAGTGCCATAGCTGCTCATATGGACAGACCAGGCTAGGCCTGAGACAGTGGCAGATAATGGAGGCAGGGTATAGGCAGAAGATCAGGGGACCTTACCAACTACACTGTGACCTCTCCCCCTGTAAAATAAGCAGCAAAAGCCACCTCTTTGGAATTGAGGTGGAGAGAAACTGGCTGTGTTGTTGCTTTTTCAATACACCTTGGAGACTTTTCCATATCAACGCATAAAGAGCCTGCTCATTTTTTACATACTTTATTCTCCCACACCTCTACTGATGGACACATGGGCCATTCCCAACTTTTATATTTCAAATAACATTGCAGCAAATAGCTTGTACATACATCATTTCACAGGTGTGCAGAAATACCATTTTGCTTTTCCAAGTCCTTGCTTGCTCAGGTTTTGCCTCTTTGATGGAGCCTCTCTAAGCTTCTCAGGCCAATCCAGGTCCCTCACTTCTTCCGCTCTCCTTCAGTTTATTTTCACAGATCTTTAGGCACCCACAAGAAAGGACAGAAATGGGCGGCCCAGGCTCCAACTCACACCTTTCGGTTCTGCGCGGCAGAGCTGTGCTTCCAAGTTCTCCTGCATTCCCCTCACCTCTCATCCCACTTCTCTTCCCACAGTCTTATACATACAGCCCAGTGCTGTGGGTCCTGTACCCAATGGATGATTAATAAACACTTCATGGGTGACAGATCAATGCCAAGTTGTTGTGCGGCCATATCTTATTCAACCAACAGGTGGCGTTGTTCTCCACCTCTGGACAGCTAAGGCCGCTAGCTCTGCTGGATGCCGCCTCCTGAGAGAGCAAACTCCTGAGGGTGGGATGTGGCTTCAATGATGACTTTTGTTCGTGTGATTGTCCACACAGCTTTCTACACAATCCCTCCAACAGCCCAAGGTCCTCACTGCAATTTTCTTTGGTATCACCCTCTTCCGTCCCATTCCATTGAGCAGGTGTGTGGCAGTTTGTATTGCCCTATATACGGGGAGACAGAATCGGAGACAGAATCGCCTAGTGGTTATGAACTTGGCCTCTTGAATCAAACTTATGTTCCAAACTCGATGCCACCACTCAATGGCCTCTAGCAACTGACTCCACCTGTCTGAGCTTCCATTGCCCTCAGCACAATAAGGAGTGTAACAGCACACACCTTGTGGAGTTGGTGTGAGGAGGAAATGAGACGCTGTGTGCAACATCTGCACAGCGCTAGGCACATGGTAAGTGCTCAGCAGACACTTGTTCTTGTCCATGTTATGTGGCTATGCATAGTCTGTTCAAAATTGTCTCTGCATCCTGCTCCTGTGCTCCTGAAAGCTATTTTTTTTTTTTTTTTTTTGGAGATGGAGTCTCACTCCGTCACCCAGGCTGGAGTGCAGTGGCGCGATCTCAGCTCACTGCAACTTCCACCTCCCAGGTTCAAGTGATTCTCATGCCTCAGCCTCCCAACTAGCTGAGATTACAGGCGCCCACTACGATGCCGGGCTAATTTTTGTATTTTTAGTACAGACGGGTTTTCACTATGTTGGCCAGGCTGGTCTTGAACTCCTGACCTCAGGTGATCTGCCCACCTCAGCCTCCCAAAGTGCTGGGATTCAAGGCAAGGCTTTCTTAATACCCACTGGTCCTCCACAGTTCTTCCCACACTAGAAGCTCGTTCCTGCTCCAGAGTCTGCACCTGCTAGTGCCCGGCCTGGAATGCTCTCCCTCTAGCTTACCCCATGGCTGGCTCCTTCTCATCCTTCAAGGTCTCAGCTTCAAGTCATCTCAGAGTTCTTCCCTGCCACCCCAGCTGCGGTAGGTCTCTCCTGATTTTCCCCACAATGTCACCCTGTACATTTAGCACTTGCTGCCACCTGCTGTGATCAGAAGTGTGTATTTATGTGACTGGGGTCTGTTTTCTCATGGGAATGTGAGCTCCATGACAGCAGCTCCATGAAGTTTTCTCCAGTTTCCCAGCACCTCACATGGTGACCCCGGCCCCTGGGAGGCGCATCAGTGGCTGGCGGGTGTCAGGTGAGTGCATGGCCATGTGTAAGCAGAGCTGCATCTCGTTCACTGGCTCCTTGGCATGCTCCTGTTTTCCTCCTGTCCCCAGGCCAACCACCACCTCTCTGATGGCAGGAGTGGAGTCTTTTCCCACCAGCCCTCAGCTGACCCACCACCAGTGCTCACGGGGAAGAGCCAGGACTTAGAGTGCTGGGGAGCAACTCAGAGGGCTGCTGAGGACTTAGAATGGGGCCAGAGCTCCTCACACTCCCCCACCCCAAGTATACCTCAGGGTGCTTCCTGGGAATGATGGAGGTGCGCTCACAAGTGGCTTTCCTTAAAGCCAGTTCCAGGCCTCTTGCTGCTGATGCTGTGACCCAGGTGTGCCCCGCACTCAGCCACTGCTCTGTGCCCTCTCACTCTGAGGAGGCCCTCCTCTTCCCTGGCCCTGGTGAGCATTCTGATGTGGACTGGAAACCCTGTTCATGTCTTTTCCTACATTGTGAGAAGCTGCTTGCATGGCTGTTTTTCACAATGAAAAGACATATTTACTCTGGCAAGTGCAGAGGGTTCCTCTGAGCACACACAATATGATTCAGAGACTCCCATGGGTGCATGCTTGACACAAAATCACCCTATGGAAGTCAGGTCTTCCATATTCTGTCCACCAAGTCAGAAAACATCCTCATGCCCCATGTTCACTTTGGACACACCCCACTTAGAAGCACATAGCTTCACAAATGTGGAGCAAATCACTCACACAGGCTTCATTCTCCCCTTCAGACAGATTTGACTGGAGCTTCCCAGCTTCCATATGTCATGGCAGGGCAGTCACTTTATCATTTAAAACACGTTAGATCCATGTCCACATTCAACGACAAAACATACTGAGCACCTCTTACGTGGCAAAAGTTGTTCTAGACATTGGGAACATGAGGTAATAAGCTAAACAAGGTACTGCCACCATGTGGAATTCTCAGTTTAGTAGAAGAGGCAGACAAGGAACAGGTAAACAAATATATAAACTGCTCCCAGCTGACTTGCTAGTGGAGGCAGTGTGATGCGATGGGGGTGACTGCTGGGGCCAGAAGGGTGGCTTTGGCCAGGATCAGGAGGGCTTCTGAGGCCAGACCTGGAGACTGAGAAGGAGCAATACAGGGAGCACTCCAGGCAGGAGGAAGCACGAGTGCAAAGCCCCGGGGAGTGTGAAAAACGCAGAGAAGGCCAGTGTGCTGGAGCTCAGAGGGCAAAGGGGGAGGACCTGGAGATGAGGCTGAGATACCACCTCCCTCCCAGGTCAGCAGGGGTCAGGTAATCCAGAGCCTTGTTAATCACACTTAAAATGAAGACACAGAGGTATTCTAAGTGTAATGAAAAACTTTTGAAGGGTTTTAGGTGGGGAATTTAAGTGATCTTTTACCCAGAAAAAGTTGATTAAACAGCATGGCAATGAATGAATAAAAGAACTGAATGAACAACTTCTGAATCTATAAACATATGCTACCTAGGGTCTCTTGGTGCCAAGGTCATGCTGAGTTCTGCAGGAACATAGAGACAAGAAGCTCAGGACAGCCCACAAACTCTAGAACCATGAATGCCACACCAAACCGAATGTTCCCTCCACTGCTTAGAGAAACTGCCCATTTAGTTCTCTGGGCCCCTCATAAACTCGACCCCCTGTGTGGGTAGGGAAAACAGATTGGAGAGCAGATAGTTTAATATCACACATGGAGCTGCCTCCCCAAGATCTCAGCTGAAGGCAGTGCTGCTCCCAGGATCCTGGAGATCTCTAGCTGGTCTCCAAGTCCCTGGAGGATGCCTTTATACCCCTCCACCTCCCACCCTCATCATCTCTTTTTGACATTCAGAAGATGAGGCTCAAAAAGGGATTTTTTCCAGGTAGCAGAGGGAACCCAGACCTCCCAATTCTCACCAAGATAACAGGAACAGAGACCAGCTCCAAACACAGCAATGTCCCCTGTGTGCCCATAGTCAGGGCCCTTCCCCACAAGAGCAGCCAACCCGCAGACAAGCACAGACCTTCTCCACCTTCCCCACAGAGCCCTACCCACCTCCACAGCTGAGGACTGCCCTCCCTCACAGAGTGGGACTACGGCTTCCATCCCCACGGCCCCAGCACCTTGCTGGAGCTGGCCACAGAGCAGGTGTTTACATAATGGGGCAGAAGGAGGATGGTGAATGGTGAAGATCATGGGCACTGAAGCCAGAGAGCCCTGAGTTCCATCCCGGGCTCTGCTGCCTGCTGGCCCTATGACCTTGGACATGAGTCTTAACTTCCTCAAGCCTCAGTCTCCCCATATTTTAAAGGCAGACAAAATACACCAGTCACAGGTTTGTGTCTGGATTTAATATAATCCACATACTGAGGGCTTAGCTGAGTGTCTCCCTCACAAAACTAGTTTACAAATGGTTTTATACAAATCTGAATGGTGATGCTGATGATGGAGTCAGGAAGTCAAGCAGGACTGACACTGGCACTCCTGGTGCTCATGCAAACAGGCACCTGGGACATATTTGTTAAAGCCAGAAAGAAGGAAGACTGGGATGTTCTAGAAAGATTCCTGCTTTTCTAAACAAAGTTTTCTGCGTAGCCCTCAAATTAGCAGAAAATCTGGTCCTGCTAGGTTCCCAGCACTCTCACCCCACCCTGTGCCAAACCCTAAGAGAGCCACCTCCCAGATCCCACTCCAGGACACCTCTCTGGGTGGTAGCAGGTGTTGCGGTGAGCAGCTTGTGGTTTTGAGAGCTGGTATTGTCACCGTGACAACTCCCCACTTCTCTCTCCCTCAGTGTCCAGAGAAGAGGCTGGAGGCGTCTGAGGGAGCAGAAAGAGTATCATGTGGCCAGGGCTTTGGCACAGCTTGGTGACAACTAACTGTGGCCATGGGAGTGATCCGCAGCAGCAAAGGCGTGGCCAGGGTTTCTATCTGCCCTTGCCTGACGCCCACCAGCAGCAGGGGTAATTAGGGACCTCTCCTCCACAGATTACGGTGCCTCCATTTCCCATCCCACTCCACTTTTATCTCCTAAAGTCACACAACCACAGAATGGGTGAATGAACACCCACCCAGCAAGCCCTCTTCTAGCCAAGTGCTGAGCACCCATCACAGAGGGCCTGGGGCTGCTGGTGCCAACTTGTGGGCCAACTCTCAGGTTATAGGAGGTGGAGTAATCCTGGAGAAGTGGTGCAATCCAACACCCCATGCCCTTCTCTTCTCCCCTTAAGGTGAGGAAGAGCTATGTATGTGCACGCATGTATCCATGCATGTCAGCACCCATGCAGGCATGAACACCTGGTGCCCATGCACAAATCCATTCCCTCCACAAATATCCCTTGAGCGTCAACTATACTCAAAGGATATGAATGATGATGGTGATGATGATGAAGTCAAGAAGAGGGACTGACACTGAGCATCCTGGCCCTGGGCACTCCCAGTGCTCATGCAAACAGGCACCTGGAAAAAGCTAGGCACTGCCAAGCACTGAGGGTACGGAAAAGGGTGGTGCAGAAGAAAAAGGGGTAGTCTGCGGGCAGATGTGGAGAGGTCACCTTTGTAGACTCCACCCACAGGCATCTTTTTTCCCAGCACTCACTGTCATTGCTATTCCGATTCCAGTCATGTTGGGGCACTGGTGCCTCTCTATTGCATCCCCTGCCCCCAAAAAGGGCTATTGGATTAATTCATTCCACTGTGACCTGGCTTACTTAGATTGACAATGAGTAATGTCCTTGTGTCCCCAGACTTCGGGTGAACCCACAGTGCCCAGAGCTGGAGCTGCAATTGGGAGCTGCCTCTCTTCCTTATATAAGGAGCAATGCCAACTTTCTCTTTCTCACCAAGGAGCTGCTTTTCCCACCTTCCTTCTGTCTGCCTCACCTGGGTTTGTATCTTCCCCTCTCTTTTGTCCCCACCTTCCCCAGGCCTGGATGCCTGTCACCTGGTCCCTGCTTCTCTTTTACTAATTCTGTTTCAGAAATACTCCATAAAGTGTTCATCCAGGCCCCAGTTAACATCAGCGGGGCACTCAAAGAAGTGAAATCTAAGCATTGTCACTAAGGGAGTATTTCATTCAGAATGTCCTTTTCTCTGTCCTCATCTCCCAGCATGGGGTACAAAGAATGAGGGGGCAGCAACGACCACCCCACTCAGCATATCCAGATTGTGCATACATTTTTTTCCAACACACACTGCTAATTTGTGATTAGATGTTGTGGCTCTGCACCCACTCATGAGCCCCCAGGGTCAGGCAGCCCTAGGCTTATCGAGGTCTACGTCCTCGTCCTCCTGGCTGTCAGGCCCCAGCCAGAACGCTGTCCTTTAGGGAAGTCGGAGTGGGCGGGGTCCCCTCTTCACCCTCCCCCATCTCCACTTCAGATGCAAAGTGCACATATGGCTCATCTCCATCTTTGGGGGAGGTTCTGTCTAAAGTCCTCCCAAAGATTCAGATTGTATGACAAATCACGTTCTAGACTACCACGGGCAAGAAAGGGCCCAGGCATTTGCATCATTACCCCCAGACAACAGCTTCATTAGGCTGAAAGGGAGGTTTGCAGCCTCTCGAGCTCCGAGCTCCGCCACTGACCTGGGCCTCTCACTTTCCCATTGTCTGTAGGCTCCAAGGCTCTCGCTCTAAACCATATGGTCCATTTGGGCATCTCACACTGCCTTCCAGGGAAAGCAGGCCTTGGGAAGCACTTGGGGCAAGTTAGAGGCCTGCTGCAAGATCCAGGTGCGAACTCGCCCCAAAGTGTTGTCAAACTGGGCCAGAAGAGAGGAACCACCAGCGACCAGAGAAGGCTGAACCCTAAAAAGCAATGTGTGGGCCCAGGAGGGGAGGAGGAAGGGTCCTGCGCCAGAGGGCAAAGGAATTAAGAGCCTCAGTATTTGACCCCTCAGAGAGCAGGTGGTCTGTTGGCTCCATGAGTCTGACAGCATGTTAGTATGGAGACCCTGGGATAGCAGTGCTCAGGCTAAGTCCACCTCTCCTCACCCTGGCCCCCTCGCGGGCCACAAGTATTTGGAGATTTCTCAGGGGTCCCCAGACTACAGACATTTCTCCCGTGAAGCCAATAAGCAGATGCACACTCTGGCAGCTGGAGTGTGCGGTTGCCATTCCCCTTCTCCAGTCCCCAAGACCCTGAAAACCTTAAAAACCAGATTGTCCCTGAGGATACGCATGTGTCCAGTTTAAAGGGGATTTGGGGGGCAGGGCCGTGAAAGCCACCCCAGCCTCTATCTCTTCAAAATCCCACCACTTTGAAACTCCATTTTGCTCCAAGCCTTTGCAAGATTCCAAACACTTGGAATTAACCCGGAGGCCACCGCCATCCCCAGGCAGCCACAGGGGCCTGGTTTCCCTGGGAGAGAAACCTATCCAGAGCACGCCCTGACCCCCGGTAGCCCTGAGGCCGCCAGCCCTGGGAGCGCACTCCAGGGAAGGAATTCGTCCTGATCTAGAAATGGGCCGGTGCGGACCTCGCGGATGTTTCTTTAAGAGCAGGGGAAGAAAACACAATCTCTCCTTGTGGTGCAGCACTTCCACCCCCGCCAACGGGGCGGATTAGGGCCTGGATTAACATTTTAAACTCGGCCAGACTTTCTGACTCAAAGATCTCTGGTTAATCGTATTACTATCCCTGGGATTACTGCTTTACTCGCTGCAAAACAGATTCTAAAATCAAATTGATTAAAGTTCCCTCCTGTCTTCTCTTTACTCCTTTTGGGGCGATAGGGGGAGAGGCTGTAGCTTCTTAAGGTGACGACTTTTAAAATCGAATCTTACTTCGCATTTCTCTCCTTGCCCCTCCTATCCTTCCAGGCCAGGCAGCGGTAAGAAGACTGGCTGGCGACACGATTCCTTTTTTCCCGCCCACGTCAGCTCCTAGTTCCTGGTAATTTATCCCATATTAAAACTTCTTTAAGTAAGAATGGACAAGCATCAGCACCTGCTATGCAAATGCGGCCAAATCCAGCCCGGGCCGCGGGGCGTGCGCGCCCGCCGGACCGCGAGCGGCCATTCAGCGCTCCCAAGGCGCCGGCTCGACCCTTCATATGGAAACCCGGCGGGTCCCGACAGATTGCGGCGGGGAGGGGCGGGGGCCAGAATGCCCTCCCAACCTCGGAAGGCGCCCAGAGGGGACTATCTGCACCTCTCCAGTGGGCTTTTTTCAGCCATACTCCATTCTTCAGCCATCTTTGTTGTTTCCTTAACGAATGTCCTATTTTAGTGCCAATGCCCGTTTTGCCGGATTTCCCTCCAGAATTCATCCTTATTCTCCATCCCAGCTCTTCCGGAGCGGCGGCAGGTTTTGTTTTGTTTTGTTTTGGTTTTGGTTTTGTTTTTGTTTTTGTTTTGAGACGGAGTTTCGCTCTTGTTTCCCAGGCTAGAGTGCAGTGGCGCGATCTCGGCTCACTGCAACCTCCGCCTCCCGGGTTCAAGCGATTCTCCTGTCTCAGCCTCCCGAGTAACTGGGATTACAGGCATGCGCGTGTTGGTAGTTTTCTAAGCGTAACAACTTTCCCACCGCTTTTTGCAGGCGTGGTGGTCACCAAGGACTGTAGGACCTTGCCCCGAGGGTCCCAGGAATGTGGATGGTGTGGGGTAGATCGTCATTGCAGGCCCCAAATCCGTGTCAGGGGCTCGGGAGCCAGGCGCACTCCCCGCCCGCAGCCAGACGGAGGAGGCAGGCCGGGTGCTGGCGCGGCCGCGGTTATCCTGCCGGATAACAAGGATTAGTGCGTTGGGGACGTTTGAAGCCGTGTCTGTGCTCACGTGGCTGGAGGCCGCGGCGCGGTCGCCTCTCGTGCGGCCCTAATCCCCTCACGCGGCTCCGGGCGAGCCGGCCCCATCGGGGAACTGGAACTTGCTGGCCCAGAGTCCCGGCTCTCGCTCCACGCGGGCGCGGGGTCAGGGCGCCCACGCGGCAGTGCCCACGCGTCCCCCCGCGCGCCCCGCCGGGTTCTCCGAGGCCCCCGCCGTAGGAAGAGCCACGGCGCTAGGGTCGTTTGCTCAAGACTTGGGGGGAAATCCCCTTCTTCCAGCCTAGGAGCCTTTATTTGTGGCTGCATAAAAGAAATCCAGAAACGCCGGGTCTCCCCAGCCAGAGCAAAACCGAAGTGGCGGCGGCGACGGCGGCGGCAAGGGTGGGGGCGCGGCCGGCGTCCCAAAGAGATGCAAAGTGATAAATACATTGTTTAGAGGCTGCCCGCTCGGTCCGTCCCTTGGGGGCATAGAAAATGAGGCGCTTTCCTCCCCCTTTAACTCGAGGGGAGTACTAATAATTCATGTATGTTATAATTCTTCACTGCCCCTAAGTAGTCTGGGAAAACTGGAAGAAAAGAAAATGCCAGAAAGTTATGGTAAAACTTAAGATGCGGCCGAAGTCGCTTTCTTTGCCCCTGCTGCGAGTGTTTGAATAAGAAGAATGCTCCTGGACTGTAACAAGCAAAAAGAATGAAGAAGACAAAAGATTTCCAGAAAAAGGTTTAGCTAGAAGACAAGGCAAGTGAAACTGAAAGGAGAAAAAAAGCTTTTACAATGGAACAATAAGTGTACTAATCGCTTTGATATATTATACAAGCCCAAAGACCCAAAACATTGTGTAATTATTTATAAATGACTTCTCCACTCCTGTGTATAATGCAGAGGAAAGAATAAAACTGCAGGCCACTCTCTAAATTATTTCTAAATAGACCTGGTTCAAAAGAAGGCAGAAGTGTTTGAAATAAAATAATTAATGGTGGATTTTATGGTTGTCTCATTAAAACATTTTAATTACTACAAACAAAATGCATTTGTATTTGAACCCAACATGAATTTATGTAGCTGAGTGTTAAGGTAGAGAAAAGCAAAAAGAAAACACTTAGCAATTTTTGTGTTTATTTCTGAATTCTTTCCATAAACCAATAGTCAGATTCCATTAGGATACATTTCACTGTGACTTCTTTTGTACACACAGAAGAAAACACCCTCACACAGTTTTCCCACACTTGACCCACAAGCATCCAGGGATGCGGAGGGCCGGGGGGTGGGTGGGAATGTGTTTATAATCTCTAGTAAAGACCTTCTCAAGAATTCAAAAATGAAGCTGGCAAAAATGAAACTGCTCAGGAAAATTCACCCTGGCTTTAGCAACTTCCTGTGGCAGGTGCAGCCTGGATTTGGGGAGCTAAACCTAGTGACAGCAACAGCAGGGCTATGGTTAGGGTTTTTGTTTTTATCTGAGCACAGAAGATTTAACTTCAAGTACTCTAAGAGAACCAAACTCAGAGGCTTTGAAGGTGGGTCTGGAAGGATTCGCAGCCTCTAGCAGCTGATGTGAAAATGACTGCAGGCCTCACTGCTGAGGAAGGGTGGGGCAATCACCTCCACCTACCCCCTCTTCAGGGCCTGCACCCTCCCTCGTGGGCCCTCCCTGCACAAGTGTGCACACCCCCCTCGCCTCCCCCACTGGCCTTTGGGCACAAAAAGGACATTGTTTCACCCAAGACTGGCCCTAACCACGAACACACTTCAAACCTTGGCCAACCCAAGCACATGCTGTCCCCCCATACCAGTGCAGGCTAGAGAACCCCAATCAAACTTGACAGATGCTTGTGGAAATAATGTGTTTGGCTGCAGAATTGCCCAGTGTCATTTGGGGAGGCATTTTGGACATAGCACAGAATAAAGGAGATGTGTGCCAGAGCTTCCGCTGGAGCCCAGGACTCAACCCGCATGTAGGCAGATTGCACTCCACCAAACCCATCAGCAGACAATGCTGAGCAATATTCAAGCCGACATCTCCAAATTGGGAAATGCATACAGACGGCACTGTATTTAGCAGGGCAGGGGCCGAGGGGGCCTCCACGGATTTCTAGAAACCATGGATAATTTGCCATTTTCCTTGCTCTGTCACTGAAAGACCCCTCTGTTTCCCCCCTCCTGCCTCGTTTCCCCCCTCTCTTTTGCCCCCCCTTCCACAACTGTCATGGGTCATCAGTAAAGAAAATAGAGAATTGTTTCTCTTTTCCAACCCCACCCTTCTTCTCTTATATGGAAACCCAACTGCATATCTTTGGGTGTATCTGATGCACTGAAAGGAACCTGCGAGCTCTGTGTCCAGCCTCATCATTCATCCCTTCCTCTTGAGGAACTGCATCTTTTTCTTCCTTCTTTTCTATAAAGATCACATTTTCTTTCTAAAATGCCACCCACAAAACCAATACAAATGCCCCCCAGATAGCTTCAGAAAGAAAATCATCATCGAAGTCAAGCAGTCTTGTTATAAAGGGTGGCCCTCTCCACAACTTCACTTTGTGTAAAACTCTCCACAACTTCACTTTGTGTAAAATTCCCCAACAAGGATGCCGCTGTAGATATCAGCATTGCCCAGTGGCCTTACAAACTCGGTGCAGTGCATTGACTGCCCTGTCCCCAATACGTGAGTGGCTGAGTAAGGTGCCCACAACATTCCCGTCTCCTGTCATAAGCTGCATCTGCAAGTTCATGTGTACTGTAAAAAACAAAACAACTTTGCTTTGAAACCCCACAAAACTCAGGTCTACATGGAAGTGCCACAGCACTCTTGAAATTAATATTCTATCTAACCAACTGGAGGGGATGGAGAATAATCAATCTGAGCTAAAACAATTTAGCAAGGAAAGTATGAAATGTGATAGTGTCCCCTTCCCCTCAGCCCCTTCAGATTATCATCTCAGTACTTGTTATTACAGGACACTAACCTTCCAGTCCAGTTCCTGTTACAGCATCTCTTAACCCCAGGTTGAAGTGTTTCTGATAACCAGCAGAGAGGCTATTTGGCTCAACCTTGCTTTTACAAAAGGGCTGGAAGGCTATGGACTCTAACTCCAAACGAGGACATACACATGGTCACTGAGACACTGACAGGGTAGAGGAAGATGCTCCGTCACAAATTCCAATCTGGATCCATCCCTGGATCTCTATGCCTACAGGCACTATAATTTGATGGTCACTTTAAAATCCTGAAATTGCCTTGTGAACAGCACAGACTCCTTTATATTTTTATTTGTTAACCACATTGATTTATTATATGTAAACTTTTATAATTTACCACCATTTCTCCCCTATTTTGGCCTTTATTTAAAAAATAATAATAAACCAAGTCTCTCAAGACCCTGGAAGCATCCAACACCTTGCTGCACCCTGAGAGTCCCTCCCTCTCACCTCTCAAGAAAGCTGTTTCTTCATCAGTGTGTCGATGCCAGAAAGGCCTTCTTGATGATGAAGTAAAATCACATCCCTGCTGGTCCCACCAGAGTCTTGAGTCAGATCCCTAGGGCTGCCTGGAACAGGTATGCCCTTAGAGCTCATCTTAGCTGTCACATAAATGTACTTGACCTGCTTCAAGAGCTGAGGCAAGCACAGGATAGGAGGGTGGTTGCTAATGCAAAATATCGATTCTAGTGTGAATAAATTGGCTCTAGGTATCAGTCAATAGTGACTTTAGCATGTGCTCCAGAGATTCTGATTCCAGGGGTACGGGGTGGGGACCCCCACCATCACTACTACCCCAGGTAACCACAGTGTAAGAAGCTCCAGCTTAATCCTTAGTCCCTTGGAACATCTGCCCCACCTTGGAACATCTGGCTACCCTCCCCTGCCCCCCAGCAGATTGGCAGCTGGATGTCCACACATCAGGCAGAACACCTGGTATGGTGCTCACCATAGCAGCGCCTGCTGTGGTTGGATTTATTACATGCCCACATCACCTTCTATTATACTCTGAGAATGAGGGTACACTCAGGTACTATGCTTAGAAGGCTTCGAGGGGCAGGAGAAACTTTCATCTTCCCTGGCAAGCATGCACATCCTTCTAACTGTGGCCTGGCCTTTTTCTCTTGAGGAGAGGCTCTGGGCCTCTTAAGCTGCCCGTTCATTCTCATCCTGCCAGGGCTCAGTTCCATCCTCAGTAGATCACTTATAGGAGGGCCCCCTGCAGATGCACTTATAAAAAGCACAAGGGGTAGGCACTAACAGCCAAGAAGGAGCCACAACATGCCCTGCCCAAGAGCCAGGAGCAGGCAGGGCAAGGCTTGGATGCTTGCCTGCTCAGCTCTCTAAGGTTCAGGAAAGGGAGTGAAGCATGGCAGGAGAAGGCACAGACCTACTGCTAGCTCATAAGGTGCGTCTGGACATATTTGACAAGGTGCCCTCTCTGAACAGGTGTAGCCCATGTCAGGGTGCATGGTTTGGCGGGTGGTAGAGAGGCTAGATTTCAGCCCTTACTTGCCCCCTCTACCAGATGTCCTTGTACAGTGAATGACTAGAACAATTTTAACAGCCCTGCTCAGAGAAAGAAGCAAGAGGAGGAGATGGAATGGAACAAGGAAGGCTGCCCTGGCCATTCAAGGGCCACCATAACTGCCCCCTTACCCTCTTTCCACTGGGTTCACCCAGAAGCCCTATCCTCCAGACCAGCACCCACATAGCCACTATAGTAACCCCCAGTCCTCTCTTTCCTTAAATTGTCTATTCGCATCCCACCCATCCTTCAAGGCCTTCGCGAGTCCCCCCTCTGCCAAGAAGCCTTCCCTTTGGGAGGTGCACAATGCTCTTCAGATCTGCTCCCTTAATAGGCCCTCGACACCTCTCTAGTCCTAATGCTACATCTCCTCTCCTTTAGGACTATAGGCCTGCTTCACACTCCACAGAGCACCTGACACAGGGCAGCATGCAGTAGGTTCTCCATGTATATTTGTTGATTGACTATGATGGAAGAACATAGAGTAGGGCCTGAAAGGACTCTTGAGTCTGGCCTAGTTTGACCACCAGCGATCCCTGGGGTAACCTGGAAAAAAGACCTCCCCATCTCCCACCTCAGTTTCCCATGTATGAGGTGCAGTGGATAGATGAATAATTTCCAAAGGTTCTGCTGGCACTGAACCCTGGCTTGCAAGACTCAGAGCCCATGATACCCATCAGCCAAGTTTATCACCCCTGTCACCCCAGTGTCCAGCACAGTGCCTGGCCCAGCACAGGCAATCAACATAGCCAATGGATTACTTCAAAATAATACAAGGATAATTCTCTATGCTTCAGCAACCTGAGGATTTAACTTGGTGTTTTATTTATGAAACCGCAGACACTAATCCTGGCTATCTGAAGCAGAAAAGCCCCACTAACGAAAGGCCCGCTATGGGAGGGCTCATGCAATCAGTGGGAAGGCTGGAGAACCAGGCTCAAAAAACAGATGGAACAAGGGCTGGCCCTGGGAAGAGTTCAGACAGGATGTCCACTGGTTCCTGGCCACCTCTTCCACCACTGGTCACTGGCTCTCCCGGGTTGTTGCCATGACACAAGTGAACTCTAGACTGTCACCAGCTCTGAGCCTAAATTGCAAATGGGGCAGCTAACTGCCTGTACTAAAATCTTTTGGCCACACCCTAATTGCTAGGAATGGGGAAGGGGTTCTCATGCATTCAAATTTCTCAACAGGAAAGCTCTTCACGTACCTGTCAGCCAAAAAAGTGACACTGGCCAAACCAATTCTCTCATTCAGGAATTTGGAAAACCATTTGTTGTAGTGGGTTGAAATAGTGGGCCTCCATAAGATATGTCCACCCAGAATCTCAGAATGGGACCTTATTTGGAATAAGCATCTTTGCAGATATAATGAAGGCAAGGGTTGCAAGATTAAATCATCCTGGATTAGCTGGGCCCTAAATCAAATGACAAGTGTCCTTACAAGAGACAGAGAAGGAGAAGACACAGAGAGGAAGGCCGCATGAAGAAAGGAGGCAGAGATTGGAGTGACACAGCTGCCAATCAATGAATGGCCAAGATGGCCAGGAGCCACCACTAGAAGCTGCAAGAGAGGCATGTCACAGATTTTCTCTCAGAGCCTCCGAAAAGGAGCCATCCCTGCCAAAAACTTGCTTACAGACTTCTGGCCTCTTGAACTGTAAGAGAATGAACTTCTGTTGCCTTAAACCCCCTAGTTTGTGGAATTTTGTTGTGGCAGTCCAAAGAAAGGAAGCTGACACAGGGAGAGAAACAGAGGTGGGGGGCAGAGAGAGGACCCTTGGGCTCCTGCTGGTTTACACAAGTCCTCGAAGCCCTTGAGTTCTTGAGAAGCCCCCGTATCCATCCAACAACTGCCCTTTCCTGAGTGAGCTGGTCGAAGCCACTTTCTGTGACTTCTAATAAATCTCGAGCCCTTATATATGACTGTGTCCTAGCCTTCCACTGAGATCAGGGGTACCTGCAGGGTGCAGTCGGGGAAGGGGACAGCTGGGCAGAGTCCCCTGAGCCAGAAGGCAAGCGCTGGTCAGTGAGTCGAGGTGGGAACTGCCACTACACAGCCCCCTTTCTCAAAGGGGCCAATCCCCCCCCAACCCAAAGAGTCAGCTAGGCTCCCATGGCAGCAGGCCAGGCATCCGGCCTGAGGCTACCACTTGGATATCAGGTGGGGGGCAGGCACTTTGCTGAAAGCTGCTCATTTTGTTTTTAATACCCTCATCCTATAATCGAGTGCTGTTCCTTACTATTTATCCTCCAAGTACAAAGTTGGGTGATGTCTGGGCCCCTGTGGCTCCTGGGTGAGTGTAGGTGACAAGAGAAAAGTAACTCCTGACATGCAGAGGGAAGACCTGCTGGAATAGGCGAGTTTAAGACACCGAAGGCGGGAGGGGGTTTGGAGGAAAGGGGTTCCACTGTCACCTGCTGCCCTCCAGGGGCCAGCTCTCTCTCGGGCCAGGGGAGCTGGATCCCCTGGCTGGCTCACCCTGAAGAGGGCCACAGAGGCTGCAAGCAGGGCTCCAAGAGACGGTGTGCAACGGATTTCTCCGGGCATGGGGCAGGCAAGGTTTCAGGAACGCCAAAGAAAAGGAAATTCTCATATTAATAATTATATTCTCATATTATTATTTATATAAATTCTCATATTATTAATTCTTATTAAGAATCTTGAGGTGACTTGTGGGCAGAGGTGCGGAGGAGGGTGGAGAAGGGAAGGGAAAGAAGGGAAGGGTGAGACCAAGACTCAAGGCAACCTGGGAAATCACCCGATCCTCTTTTCCACTCTCCTCTTCGCACTCCCCAGATGAAGGTCAGATTCTTTCCCGTTTCTTCATCAGCCTGAACGGAGCAGCGACACTTATCCTTGCCCTGCGCCCTGTGCCTCTGGCATGGCCACTCTCCAGTCTATTTGAAAATGATTTTCACCCTGTTCAGCGGATGCTGCACATTTAGTGTTCCACAAACATTATATCTGATCATCCTCCACAGGGTAAACTTTTGTCTCATCTTACAGGTGGGGAAAGCAATGCTCAGGGAAGTTAAATTACTCGTCCAAAGTCACGCGACCACTAAGCAGCTGGAGAGGGGATGCGAACCCAAACTCCAAGTACCCTCCAGGTTTCCGCAACTCACTGGGCGGCTCACACTTTCGCGCTCGCGCCCCGCCTCCCCGTCCCACCCCAGCGAGGGGCGCCCAGCCCGCCCCAAGAGGAGCGTGCCTCGGCCGCTAATCGCCCGCCGACCCCGCCTCTGTTTCACTGCCTGGAGACGCCCTGGCCAGCTTAGCCCGAGCCGACTCCCGGGGCCGCGCGACGCCGCCGATTGGCCGGCGGTAATTACGGGCACACTCCGGGTTGGGGGAGGGGCGATGGCGGCCTCCCGCGAGCATAAATTATGCAAATACCCGGGCGCTGCACGGGGATGACCTGCCGCCTCGCTCCATTCACCCGGGCTGCCGCGGGGGCGGAGGTGGCAAGGGAGGGGGGCGCCCATTGTTGCGCCGGGTACTTAAGGGGTCCTGAGGCCAGTCGTGTGCCACACTCGGTGCTCACACGAGCTGATCTGATCGCCGGCGACATCACTCAGGAGACCGGCCGGGCGCGTGGCCCCTGCAGGCGAGGCGAGGAGGCCAGGCCAAGTTCTCCGTGCGCCCCTGCACCCTTCCAGGCTCTCGCACCCGCAACTGGCACAGAGTAACAACCCCAGGCTGTTGGGAACGTAAGTGCGCCCTGGCGGCTCTGCCCTCAGTCCGGGCTGCAGCGCTCTGAGCGCCTTTCTATCTGTCCGTCGGTCCTGCACAGCGCAACGATGCCAGCCCGCCTTGAGACCTGCATCTCCGACCTCGACTGCGCCAGCAGCAGCGGCAGTGACCTATCCGGCTTCCTCACCGACGAGGAAGACTGTGCCAGACTCCAACAGGCAGCCTCCGCTTCGGGGCCGCCCGCGCCGGCCCGCAGGGGCGCGCCCAATATCTCCCGGGCGTCTGAGGTTCCAGGGGCACAGGACGACGAGCAGGAGAGGCGGCGGCGCCGCGGCCGGACGCGGGTCCGCTCCGAGGCGCTGCTGCACTCGCTGCGCAGGAGCCGGCGCGTCAAGGCCAACGATCGCGAGCGCAACCGCATGCACAACTTGAACGCGGCCCTGGACGCACTGCGCAGCGTGCTGCCCTCGTTCCCCGACGACACCAAGCTCACCAAAATCGAGACGCTGCGCTTCGCCTACAACTACATCTGGGCTCTGGCCGAGACACTGCGCCTGGCGGATCAAGGGCTGCCCGGAGGCGGTGCCCGGGAGCGCCTCCTGCCGCCGCAGTGCGTCCCCTGCCTGCCCGGTCCCCCAAGCCCCGCCAGCGACGCGGAGTCCTGGGGCTCAGGTGCCGCCGCCGCCTCCCCGCTCTCTGACCCCAGTAGCCCAGCCGCCTCCGAAGACTTCACCTACCGCCCCGGCGACCCTGTTTTCTCCTTCCCAAGCCTGCCCAAAGACTTGCTCCACACAACGCCCTGTTTCATTCCTTACCACTAGGCCCTTTGTAGACACTGTTACTTTCCCCCTCCCCTAGTCAGCAGGCAATAGATGGGGCCCCAGCTGCCGCCTCGGGACCCCCTCTCCAGGCGGAGGGAGGAAGCGGGAGCTTTAAAGCAGTCGGGGATACCTGAGCCGCTTGTTAGGTCGCCGCACCCTCGCGGCGGATGTCTCTTGGTCTGTTTCTCCGGCCCTCAGCCCAGCGCCCCTCCTGCCCGCCCCTAGACGGCCTTTCCTTTTGCACTTTCTGAACTCCACAAAACCTCCTTTGTGACTGGCTCAGAACTGACCCCAGCCACCACTTCAGTGTGATTTAGAAAAGGGACAGATCAGCCCCTGAAGACGAGGTGAAAAGTCAATTTTACAATTTGTAGAACTCTAATGAAGAAAAACGAGCATGAAAATTCGGTTTGAGCCGGCTGACAATACAATGAAAAGGCTTAAAAAGCAGAGACAAGGAGTGGGCTTCATGCATTATGGATCCCGACCCCCACCACTGCAGACTCGCTCTAGGAAGAACTGGAGACTCTTGCTTAGCTATTCAGGCACAGGGCTGGAGAGTACTTTAATTTATTCAAGATGCTTCATTCATATGAAAATGTATTTTTGTACATAAAGAGTTTATTCTATTATGAGCTATCAAAGTTTACATTTTTGTACTGCAGACGCTTCATGTAAATAAAAACTAAAAATAAGTCGCCAAGTTTCTTGCCTAATATTAGTGTCTCTGGGGCTTTTCTTGCTTTTCCCTGCTGGCTCAACCACTAAAGTGAAACACTATCCCACTCACCTCCAAAGCCTCTGTTCCTGTTTCAAAAACAATTAAAAAATAAAACGCACCTGATTTCCACCAAGAAATGGATAAAGACAGACTAGGGCATTTGGGATCTATCATTCCTTTCACCTTGTAAACACAAGGGAGATCTTTCAGGCTCCCCATAAGCCAATTAAGACTTTTTAGTAGGGAATTAGCCCCGGATCCGCAGCTACCTGTTGAGGTAGGGGCAGTGGGAGAGTCTTTCTTTTGAGGAACTCCACATCAGCTGGCTCTGTGTTTCAAAGAGAGGGGATTAAAAAGATCAATACAGTGTGACCACTGGTTAGGAAGTCCCAGTGACAGGTGGGCCTAGGCTAGGCAAGCAGAAGGGTCCACTCTTATAACAGCCTATTTAGAGGGGGAAATTAATTTGTAAACAATGCCTCCAAATTGTTGTCCATTGAGGCCGAGTTCACCCTGGCTGTGAGGTGTGGGATGAATCATGCTGGTGTGGTGTCCTGAGTGGGGTGTGTAGCTGCCTAAGATTGTGAGCTAGGGTGCCTGCATTCTTCTCAACCCCCATCCCCCCAACACACACACACACACACACTTAACACCCGCTCCGGCCCATAGTGGTGGGGAAGGGGGGGCACACAGAGGGAGGGCTCGGGTGCAGGGCTTGCTCAGCCAGGCCTCAGGGGCAATAGCTAAAGCTTTCATTTGATGCCAGAGAAATCAGCTGCCCAAACTCAGTGGGGATTTTTCTGGCTGCAGTGTGTTTGTCTGTTGTCTGACAATTAGCTAACAGCATCAGCTAGTAGCAGTTTTTGTTTTAAAATTTTAGAATGTGAGTAATTACAAGAGGTAGTTCCTAAAATGCTTTTACTATTTCCTCAGCTCACAAGTTACCCCACATTGTTAAGACCAGATCTCAGCCAGGAATGGTGGCTCATGTCTGTAATCCCAGCACTTTGGGAGGCCCAGGTATGTGGATCACTTGAGCTCAGGAGTTCAAGACTACTGTGGACAACATGCAAAAGTTAGTCAGCATGGTGGTGTGCACCTGTGGTCCCAGCTACCCAGTAGGCTGAGGAGGGAGGATCACCTGAGCCCAGGGAGGTAGAGGCTGCAGTGAGCCCTGATGGCACCACTGCATTCCAACCTGGATGACAGAGTAAGACCCTGTGTCAAAAAAAAAAAAAAAAAAAAAAATCTTTTTTTTCCCCACTGGATTCTTCTTTTCATGAATATAGTGATTTGGTGGCAAGGGTACAGAGGAAGATGGGAATGGGTTCAGGAAAATGTGTCCTGAACACAAAGCTGGTACAGTGAATGATATTTATAGAGAAAATATATTTGTTTAGGAGGCACATAGAAGCAGAGGGCCAGAGTACAGTCACTGATAGCAGGTTCTACTTATGGAAGCATTTTCCCTCCTCACATGTTATCATGATGAGTTGGATCCACAGATCCATACACTAGGTCCCTGAAGGCATCACTAAGCCCAGCCATTGGCAAGGCACCCTCCTTCAGACACAAAGGCTACTTTGCAGAAGGTTCTGGAAGTTGAATGCTTTCTCTAAGTGCCCCCAGAGAGACAAAGTCATTCAAGAAAATCTTCAAATCTCTTCTGCTAAAAGCTCCAAGGAAAAAGTTGTGTCTCTAAAATAACCCAGCCCAGGGTCTCACTCTGTTGTCTGTCTCAGAATTGATTCATTTGACTAGCTTTGTGTCTTCTGTTTTCCTAGCGCAAACAGCAAAATGGTCTGCATCAGATTTTCTGCTCTCCCTTGCCTAGGATGCTTGGAAGTGACTCGCTGTAGCTTTCTGAAGGGCACGGGCCAGATTCAAGAACGGCAAGTCTCCTATGGAGAGTCCAGCCGTAATATTGGCACACGTGTCTGGGACAGGGGAAGAGAGCAACAGATTGTGTCCTGATTATTGTCCAAGATCCTAGGGGAAAGCACTGGCAAACAGCTGGAGCAGGAGCTTTGCCTCATACAGCTGCATATGTGCAGCACTGGAAGCAGGGGGGAAGACATGTACCACTGAGACTGAACATAGCAAACCGTATCCTCAAGTTTGTTGTCACAATAGGCTCACAACTCAAGATGTATGACCCAGAGCACCTTTCCAGGACCCAGAGCACCTTTCCAAAAAGAAACGTCTTTAACAACATCGTTGGTGGGGGGTATCTCTACTCCCGCCGGTTAATTCTATTCTTCTAAGGAAGTAAGCATATATGTGCAGCTCTTGGAGTTCTCAAATAGGGGAAAAGAAGAAAAGTGATTAAAAATGCTTATCCCCACCTCAGGGACCTCTTTCTTCCTGCAGCAAACTCTCATTCATCCACAGGCACCTGTGGAGGTAGGGGGTGGGGTAGGGGATCAGGGGTGGGGTGGGAGTAGGAGAAGAGCAGGCTGGTTACTAAAATATCCTAAACAATGATAGAACATAGACCTCCCTGCTGACAGCCATGTCTCTATCCTCCACATAGTCTTCCACTAAGCAACCAGGAGGCACTTCAGAAGGCTTCTTCATTCTCTACCTTTATCTCTACATTTATTTTTGCCCTGGTTTAACATATGTATTTATTGGCTTTTGTTTTTTTTTTGAGACAGAATCTCACTCTGCTGCCCAGGCTGGAGTGCAATGGCATGAGCTTGGCTCACTGCAACCTCTGCTTCCTGGGTTCAAGCAATTCTCCTGCCTCACCCACCCAAGTAGCTGGGTGTACAGATGTGTACCACCATGCTCGGCTAGTTTTTTGTACTTTTAGTAGAGACAGTGTTTCACCATGTTGGCCAGGCTAGTCTTGAACTCCTGACCTCAGGTGATCCACCTCCCTCGGCCTCCCAAAGTGCTGGGATTACAGGCGTGAGCCACCACACCCAGCCAACATATATATTTGTATACACTGCTTCCAAGCCTTTGTGAAAGCAGGGAAGGGAAGATTAGGACGAACTAGTAAAATAAAGATTCCACCCATTCTCTTATTTCTTTAGTGACTCCTCATCAAGCCCCTACTATGTGCTGAGCACCTTTCCAGGCACTGGAGTAACCAAGACAGACAAAGTTCTTGGCCCAAAGGAGCTTTCATTCTAGTGGGGAAAGGCAAAATAAATTTATGAAAGATTGTGGTAAGTTCTGAGGAGAAAAAATAAAGTAAAAGAAGGTGACTCTGGAATGCCAGAGTGGGAGAATGGTTGCTGTTTTAGAAAAGGTAGTCAAGGAAGGTCTTTGAATGTAGTTACATTTAAGCAAAGGACTGGATGAAGACAGGGAGTGGGGAAGTCATGCCAATATCTCTGGTGAGGGGAGCATCCCAGGGAGAAGGCCCAGCAAGGGGAAAGCCCTGGCCATGCAGTGTATTAGAGGGGCAGCAAGGAGGCTGACATGGCTGGAACAGAGGGCAAGCCATGGGCAAGCATGGACAGAGAGATGGTGATATCATTTTGCTGTGTCCCTACCCAAATCCCTTCTTGAATTCCTAGGTGTTGTGGGAGGGACCGGGTGGGAGGTAATTGAATCACGGGGGCAAGTCTTTTCCATTCTCATGACAGTGAATAAGTCTCATGAGATCTGATGGTTTCAAAAAGAGGAGTTCCCCTGCACAAACTCCCTCTCTTTGCCTGCTGCCATCTATGTAAGACATGACTTCCTCCTCATTGCCTTCCACCATGATTGTGAGGCTTCCCCAGCCACATGGAACTGTAAGTCCAATTAAACCTCTTTCTTTTGTAAATTGCCCAGTCTCAGCTATGACATTATCAGCGGCATGAAAACTGACTAATACAGATGGGGTGCACAGTCAAATCACGGTGAGCCTTGTAAACTATTATAAGGACTTCAGGTTTTTTCTCAAGGTGATTGGAGGGCTGAAAACAAAGGTGTGCTATGAATTACCTTATATTTTTAAAGGCTACACTGGTTGTTATACGGATGATAGATGCTGGAGCCAGGGCAGAATCAGGGACCTAACTAAGCAGTTGACCATTAGTCCTGTAGAAAGGAGTATATGGTGCAAAGCTGATGAAAAGTGGTCAGAACCAGGACACACTTTGAAGATAGAAACACCAGGATTTGTTGTTGAGCATGAAAGAAACAGAGGAATCAAGGATGGCTTCAAGGATTTGAAGTAGGAGCAATGTGGATACAGAACCTATCCCAGAAAGCCCTCTACAAATGGGTAATTTTGCCTGAAATGCTCATTTTAGTACCTAAAACAAAGATAGAAACATGAGTCTCGGGGTCTGTATTAGTCTGTTTTCACACTGCTGATAAAGACATACCTGAGACTGGGCAATTTTTTTTTAAAAAAAAAAAGAGGTTTAATTGGACTTACAGTTCCACGTGGCTGGGAAGCCTCACAACCATAGTAGAAAGCAAGGAGGAGCAAGTCATGTCTTACATGGATGGCAGTAGGCAAAGAGAGAGCTTGTGCAGGAAAACTCCTCCTCATACTATCAGATCTCATGAGACTTACTCACTATCATGAGAACAGCACGGGGAAGACCTTACTTCCCACGTCCCTCCCACAACACATGGGAATTCAACATGAGATTTGTGTAGGGAAACAGCCAAACCGTAACAGTGTCCATGAGCTAAAAAGACAGGTTGGTGCTCAAGAGAACCACAACTTTGTCTGAATCGGGGCCTAAGATAAATGCCCCAAAGAAAATTTATGGCAAGGGTAGGGGAAGGGACTTGTGGTGTCACGGCCAATGCCCTCAGTATCACCAACCCATCCTTGCCACCCTAGTTAGCCCTTACGTAGCACTTACCCTGTATTCTGTGCACTGCTCCAAACAAACCACACATAGTAACTTATTTAATTCTTCCACCCATGAGGTTGATAATATAATTATCTCCATTTTACAGATGAGGGAAGTGAGGCACAATCAAAGAACTTACCTAAGATAACATGGCTAGTAACCCACGAAGCTGGGATTTGAACCTAGGGAAACTGGCTTCAGTGCTCCTGCTGTGGTTTCAATTATCTCTCAAGGAATAAAAATGAAGTGCAGCTGAGTGAAAAGCTGGGGCTTAGCTTCAAGCCCCAGTCTAACACAGGAGTAAGCTGGATCATAGCAGGAGGCAGGGCCACAGCTGCCATTCTAGGGCCTTTTGCTGAATGAGGAAAAGGGCACGTTCACCCTATTCTCTCACTTAGGTAGGAGAGAACTAGCCTGAGAGGGTTTAAGGGTGAGTTCTCTGGCAAAGACCTGGGGTATCAGTTTGCAGAACCAACAGAGCTAAGAACCTGGTGGCATCCTCTTGTGAAAAATCAGTCTCCACAAATCCACATCTCTCTAGAAAGCCCCATACATTTTACCAGTCAGTCCTAGACTTTTTTTTAGAAAATATGTATGCAGTTGCTCCAACCTCAGCCAAGCAGGGAATCAAGGCTGCAAAGTTCAACACCAAAGAGACCAATGGTGAAGATTTTAGCACAGAAGATGCTCCTGGTAAGTTTTACCAGTTGCCTGCAATGGCCATAAGCCAGTAATATGCCTAAGTATATCTCTCTTTAGGAGCTGTCACTTCCCAGAGAGGCTCAGGACAAACTCTCAGCTCAAGCACTGAGTTTACCTGCTGCTTACTGGGCTAATGGCCAGAAGCCAGGCAACCCTGAAGGCAGGATGGTAAAACTAGATGTTGGGGTTTCAGATGGCTGAGCTTATGCCATCCATTTTGGCAGGGTACTGTTTGTCTTCTAAGGTCACTGTCTTGTTCAGATGAAGACCACTGTGTCATTGACAGATGTCATCTTCTGGTCTTGAGAGTAAGGGGAAACATGCATCCAGTTTATGCCAAAGTGGTCTCAAGTCTCTGAGATACAAGCAAAAAGGAGAACCAGAGTATACACTGTTTCATTGACTCAAATTTGATCTTCGCTCTGTCTAAAGAACTGCACTTGGCCCTTAATTGTATGCTGCTTGCTTCTATTAGGTTAAACTCATCCTGACACAAACTGAACACCTCCTGCATAGCCAGCATATGAACTTGGTAGATTGTACTATTGTTCACAATTGTTGGTTCCTTCCCCTACTTTTACCATGCACTCCTATGTAGGCTGATAGTCCTTCCTGTCCCAGTGACTCTGGCCTTGGTAATGGGACTGGCTTTGGCTAATGGATTGTGAGTGCACGTAAGCTATGCCACATCCAAGCAGATGCTTTCCTTGCATTTGTACAGTTTGTCTTTGTCTCCACCTCTGCTTTCTCCAGACTCTGCTTTCCACATGAGGACAGCAGGACTGAGAAAGTGGCCACCTGTGTTAGTTTATTTTGCATCACCATAAAGGAATACCTGAGGCTGGATAATTTATAATGAAAAGAGGTTTAATTGGCTCACAGTTCTGCAGGCTGGTCACAAAGCATGGCACCAGCATCTGCTCGGTTTCTGGTGAAGCCTCAGGGAACTTTAATTCAAGGCAGAAGGCAAAGCGGGAGCAGACCCATCATGTGGTGAGAGAGAGAACAAGAGAGCGTGAGCAAGACAGTGAGGAGGAGGTGCCATGCGCTTTTAAACAACCAGATCTCACATGAACTCAGAGCAAGAATGTACTCATTACCATGAGGACAGCACCAAGATATTCATGACGGCTCCACCCCCGTGATCCAAACACCTCCCACCAGGCCCCACCTCCAACACTGGGGATTACATTTCAATCTGAGATTTGGAGGGGACAAACATCCAAACTGTATTGCCACCCCTTCAGCTTCAGTTCCAAATGAGAACTACCTGCTCAATTCCTCATCTCAGGGTCTGCTTCTGGGAGATTCAAAAAAACAAGGTAGTCTATATCTGAAATCTGTTCATAGTCTTTTCCTCAAAGAAATCTGATCAAAATATGCTGTACCACATAACTACACCTGGCTCTTCCTAGAACTGAATCCAGCTGCCTTAGCTTGTATACTCACCCATCCTCTCCATATCACCTAGGCCAGGACCACAAGAGCCCTCTCACCACCCACCAAACACAGCAGGGCCTTTCATGACTCTATGTCTTCTACCCACTTGTCTCCTATCTGGCTATCCCCAGGCCCTCACTCATCCTTCAAACTGCAGCTCCAGTGCTTTTTCCTCTGTGAAGCCTCTTCAGATATCCTAGGCAGACTTAGTCATTCCAACTTCCTCTGGGCTCTTATCACACTCAGTCACCTTCCTGATTATTGTATACACTGTGAACATGTCAGTTTCTAAGGGACTTCAGATTTCTTAAGCCCAAGAGGCAGCTCCAAGCCCCCTAAGACCTCTAATAATCCCCAGAACTTATATGCCATTATTCATGCGGTGCTTTGGTGCAATTCACAACTTGACTGGAGAATCACTGAAATAGTTCCCAGTCTTCCTAGGGAGGACTTAGGTAGTTCAGGCCAAGGAGAAATAAGTTGACTTTATTCGATCTTTCATCTGGTCCCAGCCATTTTCCCTGAAGGGAGAAGGCTATAACTCTGCAGGCAGACAGCCTTGTGGGTATGGGAGGGGGAGAGATACAGTAGAGAACCAGCCGTCACCTCAGGAAGGTGGCCAAAGGAACTGACCACTCACTTTTGTTTCAGCCACAGCCAACTCAGAGGTGCCCAAAGCACCTTGTTCTCTTCAGATTTCTTACCATCTCAACAGGGCTAACACCAAGGATGGAGCCAGTGATTCATAATTGCTCCAAGCCCAGAATCATTTTTGTTTTGTTTTGTTTTTGTTTTTGAGACAGGGTCTCTATCTGCTGGGAGTGCAGTGGCAATATCACAGCTTACTGCAGCCTTCACTTCCCAGGCTCAAGTGATCCTCCCACCTCAGCCTACCTCAGCCTACTAAGTAGTTGGAACTGCAGGGACATGCCACCCCACCTGGCTTTTTTTTTTTTTTTTTTCTTGTAGAGATGCAGTCTTGTTATGTTGCCTAGGCTGGTCCCAAACTCTTGGGCTCAAGCAAGCCTCCTGCCTCAGCTTCCTAAATTGCTGAGATTATAGGCATGAGCCACAGTGCCCAGCCACAGAGTTATTTTAGATTTCACTTGTTTGGAGCCTGGGGACTGAGGCTGCTGGGTATTCACTGAAATCTCTTCTTTACTTATTCTAGGACACATGACTAGACTATATTTCCCAGAATCCTTTGCAATTAGGCATGACCATGTGACTGGGCCCTTTTCACTGGGTCATGAGTAGAAATGTGAGCCATTTCTGAAACTTAGACTAAGACAATGGTGGAAACTTGAACTTTCATGTAAAATGTAAGAAGCTCAAAGAAAATCACTCTTACTCTAAAAATGAGAAAATCCAGATAATCTACAAAATCATTACTTTTCTTGAGCCAACAAGAAAGCTGAGGTCACAAATTGATTAAATTACAAAGATGGGAAAGCCCCCCTGACCAGGGGAGACAGGGCATGTTGACTGTTTCACCTCAGTCAAAGCACAAGAGAAAGAGGTGGCTTAAGGTAGGTAAGAATAAATCAACTAAAATTTTAATAAAATTTTTAACACCAAGTTAGGGCTAGGGTGTCAGTTTGGAACAGGGGAGCACACACCTACTTGCAAGCTGTTATCCATGAGCCTTCATCAGGTATTCACAAGAAAGATCAGGTCAGAACAGAAGACTGGAAGTTCCTCTGGTGGTAAAGGAGTTTAGGAAGTGATTTCTGCTTGGGAATAGGCACAAACCCCACTCATTTTCCCAGAGATTTCTATCCTTTAAGCAGACACATTAAGCCACTGAAGAAGGTAAACTATCTTCCCTAGAATATAGGCATATACCTATTGGTTCTATGGAGAAATAGAAACAAAATCCACCTGCTTCTTGTAGAGGTGTAGGAAATTATCTCAACCTCAGGACAAAGGCAAAGATCAATTGCTGCTAGAGGAGAAGTAGAGGCAAACACCGTATTTCCTGGGGGAAGGGTAAGGATCCTGTACCAATACCAAACAAAGTCTGCTACTCTGAAGGGAGAGAAAAAGGAAATTCCTTCCTTCCTCAGAACAACCAAGATAGGGTTTGCCTGCCAGGCAGGTATGGTGCTGGAAATCTTTAATTATGAAGCCAAGATGCCTAGGACTTGCCAAAGACTGAGGCTGGATGCTGTTATGAGCCTAACATTGAGTAATAAGCAACATCAGTCTAGTCCTGGAAGAGGAACAAGAGTATGGATAGAGATGCCCCCCTGGAGCACAGGCAGCCAAGAATAGTTGAAAGCTGAGGGAGAACAGAAAAAAAAAAAACAAAAACAAAAACCTCTTGCATCCCCCTCATCCCACTCTAATGAAAGAACATAGTAACAGTCCACTGCTGACGGGATTGGAAGCGTGTGGTGCACTTGATATGCTTTGGCTGTATCCCCACTCAAAATCTCATCTTGATTTGTAATCCAAATTGTAATCCCCATATGTTAGAGGTGAAACCTCATGGGATGTGATTAGATCATGGGGGAAGTTCCCCCATGCTGTTCTTATGATAGTGAGTGAGTTCTCATGAGATATGATGATTTTATAAGGGGCTTTTTCCCCCTTCACTTGGCACTTCTCTCTCCTGCTGTCATGTGAAGGACATGTTTGGTTCCTATTCCACCATGATTGTAAGTTTCCTGAGACCTCCCCAGCCATGCAGAACTGTGAGTTAATTAAAGCTCTTTCCTTTATAAATTACCTAGTCTCAGGCAGTTTTTCATAGCAGTGTGAGAACGGACTAATACAGTAAATTGGTACCAGGAGTAGGGCACTGCTGTAAAGTTATGAAAATGTGGAAGCGACTTTGGAACTGGATAACAGGCAGAGGTTGGAACAGTTTGGAGGGCTCAGAAGAAGACAGGAAAATGTGGAAAGTTTGGAACCTCCTAGAGACTTGTTGAATGGCTTTGACCAAAATCCTGACAGTGATATAGACAATGAACTCTAGGCTAAGGTGGTCTCAGACGGAGACGAGGAACTTTTTGGGAACTGGAGTAAAGGTCACTCTTGCTATGCTTTAGCAAAGAGACTGAGAGGCAGCTTTTTGCCCCTGCCCTAGAGATTTGTGGAACTTTGAACTTGAGAGAGATGATTTAGGGTATTTGGCAGAAGAAATTTCTAAGCAGAAAAGCATTCATGAGGAAGCAGAGCATAAAAGTTTGGAAAATGTGCAGCCTGACCATGCAATAGAAAAGAAAAACCCATTTTCTGGGGAGAAACTCAAGCTTGCTGCAGAAATTTGCATAAGTAACGAGGAGGCAAATGTTAATCACCAAGACAATGGGGAAAATGTCTCCAGGCCATGTCAGAGACCTTCACAGCAGCCCCTTTCATCACAGGCTCAGAGGCCTAGCAAGGAAAAATGGTTTTGTGAGCAGGGCCCAGGGTCCCCCCACGCTCTGTGCAGCCTCAGGACATGATGCCTGCATCCCAGCTGCTTCACTCCAGCTGTGGCTAAAAGGGGCCAAGGTACAGCTCAGGTCATTACTTCAGAGGGTGAAAGCCTTGGTGGTTTCCATGGGGTGTTGAGCCTGTGGGTGCACAGAAGTCAAGAACTGAGGTTTGGAAACCTCCACCTAGAGGATCAGAGGATGTACAAAAACACCTGAATGTCCAGGCAGAAGTTTGCTGCAGGGGCAGAGCCCTCATGGAGAACTTCTGCTAGGGCAGTGTGAAAGGGAAATCTAGGGTCAGAGCCCACACACAGAGTCCCCACTGGGGCACTGCCTAGTGGAGCTTCCAGACCCCAGAATGGTAGATCCGCTGACAGCTTGCACTGTGTGCCTGTAAAAGCCACAAGCACTCAATGCCAGCCTGTGAAGGCAGCTGGGAGGGAGCTGTACCCTGCAAAGTCACAGGTGCAGAGCTGCCCAAGGCCAAAGGAGACCACTTCTTGCATCAGTGTGACCTGAATGTGAGACATAGAGTCAAAGGAGATCATTTTGGAGTTTTATGGTTTAATCACTGCCCTATTGAATTTTGAACTCTCATGGGGCCTGTAGCCCCTTTGTTTTGGCCAATGTCTCCCATTTGGAATGGGTGTATTTACCCAATGCCTGTACCCAGATTGTATCTAGGGAGTAACTAACTTGCTTTTGATTTTACAGGCTCATAGGCAGAAGGAACTTGCCTTGTCTCAGATGAGACTGTGGACTTTGACTTTTGGGTTAACGCTGGAATGAGTTAAGAATTTGAGGGACTACTGTTGCAAGGGAATGATTGTGTTTTGAAATGTGAGGACATGAGATTTGGGAGGGACTGGGGTGGAATGATACGGTTTGCCTGTGTCCTCACTCAGAATCTTATCTTGAATTGTAATCCCCATGTGTTGGGGACAGGACCTCATGTCAGGTGATTAGATCATGGGGGCAGTTCCCCCACACTGTTCTCATGACAGTGAGTGTGTTCTCATGAGATCTGATAGTTTCATAAGGGTCTTTTTCCCCCTTTGCTTGGCATTTCTCTCTCCTGCTGCCATGTGAAGAAGGATGTATTGGCTTCCCCTTCCACCAGGATTATATGTTTCCTGAGGCCTCCCCAGCCATGCAGAACTGTGAGTCAATTAGACCTCTTTCTTTTATAAATTACCCTGTCTTGGGCAGTTCTTCCTAGCAGCATGAGAACAAACTAATCCCACTGAAGATAATAATAACTAGAAGAAAACAAACTAAGCTCAGCTCCTGACTAGACTGACTGAACACCCACCCCTCCTTACATATTAACTGCATAACAAAAATAGTGGCATGTCCAGGCATAACATTATGCCTCAAGCTCTACTGTTCCTCTACCTATGATGCTCAACATTAATCAAAAATCACAAGACACACTCAAAAAGAATAAGAAACAACCTACTCCCAAGAAATAAAGTAATCAACAGATCCAGACTCAGATGCAGCCTAGACATTAAGCCTAGATGTTAGAATTTTCAGATAGGAAATTTAAAATAGCCATGATAAATATTTTAAAACTCTGTTGGAAATGATGGGCAACATGTTTGAACAGATGGGGAATTTCAGCAGAGAAATGGAAACTATAAGAAAGAGTTACATTAACATGCTAGTAAATAAAATAGAATATCCAAGATAAAAAATGTATTTGATGAGCTCAGCAGTAACCTGGAAAGCCGAGGAAAGATTGTAACCTTGAAGATAGGTCAACAGACTTTATCAAAACTGAAACACAACGAAAAAAAGAGTGGGGTAGTTCAGTGTTCAGAGCAGAACATTGAAAAAATGTGGAAAAATAGAAAATAGTTTAACATACATGTAACTGGAGTCCCAAAAGAAGAAAGAAGGAACAGAGCAGAAGAAGTACTTGAAGACATAATGATTTGGAATTTTCTGAAAATAATGGAAGACTTCGTAGCACAGACTCAACAACCTCAGAGAAACTCCAAAGAGAACAAGTTAAAAAACAAACAAACAAACTTTAGGTGTGGCGGTTAATGGTTTGGATGTCTGTCCCCTCCAAATCTGAATTGTAATCCCCAGTGTTGGAGGTGTGGCCAGTAGGAGGTGCTTGGATCATGTGGGCAGATCCCTCATGAATGGCTTGGTGCCATCCTCACAGTAATGAGTGAGTTCACATGAGATGTGGTTGCTTAAAAGAGTATGGCACTTCCCTGCTGTCTCTCTTGTTCCCATTCTCACCATGTGATACACTGCTTCCTCCTTCACCCTCTACCATGATTATAAGCTTCATGAGGGCTCACCAGAAGCGGATACCAGCACCATGCTTCCTGTATAGTTGCAGAACCATGAGCCAAAATAAATCAATTTTCTTTATAAACTACCCAGCCTTAGGTGTTTCTTTATAGCTATGCAAAAATGGACTAGCACAGTGGCACATGCCTGTAGTCCTTACTTGGGAGGCTGAGGAAGGAAGATTGGTTGAGCCCAGGATTTCGAGACTACAGTGAGCTATGATTGTGCCACTGCACTCTAGCTGTGTAACAGAGTAAGACCCTGTCTCAAACAAAACAAAACAGAAAAAACTAGACACGTTGTAATTATAGTCAAACTGCTGAAAACCAAAGATAAAGCAAAAATCTTGAGGGTAACCAAAGGACAAAAAGACACACTGAATACAAATTAATAAAGATAACAAATATGACACTTTTATCATCAGTAATTATGCAAGCCGAAAGACAATAGAGTGATACCATAATGTGCTGAAGGAAAATAACTATGAACCCAGAATTCTATACCCACCAGAGAAAATAACCCTTTCCAAACTGAAGGCATATAAGGACCTTTTTCAGACAAACAAAAGCAGTGAAAATTTATTGCCAGAAGACCAGTGCTACATTAAATTTTAAGGAAAGATCTTGGAGAAGAATAAGTTTTGTGATATTGTTAAATACATATTTGGTCTTTGTCCCTCTTTCCTGACACATAGCTCCTAAAACCCTTGGAATCTACAGAGGAATAAGAGTGTCTTTTGAATGCTAATGAGATGACTAGTGGCTAGCAGCCCCTACACAGCTTCAAGATAGGAGCTGGTCATCAGAAAGACCAAGGTATAAATACAGTGTCAGGACCAACCCACCAACCTCCAGGGAGGGAAGAGGGGCTGAAGGTTGAGTTGATCACCAATGGCCAATAATGTCATCAATAATGCCTATGTAATAAATCCTTCATAAAACCCCAAAAGAGCAGAGTTTGGATGGGCTTCTAGTTAGCTGGACATATGGAGTTTCCTGGAGGGTGGTGCACCAGGAGAGGGCATGGAAGTTCTACACCCCTTTTCCCATACCTCACCCTAAGCATCTTTCCCATCTGGCTTTTCATCTGTATCCTTTGTAATATACTTTTTAATAAACCAGTTATCTAGGGATTTTCTCGAGTCCTGTGAGCTGTTCTAGCAAATTAATCAAACCCAAGGATGGAGTTGTGGGAACCCTGATTTATAGCCAGTCAGTCAGAAGTACGGCTCACAACCTCTGCTTGTGATTGCCATCTAAAGTGGCGGCAGTCTTGTGGAACTGATCCCTCAACCTATGGGATCTCCAGGTAGACAGTGTCAGAATCGAATTAGAAGAAACTCAACTGGTGTCTGCTGGAGAATCTCCTGCAGAGTTGTCTGCTGGTGGGGAGAAATCCCTGCACACATTTGGTGACTAGAGTGGAAACGTTGTATTGAGTGACCATGTGAGAATTTTTACAAACACTTTGGTATGTATACATAAAACTTTGATGTCAAATGAAAACTTGAATCTATACAAAGAAATAGAGTTAAGGAAATGGTAAAAATAAATGTAAAAGACCCTTTTTCTCTTATTTTCGGTGACTTTAAATTGTATAAAACAAAATGAATAGCAATGTATGTGGGGCTTATAACATATGTAAAAGTAAAATATATGGCAAAAATATTTCAAAGAATGAGAGGGAGGAATTGGAAGTAGAGTCTTGAAAGATTCTTTCACTTTATATGAAGTGGTATAATATTCTTTGAAGGTAGACTCACATAAGTTAACAATGTATATTGTAAACCAAAAATTTTAAACAAGGTATAACTAATAAGCCAATAGTGGAAATAAAAAGAAATAATAAAAATAATTAACCTAAAAGTAGATGGTAAAAGAAGAGGGGAAAAGGACTAAAGAACAGATAAGACAAATCAAAAACAATTAGGAAGACAGAAGATTTAAATTCAATCACATCAATAATTATATTAAATGTAAATTACACTTAAAGGCAAAGATTATCACATTGGACAAAAAGGCAAGACCCACTTACATGCTATCTACAAGAAATTCACTTCAAATGTGAAGTTATACACAGATTAAAAGGAAAGGAAAGAAAAAAGGTGTACCATGCAAATACTAATTAAAAGAAGCTAGAATGGCTATATTAATATCAGACTAAATAGACTTCAGAAGAAGGATTATTTCCAAGGATAAAGAGAGACATTACATAATGATAAAGGGAACAATTCACCATGAAGACATACAATCCTAAATGTGCAAACACTTAACAATGAACCTCCAAAATACATTTAAAAACTTATACAATTCAAAGAACAAATAGATAAATCCACAACTATAAAGACTTCAAATCCCATTTCTCAGTATCTCAGTAATGTATAAAGAAAGTAGACAGAAATGGGCTGGGTGTGGTGGCTCACGCCTGTAATCCCAGCACTTTGGGAGGCCGAGGCGGACAGATCACAAGGTCAAGAGATCGAGACCATCCTGGCTAACATGGTGAAACCCCGTCTCTACTAAAAATACAAAAAAATTAGCCAGGCATGGTGGTGGGCGCCTGTAGTCCCAGCTACTTCAGAGGCTGAGGCAGGAGAATGGCATGAACCCTGGAGGCAGAGCATGCAGTGAGCCGAGATTGTGCCACTGCACTCCAACCTGGGTGACAGAGTGAGACTCTGCCTTAAAAAAAAAAAAAAAAAGAAAGCAGACAGAAAAACAGTAAGGGGATATAGAAGATCTGAACAACACTATTAACTAACTTGATCTAATTGACATTTGTAGAACACTCCACCCAACAACAGCAGAATGTATTCTTGTCAAGCACACATAACATATTCACCAGGAAAGACATATTCTGGACCATAAAGGCATATCAAGAAATTTTAAAAAATTCAAGTCATACAAAGTAGATTCTCTGGCACAGTAGAATTAAACTTGAAATTAATAGCAGAAAAAAAATCTCAAAAATCCAAATAATTAGAAATTAAACAACACACGCCTAAATAACCCAATCATGGAAGAAAAAGTCACAAGAAAAATCAGAAAATACTTTTAATTGAACAAAAATGAAAACATGAAAATACTTGCCAGAATTCTGGGAAAGTTGCTAAAACAGTACTTTGGGGAAAATGCATAGCATTAATAATTGCTTTATTAGAAAACAAGAAAGATCTGGACTCATTCATTTAGATTTCTTCTTAAGAAAATGGAAAAACTAAGAAAATTTGACTCAAAGCTAGCAGAAAGACAGACATATTAAGGCAAGAGCAAACTTCAGTGAAATTGGAAACAGAAAGCCACAGAAAAATTTTACGGAACCAAAAGTTGGTTTTTAAAAAATAATCAACAAAGTCGATAAACTTCTAACCAAACTGATCAATAAAAGAGTGAAGATATAAGTCATCAGTATCCAGAATTGAAGATGGAACATTATTCCAGATCATGTGACCTTATAAATATAATAAGAGAATATTTTAAAGAGCTTTATGCCAATACATTTGATTACTTAGATGAAATGAACACATTTCTTGAAAAACAAAGACTACAAAAGCTTAATCTCAGAGAAATAGGTAATCTGAAAAAGAAATCTGTGGTCAAATACTTCCCATAAGGAAACTTCGAGGTCCAGATGGCTTCACTGAAGAAGTCTATTGTATTAGTCAGCCTCGGCTGCTAGAACAAAATACCATAAGCTAAGTGACTTAAAGAAGACAAATTTATGTTCTAAAAGTTCTGAAAGCAAAGCTAGAAGTTCAAGATCAAGGTTCCGGCTGACTCAATTTCTGATGAGGACCCGTTTCCTGGTTTGCAGATAGCAATCTTCTCACCATGTCCTCACATGGCCTTTTCTTGGTGTGTTTGTGGAGAAAGAGAGAGAGAGTGGGAGAGACAGCTGCTCTCTGGTGTCTCAAAAGGACATTAATTCTATCAGATTGGGACCAATACCCTTATGACCTCATTTAACATTAATTATTCCCTTATAGGCCCGAGCTCCAAATACAGCCACATTAGGAGTTAGGACTTCCAACATACAAATTGGGGTTGGGGGGATGCAATTCAGTCTGTAGCATGTATCAAACACTTAAGTAAGAAATTATATAAATTCTATAGAAATTACTCCAGAAAAGAGAAGAGGAAAGAGCATTCTTAACTAATTTTATGAGCCCAGCATTATCCTCATATCAAAACCAGGCAAAGATATTACAAGCAAAAAAAGCTATAAATGATATTCTTCATGAACATATACGTAAAAATCCTCAATAAAATAGCAGTAAATCAAATCCAGCAGTATATAAAAGGTTAAATGTACCATGACTAAGTGGGGTTTATCCTAAGAATGCAAATTTATTTCAACATTTGAAATTAATTAATGCATATCCTATAAACAGACTAAAAGAGAAACACAGTATAATCTCTACAATAGATACAGAAAAATCATCTGACAAAATTCAGCATCTATTCATGAAAAGAAAAATATCTCAACAAACTAGAAATTGTTATCAACACAATAGATGACATGTATGAAAAACCTTCAACTCATATCATACTCCAAGACTGAATGTTTTCCCACTAAAATCAAGAACAAGACAAGGAATTCTGCTCTCATAACTCTTATCCAAAATTGTATTGAGAGTTTTGTCAGTGGAATAAATCAATAAAAAGAAATAAATGTCATACACATTTGAAAGGAAGGAAAAAAAGCTGTCGTTATTTGCACACAACATAGCCATCTATAGCTACAGTTTTGGAAAGCAAGAAAAAAGTTGGATGATACACACCACCTGATTTCAAGATGGTGTGGTATTTGTGAAAGGATAGTCTCAGAGATAAAAGAAACCAAATAAATAATTCTGAAATAAACATACATATATATGGACAATTGATTTTAGACAAAGGTACCAAGGTAATTCAACTGAGAAAAGATAGTGTTTACAACAAATGATGCTAAAATACTGTTAGATAGCCACATGAAATAAAAACAAATCTTATACCTCACACCATAGACAAAATTATCTCAAAATGTAAGACTTAAAATTGTAAAACTTTTAGAGGAAAACATTGGAAAAACCATTGCCACCTGGGGTTAGGCAGACAGTTCTTAAATAAAACACAAAAGAACCTGGGCAACATAGTGAGACCCTGACAATAAAATAAAATAAAATAAAAATTAGGTGTGATGGCACATGCATATAGTCCTAGTTACTTGGGAGGCTAAGGTGGATGATCACTTGAGCCCAGAAATCCAAGGGTACAGTGAACTATGAAGTTCAAGAGTACAGCGAGCTATGATCATGCCACTGCACTTCAGCCTGGGTGATGGAGCAAGATCCTGTCTCAAAAAAAAAAAAAGTCATGAGCCATAAAGAAAAAAAAATTGAAAATTGTATTTTATAAAAAATTTTAAATGTCTGCTCTTCAAAAGACATTGTTAAGGAAGTTAACAATGATAGTTAACAATGATAAGCTATAGACTGGGAGAAAATATGGGCAAAACACATTCTAATAAAGGACTGGTATCCAGAATATATAAAGAACTCTCACAAATCAACAACAAAAAACCCAAACAACCCAATTTAAAATTTGGCAAAAAAAAAATTAAAACTGTCCTCTCCTCCAAAGAAGAGATAAGGTTGGCAAATGAACCCATGAAAATATGCTCAACACAATTAGGGAAATGCAAGTTCAGACAACAATGATATATCACAATCACACAATTCCTAGAATGGCTAAAATTAGAAAAACTGACAATACCAAGTGCTGCCTAGAGTGCAGAACAATTCAAACTCTCATATATTCCTGGTGGGAGTACTATTCCCACTTTGGAATAGTTTGACAGTTTCTTTTGACATTAAACATACATTTACCATATGGCATTGAAATCTCACTCTTAGGGACATAAGCTAAAAGAAAACATGTTCACACAAAGGCCTGATGCAAATGATTACATCACCTTTATTCATACTATCCTAGTTGAGCCCAGGTGCCTGTCAACATAATATATAAAGAAATTATTATATACCCAATTAAAATCAATTTCTTGATACATACAAAAAACATGAATTAAGCATTATTCTAGGTTTTAAAAAAGGCAGACTCAAAATGCGAAATACAGTATGATTCCATTTATATGGTGTTTAGAAAACGCAAAACTGTAGGGACTGAAACCAGATTAGCAATTTCCAGAAACAAGAAGAGGAGGAGATTAATTTAAAATGGAGCGAGAGAGAATTTTGGGGGGTAATGGAAATGTTCTATGTCTATGTCTTAGTAATTTCACAATTTGTCAATACTCATACCTCTGTGCATCTTAAAAGGGAAATTTATGTAAATTATGCCTCAATAAGCCTGACTAAAACTATAAAAATAATCATGGGGTGTTATGGGGCCTTGTCCACCCTCTGTTCTTTTTCCCATGACTGTCACCTGAACATGATGGCAACCCAGCTTCAACCATGGGGATGATGACAAAGCTTCAGACCAGTCCTTCTCAAAGGGTTTCTAGCACCAGTCCACAAAGAGGTAAGTACAGAAATTGAGAGGGTGAAGTTAGTAACTTTTACAGAAATTTAAGTAAGTAATATTATGGCTATTATATCTAATAACAAAACAGTGTAGGCTTGCATTTTGTGTCTTTGGGGTTTTTTCCTTTTATTTTTTCAGAAATTCATTTTTATTACTTTTTACAAAAAAATAAAAAAGAAGAAATTAGTTCTTCACCATATACAGTTTGAGAAGCACTGCCCTAGGGAATAGTGGGCCAACTTAGAAGGAACCTGCATCCCTGAATGACTGCATGGAGCAGAGCCACCTGGCAGCCTGGAATACTCTTCTTGGACTATTACATGAATGAGAAATAAACTTTGTTCTTTAAACCACTGTATCTTTGTGCCTTTCTGCTGTAGAAGCCAAACCTTACTCTAATTGTCTGGGACCTCCACAAGGACAGCTATCTGCTGACTCTGGGCCAATGCTTTAGTCCAGGAAAAGCTAAAAGCAAGAACTTTTTGGAGAGAGCATAAGCTCAAAACATATGGGAAAAGCAAGCAAGTCGAGCATTATTTTTCATACCACAGAGGATGTCTACAAAAGAAAACCAAAGTTCTTACTTTTTCAGCAGTGTATACAGCAGTGTACAGAGATAGAGGGATGGAATCATTCTAACAGCCTTCAAGTCCCCAGCACAACTTGGCTTTCTCCGGCTGCTTTTGGGAGAAGCAGAACTTCCATCAGCAAGGTCAGTCTTGCATCACTGGGATAAGTTCTGAGAAATGCATCCTTAGGCCACTTCCTTATTGTGTGAACATCGGAGTGTTCTTACACAAACCTAGATGGTACAGCCTACTGCACACCTAGGCTACGTAATATATCCTACAGCACTAGGGACAAACCTGTACATTTACATGTTACTGTACTGAACACTGTAGGCAATTGTAACACAGTGGTAAATATTTGCATATCTAAACATAGAAAATGTACAGTAAGCCCGGTGTGGTGGCTCACTCCTGTAATCCCAGCACTTTGGGAGGCTGAGGCGGGTGGATCATTTGAGGTCAGGAGTTCTAGACCACCTGGCCAACATGGTGAAACCCCATCTGTACTGAAAATACAAAAATTAGCTGGGCGTGGTGGTGGGTGCTTGTAATCCCAGCTACTCGGGGCTGAGGCAGGAGAATTGTTTGAACCCGGGAGGCGGAGGTTGCAGTGAGCCAAGATTGCACCACTGCACTCCAGCCTGGGCAACAGAGCAAGACTCCATCTCAAAAAAAAAAAAAAAAAAGAAAATGTACAGTAAAGATACAGTATTATAGGCCAGGCACTGTGGCTCATGACAGTAATCACAGCACTTTGGGAGGCCAAGGCAGGCAGATCACGAGGTCAGGAGTTCGAGACCAGCCTGGCCAACACAGTGAAACCCCGTCTCTGCTAAAAATACAAAAAATCAGCCAGGCGGGGTGGCAGGCGCCTGTAGTCCCAGCTACTTGGGAAGCTGAGGCAGAAGAATTGCTTGAACCCAGGAGACAGAGGTTGCAGTGGGCCAAAATCATGCCACTGCACTCCAACCTGGGCAACAGAGCAAGACTCTGTCTCAGAAAAGAAAAGAAAAGAAAAGAAAAAGGATATAGTGGCTGGGCGTGGTGGCTCACGCTTGTAATCCCAGCACTTTGGGAGGCAGAGGTGGGTGGATCACAAGGTCAGGAGTTCAAGACCAGCCTGGCCAGCATGGTGAAACCCTGTCTCTACTAAAAATACAAAAAATTAGCCAGGCGTGGTGGCGGGCGCCTGTAGTCCCAGCTACTCGGGAGGCTGAGGCAGGAGAATGGCGTGAACCTGGGAGGCGGAGCTTGCAGTGAGCCGAGATTTTGTCACTGCACTCCAGCCTGGGCAACAGAGCGAGACTCCGTCTCAAAAAAAAAAAAAAGAAAAAGGATACAGTATGATAATCTTATGAGACCACCATATATAGGTCCATCATTGACTAGAATGTCCTTATGTAGCACATGACTATGCAACAGTAGCAGCTTAAACAACTATAGCTGCTGCAGAAAGATGGCTTTGGGGTCTGCCTTCCTTGTATGGGCCCAATTAAGGGTTGGTAATTCTTTTACTGAGGGTGCTCAGGCAATGTAATGATGTCAATACTCAAACAACTGTGCTTCTTAAAAGGGAACTTAAAAGGGAACTGGACCAGTCCAGTTCTGCCATTTTCTAATTTTAACTTCATTTTCGCCTCAGTCTCCTCATCCATAAAATGGAGGATAATGATAGTGTCCACCTATATTATAGGATTTTTCAAGGTTTCAGTGAGAAGCAATTATTGTAAAGAGCTAAAACTAGGCGTGGCTTATTGAAGGAGCTGGATAAATGTTAGCTATTGACTGATTTAGCTGCAAGCCAATTACCCTTTGTAATGAAATGATCTTTCTGTGGTCACCAGATGGTCCCTACCCTGCTGAAGGCTGTAGGCCTTGAACACAAACATGACTGATATAACTTGATCCTAACACAGCAGTTTAGTGACCAATGCTATACTTCAAATGTAAAACCATGATTGGAGGACTAAGAGGGATATTACATTATACCTAGTGATAGTCTGGCTCAAGCCCAGATTCAAATCACACTGCCTTTGAGAATTCTCCATCCTGAGCATGAGCACATGAGTATAGTGTCTTCCAGGTTACAAAGCAATTTCACATCCATCATCTGACATTAGCTTCTCAGTGACCAGTGAGGTAGAAGGGATTATTGTATCTGTAGCACAGATGAGGCAAGGGGCTCAGAGGTTAAGTGGCTCACCCAAGGTCACAAGGTTAATGAGAGGAGAAGGTGGGGCTCAGAGCTGCATCTGGTTCCAAGTCCATTTCTTTTCCTGAGATACTTTCCACCTCTCCAGGCTTGCCTCCCATGACCCAGAGTACACCTCCACATCACAATTGTTTACATACCATGATGTGTAAGCAAGCAAAAGATTAATAATAGTGGGTATACGATTAAGTTGAATCATATTAAATTGCTAGTATTTAACTGCAGAAATAGTAATTTCATATACTTCAACCTAGTAATTAACATTTACTTGGATACTTACCAGCAGTTAGGCACTAAGCCAAGCACTTTGAATTGCATTGGTTTATATAATCACAATAACCCTCTTATCTCCATTTTAGAGATGAGGAATCCAAGGCCAGGGCTCCAAAGCTATGCAATGTGGTGGGGGAAGGATTTAAATCAAGGCATCTGATCCCAGGGCACAAGCACTTACCCACTGTACTGCCCTACCAATTCATTCCCCAGCAAGAAGACATTAACTCTTTTTTTTTTTTTTTTTTTTTTTTGAGACAGAGTCTCGCTCTGTCGCCCAGGCTGCAGTGCAGTGGCGCGATCTCGGCTCACTGCAAGCTCCACCTCCTGGGTTCACACTATTCTCCTACCTCAGCCTCCCGAGTAACTGGGACTACAGGCACCCGCCAACATGCCCGGCTAATTTTTTGTATTCTTTAGTAGAGACGGAGTTTCACCATGTTAGCCAGGATGGTCTCGATCTCCTGACCTTGTGATCCACCCCCCTCAGCCTCCCAAAGGGCTGGGATGACAAGTGTGAGCCACCACACCCGGCCAAGAAGACATGAACTCTAATGACAGAAACTATGTCTTATTTAACTATATAATGCTGCATGCAACACCTGGCATTCATTCATTCATTCAACAAATCTGAGGGCCTCCTAGGCTTCTTGTTGTGAGGCAATTCTCCACAGGTCCCAAGCATTTCTGCACATCTTGTGAGCAGATGCACTGACTGCTCTTTGTTCTGGACTACCTTTTCAAAGACATGTATATCAAACAACTCTGGAAGATAGAGATGGTGTCTCCCTCCAGAGCAAAGAGCAGACAGACTGTCCATTATAGTCAAGTTCCCTAAGCTCAGGGCTCCCCTCATGTAACTCACTGAGCATGCAGGTGTCATCAGGCCCTCTTTGTGTCACTCTGCGGAAGTCAGGGCTTGAGGTATCACTAAAAAGATGCTAATACTCTGCAATTGCTGTGAGTGATAAACTATCCTTCCTCTCTGACCCAAGAGTCTCCTATCTTCTATCAGAATGAAATGGTGGCAGGCAAACTTGTTAGCTTGCCAGTAAGATAAAGTCTCAGATTCAGAATTCTTGACAGTACTATGTGAGTACTGGTTAGTGAATAAAATGGATAAATGCATGTAAATGAGCACTCCCTTTGCACAGGGTACTGTGTCCTAAACATCCTTATAGTGTCTCCCAGGGAGCTGTTGCTGCCATTCACCAAGAGGTAATACAAGGAAATAGCCAGGGGAGTGGGTCTGGTCTCCCTGGGCTGACCACTGATCTGCAAGAAAGCAATGCTGGCACCAGCATTTACTGAGAACCTACTGTGTACCCGGCTTCAAATTTCTGAATTCCATAATGTCTACCAAGGAGCATTTATAAGTGCTTGTTGAGCAAATGATCCATTCACCTATTCAGCAAATATCTGTTGAATGCCAACTATGTGCCTGGCTCTGTTCTACAATTTGGGGGAATAAGATAGACAGGACCCCTGCTTTCATGGGGCTTATCAATTGCTGGAAGAGATAGTCAATAAACAAGCAACTACTTAAGTAAACAAAAAAAATCATTGGTGAAAAAAGCTCTGCAAAAGTTTAAAGAAGAAAATGTGCTAAGGAGTGAATGGGAACCACTTTAGAAGGGGTGGTCAGGAGAGCCCTCTCGGAAGAGGGGATCACTAAGCTGACAATGGAGTGATGAGAATCACTGTTGCTAAGATCAGAGGGACAAGCACTCCAAGCAAAAGGAATGGCTGGGACAGGAGGGACGTCAGTGTGGGTGGAACCAGTGAGGTGGAGGAGAGGGCGGAGGTGATCACAGAGAGGCAGAGGCCAGATCATGTGGGGCTTCATGAAGTTAAAAGGATGTCTCCTGTCAAAATGACGGTGGACACAGCTGAGTTCTTCCCATCAGATCCTATCAGCCCCAGTAACAAGGATGACCATACTGCAGAAGGTGCTGGATCTCGCGCCATGAGCTACTTTCACCTCAGCAACTCTGTCATCCATAAGGCAGCCACTTGCTGAAATAAATAAATAAATGAATAACTTAGGTAGCATGACTGTCTAGAGAAGGAGTATTTACCAAAATTACAGATGGCATGGAGTGTGCTTTTTTCAAGGGTAGAGCTCCTGCGACACCCAGCTGAGGTCAGTTGACATGAGCTCTTACTGAGAACCCCTCATGGAGATTGCCCAAAGAACAAAAGCAGGAGTTTCCCATGATGATGGGATACTCACGGCCACTGACGTGTGAAGGGCTGTTTCAGACATCAGAGGAGGGGCCGAGGAAGACCTTGCAGGTGTGCGTCAAGTCTAGAGTTTTTAAAAGGAGGGGAAAGAGGCAGGGCTGGAAGACTGGAGAGCTCTTGCAAATATCAGACAACTCCAGGGCCATCTTTCATAATGTAGCTAAAGGAAATATTGAAAAGAGAAAAGAAAAACTCGATAAACATGATGAACAGAAAATCCATTTATAACAACCAGAAAAAATCCCTAAGTACTCAAACCCAGAGGAATTACTCAATAGAGAAGAGCAGAATTGCATCATGAAAAAGTGTTACCTACCAAAAAGCAGTTATTACAACTATATAAACTATATAGCTTAAATTAAATGTTGGAGGGAAAGAGATTGCAAACTACATCCACATTATCAAGACGATTCAAAAACTAGCTATGTTACAAAGAAAAAGCCAAGTTTGGAGGACTTAGAGAGAGATGTCAATAGTAGTTCAGAAATGGTGACAGGGTGAAGTTACAGGTTTTATACAGTTGCTTACTCAATTAAAACATTTGAAATAAAAGGTCTCTCCTGATTTCAAAACAGCAATACAAGTTTTGAGGAAAACAATGTTTTCCAAAACCAGCAAGACCTAAAATATCAGAGTCATCTCCAGCTAGAAGTCAGTCACTCTGGCCAAGCAATTCTCTTGCAAAGATACTGCAAGAATTATTAGAAATAAAAATCACACCATTCGCCTTTGAATGTCCTTAGGCATTATGGCTTTTTCTCTGCCATAGGCAGTAGTTTTAATAAGTTGCCCTGCCAGATTCCCCTAATGATATGCTTCCTACATAAAAAAGGGCTTGTGAAACCTGATTCCTCTGACAGAAGTGAGCTCGGGTCTCTGAAGCAGCGAAGATTTCAGATTTCCGCCGGGTTTCCTTGCACCTGCCCTTGCGAGGCATGAGGTTTTGTGTGCAGAAGCCTCCAGGGGTTGAAATTTAGCCCTGTCCATGTAGCAGGAAGGTCAGCTGAAGTCACTGGGTCCCAAGACACTGGACTTCAATCTCCGACCAAAAACAAAACATCAAAACACTTCTATTCACGGGGACGTGCTTAGCAGCGCGCTGGCATTTACAAATGTAACGCGGCACCGCGAGACTCAGAGAAGGGGCTCTGCTTAGAAAGTCGATTGTTCTTCAGAGATCTGACAACCTCTGTCAGATCTGTGTCAGCCCGGCTCCAGCAAACACTCAGAGAAAGCCAGCCTCCTTCAGACCGAGCCCTGGCTGCCACCTGATACCTGAATGAAGAGCACAGCCAGCAAAATCCAAACTCCTTTCGGGATGTCTGCTTTTTTGGGAAATGGTTTTGACTTTCTCAAAAAAATTCATGTGGAAGAAAATTAATTTCCAATTAGCCTTTTTTTAATTTTTAACACAAAATAATGTACATTATTTATTTATTTATTCTAGATTCAAGGGTTACGTGTGCAGGCTTGCTACTTGGGTATACCGCGTGACATTGAGGTTTGGGCTCCAAGGATCTTGTCGCCCAAGTAGTGAACACAGTACCTGACAGGCAGTTTTTCAAGCCTAACCTCCCGCCCTCCTTCCCCTCTTTTGCAGTCCCCAGTATTTACTGTTCCCGTGTTTGTGTCCACATGTACCTTTTTTGGCCTTTAAAGACTGATGTGACGTACCCACTAATTGGAATGACGGTCTTTCCCAGGGAAGAAAACTTTTGCTCCATTTACCTGTGTATTTCTTTTTCTCTTTTACTCTTTTTTTTTTTTTTTTTTTTTTTTTTTTTTTTTTGAGATGGTCTTGCTCTGTTGCCCAGGCTGGAGTGCAGTGGTGCAATATTGGCTCACTGCAACCTCTGTCTCCGGGACTCAAGCTATCCTCCCACCTCAGCCTCCTGAGTAGCTGGGATTACAAGCACATGCCACCATGCCTGAATAATTTTTTTTTAAGAGATAGGGCTTTGCCATGTTGCCCAGACTGGTTTCGAACTCCTGAGCTCAAGAGCTCTCCCCACCTTGGCCTCCCAAAGTGCTGGGATTACAGGCGTGAGCCACCATGCCCGGTCTACGTATTTCTTAGTACTTTCCCATCTGGGCAGTCCCCTCAATTTATATTATTATTTGTTATAACTATGATAATTACAATAGCAGCCAGTGCTAACTGAATACTTACTGTGTGCCAAACACTATGCTACTCAGGTCTCACAACAGGGAACTATTGGTACCTTTACAGGAAGGACACTGAGGCTCAGAAAGTTCATGGGGCTTGCCAGAGGTTATGTGGATAGTAATTGGTAGAGCTTGGACTCAAAGCTCTCAACTGCTCTAGGCCTTGCTTTATACATGTCATGACAGTCCTTAAACAACATAAGAAAGCCCCCCGAAACCAAATAGCCTGACAAATCCCAGTTTAACCTGGCAAACATTGAATAGCTGCCTACCATGTTTGGGGCTCTGTGCTAGGCCCAACCCTCATACTACTGGGTGCCCACAGGACAAGGAACCAACTACACAGGTAGTAACAGTAGCCCAAGGCCAAATGCAACGGCTTAGCAGAGACACCAACAAGGGCAATGAGCACCTAGAACAGGGGGTAGTAATTCATTCCAACTGAGGCCCCGGCTAGTCTTCCGAAGGAGACAGCCTCTGAGCTGAGGCTTCCAAGCCAGAGAGAACATTTTCACATTGGCAGTATTTTTGTTTTTATTTTTTAAGGAAAGTGATAAGATTACTCTAGAGAACTTAGAAATATAGAAAAGCATGAAGACTAAAATAAAAATTATCTTTAATTCCATCACCCAAAAGTATCACCTTCCTCTTTGCATCAAAATAACTTTATTGAGGTATAATTTACAGGCAATAAAATGCACACGTTAAGTGTCAATTTGTTGATAATTGGCACATGAATATACCCATTTAACCACTATTGCTGCCAAGATATAGAGCATTTCTATTGCCCCAGAAAATTCCCTCATGACCCCTTGCATTCAATTCTCTTCCTCCCCTGGCTCCAGGTGCTCACTGATTTGCTTTCTGCCACTTTAGTTTTATTGGTTCTGGAATTCCATTCAAGTGGAATCACACAATATGTGCTTTTTTTTGTTTCTTTCGCACAGCATAATTTTTAAAGATTTAGTCATATTATATACATCAGTAATTCATACTCTTATTTGCTGAGTAACATTCCATCATATGTACATATCACAATTTGTTTATCCATCACCTGTTGGTGGACATTTGGGTGGTTTCTGGTTTAGAGTTATTACGAATAAGGCTGCTACGAACAGTCATATATAACTTTTTTTTTTTTTTTTTTTTTGAGACGGAGTCTCCCTCTGTTGCCCAGGCTGGAGTGCAGTGGTGTGATCTTGGCTCACTGCAACCTCTGCCTCCCGGGTTCAAGCAATTCTCCTGCCTCAGCCTCCCAAGTAGCTTTGAGTGGACATATATTTTCATTTCTCTTGGGAAAATACCAAAGAGTGGAATTGCTGAGTCATATAATAAGTGTATGTTTTACTTTGGTAGTAACTGCCAAACTGTTTTCCAAAGTGGCTGTACCATTTTACACTCCTGCCAGCAGTACGTGAGAAATATAATTGCTCCAAATACTTGCCCAGACTTGATACTCACATTCTTTTCAATATTAGCCTTTCTAGTGTGTGTGTGGTGGCATCTCATTTTGGTTTTAATTTCTATTTCCCTCATGACTAATGATGTTGAGCATTCTTTTCTCTGCTTATTGACCATATATATATATATTCTTTTGTAAAGTGTCTGTTCAAGTTCTTTGCCCACTTATACAATCAGATTAATGCATCATATGTGGTGGATAGTAGTTAATCCCAAACACTACTATGAGAGAGATAACAGAAAAGAAAAAAATCAAAGTAGGAGTGAAATGTATTTCTGAAACAAAACTCATGTTACGTATTTTTAATTTTATCAGAGTTAATTCCTGCCACTTTTTTTTCCTTTGCCTATTTTCATATTGTTTGTGTTCTTATGATAAGTTGGGAAGGCTCTTTATGTATTCTAGATGCAGCTCTTTTTTCAGACATACTCATCACAACTATTACTTTCCATTCTGTGGCTTGTCTTCTCTTTTTTTTTTTTTTTTTTTTTTTTTTCCCTTTTCTGGGGTAGGGTCTCACTGTGTCACCCAGGCTGGAGAGCAGTGGCGGGATCACGGCTCACTGTAGCCTTGTCCTACTGGGCTAAGGTGATCCTCCCACCTCAGCCACCTGAGTAGCTGGGATTACAGGCGCCCACCACCATGCCCAGATAATATTTGTATTTTTAGTGGAGATGGGGTTTTGCCATATTTCCCAGGCTGGTCTTGAACTCCTGGGCTCAAGTGATCTGCTCAGCTCAGCCTTCCAAAGTGCTGGGGTTATAGGCGTGAGTCACTGCGCCCGGCCTCATTTTCTTAACAGTATCTTCTGCTTTTATCATTCAGGCTTTTGTTTCATATCTAGGATATATTTGCCTATGCCAGGATTGCAAATATTTTCTCCCAGGTTTCTTCCGGAAAGTTTATAATTTTAATTTTTACATTTAGGTCTATTATTTCTTTGAACATAGATATCTTTGGATATGTTATATCCTTCTTTTAATAAGATCTCGTGCTTTTTTTTTTTTTTTTTTTGAGATGGAGCCTCACTCTGTCACCCAGGCTAGAGTGCAATGGCATCATCTTGGCTCACTGCAACCTCTGCCTCCCTGGTTCAAGCAATTCTCCTCCTTCAGCCTCCTGAGTGGCTGGGATTACAGGCATGTGCCACCATGTCCAGCTAATTTTTGTATTTTTAGTAGAGACGGGATTTCACCATGTTGTCCAGGCTGGTCTCGAACTCCTGAACTCAAGTAATCCACCTGCCTCAGCCTCCCAAAAGTGTTGGGATTACAGGCACAAGCCACTGCGCCCAGCCTCATGCTCATTTTTGACGGGGAAGGCTATGTTCCTGAGAGAAAAAGCGAAGTGATGACAGGGCCAGCCCATCCCATTGAGGCCAGCCCTGAAGTAGATGACCAAGGACATGACCAGGTCAGATCAAGTAGCTGGCACCAACCATGAGCTCACACACTACCTGTAACATTTAACAGGAAAAGGCAATACCACCGCCTTGTCCTCCCATGGGCTTCAGGAGGTCCAACATGGCTCCCCAACATTCTCTCCCATGATTCCCTCAACCCCCCATATGGCAAGTAACCTCCCAGTTCACCTAGCATGGTGAGTTTCCCATGGTAGCATTCAATAAGGGTTTCCCACCCAGAAAATCTGTAGTCGCAGGTGACTCCTGAGATTGAAGCCTGATGATTAAGAAGTCCAAAGCCCTTGCTGTTCCCCCTCCTTCCCTGTGGCCTTAACCTCACCCAGGGTATAGCTTTTTCCACCCACCCTCAACAGGGCTTCTCCAGCTGCTGCTCTGGAAGTGTCCTGACAGCCTCAGCACATCACAGCTGTAAGTTCTGGGAAGTCTACTGAGTTGAATGTGAGCAGCATTTACTAGGGGACATCTCAGGCTTTTGCACGCACCAACACAGCCACTCTGAATGATGGCAGCTTCATAAATATTCGTTTAATTGCTCCTGATTTGCACCAAGAATTTCCTGGAGTCAGAACAGAAAGCTTCACTGCAGGATGCAGTTTGAGTTCTCTGCAAACAAAGGTGCTCTAGCAGATGGCTGCGGAGAGAGAGGGGTGTAGAAATGTGGGATCCTTGCACCCTGGCATGAGAACCAAGTTCTGCTCTCTTGGATGAAGTAAATGGTTTCAGCAGCTGTTGCGAGCAAAGCCAGGGTCAGAGCTGAAAGACACCACTAGGATAGGAAGGGAAGAGAACCAACTTGCCTCCTTCCTCTGTCCCCACCCTCTACTGGGGACCCTCTTGGAAAGGGATGTCATCCTCTGAGCAGGAATCACAGCAACAGAATATTTTGCTTCTGAATTCCAACCCCAGCCCATCTCTACAGTCTGATGTCATCTCCTACAGGATGACCATAGTCCCTGCCCATCTGCCCTTTCAGGCCTTTTGGTAAGGGATGCAAAGTCAGGAAAAGAGGAAGAGAGGAGATGAGAGATTTGTGAGGTGAGGAGTGGACTAAAAGGCTCCTTCTGGCTCTCACCTCTGGTGTGCTTACATCCTTTTCCACCCAAGTAACTTAACAGCCCGTGGGCCAAAGAGATCATTTATATCCAAATCGCAATAACTCCAGTCCCCACTTATTCTGCCTCCCCCTTCCCTGGTACACTTTTCCCTATGTTTGACATCCTGGGAGTAGTTTCTGTTTTCTCGAATTCTGAGAGAGTCTCAGCTGCTGCCCTAGCCACATCCTGCCAATGCCCCAAAAGACCCCCAAAGAGAGAGGCCCTGCCGGGTTGGCTCTCCCCACAATTTAGAGGGAGAGTTCTTCCAGGGACTTTCCTGGCCCAGGAGAAAGAGAAAAATGGGTGGAGCTTCTGGGGGCAAGGCAGTCTAATGAAGTATGCACCAACAGAATGTGACCATCTCACCTGCCACAGACAGGAGGTGGCAGATTCTAAGAGAAGGGGGAGATGACGCACATTTGCCTTAATTCCCTAGTTCTGCATTTCTGATCCCTACTGTCATGGAGCTGATGTCTAAAGCATGAGTTGGTATTAGACGGTGACCAGTAGAATGTGCACAAAGCAAATCCTCATCCCCTGACCACACACCATTCCCCAACCCAAATAATAATCGCATCAGCTGCTGTGACAGTTGGCTTCTAACAGAATTGCCTTCAGCTGCAGGGAGCAAGGAAACGTGTAGGTGGTTACTCCATTCCCTCGGGGCAGCCTGCAGCCAATGATCCAGCAATGAGGGTACATGGTGGAACAATCTCGAGGTGCTATTCATACTCCAAAGCCTCCTATAAGATCAGCCTTCTTTTCTGGTTTCTCTAGAGGAAAAAAAAAAATCAGGCTAAGGCTGGACGTCAGCTGAACCCACAACTTTGCTTAGCTTCTTCCCCTGAATATCCTGTATAGGTTTTACCTGGAAGCACTCATTTAATAAATAGCTTGCTCAACAATACCTGATCTAGGTTCTGCTTTCAGAGAAGGCAACCTAAGACAATTAGCTAGGCTTTCAAAACAAGATGCAGCTCTCCCTAAGGCCTACATTGACAGCAGGTGCTGATTATATCTTCTTTCTGGGTCTCAGTTTCCCTATCAGTCAGGAGGATTTATTAGAATCCTTTACTGTGCTCATATTCTGTCCCTGTAGTGAGGGATCTGTGATCTAACTGGGACAAATGGTGTTTTGTCCCCCTTGCTTCTGCAGAAAAATCCCCCCAGAATACACCATTCTACTTTGACTATCATGAGGCATCAGCATACCTGCCACTCCACCAGCCCTGATACGTGTCATTTCAACCAATTAGGGGATGCCTATATCACTGCCCTCACAGTAAGAGTTCCCTCGTGCTAAAGGCAAGCACCTTTTTATATTCATTATTGATTATATTGGGTGCAAACTCTCTGAGATGAATCACTCCACAATAGACTTCACTTGGGCGTCTAGAAAACAGCCTTCAATTGTAAGCCTGTGAAATGCTATACCATAATTACAGTTTCCAGGCACCTCTAATGACCCATTAAGATGGATTTGTAGAGCAGGCAGGGCCTATGCAGCCAAAAGCAGGTGAGACTGCAGGGCCTAGCACTTTCTCTCCATGGGCAGAGACCCACCAGAAATCATCTGCTATAGAGAAAAAATCAGGAGAGAAGAGGTCTTATCATCTAATGCTTATCACCACAGAGAAGACAAATCCTGAAATGTTGACATTTGCTGGACTAAAAAAAAAATCACTTTGAGCATCTTGTACTTGACTTATGGGAATGCAGATTGGTATAATCACTTTGGAAAACAATTTGACATCATCCTACAAAATGCTATTCATCCATTACCCTGGGTCCAGCAATTCAACTCCTAGTCTTATATTCTAGATAAACGTTTGCACTTGAGCACCAGGAGATAAAGAAGCATTGTTTATGATGCCTCAAAGTGGAAATAACTTGAATATCCATTTTCAGGAGAATGGATAAATGTATTGGGGTACTAGTACCCAACAGAGTATTAAGCATGAATGAACTACAGCTACTTACATCAATATGAATGACTCTTAAGAAATATAACATTAATGGAAAAAGCATGGGCAGAGGGAAACTCATAATGATGATCGCAGTTGGTTTAAGAGTGCGCCTAAAAAAGATATGTCCAAGTCTGAACTCCTGGTACTGTGAATGTGACCTTATTTGGAAATAGGGTCTTTGTAGTTGTAATTAAGAATCTCAGGCTGACATCATCCTGGATGTTTGGTGGGCCCTAAGTCCAATGACGGGTGTTCTTTTAAGAGATAGAAGCAGCAGGTTTTAGACACAGACACAGGAAAGAAGGCCAAGTGAAGACAGAGGCAAAGATTGGATTTATGTTTCCACAAGCCAAAGAATGCCAGGAACCACCAGATGCTGGGATAGGCAAGAAAGGATTCTTTCCAAGAGCATTTGGAGGGAGTTGAGCCCTACTGGCACCCTGATTTTGGACTTCTGGTCAGAACTGTGAGAGAATAAATTTCCTTTGTTTTTAGACACCCAGTTTGTGGTAATTTGTTATGGCAGTCCTGGGAAATGAATGCTCTAGATCAATGGTCCCCAACCTTTTTGACACCAGGGACCGGTTTCACGGAAGACAATTTTTCCACAGACCAGGGTCAAGAGTTGGTTTCAGGGTGATTCAAGAGCATTACATTTATTGTGCACTTTTTTCTATTATGATTACATTGTAATATATAATAAAAATAATTATAGAACTAACCATAATGTAGAATTAGTGGGAGCCCTGAGTTTGTTTTCCTGCAACTAGACAGTGACAGATCATCAGGCATTAGATTCTTATAAGGAGTGCACACCCTAGATCCCGCACTTGTGCAGTTCACAATAGGGTTTGCGCTCCTAGGAGAATCTAATGCTGCCACTGATCTGATAGGAGGCAGAGCTCAGGGAGTATTGTGAGTGATGGTGAGCAGCTATAAATACAGACAAAGCTTCAACCACTCACCTCCTGCTCTGTGGTCTGGTTCCTAACAGGCCATGGACTGGTATAGGCCCATGGCCTGGGGATTGGGACCCCTGCTCTAGATCTTAGGTTGGGTGATAAGTTTCTGGGTACTCATTTTGTGTTGTAACTTATGTTTGTCTTATGTGTGTACCATTGCATGAAGCAAATATTGTAAAACATGCTAAGAACAAAAAGTTAGAAAAGCATATATAACCAAAGGAAAAGTTAAGATCCCTGAGAGATGTGAGGGATTTCATGGTGTCAGATCTCTACTATGTTGAGGGATCATGCCAAGCATTTTATTTTTATTTTATTTTATTTTATTTTATTTTATTTTATTTTATTTTATTTTATTTTATTTTATTTTATTTTATTTTTTTTATTTTGAGGCAGAGTCTCCCTCTTTTCCCAGGCTGGAGTGCAGTGGCACGATCTCAGCTCACCACAACCTCGGCCTCCCAGGTTCAAGCGATTCTCCTGCCTCAGCCTCCCAAGTAGCTGATATTACAGGTGCCCGCTACCATGCCCAGCTAATTTTTGTATTTTTAGTAGAGATGAGATTTTACCATTTTGGCCAGGCTGGTCTCGAACTCCCGACCTCAAGTGATCTGCCCATCTTGGCCTCCCAAAGTGCTGGGATTACAGGCGTGAGCCACTGCGCCTGCATGCCAAGCGCTTTATAGGTGGTGTGACTTTTAATCCTCAAAGCAACCTTGTGGTAAGTATGTTACCCATTTTGCAGATATGAACACTAAGGCTGGGGGCAGTGAAATACCTGCCTTCGGAGAAAGAGAATAAGTGGAAAGGCAAAGACTCAAATGAGGATCAATTTGCCAAATCCAGGCCTTTCCCACCATAACACACAACCCTAGGCACATGCATTTACAACCCTCAAATACCAAGGTTACCAGCTACAACTCCAGCAAAAAAGGTAAACACATATCCATTTTATTTCAGATTTCTTTTCGGGCAGAGCCGGATGAACATCTTTGAGCTCACCATTTTCACATGAATTATGCATTTAATGGGCCTTATGTCTTCCAACATATCTCACCATGACCTATGTAGATCACCTTCAGTTAATCGAAGAGCGTGCTTCATCCATCATCCATTCCTTGTTACCAATCACAGTGCTGCCAATGCAGAAATCTAAGATGAAATGAAGTTTCCTTGTTCTCTTACTCCTAGGGGTGGGGGGGGAGGGGGAGTAAAGTTGCTTCTCCTGTAGTTAATAAAGGGATCAGCTGAGCAATCTATTCAGAAGTAATAAACTATCTGGAGGCAGTTACCTTGGGGGTAGGACAACCTGCCATCCTAGTTCACTTGGAACTGTCCCTGTTTCAACACTGAAATTCCCGCATCCCAGGAATCCCCTCAGTTCTGGGTAAACCAGAATGGTTGGTTACTTTTCCTGGGGAAAATGCTCCTTTTCTTCTAGGATCTGAAGTATTTACAAAGGGGTGGGAAAGAGCAGGTGGGGTCATCTGATTCAACCTTGTACTCCCTTCTGTGGCTCAGCTTGAAGCCTTGCTCCCCCCTCTCCTTCCTTTCTTCTATGAGAAAAGACATTTGTCAGACTCTGAGGCCAAGCCAGGATGCTGCAGCTGGGGGCAGGGGACACGCTCACCCACCCCGTTAGAGCAGGTGCCAGCTTCATCCTTTCTCTTCCCCGCCCCCTTTAGCAATCAGTGAATTTTAATTCATTGATAACCAAAGGTCAGCTTCCAAAGCTGCATCCCAGCTTCCCTGCCATCCATGCTTGGGAGTGAAAGCTGTGGCGACACCTTGCACTGATGTCCCCAAGTGGCAGCATGCCTGGTCCTAGTTGAACGCTGGCTCTTAGGTTCTGCTTCAGCACCATCAACTAATGGCAGGCCCAAGTACCTCTACAGTTTAAAAGACCTCATGCATACAGTGACTCATTGGATCCTCAGGTGAACAGCAGGCATGTTTGTCCAATTTTATGATGGAAACAGACTAAATGTCAGGGTCAGAAAAGTGGCAGAGCCAGACCTGAGACTGGATCTGACTCCCAGGTGCACCCGGCCTCAGGATGCCAAGGCCTGGCTCTGCATGGCTCCAAGAACAGCAGGGAAGAGGTGGAGAAGGAATCACCAGTTTTTCACCCTCTCACCTCCCCCACTGCTTTAAAAAATGTATCATAATCCTCAAGAACACACTCAGCAGATGGTAGATTCAGGAATAAATTCAGGACTGCCAGATTTTCTCCACCACAAAAACCTCACACATGTCTCCCGCCTTTGCCTCACACACAGAGTGGGAGATGAGGATCCCTACGGTGAGCACCCAGCACGAGGGAGGGACCTAGCAGCAGAGGGAAGAGGCACAGGAGACCCAGGGTCCCCTCTGTCCCTGCATGTCAGGTGGAGGATTCCCTATCACCCATCAAAGGGAGTGAGTTAGTTCAAGATTTGCAGGCTGGCCCCAGAGACCTGTCCCAAAGTCCCCAGGCTGAGCATGACAGATGTGTCTCCCTTTAACTGAGATCTGAGTCATCTGACTCAAAAGAAAAAGCACTCAGCTCATCTTTCGCTTCCCTGGCTATGAAGCCAGGGTCGGGAGGGAATGGGGTGGAGACTGATCTGTTAAATCCTATTCTGGAAAATAGCCTGGGGTAGGGTGGGGCGGGGAGGCAGGCACATGTGTGTACATGTATGTGTAAATGTGGCGCACACCTTCTCTGCAGAAAAGGTTTGAAAGCAGTGCTTGAATTTGTTTGCCAATGTCATCTACTTACTGGGTTCTGCTAAAAGAGCTAGACCCTGTGCTATGTTTTATGGAGGAGGTAAAGATTGGTGGGTCTTAGGCCCTGGTCTCCAGAAGAAAATGAATCATGTAACCATCGTCTTTATCCCAAGTGTACGATGAGCCAGGCATAAAATTAAATGCTGGGAGTAAGTACAGGGTCATTGTAAAGGCTTCAGTAGCATTTCAAATGGGATAAAGGAGAAAATAGGGGGTTGTGGACTTCTCTTCTGAAATAGGTGTCCTCCTCTCCAGTAGAAGAAAGCAGGTGCAAAGTCATTGGACCAAATCCCTGCCTCCTTTGTTTTCCACTTTTGAATAGTAAGGTGGTCCCCCAAGGACTCCCTCCACTGGCAGTAACTGGGGCAGATCATCAGGGAAGAAACCTTAGATTCTTCTTCCAGATGAGACTGGGAGTGTCCCTGGGTCATGCCCAGTGGAATCCTGCAATCCACGATTTCTACCCATGGCTGCAGGGTCCCTGCACCAGTTTCCCCTCTCATCTCCCTGCTTCAGGTCTCACCCATTCTGGTCTGTCCTCCAGAAGGCCACCAGTGGATTTTAAAATACAAGTCTGACACACTCACTATTCGTTTACCTATTTCCAGGGGTACAGAATAAAAATCCTACAGGATAAAATTCCAGCCTGTTTATTTCCTCTGTACCTTCAGCCTCATCTGTCTTTATGACCTCCACGTGCTCCCTCCCACTACCCATATCATGCTTGCAGGCCTTTGCCCAAGCTGTTTCCTCTGCTGGGACATAACCTTCCCTGCTTCCTATCATTTATGCTCCCAACTCTTACCCAACCCTAAAACTTAGTTTATATCACCCCATTTATAATGCTGTCTCCGCACCACTTATTTCCCCAAGGGTCCAGGGACTCAACAACTGCACTGACCACTATATCAGAATGAGTGGCTTATCTGTCTGTCTTTCCCTAAAGACAGTGAGTCCCCTGAGGCCAAAGATTGCACTTCTATCATCTCTGCAAGCCCAGGACCAGTACCTACAGGATCTCAAATGATAGCCTGCTAAACGTGCTCTTGAGTTAGCAAGTGGATCGCACAATTTCCTCAACTTGCCCAGGAAGATTCCTAAATGGCATCCAGGTTGTTTCCAGTCATCCAAGTCAGCAGGAGCCTCAGTGCGGGTGTTAACGACATACTTTCGGCACAGGACAACATGCCTGACGCATTATCCAGGCAGTCCTAAAAGTTTCAGAGAGGATTTCTCCACCTTTCTCACAGCCTGTTTCCTGACTCGATGACCTCTAAAATTGACTGATATAGTTTATTTTTTGGGTGCTTACTGTAGGAGATATACTTTACTTTTAATCCTTTAAAAGTAAAATATCTCACTTAATCCATAAAACACCCTAGTATATAGTCAGCAATATTCGATTTTTCAAATGAGGAAACTGAGGAACAGAAAGATTTAAAAGATCCCTTTTATTTCCTGTAGAGTTGAAGAACAGGATTATGTCCCTGTAAATCTTGCTTAGTAGCTACCTTCAAATACAAGAGTGCCTTATTTTAAAAATAAAATAAAAAGGCCAACATAGCAAACACTGGACGTATCTAATAAGTAGCAATAAGAGACAGTGGATTCTTTGGTTTAAAAACACAAGTCAGAAGCACTAATTATCAGTTCCCCCACCCCCTTCAAGTGGGGGAACTGATTTTTGTTTGGAAATAATTCAAATCAAATTAATGCAATTCAATAAATATCTATTTCATGCCTTCTATGTAGTAGGCACTATTCTAGAAACTTGGGAAACAAAGAAAGACAAAGAACCCCGCCTTCAAAGAGCTAGTAGTGAAAGAAAAACAATGAAAAATAAGTGTAATAAACAAGAAAATATGTACCATATTAAAAGGTGCAGTAGATAGCCTCTAAGACCACTCCAGTCATCCTCGCCGCCCAGTATTCAGCCCCTTGTGTAGTGTCCTCCTACACTGATCAGGGCTGACCAATAGGATTGATATGGTTTGACTGTGGCCTCACCCAAATCTCAACTTGAATTGTATCTCCCAGGATTCCCACATGTTGTGGGAGGGACCCAGGGGGAGGTAACTGAATCATGGGGACCAGTCTTTCTTGTGTTATTATAGTGAGTAAGTCTCACGAGATCTGATTGGTTTATCAGGGGTTTCCATTCTTGCTTCTTCCTCATTTTCTCTTGCTGCTGCCATGTAAGAAGTGCCTTTTGCCTCCTGCTGTGATTCTTAGGCCTCCCCAACCACGTGGAACTGTAAGTCCAGTTAAACCTCTTTTCCTTCCCAGTCTCAGGTATGTCTTTCTCAGCAGCATGAAAACAGACTAATGCAAGGATGTTACAGAAACGATGGACTATGACTTCCAAGGCTGCGTCAGAAAGGACATTGTGGCATTTTCCTTGCCACTGTTGGAACACTTGCTTTGGGGGCAGCCAGCTAGCTGCAATGTCTTGAGAATACTCAAGCAGCCCAGTGAAGAGGTCTACAAAGTGAGGAACTGAGGCCCTCACCAACAGCCAACACCAACTGCCCACAATGTGAGCATGCCATCTTGGGAGCAGCTCTTCCATTCCCAGTCACCCCTTCAAAAGATTGCAGCCTCAGCTGACATCTTGACTGCAACCACATGAGACACCCCACAACAGAACCACACAGCTAAGCCATTTCCAAACTTCTGACCCACATAAACAGTGAGACAACAAATGTTTACTGCTGTTTAAACCACTTGGATAAGGACTCTTGCACCTCTTATCCCATTTCTAGGAGTCTGGGACAATTCCAAGGTTCCAATTTACAACAACCTAACTTATGCAGTTTTCCAGAAAATGTCTTCTACAGAAACAAAAAGCTAAACCTGCCTAGGAAGTGACGTCAGAACCATATGCAGTAAAACTGTGAGAAGAAGAGCTTGCTAGGGTAGGCAAGGAGTCTCCTCTCTGTCTGATGACTTCCTCCCGTGGCTGCTCTGTGATTCTCTTGGTATTTCTAAGCACCTTCTGCGCATCAGGCTTATGCTGGGTTCTAAGGGCTCTGGAAGGAAAGACAAGGCCCATCTCACACATGTACTCAATCAACATTTGTTGAAGGAATGTGAGCTGCCTTGGAATGAGTTCCTAAAATGCTTAGTGAACTTTCAATCTTCAAATATCCTTTGACCACGTAAAAAAAGAAAGAAAGTAAACCTGCACTGTCAGAGGCACCTCTTGAGCATTGCCAGCCAGTGGCTGGCCCAGGGCCTCTCCAGAAGGCAGGAAGGGAGAAGTGGTTCAAGCCTCTGCATCTTTTACCCCTAAAGGAGGCAAGGGAAGGACAGGGAGGCTTGAACCACTGGCCATGTCAAGCATGGTGGGCTGGGGGGCAATGACTTGTGCCTGTGCAGCTCCACACAAAGGAAGTCTTAATGATGAATCAGGGCAGCAGGGTAAATATTTAGAAAGAGAAGCCTCTCCTTGGAGGGCCAGCCTTTGTCTTCTTGTTCGAACTGAAAGGACTTGGTCGAAAAGGGGTCTGTTACAATGGGATGGGAAACAGGGAGTAGCCACAGCCAGCACAATGCTGTGGCCTAAATGATGGAGGGACTAGCGGTATGTGGAGAGCTGAAACAATAACCAGAGATAGGAAGCCTCTGCCGGGATTCTCCAGGGCACCGCCCAGGGACCTTCACACATGATGCTTTAAGCCCTGGCTTCAGCTCCTGGCAGGGCTTGGTGGTGTGCCCGGGATATTCTCCATTTATCTGTCTCTAAAAGCGAATATTCTCAAGGCTCCAGAGGACAGAGAGGGCTATGCACTGACTCCTCAGTCCTTCCCCAAGCCCATCTTTCCAGCCTCATGATCTGCTCTCCTCTCTTCAGTTAAGCCACCCCTGTGGAGCCTGTTTCTCAAACATGGCTCCAGGCTTTCCCCTCACAGCTGCCAGCAACTCTGGGTGGTTAAATTCCTCCCATTCCTGACTCTTCACCTCAAGATGTTCAGGACCTGGTTCTTAGAGAGAAAACCTTTTAAGCCTCTTCTTGGTAAGAGGCCATTAAGGTCTCTTCTGAAAGAAAACATAAAGATTTGTTTCAGAAATAAAGGGAATCATGGATTAAGTTCCACCTGTGTGTGATAGTCGGGAAGAGAAAGCCGTGCCTGCCCTGGCCTGCTTGGGCCTCTGTCTTGGCAGACACCAACGTTAATGGCCACTGCTAACAGGAGCTGCTCTAACTCACAAAAGGGAAACAGATTTCAAGTCTTGAAGCCTGAATCAGCCAAAACTACTCATTTCTTGAAACAGGCTTTGTTTTGTAATAGCCTCATCATGACTCATCATCAAGAAATAGGGCACTGGTAAGACCTTCCCTGGCACTCTGGTCTCCCTACAGAGGTCCCAGCCAGGGAGAACCATGCCTGAGTGCAGCGCAGCTTATGGAAAAGGTAAATACACACGCAGCAGAACACACTGCGGCCTTGGGCTGCCTCATTTTTCGTTGTATGAGAACCAGTTTTGTTGCTGGTGGCCCTCCATGGAAGCTGTGGTTTCTGATTTGATAAGCATTCGTACGAGCCATGCTCTGCTCCTGTAGGACAACATAAAAAGTGAGGAAACTAACATGGTAGCATTCACGGACCACTCGCCCCACCTGACATTAAACGTTCATTAGAACACAGGGCTAGAAGGACACCAGAGGCTTCCCACACCAGTTTCCTGCTTCATTTCCAGGAGTCTGCACTTCTTGGCACTCTGGAACAATCTATGGCCCTCCTGCCCACACACAGAGTTGGTGCCCATTCTGCCTGAGGAGGTGGAAATTTGTCCCAAATGGGGCCAGCCACCATCCATTCACCCATCAAAGTGACACCAGTTTATTGTGGGGTTATTGCCACTAGCCAGCTATATATAATCTAGGTGAAATGATAAATCCAGGCACCTGTATCTCATCACTGAAGATACAGGGCCATCGACACTGCCAGGCCAGCATATATATAAGACCAACCAATGTCCTCTATAGAGTTTGAGTCCACAGCAATTGGCAGAGTATGCACTGCTCAGATTGCTCCTGAGTGTCCTGTCTGCAGTCATTCCAGACCTCAGACCACCATTACAAGGGATAAGACATGCTTACTTGTCCCTTAGTGTCAGGGGCACAAAGGGTATCCAGCCCACTCTGAAGTGGGCTGGAAAGTGAAAAATGGGCAGCTGGATGTTGGCTGGAATGAGGGCACTAAATGAAAGCTTTAGAGGGACATGCCACATTTCTAAGGCAGCCACTGGGGCAGGGAGAATTAAGGTCAACAACATATGCTGACATTCATGTAATAAACCAGGACATACAGGTACCAAGTAGGGCCCCAGCATGAAAAAGATCAAAATCCAGATGACTTTTCCCATGATCCTAGGTGGCTTGTGAACAATAGTTGCAACACCACGGTTCAGCCTGCTTCCTCAAAGGTCCAGTAGCCCTAACCAGCAACAAGTGTTGCCTGAACACTACTTCATGCTCCAGCCCTACCCGCAGGAGCCCAGTTTCATCAACCACACAACCATGCCAGATGGGTGTGTACATAAGTACAAACCGCAATGATGGAGAAGAAAGTGGGGAGGTCGCCTGGTTTGGGTAGGGGGTATAGCTAGGGAAGGTAGACAAACATTCAACTCTGGGTTTCCTGTGACCTCACAGCCTCCTGAAGCAGCCCTACTCATGGCCTTGAAGCTCCCTCTCCCAGTACCTCTTCGGGGTACTAAGGCTCCCCTCTTAGCTCCAGGCATTCTTGAGAGCAGAGGGCACTTCCCGTGGTTCCCCTAGGCTGCCTCTCTGGCAGGTTAGGAAATTGACTCATTAGGATTTCATCCACCTTTTCACTGGCTACCTCTCCCGCTCCCCACCCCCGCCCTAGACTGCCTCACTAAGTCAACACTGCAATCTCTCTGGCTCAGCTAAGTGGTCCCTAGTGAGGAGCAGGCCTGAGCGCCGGGTAACCGAGGAACTCGGAGGCACCTGGCCGCCGGCATGCTCACCTGCAGCGCTCTAGGATGGGGTGCGCAGTGGGCAGCCAAGCGCCCCCCACCCAGACGGAGGAGGGGCGGGAGGCCCTGTTCCCGACCTGTCAATCACTGCCCGGCCCGCAGCTGCGCTCTCCGCAGCCCCAGCGCGCTGTTCCTCTGAGGGAGATAAACATCGAGAAATCCAATCCAGCGCCGCTTCAGAGATAAACAGATGTGCGGCCCTCTTCGGTCAGGAGATAACGCCCCTGCCCCGCCCCACGCGCCCGCCCGGCCTGCACCTGCCTGAGGCGACAGGGACGCGCCTCTCGGGAGGCAGGTTGCGTCCCCCAGCCTGGAGAAATGGTCTCCAGAGCTGCGGGTGGGGGTGGGGTTGGAGAAGAAAGAAGCTCGGTTTGTAACAAACTCATAATAGACCCTAGGAATCAACTGCCAAGGCTCGAATCCTGGCTCTGCCACTGTTTGGCAGGCGACGGCAACTTTAAACCTGGATGTGCTCATCCGAAAGATGGGGATAACCACAGTAGCATGCTATTGGGCGTCTGAGGTGGGGAAAGCGCTGTGGCCTCACAAACTCCGGCTCTAACAAAGGAGCGGCTGGATGGCCTCTGGGGCTAGGATCTACTACCAGAAGCTAGGAGGCTTCTTCCTTGACACCCAAAGTCAGTCACCGCTGAGCCCTTGGGAGACTTCCCTGCCCAGAGCACCACACAACTCACTCATCTATTCCACTGACAGCGGGGAACACTTTCCACGGGCCACTTCCTGTGGGGAGTGAAATATGACCTCTGCCCTTAAGATGAAGTTTAGGGACTCAGGAATGACAGCCGCCTGCAGATTATACACCTCCGGGCTGCCTCTGAAGCCTAAATATTCCCAGTCCTTTGTGAGGCGACTTCTTCCCTACCCTAGCAACTGGCTTAGACCACTCTCGCTTAACTGTGAAGGAAGGGTTTGTGGGACTCTGGAGCTACGTATAGCTTGATTTCTGTCCCTAAGACCACCAGGTCGGAAGCTGGGTGAGGGCAAAACCCCAGGGGCTTCAGCAAATGTGGGTGGCATGGAAGTAGGTCTCCCAGAGCGGGGAAGAGGGCAAAGGTGGAAGGGGCTTTTCCGGGCCCTCAGCGCACGTGCCTGCTCTGGCTAGGCCGCCCATCGCGTCCAGAGCACCTGCTGCGTGCGGCGACGGGAAAGGCCCCGGCCCTGAACTGGAGGTGGAGGCGGCTTGGCCACAGCTGGCTAAGACCGCGCCTACGCTGGCATCTTTTACTGGAGCTTCTTCCTCGCTCAGCCTGGAGTCTAGAGGTCCCGACATCGTCTTCTGAAGGGCCAGGAAATGCCGAGCCTCCGGGGTCGCCAGCCCCACGTGAGTTTGGGGTGCATTAAGGACTGCACCGGCAGGCCCCAGGCTCCTCTACTGGCGAGGTTAGAAGGAAATGCCTGGCCCTCCGTGCAGCGGCTGCCCTTGGGCCTCCGAGTGACGCTGAAAGACTGAGTCTGCGTACTGCGAGGGGCCAGCAGGGCGCAAGCCCGCTCTCACCGCTGAGCGTTGCGCGTTAGTTACGAGCTTATTAGTCCCCTCGGAGGGGTGTGAATCTACTGTGTTGCAGTAAGGTCCGAGTGAGCCCTTTCATGCTATTGTGCGCGTGGCTATTTAGCGCGGCGTTTGTGGGCCTGAAAGGTCCCGGGGGCCTCTCCGGTCCGCGCATTCCCGCGGCACCAGCTTCGGCTGCACCTCAATCCCCGCCCGGCCCGAAGCGCGTAGTCCCCCGAGCCACCGCACTCTCCTGCCGGTCTTCCGCACGCTGCAGCTCGGGTCGATGGCACGAACCGCTGAACCAGAGCAGCCCTCATACCTTGCTCCCCAAGGCCCTCGCCTCCTCCGCCCCTCTTCCAGCCAAAGTGAAAAAATGCATGTGGACTCTTTACCTCTACTTGGGGGCAATTGGACTAGGTTTAAAGGGCTATTGAGGCCGCGAGAGGCTGCCTCTCTCTGAATAGCTTTGTGCAATGTTTGCAGAGACATTTGCATCTGTTTGCGCTTGGGGAAACGGCCCCGAAGGCTCAGTAGCGAGAAAGCCCGAGGATTGTTTTGTGTCTCTCCCCGTCCCCGCCCTGCTCCGCGCTAGACGATTTTGTGCAGCGCTCCACGGGCTCGGAGCGGAGGCATGCAAAACCCGACCAGTTCAAAGATTGGGCGCCCTCGCTCTCGGCCCCCTTTTAAACAATTGCTGTTAACAATGCAATTTTAAGCATAAAATCGTCTAACTAGATTAAATCCACATGACATAAAAAAACAGGGGTGGGAAGGGGAGTCCTCATTGGCATAGAAGTGCGGACGCCTAACAGGATAGAAAGTGTGAAATGCATGCAGAGGTGGAAAGACCGGCAGGTGCCCCGGCCTCCCTCCGGCCGGACAGGGGCTGGACCGCTCGCCTCCCTCCAGTCCCGACACCCAGGGAGACGAAGTGGCTCCCAGGGGAACAGGCGCGCAAGGCCAGGCGCCCATCCTGGGGGACCCTAGGAGGGGTGAGGTGTACCCAAAATTAAGTCCCGGGCTCCTCTACCTCCTCCACCTGCAGGCCCCGCGATCCTGGCCCTGCTGCTGCGTCCTACCCTCCCCAAGTCCGAGGGGCGCGGGGCAAGTCTGGGGAAGACGGAACGCCCTCTCCACTCGCGAGACTGGGCAGACAGGCTCTTTCATGGAATCGGAATCAAAGTCAGGCCTTAGAAAGGCCCATTGCTATGGCAGCAGAGTTCCCTGAAAGCGACAAAGCCCAGGGCCCTCCTCCCTCCCTTCCCTTGCCCAGCCGTCCTCTCCCCTCCCCCTGCGCTGCCTGGAGCCACGCTCGGAGCGCGCTCGGACGGGTTAATCACTGTAAAAACAAAGAGATGAAAGGCTCTCCAATTGGAGAGCCCTCGGCGGCCTCCTCCCCGGCCTGGGGGAGGGGAGGAGGCCACTCCGGCGGAGCTTCTCTAGCCAGCCAAGAAGACGCTTCTGCCCTCCGCCGGGTGGAAGCCCCATCCCACTGTCCCCAGGCGATGCCGCCCACACAATCTGGCGCCTCCCGAAGGACCCGAGGAGGCTAGCGGAGGGAGACAGGCCGTCACCCAGCCAACCCCACCCACAGCCACCACCCCGCAAAACATAAGCACAAAGCCGCGGGCTTTTTCTCCGGGGCTAAAGAAAGGTTTGAGACTTGAGAAAACATTACTGGCTCTAAAAACAAACAAAACACGGCAAAAACGAAATTCATAAGCATTGAAGTAAATGTCTCTAATATAACATTGTTAACTAGTCAAGTTTAAATCCACTAGCTTCTATAGTTCTATATAAATTTAATTCCATGTGGGATCTGGAAGCATTTTATTTTTAGTATCATGTGGGGTGATGTTCAGGAAGATGTTTTAAAGGCTTAGAGTTTTCCTTGTAAACTTCACTTGGGGTTCAGGGCCATGCAGTGCAAAGCTGAAGGTCCTTGTTTATTCTGTGGCTGGTCCTTTGGGTCCGTGGCCCTTCCTCACACCTCACCCCCATCCCCATCCTCTCGGGCAGACTGGCAATGCCTTTGGTCCCCATTCCCTCAGTGCAGCCCCATTTAGTGCAGCTGAGGTGGGAAGCAGAACAGGGTTGCCTTGTCGCTCAACCTGTCACAGGCTGTGGAGCGCCTGTTGTCTCTGGCTCCTTCCTTTCACCCAGTTTCTACCCTCCGAGAAGATGCGGCACTGGGAGGGAAAGGAGGGGAAGATAGGCACATCTGCAGGGGTCCAGGGCTCCGGAGATGGGCTTCCCAGAGACTGTGCCTGAGTTTTGAGGAGATTACCACAGGGCTCTTGGAGAAATGGGGAGACTCTCCCTCTAGGGACAGCTTTCAGTAACTCACAAAGCCGAGCGGAAATTTTTTTTTCTTTTAGCTGTAAGCTCAGGACCACCCCGGTGCCCAGCATTGCCTACGCCAAGTGTCATCCATCCTCTCCCTGTCATCAAACCTCCCAGGGCAAACAGAGCTTCCCAACACACATGCACACACACACACACACCACCCAATGCCAATTCACTTCATTAAAGCTCCTGATTTAGGGTCCAGAGCCCTCAGATATTCCCATAGACATTCCCCCATCTAACAGTAAGAAAAATATTTTCCCCTTCGTGGGCCTCAATATCCCCACAATGACAGTGAGATTCCTGGAAAGCTCAGTGGGTACTGAGTGGAGGGGAGAAGTGGGCAGGAATACTCCAACCCTGACCTAGGTGATGCCAGTTGAATATCCCTGGACCTGAGGCTGCCTGTGGTGGGCACTGTCATCTGCTTCATTTCACAGTTGGGATCTGAACAGAGGGTGTGTCTAAGGTCCCCCAGGGTGAGATAGCTCTGCCATCCCCAGCCCTTGCACACAACAACTGGGCAGCTCTGACCCATTTGTCCTCTCTGTCCTGCCAGTGCCACCTTTACTGGGGTCCCCAGGCTGCTCCAGGGGAGAAGTGGGGCAAGGCCCCCAATTATAGAAGTGCCCAGGAGGGAAGTATCTCTCTCCATGAGCTTTGTTCCTAGGCTGACCCTTCTCCTGCCAATGAGGCAGTGGTTTCTTCTCTCTTCCCATTTGCCTCTCAGGGCACTGCCATCTGTCCCTGATTGCCACATCCATCCCTGCTGGGAGAGAGAACAGCGTGGGCCCCACCCCCACCCACTCAGTCTCAAAAGCCCCCATCAGGGAGGCTGCTGAGCCCACACATTTGGATCCACTTTCTGTGGTTTGTGCCCTGGGCCTTGGCAGGTCCTAAAACCCTCTCTGTGTCCTGGTCAGGTATGCAGCCAGGAGCCAAGCCATGAGAGCAACAGCTACTTCTGCCTTTAAAATCTTCCATTTTCACCTCTCTCCAGTTCTTTCTCCCAGGGACATGGGTGTTCCTTCAGCCCCTCCACCCTTCTTCACGGATGAAGGTAGGCACAGCCTTCTGCCCTTATGGAGCACCGTGCCCAAGGCCTAAGGTCAGGGTAAGCATAGGGCTCTGAATCCAAGGTTTGGCTCAAACCCAAGCCCACTTCCAAGCCTCAGTGGGCTCCTCTGTAGAATGGGGACAGCAGCAGTTCCCCTCCATGGGACTGTTGATTGGATCAAAGGCCACAAAAAGTAACAGGTAGTACTCACAGTGGAGTAATCACTTTGAACATCGTATTCTTTCAATGCCTGGCACCCTCTTCTTGTTATTTGTAGTGTGCTTATCAGTTGTTGAGCACTTACGCTGCTGGCGCTCTCTGTGTGTTTTCACGTGCCTGCTCACGGACGCTCCATTATTACCCCGGTGTGTAGATCTGATGGGGGGAACCACAGAGAAGTTAAGTTGCCTGTCCAAGCTTCACAGCCAGAAATGGAGCCTGGGATTAACCCACATTCCTCCTGACTCCAGAGCCATGCTAGGAAGCCCCAGCAGGTCCTCAGTGCCCCCTTGTCAACATCGGGTGTGCCTTCTCCAGACCAGCTGCCTTCCTTTGACCCACCAAGATGGGACTCCTCCACAGTCCTGGAAGAGCCTGTGGCCTTGACCCAAGTGCCGTGGAGAGACAGTTTGAGCACTCCTCTGAATGGGAACAGAGAGCCCCTGCAGGGGGAAAAGTTCAGCCTGTGAAATTTCTTTCCCTTCAATTTCCTTCTCCACCGGGTCTTGCTCACACAATGCCCATCAAAGGTGTAGCCTTGGTGGTGCTTTTTGCAGCTGTCCACAACACTTGGTGTGTCCATTCTGCATGAAGCGCACACCTCTGGGTTGCCACCATCCTGACTGGTGCACTATAGCACTGCCCCTGGCTGAGAGGCAGGCAGGTAGGATAATATCCCACCCATTCCCACTGGATGGAACTCTACTGTGTGCTCAGGACAAATCAGAACCCTCGAGCTTGGATCAGGCTTGATGAATCAGGCCCCTCTGAATCAAAGCCATTTGCTCACCATAGCCTCTTGGGAAGGGGAAAGGAAGGTGGGCAGATGGGAAGGGGTTAAGTCTCAGCTTGGGGTTCACCCTCCTCATTGCTCCATCACAGACCAGCAGGGTCTGCTCTGATCACCAAGATCCTCAGGAAAACAATGTTACAACCTCCCTTAGGAATTCTGATCAAGTCCAACCATCCTTTTCCCTTTTATCTGTCTTGTCTAGACTAATTTCCTCTCATTGCCTGAGAGCAGAAATGTATTAAGGGCTCTAATTGACCAAGATAATGAAGTATCTGCCACTGATTGTCAATCAGTCAAGTCCAAACTCCTTATTCGGAAGATGGGGAAACAGACCCTAGGAGGCAGTGACTTGCATAAAATCTGGGGTATGGACCTTCTATACCGGGAGGATGGTGTTTCCTTAGTACAGTCTTGCACTGCACAACAACGTTTTTCAGTCAACAATAGACCACACTTATATGACAGTGGTCCCATAAGATTATAAGGGAGCACATATAGAAATCTGACATATGGCACTTGATACTGACATTGCAGATCAAGTAGGAGAGATGACTGATTATCAGTAATGGTGCTTGGACATTTGGTTTTCCATATAAAAATATATAAATAAAAGCATATATACCATCTAGGCTTGTGTAAGTACACTCTATGATTCTGCACAACCACAAACTTACTGAACAATTCATTTCTTGAACATATCCCTGTCATTCAGTCGTATGACTGTAAGTAGATGAACATTCCCTGAAGGCCTAACTCTGCTCTAGGTTTCAGGAAAATACCTGTGAGATACTTGTCTCAGGGCTGATGGGTGACCTTCTGGGGTGAAGGCTTAACCCCTCTTAACCTTTGATCTCTGGCCATCGGTCCCCAACTTCTTCTCCAGGCTAAGTGAGTGCAAATCCGGCATCAGTCTGCCCAGAGGCCACCTGGGGGGGACATAGAGGCCAAGAGGCCCAGCAGGGACACAGCCTCTTTAAGCCAGATCAGTCCTGCCTGAGTGAAGGGAAGCCCAGAGGGAGAGAGGTGGTCACCCTGGGTAGGACAATTGCAGGAGGGACGAGCTGGGCCAGGCCTGGGCTCCACAAGGGCCCCTCTGTTCACATTCCCCGGATCAAAACCCACAGCTGGGATGTGCAAAATGCTCCTGGGAATGGTGAGAGGAGCAGCTGGCTTGAAAACCCCACATCCCAGTCTGGAGCAGGCTCCTCCAGGAGAGGCGTAAGGCCAGCCACGGTGCAGGCTCCAGAGAGCTGGGGACTTTTAGCCTACTTGAAAGAGCAAACAGCTTTCAAGTGCTCTCTGGAGCACCTATTTCAATGCTAATGAAAGACTCTTCTCTACGCATTAAAGCACATCTCCAAAAGACTCCCATGTAAGGGCTGCGTGTCCTTGTGCCTCTGTGTGTGTGTGTGTCTCAGAGTCAAATAGGGCCCAGGAAACAGAGTGCATGGGCTTCTGAGCTTCCCAGTACACCCTGCCCACATTCATCTGAATTAGAAGTGACAGAGAAGGACTTGTTGCCAACATCTCACCCATTTAGAAGTCACTCCAAGAAGGTCGGGCGCAGTGGCTCACGCCTATAATCCCAGCACTTTGGGAGGCCAAGGCAGGTGGATCACGAGGTCAGGAGATCGAGACCATCCTGGCTAACACGGTGAAACCCCATCTCTACTAAAAATACGAAAAAACAAAATTAGCCAGGCGTGGTGGTTGGCACCTGTAGTCCCAGCTACTCAGGAGGCCGAGGCAGGAGAATGGCGTAAACCCGGGAGGCGGAGGTTGTAATGAGCCGAGATCGTGCCACTGCCCTCCAGCCTGGCCGACAGAGCGAGACTCCATCTCAAAACAAAAAAAAAATTGCACAGAAGATCATCAAGCTGTGTGGGGACCTAAGTGAATCAAAGTGTGAGTTCCCAAGTCAGACAATCCTAGTTCCTGTCTAGACTCCACATTACTAGGCAAGATATTGGCCCTTGCTTTGAGACCCTATTTCCTCATTTGGGGCTCACCCCCCTCATTACTGCATCACAGACCAGCAGGGTCAGCTCTGATCACCAAATGGTAAGGATTATGAAGGCCAGGGGTTTTGGAAAGCATTTGTCACAGGCCCAGCACATAGCAAGGAGTGATCTCTGCTTGGTTGCTCTTCCCCTGGGCCCTGGCTTAGTGCTCAGCACACACAGGATAGATGAGTTTGGGATGAAGATTTCGGAAAGGAGGAGGCTGGCTGTTGGTGGTCAATATGGTGGTCGAAGGTGGTCAGGCATGCTCCATTGATTTTCTTTTTTGGAAAAAATAAACTGGAGTGTTTTGTTTTGTTTTGTTTTGTTTTGTTTTGTTTTGTTTTGTCTAAACAGGGGCCCAATAAGGGGCAACTTCCTAGAAAGCCTGACAGTTCATGGCCAATTCCTCAATGTCCTCTGAACCAGGCAGGGCTCTGCCACCTACCACGGACATCCCTGGTCAGTGACTTGGCCTGTCCATGCCTCAGTCTCCTCCTCTGTAAAATGGGGATAATAATAATGCCCTCCTCATAGAGTTCTTAAACACATTAAGGAAGCTTAGCCCAGTGCCAGGTACCAGAGTAAAGGCTCAATAAATGTCATCTTCCACCATCATGCACATCCTCCCATGATGATATGCATCCCACCTGCTGAGAATCCTGGTGGGAAGTGGCAACCCAGATGCAGACCCCAAATGAGGCAGCAGCCTAGAGAAGCAGGACCTCTCAGGCATTTTCTGAGGTCAAAAATGACTTCCTAGAAAAGGAGAAATGGAAAAACATTTTTCTAGTGGCTTTGTCCCCCACCCCATCTCACCTCTACATACAACTCCCTGCTCCTAGGGCTGCGGAGAGATCAGGGTGGACTAGGGGGTGAGGAAACAGCTGTAAGCAAGCTGGGGCTCACCTGTGCCCCGTTCCCACCCCCTCACCTAAGGGGCCACGCAGGGACAGGATGCTCACACAGGGTGAGGAGAGGGCTTGTTGCCTTGGGGAAGAGAAAGCCCTCAAGAGCAGGCCACTGATCTCAAAGGGAAATAATGGGATTTTCTGGGATTCACATTGATCCCCAAAGGAGAAAAGCTTCTGTTTGCCTTTTTTAAGCCGCCAAACAAGGAACTAAAGCCTCTTTGAGCCCTGAGTCGGGGCTGTCCTTTCTGAAGTCCTTATTATCCCTGGGGCACTAGGAGACCAGGCCCCAGTGCCTGGCCCTCCATGCAGGGAGATTTCCATTGGGCAGAGGCCTGCCTGGTTTCCTAGCTACTGTTATATACCCCACCGGACCGCAGGCACTGGCACCTTGACCCACAGTTCTTGCCTGAGGCCTGGCTCGGGCCCAGCTCCTGTCCTTGATCTATCCGGGATGCGTTTCCACATCCAGGAACAAACACGTGAAGCAATAGCTCTCTAAGCCACCAGATGCCACATCCCAGCACCCCCCTCCCCTCCCACAGCTGAGCAGAGATGATGACAGTGATGATAGTAACAGCCACATTGACCTAGGCAGTCTTCCCCTCCACCCGGCCTTGCCTCTGAAGATCTCAGTATCTGATCAGACAACCAGTTCTCACCCTGAAGAGCTGATCACAATTGCAGGCCCCAAGTGACTCCAGTGAACTCTTACCGCTCGAACTGTTCTTATAGCCACACTCCAGATGTGGTCATCATCCACCTCCTCAAGCTTCACACACATTCACACACTCTCACACCCCACAAGCACACACACACTCATGTCCACACACACCCCGCAAGCACTCACACACTCACACCCACAAACACACACTCATGTCCACACACTCACACCCCACAAGCACCCACACTCATGTCCACACACTCATACCCTACAAACGCAAACACACACTCATGTCCACACACACCCCACAAGCACTCACACACTCACACCCACAAGCACACACACTCATGTCCACACAAGCATTCACACACACTCATGCCTGCACACTCATACCCCACAAACACACACTCATGTCCACACACTTACACCCCACAAGCACACACACTCATGTCCACATTCACCACACAAGCACACACACGCGTGTCTGCACACTCACACCCCACAAGCACACACACCCTCATGCCTACACACTCATGCACTCTCACACACCCCCACAAACACACACACACCCCAGACTCAGTTTCCAGCCTTCTCTCTGTCCAATTCTTCCACCTTCACTCCCTCAGACATTCCTCCACCCCAAATGCCCTCTCCACCCTTAGTCAACTTCCTCGAACTTGACAAAATGACCTGATCCTCCCCACACTCCAGCCTGTTTCTCCTCTCCACCCTCCAGCCTGTTCCTCCTCCACTCCCGTCGCCAGCCCAGCAGCCTGGGAGGCCTCCTCCTCTCCTCTCACTTCCTCTCTCCACTCATCTCCTTTTGCAGATTTGACTTCCTAACGTGCCAGTGGCTCCCCACTGCACTTGGAGATAAAGCCCAAGTTCCTTTTTGAGGTTCATGAGCCACATGGTTTATGACTTGCCCATCCTTCCAGCATGATCTCTTGACAGCATCCCCTGGACATGGCTGTGTCTACACACACACGTATGCACACACATGCACACACAGAGCGGCATGCTGCTGGACTGCACTCCTGTGCTCTGCTCACATGCCACCCTCTGTCTGGAATAGCCCTTCCCCTCCGCCCATTCCTCTTCTTTTTTTTTTTTTTTTTTTTTTGAGACGGAGTCTCGCTCTGTCGCCCAGGCTGGAGTGCAGTGGCACCATCTCGGCTCACTGCAAGCTCCGCCTCCCGGGTTCACGCCATTCTCCTGCCTCAGCCTCCTGAGTAGCTGGGACTACAGGCGCCCGCCACCTCGCCTGGCTAATTTTTTGTATTTTTAGTAGAGACGGGGTTTCACCATGTTAGCCAGGGTGGTCTCGATCTCCTGACCTCGTGATCCGCCTGCCTTGGCCTCCCAAAGTGCTGGGATTACAGGCGTGAGCCACCGCACCCGGCCCTCTCACCCCTCTTTTCCATTACTTCTGCCTTCCTGGGGTTGAACTTCCAATAAAATGTTAGTACTTAAGTTTTTGTGCTCTATTTTTTAAGGATACCGACGGGTATCATGTTTGGGGACCAGTAAGAAAGTGCTATGGTTGGAAAGTGGGAGAGTGATGTAATATAAAGTTGATGTAAAGTCAGATGGTGTTGGGTCCAGGTGCTGACTGCCAGGGCAGGAGTCAGTGCTTCTCCTTGAAGCCACTTGGGCACCGTGAGAAATGTGAAAGCCTGCACTGGGTAGATATCTGCATTGTTCCTGCCACAAGCTGCCAAGAAGCTACCCCACTACAAAGCCAAGAGGAGAACACCAAGTAAGACTGCAGTAATTCTCACATCAAACCAAAGGTTGGAACTATTGAGAGGCAACACAGTTGCTATCATTGTTGCCGCTGCTGTTTTTACATTGCAAAGTGATTACACACCTAGACCCGGGAGCTGACCCATCTTTGCTTCCTAGCTAGGTGACCCTGGGCAAGCTGCTTTATCTCCCTGTGCCTCCATTTTCTCATGTGTAAATTGGGGATAATAATGGTATCCACCTCATAGGGTTGTTGTGAGGACTAATGCACAGTGCCTGGCACATGGTATGTGTTTGATAAATGTTAGCCATTATTATCGTTACCATGAAACATCTCAAGAGAAACACCCATGCACACCTCTTAAATCACACACTAGCTAAGCAATCTGCTGGCTCTGAACTCCGGTGGTCAGGGTGGGCCAGTCTCATCCTAAATGCCAACCAAAAATGCCACCTGGCAAGGGAGCTGCTATTTCAATTGCCTATTAATGCACTAAGAGACACAAGATTTAAGCAAACTTTAACAAAGGCACAGTGTCAAATCTAGGATCCTTGAGAACCCATGCATGAGGTTCTTCCAGAGCTTATCCTAGACACCCAGACAACTGTGCACCTCATGGGGCCATACAGACCTCACTGGCTTCCATGATGCAGAAGTGTTGACAGAGAATATTGGATACGCAAGAAATGACCATTCCCTGAAGCCCACCATTTCACTTCTAAGAAAATATCCGACAAGTGTGTCCTTACATGTATGCTAGGTTGAATGTATAAGAGACTCAAGCTGAGCAATTAGACTCTATTTCAGGATGTTTGCTAGAACTAATGAGAAATCCACACTCTCTTTTTGCTGGGGTTGTTTAGCTCATAGGATGTAAGTCTGGAATGGATGATACTATCTTGCCTTCATATGAGCACAAAACCAGAACAGAGGGAGCAAAGCTAAGAGACAGACAGACACACACACAGAGAGAGAGAGAGAAGCCATCATAGGAGCACTAGGATTCTGCTGTTCTTGAAGTCAAAGCCAGGTTCATGACTGGCACAATTCAGCAAGGGCATTCCAGGTGGAGGCACATCAGAACAAAGGGCTGGGACTGGCAGGGGAGACACAGTGCAAATGGGGATAGGAAACAGCCTGGCCTGGCTAGGATGAAGGGAGGGTGGAAGAGGGGAGCCCCAGAAGGTGCTCTTGGAGCCACTCCTGGGGGTCCTTGAGCATCAAGTTGAGGAGCTGATTGTTCCTCTTTAGACAACGGTGTGTGAGCAGAAGAGTCACAGGATAAAGGTGGCTCTTTATCATCAAGATGGAAGGGAGGGGGTGCAAAAACCAGGTCAATGCCTTGGAGGCCCATTGAGCAGGTGTTTGCCTGGCGGCTGGTGGGCAGAATGAGGCAGGTGCAGAAGGTTTTGGCCCTGGCCCGCCCTCTGTCCGCAAAGGCAGCTCCAAGGCCTGATTCTGGCCCAGCTAGCTCCCCTGCTGGTGGCTTGTACCACTCCCCCCACCACCACCAGCCACCCCCACAAAGCTAATCAGCTTAGGATGGCAGCAAATGAAGCCTCCAGAACTGCAGAGCCCTTACTCTCTGCAGCAGCAAATTAACACTTCAATTAAAAGCCAGCCAAGCCAGGCCTGACATCCACACTCTCACTGGGTGAGGATTTAATTAAGGATGGTGGGGAGGTAGAGGGGAGGAGGCGACCTGGGAACGCCCCACCTTGAGCTGACCACCATGGTCAACCTATTGTTGTTTCCAGCTCAGACTATGGGCTTGAGACCACCGAGCACATTGGAAGCAGCAGCGTTTCTCAAAGTGCAACAGAATCCCCTAAAGGGGTGGAGAGGACTGTCACAAATGCCTTTTTCTGTGCCTCACCCCGCCACCACTTATCCCAACTTTCTGAGATAGCCCAGGAGCCTGCTCTTTTATGCATTTCAAGGTTGGGTTCTGATGCCTGTGGGTGTTGAGAACGGCTGTTTCTGTAGATTGTGAAAGCAATTTCGCAGATCAAGATGATCAGCATTTTAAACAATTGAATGAAATGAAATGGAATATCAGAATAGAAAATATCAGAAGACATCGCATAGAGTGAGAGGAAGTATTAGTTAATGCATCTTTTGCTTTCATTTTGTGTGTGTGTGTGTGTGTTTATATTGAGCTGCTATGAATTTTTTTAACTGTAGATTTCAGTAAAAAGAAGTAAAAAAAACCCAAAAAACAAAAAAACCCACATTCACAACATTTCAGCAACAAGGAGGTGTTAAAGCCCTCACAGGCACCCAATTCAATGAAATCTTAACCATAGCTGTTCCTTCAAGCCTATTGATCCTAAAACATCATGATCGCTGGAAGCCTGCCCTTTCCCAGAAGTCATCTGCAGACAAGTAGGAAGGTGCAGCCATCTGCTCTTCTGGGCGTTGACAGGCCCATTCCAGGCCCACACTGGGGCAGGTGTCAGAAAGGGGCCCCCAAAAGAGACTGCAGCCAGGGCTTGTATTGATGGCAAGAGCAGAGCCCCAAAGCCAGCCCCACAACCAGACTCAGAGTGTGGGGCAACGCAAAGGTGCCAGCAGCACTACCCTACCTTCTAGAGTTCATGGCCTGCATGGGAGAAAGGGGAGGAGGTGCAGGAAAGGGTGTGAGCCTGCAGTGAGGCAGCAGCCAGGGAGGAGTGGACAGAGGGCAGGCCTGGGCAGTGCAGGAGGGGGGCACCCCAGGCCAGGCAGACGGCCTTCCCGAGTGCCATATTCCCCAACCCTTGCAAGGCCAAGCCGTCCCTGCCCTCTCTGCCTTGGAAATCCCTTTGAGCTAGAGAGGGCAGATGGGGGTCAGAGAGTGATGAGCCCTGGCCCCAGCCCTGTTTGAAATCTCGGGCCAGGGGCGAGGCCTTCGAGGTGGGGTCGCCACCTCCAGGGCAGCGGCGTCCTCCAGACTAGGCCAGCTCGTTGCTAGGGCCCCTCTTCGGAGGCATCAGGTTATAGGGCCGCGTGGAGCAGCCCATCTGCCGGCTAACTTCTCACTTTCCCCCCTAAGGCTGCCTGTGACCCGGCTCCCCGGGCTCTGGCCCGTGTGTAAAAGTGGCGGGGGGCCTTTATTCCCACCGAGCCCCTTCTCAGCAGCTCGGCAGCCAAACTGCTCTTGGATTACATTTTGATGAGTTTTCAATTTAGGCTTAGCAGACAAGGGAAGGGAGGGTACGGGGGCAAGGCGGTGGGGGGGTGGGCAGGGGGCGGGCAGGGGAGCCAGCGGAATAAATGCAACAGATGGGTCCAATTGTACTGCCTAGGCAAATGAAGGAAGACATCTGTAGCTCCCGAATACTGGTGGTCTGAAACGCAATTAGCCCTCTGTGAAAGGGGCCCCTCACAGCCCCCTCGGCCAATCCCCTCCGAGGCACTGCTCACGTTACAATGGCCTTGACCACAATCCATTGAGTAGAAAAAGGAAAAAAGAAAAGAAAGAAAGAAAGATTAATCCAGGAGTTGCTGGGCGGTGGGGCTGCAAGTAGAGTTGCTATGCTGGAAAGGAAAGGTTACTTACGTTTCTGCTTTTCTCTTTTTTTGCTTCTCAAGATATCTACTGTAGGTCCTTATTCAAGAGAAGGAGAGAGGGGAGGGTCTCACTTTTTCGCTCGGTGAGGTTATATGGACCCACATCTCCAGTGGTTATTAATCTGCAAATTGCTCAGAAACCTCAATTTTCTACTGACTTGTTTGGGAAATAATGAATGAAGACACAAGTCCCTGCGGTTGAGACTGGGCCCCACCCCCTGCCCCCTGAGGAGTGAGAAAGCTGTTATGTGATAAGACCCCTTCTGCAAGCGATAATTATGATGGCTGCTGTGAGTTCCAGGGAGTTGTCTTGCACAGTTGGAAACGTGAGTTCTGCCCGATTCCTCTGAGTTCCTGCCTCCAAATTTCCTTCTTGTCCCGAGTGCTGGGGAGCCCCACTGAAGAAATGGGAAAGGATTTGGGCCTCAGTTATTCGTGCATATTTATGATTGATGGATCCTGGTAGAAAACGGGGTGGGGAGCTCAGTACAATAGTAGGGGCTACCCCTGGAGGGGGTAAGACAAGGGTACCTTTAAATTACCCTCCTGGCTTTGTTCCCCTCCGGGCTGGTCCTTGGCCATCTGACGGGGAGATGGCCGCTCCCCCAAAGAAGGTGAAAGAAAGCCCACGTTCTGGCGACCCCTTCTTGGGTTTCTCTGCCCGTGCCCTTCAGAGCCATCAGACGGCCCCTGAAGTGCCTGGGCTGGTGTCACAGGGTCCCCCCCAGGACATCCACAGCAGCTCAGTGTCTCCCTCACAAAGAATCTTTACAGACTAAGAACCATGGGGCACACTCCTGTTGTTTGTTTTGTTTTATTGTGGTAAAATATACATAATGTAAAATTTATTATTTTAACAATTTATTTTTTTTGAAATGGAGTTTTCGCTCTTGTTGCCCAGGCTGGAGTACAATGGCACAACCGCGGCTCACTGCAACCTCTGCCTCCCAGGTTCAAGCGATTCTCCTGCCTCAGCTTCCCAAGTAACTGGGATTACAGGCATGCACCACAACGCCTGACTAATTTTGTATTTTTAGTAGAGAAGCGGTTTCACCATGTTGGTCAGGCTGGTCTTGAACTCCTGACTTCAGGTGATCCACCTGCCTCAGCCTCCCAAAGTGCTGGGATCACAGACGTGAGCCACCACGCCCAGCTATTTTAACCATTTTTGGGTGTACACTTTAGAGACATTTAAGTACATTCACATTGTTGTGTAACCATCACCACCATCGATCTCCAGAACTTTCTCATCTTCCCAAACTGAAATTCTGCAACCATTAAACACCAACTCCTTATTGCTGGCTCTCCCCAGCCCCTGGCACCCACCATTCTGTTTTCAGTCTCCATGGATTTGACTACTCTAGTGACCTCGTATTAAGTGGAATCATAAAGTATGTGTCCTTCCGTGACTGACCAGCATATTTTCCAGGTTCATCCATGTTGTGATGTGTGTCAGAGTTTCATTCCTTTTTAAGGCTGCATAAAATTCGATTGTATGGATATACCACATTTTGTCTATCCATTCACCTGTAGATGGACACGTGGGTTGCTCCCACCTTTTGGCTATTGTGAAAACAACTGCTGTGAACACGGGTATACAGATACCTATTCCAGTCCCTGCTTTCAATTCTTTTGAGACTATTCTCAGAAATAGAACTACTATATCATATGGTAATTGTGTATTTAATTTTATTGTTTTTATTTTGTTTTTTTCTTTGTACCTCAAGTCTGGAAGCTCCACACGAAGGAGATATCAATTCAGTCCCCAGCAGATGTCATTTAAAGACCATATTGATGATGATTTCTAATAACCTTAGAAAATGGATGCTTGGATTCATTTTGAATTCAGGTCCTAGTTGTTTTGGTTTGCTTGAATTTAGAATTATGCATGATACAAGCCCTGGGTTCTCTGTAACACTGGACTGGTTGCTGAAGCTGGTTTGGGGTTCACATTCCACTTGGCTCAGGTCTCCATCAAAACCTGGCTGCTCTGGTCTTTTTCTTTCCCCAGGTTGGCTAAAGTTGCTTTAAAAATGATCCAGCTCTTTTTGGTTTTTGTTGTTATCATTGTTTTCACAATTATTCTCATATGTGTTTAGACAAAATAGTGGACACTTGCACTTAATTTTTCAAGCTTCATTAAAAAAGTGCTCTAAGATTCAGGGATTTTTCTAATTAGTCAGCACCTGACGCCATTTGGTTAATCAAGGGAGCCAGAATTGAAATGAATTGTCTGCGTTCAGACTCTGCACTGGCATAGAGATGGTTTGAAAATATTAGCAACTGCCCCTGCCCCCAATTTTCTGGGCTGACCCTGATTTCAAGTGCTGTATTCTGTTGTGTTATTTCCATGAACTCTCTGCTCTGCACAGTCCAGAAATCACAGCATTTTATCATCCAAACTACCTCTCCTGTCCTGGAAATAAAACAAAAATATTGTGTCTGGCCACAGGCCCCATGGTTTGGAAAAAAAAGTTACTTGTACCCCAAGAGTGCGGAAATCACCGGAGCCTGAGGGAGGTAAGTGAATTGCTCCTGCTCAGGAATCTTCCTCAAGTCTGAGTCAGTTCCTCCAACAAAGGGCATAAAAATCCTGAAAGGCATTCCGCCTCAAGGCTTCTTGGAGCAGGTTGACCAACCAATGCTGTTGTCTCTTCCCTGGGCCTACCACTGTACCCTCTTTCAAGGGCCAACTACACCTACGGAATTATGTGGGCCTTCACCCTGCTCCCAACCAGGCTACGTTCTCTATTAGAAATGCCGCCCCCAACCCAACCCACATCAGACGTCAGGATCCAGTGGGACTGGCTGATAAGACCAGCATTCCGGAGGGAAAGGGCAGGGCTGCAGAGCTAACGGAGCACACCTGCGGCCATGCACGTGTGGCCATTTCTGCAGGAGCCTCCAGGGCTGATTCTCCAGTATCCTTCACAGAAGCTGCAGCCCAGTCTTTGCCCACAGCTGCAACTGGCTAGGAGAAAAGGGAGCTCTGACCTGCCAAATAAAGACCTGCCCTCCCAGTGAATGGGCTGCACCCCTGGTCCTCATCATGGGAGTCCTTTCCCCGCCTATCTGGGCCAAGGCTCCACCTGCAGGTGCAGACTCTCCAGGTACACTTTGGCCAGCACCAGCATGTAGAACTGTGCCTCATGTATCTGGATGAAAGGAGCCCTATGTGCTTACTTACTGCACATCCTGCACTATAGGGCCAGGAAGCACTTTGAGATGCAGCCCTATTTGAGCCTTCAACCACCCAGAGAGACCAGGAGTCAGCACCCTTACCCCATTCATCTTTGCTCACACTTACTGAGTCCCTCCCATGGTCCAGACTCAGTTCTAGGCACTGAGGACAGAGAAAGGAACAAGAGACAAGGAACCTGCCCTCAAAGAGCTTACATACCAGAGAGGCAGCTAGTCGGTAGCTAATATGACTGATATGGCTGTCAGAAAGTGATAGGTGCTATGAAAAACTCCAAAGTCAGGAGCAGTAGAGACCACTGGTGCTCAGCCTCTACCAGTTCTCTCTTTCAGGACACTGACCACAGAGAGGCTTGTATTCTCCCCCACCTGCAGTTAGGCAGAGCCATTAGGCTAGGAGTGGCCAATGAGCTGTGAGTCCAAGTGATCCCTGCCACTTCTAGGCTGCAGCACTAATTGCTAGTACAAGACTCTCTAGCTGTCCTCCTCTGTCACAGTGACCCACAATGTTCCAGAGAGCATATTGTCATTCAGCCTAGTTCCCTGAGGGAAAAAGTGGAAGACAACCCTCCATCAATCCATGGTGGACATATAGCATAAGCAAGATAATACTCTTTGTGCATTCAGCCACTGGGGTTTGGGGTTATGACTGCCACACAGCCTAGCCCATTCTCTCTTTTTTTTTTTTTTTTTTTTTTTGAGTCAGGGTCTCCAGCCTATCACTCTAGGATGGAGTGCAGCGGCACAATCAGGACTCACTGCAGCTTCGACCTCCCAGGCTCAAACAATCCTCCTACCTCAGCCCCACTAGTAGGTGGGACTAAAGGCACATGCCACCACACCCAGCTAATTTTTTAAAAAAATTTTTTAGTAGAGAAGAGGTCTCACTATGTTGCCCAGGCTGGTCTCAAACTCCTGAGTTCAAGTGATCCTCTTGCCTCGGCCTCCCAAAGCACTGGGATTACAGGCATGTGCCACCACACCTGGCCCCTTAGCCTATTCTTATTAAAACACTGTCAGGGGCTAGAGTGGCAGTTTTCAAACAATTTGATCTCTTAAAAATTACTGAGGATCCTGGAGGGCATTTGTTTATGTGAATTGCATCTATTGATATTTGCTTTTTTAGAAATCAAAAGAAAAATATTTATTTTAAAATAACACCATTGTATGTTAACATAAAATTTTTATGAAGAACATAGTTTGCAAAACAAAAAATTAGTGAGAAGAGTGACATTGCTTTATGTTCTTGCAAATCTCTTGAAATGGCTTAATAGAACACAGCAGAGAGATTCATATTATCTGCTTCTGCATTCAAGCTGTTCTGCTATGTTGTTGAAGTATGTGAAGATCCGATCTCACATAGATATGTAGCTGGAAAAACAAGGACCATATAAACCTCCTTAGAGGATCCTAGGGACCCTCTCCCCAGGGGTCCTTGTAACACACTTTAGAACCCCTGGACTGAAGAGGACTGAGAGAACTGGCAGCTAGAGTGGGGTTGCCTAGCCCAGAGGCAAAGGTGGACTGAAAACGGTGGGTCAAGAGATGACGGCCTGCAAGATTGAAACGACTGACCTTGTTGAATTGGGACCTGGCGTTTTGGAGGCTCTGATAGGCAAGAAGGCCAGAGCAGGCAAGGAAACTGTGAAGCCAATGACTGGCCAGTTTCTACAGCTCTCGCCAGGTAGAGCAGAATGTGGGGCTATCTGGGCTTCTAACACCAGCCTCACCCTCTGCCCACTTAGACATTTAGGACAGTCTTCACCTTTAAACATCTCGCCACCATTCTCGGGTAAATTATTTGTCAGTTGCTAAGGTCTCATTGGAAGGTGGACCTCCTCAGATATTCCCCAAAGCATCTGCAAAGGATGAGTCAGGGAGAATTTCAGCCTTATTCTCGGTTCCTGGGATGTGCCCCAGAGACTCCAGGACATCAAAGACTCAGCTCTGCTGACCTTAGGACCAGTAGTGAGGAACTGGGACATGTGCACAGGGGGCGGGGCAGGGGCCCAATACATGACCAGGAGCATGGCACAAATCCCCTGATCCAAAAGAAGGACAAAGGAATGAGCCCTCCTTCCTTGTAAATAATTATAAGTGAAAGTAGACATTAGTAATAAGAATCCATCTCCTTTATTAAGTTCTAACAAAATGCCCAGTATTTCCTCCCAACCTCCTTCAGAGGCAGATATTATTATCTTCACAGCAATTTAAAAGCCCACACAAGAGTGTGTACAGGTTGTGGATTTTCTTTTTTGGTAACTTGTTATTTTAATAATTTTGAACTTTCAAAAAAGTTTCAAGAGTAGTAAAAAGAACTCCCAAATACCAAGATTCACCAGTTGTTTGCATTTCCCAGCATGTGCTTTCTCATTCTATCTGTCTCCCGATAGACAGACAGATGCCCACTTTTAAAAAACTGAACTATGTGACAGCAAGTTGCAGACAGCATGACACTCAGCCCTAATACTCCAGTGTGTATTTCCCGAGAAAAGGACTTTTTTGTTTGTTTGTTTGTTTGTTTGTTTGTTTTTGAGATGGAGTCTCGCTCTGTCGCCAGGCTGGAGTGCGGTGGCGTGATCTCTGCTCACTGCAACCTCCGCCTCCTGGGTTCAAGCGATTCTCCTGCCTCAGCTTCCCGAGTAGCTGGGACTACAGGCGCCAGCCACCATGCCTGGCTAATTTTTGTATTTTTAGTAGAGACAGGGTTTCGCCATGTTGGCCAGGATTGTCTCGATCACTTGACCTTGTGATCTGCCCACCTTGGCCTCCCAAAGTGCTGGGATCACAGGCGTGAGCCACCGCGCCTGACCAGGACATTCTTTAACATAACTTTAGCACTATGATCAAAATCAGGCAATTCAACAGTGACACAATGCTATCATCTCACACCTGGTCCATAGTCAAGATTATCCCACTATCCTGGTCATGTCCTTCACAGCTGCTTCTCCCAGGCCAGAATCTCATTCAGAATCCTGCATTGCTGGGTTCTGCACACCTATCTCCTATCTCCCACTCTGTTGTTTTGGCAATGAAATTATTTTCTGTCATCTCTTTTCTCTCCTTTCACTTGGATTAGTTCTTCAGCCTTTCTTTGTTTTTCATGACCTTGACATTTTGGGGGAAGTACAGGCCAATTATTTTGTATAATGTCCCTCAAAATGACTTTTCTGTTCTTTCCCCATAATGACATTCAGGTTATATGTTTTGGCAGGAATACCAAAGAAGTGATGTGTATCCTATCAGAAGGTGCTTGATGCTGAATTGTTCCACGTTGGGGATGTTAATTTTGATCATTTAGTTAAGGTAGAGTCTGCCGGGACTCTCCACTGTGAAGCTACTATTTTTCCTTTGTAACTAATAAGTGAAAAGGTATTTTGAGACCATAAATATCCTGATCCTCATCAAACTTTCACCCATTAGTTTGAGCATTTATTGATGATTTTGCCTGAATCAAGAATTGGTTTTGCAAATATTATTATTTAATAACTTAATGTTTGCAAAATGGTGATTTTTGAATTCCATCATTCCTTCTGCATTTGTTAGTTGGCATTTTACTATACAGAAATGCTTTTCCTTCTATTCATGGATTAATTGTTAATTTATTTATGCCAGTTTAGACTCATAGATTCTTCTTTTATTCGACCGGGTTACAATACTATCATTTATTTGATGTTTAAATTGTTCCAGATGCAGCTTGTGGGAGCCTCTTCAAGCTGGTTTTCTTGTCCTTTCATGCCTCCATCCTTTTTTGCATACTCCCTTATTCTCTGACGTAACAAGACGCTGCAGGCTCATCTTGTACTTTTCCTGTCTCAGCCCTGAAATCAGACAGCCTACAAGGAACCCTGGTTCTTTTTATTCGTCAATGGTATTTAGAAACTGAAATCTGAGTAAGTGTGCTCATTGCTACTGTGGTTTTATTGTTTCTAGACCATTTCATTATACAGAACTAGGAAATATATGTATTATATATGTACATATACGTGTGTGTATATATATATATATCTATCTCTGTGTGTGTGTGCATATCTCCAATCTTCCAGCTCCAATTCAACGCCATAGAATTATTGCAAACCTTCCTCAGTTCACTATTTGTGACTTTAATACATTCATTCATTTGCTCAATCTTACAATACACAGTATATGGCTATACCCATAACACTGTGAAGGCACTCTTTCTATGTAGAGTTCAATATTGGTGTGCAGCTTTCTTTGCCTTTACACTGGGGGTATGTAGTCAAAAGTATTGGGTCCAACAGTTACTTGGCTTTCCTTTTCTCCCTTTAGTATAGTTATTCTGTTCCTTGGAAGTACAAATTAGGTTTATTTGCTTCTGTTTGTATTTCATTTTGATGTTTTCCCCCTCCTAGTTGATTTAAAGGAGGCTGTACCCTTAATCACTAACTGTTGTTATAATTCTTGTTCAGCTGTGGGTCCAGGTAGTACAGGACTCACACACTGCCCACACATTGCCCATACTACCTGCACCCACATCTGAACAAGAATTATAACAACAGTTAGTGGCTAAGGGTTGTTGTAGAATTTTTTCCTAATCCTACAATATCACATATGTTCATCCTGATTTACAATTCTGGGAGACCTTCCTAACCATCCATTCCAAATGTAGCTGCCACAGACCCTCTTCTCTTCTTCCAAACTGGAGTCCTACTTCCTCACTTCCTGGCCTCTGCCCACATGTTCCTCGACTCAGACATCTCCACTATGTCCTCTTAGGTGCCAAACCCTTCAAGGCCCACCCAAGTTCCACCTCCTCCAAGATGCTTTTGAGACCCTTAGGAGAACCAGACCCCAGCTCAACATGGTTAGGATCATAGGCTGGGCCCAAGGAGGTGGGGGGAGCCCCTGTGAATGAAATACCAAGTGGCCCTGGGTCATGTCCAGGCCCTAAGGTGCAACCCAAGTGGCTCCTATGACTGTGGATGTTCTGCTGTGCTTTGGCTTCTTTGAGGGGAGACTCAGAGGCAGGAAGTTCCTGTGAAACTCATACACTTAATCAAGTTTTCCTACTATGTGAATGGAGCCTGCGGGAAAGTGGACCCACTGGCAGAGCCCTGATATTAGGAACTGGAGCAAACCAGTTCAGTTCCTCTGTGGAAAGTCCATCCCGGAGGGTGGGAGGCAGTGGGCTCTGGGATGTAGGGAATCTGAAGGCTAGGTTTGGGGCAGAATCTCCCTCCCTGCCCACACATACACACCCCCAAGTCCAGATACTTGTGCTCTCAGCAGCCCTGGGCAGCCCCCCATCAGGACACATGCCCTCTGCAGAACCCCATATGGAGAACACAACCCAGAAGAGGGGAACTTAGAGTTAGATGTCAAATAGCATCACCCCATAGTTCCACCAGTAGCCCCATCACAGAGGTCCTTCTTGTTTCTTAGCCCCCACCTTGGTTCCCAGGACTTTGGTCAAGCCTTGGAGGATTCCCACTCTCCCTTTGCCTGGGCTATGAAGCATGCAGTCCTCGTGGTGCTGACCGCCATCAGGGGCTCATGAGGGGTAGGCGCAGTTTGAGTTTTTAATATCTTGCCACTGGGTGCTCCTCCCTGGTCCACTGGCAGCCTCCATCCACTCCAGGTCCCTCCAGACACACACCCTCCTTGGATCCATGGCCCACAGGATGCATCTCTAATGCCCCATCAGCCCACCATGGCCTGTCAGTGTTGCAGAGACCAGCAGATGCTGCTGAGCCCTGAAGGATATAGTTTGGCATTCCAGGCAGTCTGTTTCCACTTGGGGACAGTGAGTGAAATTTAGCTCTTATTACTCAGACACTCCTCCCTCTGCATGCACATCTAATGAGGCAGTGTGTACCCCTGGACACACAAGCTGTTAAACTGCAGACAGGCTGCAGCTTTCCAGTGAGAGTGGATTTCAAGGGTGTATTTTTATAAGGAAGAAATGACATAAGCGTCCCCCTTTGTTATTTAAATTTCATGAAAATCAACTATAGATGGTGTGTAATTGAGCACAGAATAGGGCCCAGAATATATTCTGAAATAACGGGAGCCCTTTTATCAGGTTATATATGAAAAAAAATAGTCAAAGAAAAGCAAAATCTCCATGCAAAATAATGAACTATTTGAAGGAAGAAAAAAAAGAAAAAGGGGATGAAGTGCGCCTAGGAGAGTATTCAAGCAGCCGGTGTTTTTTTCTTGAGAAGTTTCTTGGGAGCGGAGTTTAGAGATGGGGTGGGTTGCAGTCATCATTGGTTGACCTGGGCTCAGAATCAGGCCGTACACATTACTTCAACCAGAAACCAGGCCAACGACATTGCAGGAGTCTTCCAAGGTGGATGACCCTATGTGAGGCCCAGAAGCACTGCAGGTCCTAAGAGGAGGCCTCCTACTGACCCTCCTCCCCACCCTACCCTCTGCACTTTCTGTCCTGTGGTCCCCGGAGGCCATGAGCCTGGGTAGCCAGGCACTCTGTTGGGAAATGAGAGCCGATCTGGGGGCTTGAGTCGGGTGGAGCCTGGTGGCGCCTGTGCTCAGGAGCTGGCCTGACTCCGGGCGGGTGTTCGCTTGCTGCTGTGGAAGGCTTCTTTGCACTGATATGTTCACAAGCGGCCCACAACAGGCCCCCTCTCTATCACCAGCAAAGGAGGGGCCTGACCCTGGTCTTCTCCACGCACCCTACTCCATGTGCTCACAGCTCAGCTTCTCCTGATGGGTCACTCATCTCATGCCTGAGATTTGCCTTCTCTGAACCTCCATTATCCCATATGCCTAACGAGGACGAGAACATCTCTGGAAAGGGTTGCTGTGAGGACAGCGTAGGAGACAGCGCTCAGCGTTCAGGCTCAGTAAGGTGCCAGCCACCTGATCGGTACTGAATGCAGACAGCACCTCCCTCTTTCTGGCAACCCCACCCCCCTCCACTCATTCCCTGCCGCCCCTGCTTCCTCTGGGGGCTCCCTGCAGCTGGAGCTCCCTGCAGAGGCCCGGGCCAGCCCTGACGCCTGGCTGCGGTGGACGCCCTCAGAGCTAGGGCACCCATCTTCCAGAGAAGGTGCCCAGGCTGAGCTTCGTCGTTAAACTCCGCAGAGCCTAGAGGTGCAACCGGAAAGAACAAGTCCCCTGGAAACGACCCCGCTGCTGCCATCGCCACTGCTGGTGCTGCTGCTACGGCAGGCCCTGGCTCTCCATGCAGTCTCCAGAATGCCCTCATCTACTCCCATTCATTTCTTGAGCACCACCTGTGTGCTTGGTCGTGCCTGGTCGTCTGAGGCACAGCCCTGCGGCAACGCTAACTCTAGCCTTCTTCCCAGGAGGCGCAAGTTTAGAAATCTTCCAGAAGGCGCAGTTTAGAAATCAAGTGCTCTCCGGTCCTAATTGCGGTCACACTGAGTTGCAGTGGCCCTGCGATGGCCTTGTATATCCTCTCCCAGGAAGGCTGAACACCCAGCACACAGGACAGACCCTGGTACTCAGCAGGTGCTGCATAAGCGTCTGTTAAATGCAGGACTGGAGCAGTGCAGAAACAGCTCTTACTCTGAAATCGCAGGCGCTTCCCGGGGAGTCCCGCACCGGCGCAGACGGCGGATCCAGGGCGTGGAGGGGGCCGGGGAACGGGTTCAGAGTGCCATCTACCGGCAGTTCGTCGGACTGGCAGGAAAGGCCTTGGCCCTGCGGCGGGATGGAGCCCCCCAGACTGCGCTGTTTGCTACGCTGCTCCGGATCCATTCACTCTCCAACCGCTCTGCAATCACTTCGCAATCACCAGTAAACTTTGCCGCCTACTTGAGAAGAGAAAGGTAGGGCCCAGGAGTAATTAGCAAGTCCTGAATTGTGCTGAGAATATCCAGGAAGGGGGCTTGTCTTTCACCAGCTTCTCCTGCGGAAGGGATTTCCCCCAAATTCTCTTTATTGGGAGGCTTTGAGCAGGAGCCAATGACTGCAGTTCCTGCAGAACCGGGGCAAGGGCCTGCTCCCTGGGGGACCGGCAGGGGCTGGGGTTAGTCAGACCCAGTGGACATACCAACTCTGCCACTTACCAGCTGTGTGACTGAGAGCAAGTTACTCTCTGCGCCTTAGCTTCCCCATCTGTAAAACAAGCCCCATGATAGTACCCCATGGTAGGATAGTTATGAGGATGTAAGCCAGATGTAACCCAGATGCCAGACACCCACTGTTCCCGAGGGTCTGGCTGCCCTTTAGTGTCCGATAGCAGAAGAGACCCAGCCTTCATCCTCCTTGGTCATCGTATGGCCAACTTTCATCCAGCTCCCCTCCCTCTGTGCCCTGGGAATCAACAGGTTGAGCTTGCCCACCCTGGCGATACCAGCTTGTGGCTGGTATTCCCTCATCTCACCTCCTGACTCAAGCTCCCCACTCTCCTTATCTCGGGTGATCTCTCGACATCTCATAACAAGTTTTCCCAGGCCCCACTGCTCCCCACAATGCTTCGGCTCACACGTGGTCAAGACTGCTGCTACATCTTAAAGCAAAGTAGGACCAGACCTGACTGGGATAATACTAGGAGAGAACAACAGAGCATGATGGAAACCTGCAAACTAGCTCCTGGGTGCGGCTAGGCTCAAAGTCCTGAAACCACAGCCCACAAAGGGGTCAGCATCCCCTCGAAGAGGGACTGCCCCAACCATATGGCCCTCTCCTCCAACAACACACTCCTCCAGCTTTCTGAGACTCTGTAAGGAAACTCGCTTCCTTTCTATTTCTGCAATTCCTCACATTTCTGCCCTGAGTGAAGACAACCTTTGCTGTGATTCTACAAAACAAAACTCTCAGTATTTTTCTTTTGCTGCCTGGAACCTCTGCATCCCAGAGCTGCAGCTTGGCTTTTTCTATGTAAAATCAAATGCCCTGTTAATTTTTTTCCCTTTTTCAAAACACAAAGAATAGGCTGCTCTCAAAGATGCCTCCTACAGAAACTAAAAGTCTAATGGGCCAGGCTCATGTGTGTGATCCCAGAACTTTGGGAGGCTGAGGCAGGAAGAGGATCACTTGAGGCCAGAAGTTCGAGATCAACCTTGCAACATAGGTTGGTCTCTACAAAAAAAAATAGAAACAAAAACTAGTCAGGTGTGATGATGTGTGCCTGCGGTCTCAGCTACTGAGAAGGCTGAGGTGGAAGGATGGCTTGAGCCCCAGAGGTCAAGGCTACAGTGAGCTGTGATCACGCCACTGCACTCCAGCCTGGGCAACAGAGTGAGACTGTGTCTCAAAAAAATAAAGTAAAATAAAAATAAAATGACAACGGTTGACATTGATTTTCTGATTCCTAGTCCACGATCCTGTGTAAGCTGTGTGCCTGTTTATCCCTTCACCAGTTCCCAACAACACTGTGAGGCAGTCACCATTTTGTCTGCATTTTTTAGAGGAGGAAAATAAGTATACGAAGGTTATGGGGGTCCCCCACATTCACATAGTTAAGTGTCTGTCTCCAGATTCAAACCCAGGCAATCTGGCTTCTTAAAGCTTCACCTTTAGCTTAAAGGTAAAAGCACAGGATCTGAGATTTCAAAAATGCTGGAGTCCCATCTTGGCTAGAACACCCTGTTACAAATGTGGGTGTTGAGTTTTCGCAGCATGGCTGGAGCACGGGAGGCGCCCAGCGAAAGGGGCACCTGGGGCCAGCAAAGCCTGTAGCCAGGCAATAGTGCACCAGAGAGGCAGCCTCCCATTCCACCCCTACCTCTCTAAGGGGTGATCTCTGAGTAAGGGGCATCTGTTAGCCTTGCCCCATCTCAGGCACCATCCTCAGTGGCTCACATCCCACGACAGCCGACATCCTTCAACAGCTCCTTTATTGTCTTGGAATAGAATCCAAACCCTCTACCAGAATCTAAAAGGCCCTGCAAGGACTATCTAACCCCACCTGGTTTCCAGCCATCTCTCTGTTACTGCTCTTCCCTTCGCTTGCAGGCAGTTCCCTGTCTAACCAAGGCTGCTGCTTCAGGGCATTTGCACTCAGGACCTCTCGGCCTGCTGCCTTACTCCCTTCAGCCTCTGATGAACCAGAATCTCCCCAGGGGGGGTTTCTGAATGCACAGTCATCCCCCACCGCAGCTACATGCTCACCATTCCTATTCGTTTCCTCCTTCCTTTCCAGACTGTCTCTAGAATGCAAGCTTCCTGAAGGAAGGCTTGCCAAACGTGATAGGCTTAGTAGTGGCCCCAAAGACACACCCACTTCCTAAACCCTGGAACCTGTGACTGTCACCTCATGTGGCAAAAGATGGGATCAAATTAAGGATCTTGAGATGGGGAGATTTCCCTAGATTATCTGGATTGACCCTAAATACAACGACAGTATCCTCATCACAGGAAGGTGGTGGGAGATTTCACACTCGGAGAAGAAGGCCACATGAAGATGGAGCAGAGAGATTTGCCCCAATAGAGAGACCCTGAGCACTCCAGTCTGTCTGGAACTAACACCAGCCACCCAGGCTATCTGCCCCATGCCCCAACTCACGTGTAGACTTTGGCTCCTTCATGGTGATTTCTGTTATTTGGTTCTGCGGGGGCTCATGTCCTAAGGAAAAAATTACATTTTGGCTAACTAGGGTTTACCACACCTCACAAAAGGATTGCAAACTCAAAGGCTTACAGGAGCCTAGAACATAAAATAAATATATACGAAACAGGACTGGGGGAACTGAGGCAAACTGGGATGGAGCGCCAAGCGTCTGCACCAGCAGACGAGTGCCCTGCAGGAACCCGAGCCCAGGCCAGCCTCATCTCCTGACTTTTCAGCTGAAGCTGCAAAAATTGAGGGTTTTATTTCCAGGCTTCCAATTTTAAAATGTTGACAACTTGGACAAAATGTATACAATACCACACTGTGTGGCCCATAGTAGCTGCTAGTTTCTTCTTTGCGGACAGGGACCCACTGAGGCAGAAGGCACCAAATCCAGGTGGCTCCTAGCTTGATTGGGGTGCCTGTCCTGAACATTAGGACCACTTTCCCTGCAGGATCCATGGGGGAATTCGATTCTCCCAAGTGAAAACATCAGAATTCAGTTGAATTCCGATGCAGCTGCACGTCTGCAACAAACACTTCCAACAAATAATAGAGTTGTGACATTCATCATTCCAACAATGAGAACAAATACCAGAATTGAATAAAAAGTTGTGTCCTTGATTTTCCTGGGTGCTGTTGTTGGAAGGCGGGGGTGGGGGGCACCTCAGCTCCTATCTAAAAAATCATCCAGGCCAAGCAGTTGTCAATTAAAGACTGAGAAAGGGAGGAGGGAAAGGCAGCCCTACTCACATCTCGCAGGGCAGCTCTCCACCTGAGCTGAGGTGGGCAGAGTTAATTCCTCCAAGAGCCTTCAGCCTTGAAGAGGTGACATGGAGGTAGCTCTAGCCCTGCAGGGGGAGCAACTATGCCGAGTCCCTGAGAGCTGCCTGAGGGTGGGGACAGCTGTCCCCACCGAGCGTCGCGTCCTCTGAAAACACACAAGCAGGCAATTTCCTGTGCACAAAAGTTGCCCAACAGTGCCCCCTAGCACTCATAATGACATACCTTCTTAGAGTAGGGCCTGGGAGGTTTTAGAAAGTTATCTGAGAGAAGAGACTAGGGAAAAATCTGGTTCTCCAAGTCATACTTGCCAACAACATTTGGGTGTGTTGGGGTTGGCGAGCAGGAGTGGGTAGGGGATGGGGGGGAAAGGAAGGCAGATTAAGGGTGGCATTTATCAAGCACTGGCCCTAGCATTCGTGCCAGGGTTCCCTGTTTCCAGGAGGACCAGATCATGGCTTACACTGAAGACACATTAAGGCTTGCCAAGGTTGAGCTGAGAGCCCCCAGGCTTGATTTAAAGGTGTTGGAGGCATTCCATGGTCTGTGGCAATCCCATCAGCAGTAGAACTTACCTGCAAATGGCTGAGCCACGATGGCCCTGAGCCTCAGTTAGAACCTCTGCAGCTCTACAAGCCACTTCTTACTGCAGATGGGCCCATAGGAAAGTATGTGCCCATCCCATGCCATGGCCAGCCAATTGCAGGCAGACAGCTAAAGGCCAAACACCAATGACAGGTTCTGAGGTAGGTTCCCAACACGTACACAGCAGACACCCTTCAGGTAAATGGCCAACAAAAAGAAACAGCCAAAGTCACTAAGTGAACCACTGGGTGACAAGTTGCCCAGGCCCAGTTGGTGATTTATGGCTCATGAGGTGATGCAGTCCCAGGGAGCTTCTGGAAAACTACTTGGAGAGAGCTCTGTAGGCAGGATTGCTCATTTTCTCATCACTTTTCCATTTTCATGATATAGATCCCCCCTGGGGCAGAGGGAGGAGGAAAATGCTTTTTATATTATGGTAGTGGCCATGTGGAAAAGACATATTTCCCTCAACATTCGATTCCGAATGAAAACGCACGTTTGTAAAGCATATGTGAAACATGTCATGCACGAAAGGTATGAAATATTTATTGTCATGGCTTGGGTTCGTTTTGTGAAATATCACAGGACAGGGAGAAAACTGTTAAAAGTGAGAAACTGCTGGGGAGAATGGGAGCTGCTGGCCTTAAGGATACCTTCACAAAGCAAGGCAGCAGACAGTGCTGGGAACAGAGTGGGGTGGCTGGAATATAGATTCATGTGTGCTTGTACTCGCATCAAGACTCTCTGGAAGGATACACAGGACACCATTACAGCAGTTACCTGTGGGGAGGAGTGTGAGAGAGACTTTCCTCTCTACTTTTTATTTTGAAAAAAAAAAAAAAAAGTGAACTATGTGAATATGTTACCTTTTCAAAATGGGATATAAAAATAAAACAAAGCTTTTCATTTTGGAAGGCTCAATCATTGAAGAGAACTAAAACATTCAGAGCATATTTTGATGTAAAAATTTTAAAAATCTCAAAAACTAAATTTCCTCCCTCTAGCCATCCCTTTCTGTGTATCCAAAGGTTGTCCATCAGCTATGCTCCAATTGCTGCTTATCTGCTTCTCCAGCTCCCAGTCCTCTCTCTCAGGGCTGTCTTCCCCACAGCAACACCCCAGCCCCATGCTGCTGTCCTTGGCTCTTGGCTTTTGTTCTGCACTCTGAGAACGTGGAGGGCTGACCATGGCACTTCTCAGTGCAGCAGTTCTGTGGAGCCGGCTCAGCAATCAGTCTCTCTCAGTGAACAAATCTGCAGCCGGGGAGCCCAACAGGGTGAGGTGCAAGCTTGAGAAGTCTTTCCAACCCTTGAAGAGTTTGCAGTTCGGCTGGGAAAAGGAGACCCTGTTGTCTTTCAATATCTATTTCCCCTTCTCCTATAATAATAGAACCCTCCTTTTGTCATTGATCACACAGCTCCCAGGCACCCTGACAGCTAGGACTAGCCATTCCCTGAGACCAGCCAACAGGATGCAAGCAGAAGTGATTGGGCAATTTCCAGGACGCATCTTCCGAAGGAAAGGATGTGCTCCACGCTTGCCCCCTGCCAGTTCCCCCTGTTTGGATGTGGGTATGGTGGGGGTGAGCCATGTGAGGCCACATGGGCAAGGGCAATGCTCTAGGGTCGGCAGCGTGGCAAGGGGGAAGGAGGCTGGGTTGCCGACACTGTGGAGCAGCCATCGGGGCCCTGGGCTGCTCACACCTGGCCTATTAGGTGACTCTTGTTCAAGCCACTGCTTGAGATCCAAGTTTTCAAAATAACAGAGAGAGGGAGAAAGAGAGAGAATATGTAGAGAGAAAAATTTAGTAAAATGAAATAATGTAATGAATCTGGAAAAGACAAAATAGTAGATTGCCACTTTGTCTCTCTTCATCCAGGTGCAGTCAGTCAATCAATACTGATCACAGTGAGGGATAGTTATTAGGTTAATGCAAATGTAATTCCGGTTTTTGCCATCGAAAATAATGGCGAAACCACAATTACATTTGCACCAACCTACTATTGACCCACTTATGCCTAGTGTTCCATTATTGGAATGCTAAGCATGTGGGAGTTATCTATATCCTACTGCTCAAGGTCATTACCAAGGTCTGATTGCAAAAATTCAAAAAATTGCAACCTCAGGCATAAATGGGTTAAGCTCTCACTCTAGCAGGCTCCATGTTCTGTGCTTTAGAAACACAATCTCATTTAATCTTTACTCTGTCGACATTTTACAGAGAAAAACTGTGGCTCCATGAGGTTAAATGACTTGCCCAATTCCCTTGGCTCATGAGAGGTGGTGCTGGGATTGGAACTCAGTCTCCCTGACCCCAGAGCCCATGATCTTGGCCACTGAGCCACACTGCCTCCCGAAGAACCCAGGTTTCAGGTTCTCTGGATGTGACATGTCCCAAGCTTACAGCTGGACACTTGACCTCCTTACTTTGATGGCCTCCTGTGTCCTGGGGGCAGTGACTGCATATTTTTTATGAGGGGCTGTGGCTGTGCCCTAAGATGTAGGACACTCAGCAGGACAGCAGAGACAGGAAAACAAACTAGGTGATGAAGGTCAACATGCCACATCATCCGGCCTCTAGGGCTTTGGAAGAGTCGGGGAGAGACTGGAGGGAGGACCCAAGAGGGCTCGGGGCTAATACAGCAGAAACCTCAAGTGCCTCTGCAACAGCCTGGGAAGAAGCAGCCTGATCCAACTCCCTGTAGTCCTCTGGGGTTGCCGGCTCTCCCACATTTCTGCTCCTTTGCTCGAGCAGGTCCCCCTCTTGGAATGTCCTCTTCTCCTTATCAACTTAGCCACTCCTACCGGTTCTTTAAGACTCAGCATTGGTATCAGCTCCTCAAGGAAGCCCTCCTCCACCCCGAGGCATGCCTTGGCAGCTCACCAGGACTCCTCCCATGGCACTTGCCCTACTGGTGCAGAGCCACCCAGGGTTGGGTGCAGAGGAAGCCAGGGTCTCTCTGGGCCTAGCCTCCTCCTTGGGAAGAGATCCAGGAGCCCCATGGGAAACACAAATAAACACACAGGAATTTGGCTTTAGAGGCATGTGGGGCAGAGTCTTGAAGCTGAAATCTGGCAAGCATCAAGCTCCTGCCTCGCTGCTGTTCTGTTCGTGGTCAGCTATTAGTCCCATGGGTTCAGAGCACATGTACACATAAGGATGGTCCAGGAGCCCCAAAACCTAGGGAGCCTGCCACCAAAGCCGCCACTCCCTGGAAGTTCCCAGCATCTCACTTCTCTACCCCAGACCCCAGGTTGCGTGGGGTCTGTCATCCACTCCAAAGTGAGGTTTCTGTCATTCACTGGATTTTAAATTCCAATTTTTATTTAATTGGTATAGGGGAATTAAAAGCAGACAATTCAGTTTTGCAAAACAAATTCACAGAAATTGCTGGAGGAATTTTCCTTTGTTTTGGCAAAATCAAGCCAGGTCGCGCTACCCATGGTGATGGCAGCTTCCTGGGGCGCATTGGAGGCTCACAGCTGTGAAGCTGGGTTGGGCTATTTTTCTTGGCACCAGAATCCCCCTTGATTTTAGGGTTCTTCTGAGGAAGCCTCCAGCTCATGATGACTATTCCAGATTCAGGAGATGGCTTGAAGGTGTTAGAAGCAGTGTGAGATGGTGGACACTCGGCATGGGCAGCACAGGCCCCTCAAGCTCCCACACAGTGGAGTTCAGTGTTCCTGTGGGTATTAGCCAGCATTGTAATGAATCGGCTTTCTGGAAAGAGTTTTAAATGAGGAGTCAATACAAAAGTCCAGAAATGCTGTGGACCCTCTGGGTTTTGTGCACCTACCATATTGGGAACGCAGAACTTTGCTGTGGGCTTTGAGTCTGTGACCCAAACTCATTAGAAACAGTGTTTGGTGGTGATGGTCTGGCCACAGCTTTACGTAGAAGCCCATGGTGGGGGAAAAAGAAACATAATAATCACATAACCCTTGCCCCCAAAATTTGTGACACCAGGAATACTTGGGAAAGCTCAGTGAGCGAGTGGCACAGAATCCAGTTCATGGGCAGGAAATGGCAGAATCCAAGCCTGGCAGGGAGCTCATGGCATAGAAGATTCATCGATCCTCTCATTAACACTTCCCTGAGATTTATACTGTTACAAACAATCCACACTGCTGAGTGGCTGCTTCCCCTGCTTCTGCTCTGACTCCTACTCTTAGCTCCATGCTCATTATGAGTGGGAGGGGCATTGGGTGTGGATTCACCTGGGGTCCATTCAGGGCATTTTGACTCAGAGAAAGGAGGACCCCTCTCCCTCCTCCAGCGCAGCCTCCTGCCATGGCTTCCCCAACCTTTCAAACTATCCTCCCTCTTGGGCCCCAAGAGAGGATCAGTGGGTTTAGGGATGCTGCCACCTGGTGGCCACAGGCTATCGGGACTCAGCGGCCAGCCACGTTAGCTTGCTAGGGCTGGAACCAGGTACTCTCCGCTGAGTGTCACTGGTGGCCAGCGGGCTGGAGCACACATTTTGAGAAGGCCAGGCAGCTGGACTCCAGAGACACCCTACCTTTGAGGCCTGAAAGCTTCATGGTTAAACCCAAGAGTCTCAGAGACTGTGTTCAAATCCTGTCTCCGAAACTTCCCAGAAGGATGACCTTGAGCAAATCAACTACCTGCTCTGAGCCCCAGCTTCCTCATTTGTGAGATGGAGAGCCTTCCTGGACGTCAAGGATACAGGTCCCAGCAATTACTTGGAGACTTCCTTTTACTTTATTATAATATAAAATGGAATTTATAGGAAACTCATGCACATTAGGAATTCAACTCTAAAGCCATGCTTATTTTAAGCAAAAACTGGAGCTGTCTGAAAACTTAGGTTTTGTGTGCGCAGTTGTTAAGTCTCCTCTGACAGCCCGTATCCCCAGGGTGCATTTTTGCTCTACCATCAAGGGTTCTACTAAGAGCAGTTCTCACTTATCAATTCTCACCGCGTGCTTGGCACTTTCCACATATCTCATTGAGTCCTCACAACAACAGCAATTTGTCCCCATTTTACAGAGCAGAAAACTGAGGTGCAGAAAGGCTGCATAACTTGCTTGAGTTGTTGCACGTAGGAGCCAAGCCTCAGACCTGAGTCCGTCTGGCTGCAGAAGCCTCACTGGTCTAATGTTGGAGAAAGCCCTGGAGGTGGGAGTTTCAGGGGTTGCCTGGGGAGGCAATTGTTCTGTCCCTGAGCCCTCCCTGAGCACATGATGGGGGACATTTGCTGACTGATGTAATATGTCCCAGGATCCCAACACCAGATGCCCAACACCCAACCAGAGGCTGTCCTAGCCAAGGGAGCCAGGCTGAGTGAAACCGGCACTTCCCCAGCTCTTACCCTTCGGGCTCTTACTCTCCCTTCGTGAGACTTCCAGCTCCCATCTGCCTCCGGAAAGCCAACAACCAGCACTGTGTATGCATACTCCTACCCACAAACCTGGGGCATTCCTCCTGGCTTCTGAAAGATGCAGACTGGGCAGGACTTCTCCTTGCCAGGGAATTCCCTGGTTGTTTCAGTTCTCTTTCTTGTTGGAAACTGCTGTGACCCAAGTTATGAAGGACACAGGCACCATGAACACATGTCCTCTCGCCAGTCACCCTCCCACGCCAGGGCTGTGAGCACGGACATAGCCCTCCCCTCATGACTCACGATTACAACAGAAGGCAGTGGGAGGAAAATAGGCCCAGGGAAGAGATAGGACTTGCCTGAGGTCACATATCTAGAGATGACAAAGCTCCCTACCAGGCTTCTGCCCACTACCTTACTCTGCTGGTGGGCAGAAATAACTGGGGATCACTGAGGTCTTGCCCAGACTGGAGCCCTGAAGATGAGGCCCTTGCCCAGGGTTTAGGGATGCTCAGCAGGCCAGGTGGTCTTTGGACCAGGGAGACTGATGAGAGGAAAGGCCCTGGAGCATGGCCAGCCACCTTCGCACAGTAGGCTCAGCCCCATCTATGTGCCTTTGCAGCCCTTGAAGTGCCTTGATGTAGCCATTTGGGTTTTCGGTCATTCATCTGTCTATCACTGCCCTGAGTAGGGGTGTGGTGCCGGCAAGAGGCCTGGGATCAAGTTTAGCTGCCTAGCCTACACATGGCTTCTCTCCCACCTTGGAGTGGCCATTCGGGTTTTTGATCATTCTAGCTACCTTGCCTGCACTTGGCTTCTCTCCTGCACAGAGCAAGCAGCAGGTCTGGCATGCTCTTAGAACTACTCCTTTAGGTTACTACTGCCTTCCATAGGTTTCTAGAGAAGGAGTCATAGCAAGTCCCCAAGAATTGTCAGGAGAGGATTTTCTCAGTGATCTGAGCTTTGCTCCCTACCCTTCCCCAGTACCAGGAAGAGCCAAGGTACAGGAGATGGGGGAAGAATACAAGAAAAGGCAATTGGAGAGATGTAAAGACCATGATGGGGCCTTCACTGAGCTTCAGTCACCTGTCTTGCTTGGTCTGCCACCAAAGATCTTGTGGTTCTGGGGGCTAGCCCTGCCCCTCACTGCCCTCCCCCCAGATCCCCCACCTCTCTGCTTAGCTTGCTATCGAGGGACCAGGAGCCACATTTGTTTCCAGACCCATATGACTGGCCCCAAGTATGACCCAGAGGGAGTATGTGGCACAGCTATCAAGCTATCTGGACCATGGAGGTGTATTGTGGCTAGGCCAGGGGACTGGAAGTCAGCTCACCTAAGTCCTCACCCAGCTGTGCTACAGATTTGCTGTGTAACCTTGGCTGGTCACTTCCCTTCGCTGAGCTTCCAGGTCAGTTATTTGAGCATCTGGCCCTGAGGATCTCAGGGTGGTCAGAAAAGGCCCAAGAGTAACCAGTGAGGCCTCCAGAGTAGCAGCCCACCGCCCGGAGAAGAGCAGACTTAGAGACCCTTAGAGGAAACAGCCTCCAAGGCCACCATGCTGAAGGGTCCCAAGTGCCTCAGCCTAGAAGAAGGCAGGAGGTGAGCTACTGGAATGGGTCAGTATCTGCCCAGGAAGAGCCAGTGCTGGAGCCCTTCTTCTCCCCTTCAATTTTACCCAACCCAGGTGCAGGCCTGGTCTGGGGCTGTCCTCATCCTCCCTACTTGGATGTCCTCCCTGTTCCACTGTGCCTTTCCAAGGCTTCTCAGCCTTCATTGTCATTGCTAATGTATTACTCCACTTCCCATCTATTAGCTTGTCACTAAGACATTATTATTCTTTTACTGATTATCCTAGAGATTATATCATGCACCTTTGACTTATTAGTGTCTACCTTAAATTGTAGTTTTATTGCATCCTGGACAATGCAAGGACCTTGGGACACTATAATTACATTTTTACCCCTCCCACTTTTGATGTTATTGTTGTCATATACTTTAATTATACATATATTCTAAATACATTTTAAAATGTCATCATCCTACTAGCAAACTAACACAGGAACAGAAAACCAAACACTACATGTTCTCACTTATAAGTGGGAGCTAAATGATGAGAACTCATGAACACAAAGAAGGAAACGACAGACACTGGGGTCTACTTGAGGGTGGGGGGTGGGAGGAGGGAGAGGAGCAGAAAAGATTACTATTGGGTACGGGGCTTAATACCTGGGTGATGAAATAATCTGTAAAACAAACCCCCATGACATAAGTTTACATATGTAACAAACCTTCACATGTACCCCTGAAACTAAAATAAGTTTCAAAAATAAAATGTCATTATTATTGTTTTTCATATGGTTAATATTCACTTTGATTTATATGAATATATCCATTTCCATTGCTCTTCATTTTCTTCTACATTTCTATGCTTTCATTTGGGATTACTTTTCTTCTGCCTGAAGAACACTAGAATTTACTTTAGAGTAGGTGTACTGTTGGCAAATTCTTCAGTTTTTGTGTGAAAATGACTTTATGTCATCTTTATTTTTGAAGGATTCTTTATCTGGGCATGGAATTCTAGGTTGGCGGTTACTTTAGAGCAAAATATCTTCAACAAACCAGGAATAAATGAAAACATCCTCAATTTGAAAAAGAACATTTGCAAAAATCCTGCAGTTAACATCATACTTACTGATAAGAAACCAGAAATTTTCCCACTAAGATCAGGAGCAAGACAAGGACATTTCCTCTCACTATTCTTTTTCAACATCGTTTAACCAAAAAGTTTTAACCAATGAAGTAAGATTAAAAAGGAAAAAAAGGTATACATATTGGGAAGGAAGAAAAAAACTGTCTTTATTTGCAGATGACGTAATTGTCCATGTAGAAAATCCAAAGGAATTGACAAAAAAGCTCCTGGAACTAGTAAGTGATTAACGGACGATTGCAGGATACAAGATTAATACATAAAATCAATTACTTTCCTATATGCCAGCAATGAACAAGTGGAATTTGAAATAAAAAACACAATGCCATTTCCATTAATATTCAAAAAAGAAATATTTCTGTATAAATCTAACAAAACATATACAAGATCTATATGAGGAAACCCATGAAACTATGATGAAGGAAATCAAAGAACTGAACAAATAGAGAGATATCCCATGTCCATGAATAGGAAGATTCAATACTGTCAGGATGTCAGTTCTTCCCTCCTTTATTGATAGATTTGATGAAGTCTCGTCAAAATCCCAGCGAGTTATTTTGTGGCTATTAACAAACTGATTCTAACATTTATATAGACAGACAACTCAAAAGAGCCAAGACAAAATTGAAAGAGAAGAACAGAATTGAAGGACTGGCAGTACCCAACTTCAAGACTTACTACAGAGCTGCAGCAATCAAGACAGTAAGGTATTGGTGAAAAAATAGACAAATAGATCAATGATACAAAGTAGAGAGCCCAGAAATAAACCCACATGAATACAGTCAACCAATCTTTGACAAAGGAGTAAAGAGAAAACACTGAAGGAAAAAAAACATGGTCATTTCGGAAAATGGTGCTGAGACAACTGAACACCTATAAGCCAAAAAAAAAAAAAATCTAGACACAAACCTTACACATGTCAGAAAAATTAAAATGTACGTATAGAACTATAAAACTCCTAGGAGATAACGCAGGTGACTTGAACACACTGGTGGACTATGAAATGCTGGGCTACGTGAAGGGTTAGCACCTTCACATTCCAGGGCAGCCAGAGCCCGCAGTGCTGGACAAGCGACCATCTTCACCCCTTCCAAACTGCATGCAAATAGGCAGAGCTCGGGCGATGGGGAGTGGGCATGAGAGACCACCTTCTCACTGTTCTGCAGGAGAGATCATGTTCTATGAGTGGCCATTTACTGCCCTCTCCATCCTCCCCGTCCCCAGGCCCTGCCCTCTCCTGAGACCCTCAGGGAAGTGCCATGTTGCCTACAGTTTCCTTGGCCAACCTCTATCCAGCCAGAACGCTCTCCTCATTCTCCCACACTCAGGGGACTCTCCTGTCCCGTAGCCATCTGTCCCAAAAAGCTCTTCTTTTCTAACATGCCTGGGCTGCTTTGACCCCATCCTACTGGCAGGTGGAGAGGAACTTTGCAGATACCCTGGGTGCAGGTCCTAAGGTCCCTGGGGGTGGGGTAGGAGAGGCTGGCAGAACTGAAACCCAGGAAGGCAGGCCATCTGTCTCAGAAGGGGCCCCACGCTGGGGTTTCTCAAACTCTCAGCAGTGGAATTGCACTTCTGCAATGAAAAATTACACTTCTATTTTCTTTCCTAAAGGGAAAAAGGAAGAATGCAACAAAACTGAAGTATGTTCTGCCACGTTCCTGAACTGCAGCCATAGGAGCCCTCCCAGCCCTACCCAAACCAGCCTACTCCCTCTCAAGAGCTCACAGCTGCAGGACTAGAGCCAGATGTGCCCCGGCAATAAGGTAAGTTGAAGCCAGAGGGGCTTGAACCCATGGGGAGAAGGGAGGGCCTGGTGGGGCTGGGAGGAGGGCTCCCCTGAGACACACATTCTGGAGTGTCTTCCTCCTGCCCCGTCCCAAAGGCTGGATTTGTAGGGCTGGGTTTCTGTTTCCCCAGAACACCTGGGATCCAAAAGACACGGGACAGCCTGTCGTGGATGGGCTCCTCTTTAGTGGGAGATTTCTGTTAGCTCTGGTTGGAGCAGAGAGTAAGGCCACACAGCAACTGTGAATCTTTCTTCCTGAGGGATTCTTTCAGGGTCTCTGTGCCGTGATATTAGTTTCTGGGAGTGAACTCTTGAGTTTCCAGCCAGGCCTGACAGCATGGGTTGCCCAGCCCACCTGTCCTGGGCTCAGCCTGTAACGCATACCTCGAGAAAAGGCTTTCTGGCTGGGCGTGGTGGCTTACGCCTGTAATCCCAGCACTTTGGAAGGTCGGGGCGGGCGGATCACCTAAAGTCAGGAGTTCGAGACCAGCCTGGCCAACATGGCGAAACCCCGTCTCTACTGAAAATACAAAAATTAGCTGGGCATGGTGGCGGGCACCTGTAATCCCAGCTACTGGGGAGGCTGAGGCAGGAGAATCCCTTGAACCTGGAAGACGGAGGCTACCATGAGCCAAGATCATGCCGCTATACTCCAGCCTGGGTGACAGTGTGAGACTCCATCTCAGAAAAAAAAAAAAAAGAAAAAAAAGAAAGGCTTTCGGCAGACTATGGCCAGATGGGGTGTGGGTAGAGGCATATGTGTGTCTGTGCCTTAGGGGAAAGGGGGTGCCCTCAGGCCTCTGATAGTGAAAGGGTGCCCTCACTATCAGACTAAAAGGTCTCAGCCATTAACCTACTGCATCTAAAAGGCAGGAGGGGCAGCAGGTTCAAGACCTGGAGGGACATTGAGTTCAAGCCACCTGCAACAGGCTCGCTGTCCCACAGCCTTTGAGACATGATCCCATTTGTGGTCTCTCTGGGTGATTTCACCATGTGTGTGTGTGGGCTTCTCATTTAGCCACTCGGCAAATGTGCCCCTGGACATTTATGGTGGCCAGGCCCTATTTGTATGGGGCAGTGGAACATGGGGCAGCAAGAACCACAGCCCAGACCATACCCAGCCCTTGGGAGGCCTCAGGGGCAGGAAGAGAGGAACTCAGGGAAGACAGGACAAGGGCCCACAGAACTTGGGCATGAAATGCAAAGATGGAATGAATGGAGAGTAAGGTTGGCCAGGTGTCCTGGGGGATTCCCCCTGTTGTGGGAGTCAGAAGGCAGCGAAAGGTCACCTTCCCCAGGGAAGGGAGCTTCACAGGAGAGGTAACACTTGAACAGGGCCTTGAACCGTGGGCAGTATTTGGACACAGAGTTTGGGATGGAAGATGCATTCTTAGGAGAGAAATAATGTGAGCAAAAGCCTGGTACCCAGAGAATGTATAATTAGTTATTCAAATCCACTCAACCCTTGGTTCCTGTTGAAGATGATGGCAGGTCCTGGGCCACAGGGTGCTGGTGGACATAGCAGAGTTTGTGTTCCTCAAACCCATGCAGGAACAAAGCTGGCCATTGTGAGTGGCCTTCCAGCAAGTGCCCATAGTAACCACTCGGAATGTGCTAGCTGTTTACTCTTCACCAGGGTTTCTAGGCAGCCTTTCTGGTGGCCAGGACTAGGCTAAGCATCCTCCTTCTGTGTCCTTCCACACATCCTGATGCTAGAAACACCTCTCTCCTCCACCAGTGGGTGCTCCCAAGAGTCAGGGCTCGGTTCGTTGTTGAATCTGCTTCTCCCCAGCAGCTGGTTCCCTGCTTGGCTCAAAGGAGGATTCAGCAAGGGTTTGTTGTGTGACTGTCAGATACAAGGAAAATGTAGCCAGTCTGTCTACCCTTTCCTTTCCAAGAAGCAGGGCCAAGTTGTCTCCAAATAACCAAAAGATTACCAAATCCCCACCCTGCAAGCCAGCATGCCTTATCCCTTGCATAGACAAGGACAGATATATCTATACTACAGAAATCCAAAAGTCAGACAGAGTGGGTGGCATGTTCTATTCAGAGTATGAGAGAGACTAAGCTCATGACCTTCCACACCAATTCCAGCCTTGGCTCCATCCTGGCTTGGGCAGAGTGATTGTATGAACAGGCACAGGGCCCCTGAGGTGGGCAAGTGTGTCTGGGCTCAGGGAGCCACAGAGGTCTCTGACTGAAGCTGAGCCTGTGTGTCCATGTTCCAACTTCCCAGGACTTCTTCCATGGAGAAGCCCCTCACCGTCCTGCGAGTGAGCCTGTACCATCCCACGCTGGGCCCATCTGCCTTTGCCAATGTCCCACCACGGCTGCAGCATGATACCAGCCCTCTGCTTCTCGGACGGGGGCAGGACGCCCACCTCCAGCTGCAGCTCCCTCGCCTCTCCCGCCGTCACCTGTCCCTGGAGCCCTACCTGGAGAAAGGCAGTGCCCTGCTGGCCTTCTGCCTCAAGGCCCTGAGCCGCAAGGGCTGTGTGTGGGTCAATGGGCTGACGCTGAGGTACCTGGAGCAGGTCCCCCTGAGCACCGTCAACAGGGTCTCCTTCTCAGGCATCCAGATGCTGGTTCGCGTAGAAGAAGGCACATCCCTGGAGGCTTTTGTCTGCTATTTCCATGTCAGCCCTTCACCCCTGATTTACAGACCTGAGGCTGAGGAAACTGACGAATGGGAAGGCATCTCCCAGGGGCAGCCTCCCCCTGGTTCAGGGTAGCAGATCCAGGTTGCCTGGGGTTTCTCCACGGCCCTTCCCAGACTTGGGACAGCCCTCTCCAGCCAAGACCTGGAGGAGGAACAGAAATACAGCTCCAGAGGGAACCCCCAGACAGTGCACTCTGCTAGCCCTGCCACTAGAGCAAGCCTTTGCTAGATGAAACAGGATTTGAAATACTTGAGCTGCATCATGCAAGGTTGACAAGCAAAACCCACTGGCTGCCTTGCTCATAATGAACCAATTCTGCAAACACCGAACAAACAGCCCAGGGGGGAGAAGCACCCTCTGTGGCCAGAGCTATGCAATGTAATGGGAACATCATATACTTTTAGAGGCCCTGAGGGGTTCTGGGGAGCCTCTCTCAGCATTTCCACACATTTCTCCCTGTTGTCTGACTAGGAGTTACTTTATGTGGTTCATTTTGTGTGCTGCTTAAGAGCAGGAGTTTGAGGTTGCACCAGGAATGCGTGGACACATGTAACAATTACATTTGTGGTAGCTTGGGGTTACCTTCAGCTTTCAAATACCCACAGGCACGCGGGGCTTAGGAAAGCCTGAGTGTAATAAACTGCAAGTATTTCATTAAGCTGGCATACCCAATAGGATTCCCTGATCCCCAGATGGGCCACATGCACGCCACGCTGTCATGCAGACGTGGGGGTGGGAAATATAGACGAGGTGTAAGAGGAAATTGGAAAGGTGGGACTCACATTTCTGGAAAGGATGCAGGCAGGGCTCAGGGTTTCCTGAGGATGGGAGCTGGGAGCTGGGCCTGCCTGGAAATTCATTGTCCCCCTTATCATCCTCATCCTCACACTCCGCATTCTCTGTCACTTCTGGATCAAGGCCTTGGTTGACTTGAGGGCAAGGTCTTTAGGGAATGAGGGGATGGGGTGGGGGTTTGTGTAAGAACTCAGCCCAGCAGTTATTTCGCTCAGGGTGAGTCACACACCAATGGGGGTGGGGGAATTCCTTCCAAATAAGGGACTCGTTAGGAGCCAGGTACGCCAAGGGCAGGAGGATTTTCTCGGTGAACAAGGGCAGCAGCTATTTGCCACGCCATGCTGAGAAGGGGAGAGTGTGGTTTAGAAACAACGTTCACTAGTGTGATGCAGGGAGGGATCTACATGGTCACCATGATCCCAGACCCCACTCTCCAGGGAATCTGAGGCACCAAGGGCACAGCCCTGTTCCCCTGGCTGACTCGAATCTCTGGGTCTGTAGCTGTCAACAATTTCTGTTTTCTGCCCAAAAGGATGATCGTTTTGCACCCAGGGCAAGCTACAAGGAGGTCCAACTTCACTCACAGGCCCTGAGCATCTTCTCCATCAGGAAAACAGAGGTGGGCAAGACCCAGGCTTGCCCTGGTGTGGGAAGCTTCCTCTCCAATAGGGATGAAGCAAAAACACTCAGATCACAGCCACAAGGCAGGGAGAGCAGGGCTGCTAGGAAGGGGCTCTCTGATGCTGTGAATGACCCCTTGGGACCCCCAAAGCAGTTCCTCATTCATTCAGCAAACCTTCACCAAGCACCCACCTTGTGCCAGATCTGTGCAAAGCCACGGAACTGAACCAGAAGTGAATAAGGCAAACTCCCTCAGGGAGTTTACCTTGCACTCAGGAAAGTCAAGCATTCAGGAGTGCATTACTTATTTGATCACTACTATGATTAGTGCTATAGTCATTGTATTTTTCTCTCTCCTCCAGCTGGGCTCACATTCTCTTGTTAAGTGGCCTTGCCTGTTGAGTGCCTACCATGTGCTTAGCACTCTGCTAGGTGCTGTGTGTATTAACTGCACTTAACAGATAAGGAAACTGAGACTTGGAAAGGTTACATATCTTGCCCAACATCACACCATCAGTAGCTATGCGATTTGGGCAAGTGATTTAGTCTGCTCTTGCCTCTATTTCTCCCGCTGGAAAATGGGTAAGATAATAGTACTACCTGCTAGAGTTACGAGGGTCTTAGAAGGTGACACCTGTAAAGCATTCAATCAGTGCCCAGCACACACTTAATAAGGGTTAGCTACTATCATGAGACCTGAGAGAGGAGGGCTCACCATCCACACGGAGCTAAGGAAGACTCACACCCCAGTAAGCTGGCTCCAGAACCCAAGGGCTTACCTGTGCTCTGTGATTCCCCAACTAGGGATTTAGTTGTAGCCACGGACCTGGTAGGCAACAGGGAGGGGATTTTAATCTGCTCCTTGCATCAGAAGGTCCAATAGGCAGGGTTAGTATAATGGGAGATGCCCTGGTAGGGCTGGCAAGGAGAAGAAGCCACATGTATTTTGGTCTGATGAAAAGCAGCAGTGATCTGTCACTGACCAAAATGGTCCCCCAACTATGCATTACGGAGCAGCAACCCACATACAGAACTCGAGAAGCCACGGCCTGGAGACTGTACCTGGACACCAAAGACTGGAGAGAGGAGCTGGTGGGGAAACCCCAGAGTTCCCAGGGTGCCACTCCCCAGCTCCACCAGAGAACTTTGGGAATGAGCTGCTGCCCCTGAGTGCCCCTCTCCAGGGCCTCAGTGAGGGTCTCTACCCTCCAGGGAGGAACAAAACCTTGCCAGCTGGGGTCCTGCGAGAGGGGGCAGTTCAATTCCTCCACAGGGGACTCTGCAACTCCAATCTTTCGAGTGAAGCATCTGCGAGGCCCTCAGGGACCCAGGATGAACTGCATAGCAGCAGAAGGAAGACAGGCCAGACCAGGCGGGAGGGAGCCCGGAAACATCTGGTTTGTAGTTTCAGACTCTACCCGTTCACAGTTCACACAGTCTCACCGGGAAACTCACACCTTGCCCTGTACCAAGTTTTTAAGGCAGTTAAGCTCTGCCCATCCGAGACTTCATTTTTCTTGAGTAGAAAATCACTGAAATCATCAGATCCATGGCACCCACCTTCACTTTCTCCTAACAGCTGGAACCGTCAGGCTGGCTTCAGGGCCTGGTCTTCGCACTTGATATCACTATCCCTCACCTGCTCAGACAGCCAGAGCAGGCGGGTGAGTTCCTCCCAACAACCTCCACTGCATTCTCTCAGCTCCCACCGCAGGGCAGCCCACGTGCCTGAGTGAACATGTGTGCGTGTGCACACACGCAAGTATGCACAGACATACACTAAACACGAACATACAGTGCACATGAACGCTGCTCCCAGCTAGGGCCCTCTGGTCAGACTGCTGCCTGGGTTAGAATTCTTGTCCCCACCCCCACTTACTATAGTTCTGTGATCCTGGACAAGTAACTGAATCTCTCCGTGCCACAGTTTCTTCTTGTAGAAAACGGGAAAGTTCACAGTACTTACCTCCTTAGAGTCATTGTGAAGGTCAGTTTGAGGCATCACAAATTTAAGGCACCCAGACATAAGGGTCAACAGGGTTAGCTATCACTGTCCAGTTTGGTGGGAGGAACTGAATGCATGTAGGCACATGGACCCAGTCTACACTCAGGCACAAAAGGAGCTACATTAGTTACATTCAGGCATACCCCAGAGCACTACAATTCTCTGAGACATTGTCTGGAAATCTAGAAATCATCTCCTTGCCCTTTAAGGTATTTTAACCCTCGCATTCCTCTGCTTTTCCAAGAATGTGAATCTTGCCAAGCTGTCCGTGAGAGACACGGGCTCCCCTCGAGGGAGACTTGCAAATGCTCCATAAACAGCCACAGTGTGGGGCTCTGCCATGAGGAAGTCACAGCAGACACGCTAGACAGCATAGTCCTGGATGCAACCTGGAGGAAGGGAGGCCCATGGTGGAGCACTCACTCCGTGCCTGTCTGCCCGGTGAGACCTCAAGTTCCTTGCAGACAAAGGCCATGGGTTGTTGGCTCTTGTGTTCCCGGTGGCCTTTCCAGAGCTGAACAGAGGACAGATGCACAGACGGGGGGGCTCTGGTGGTCAAGGCAGCAGTCCCCTTGGATACTAAAGTCTGAGCCAGGCCCCTCAGGCCCGGCATGGGCAGTGCGAGGCCCATAGTGGTGGGAAGCCAGTTGGCCAGCTGGGGTGAGAAGGCCGCGAAGCCATGGGCAGACAGGAAGTGGAGGTGAATGTCTCTGCCTCCTGTAGGCCTCAGCAGGGACAGCACAGACCCTCTGGCTGGGGCAGCGCAGACCCTCTAGCTGGGGCAGAACAAGGCTGGTGCTTCCTTCTAGTCCTTGAGACTTTGTAGCTCTAACTCAAGCAGAACCCTGGGGTTTTGGGATTCTGTGTGGTGACTGCTGAGGAAGGTTTATGGATTTGACAGGGTGCATGTCACAGAGAGACAGTTCTCAGTCAGCACTTCCTGTCCCCTGCAGAGGCTCATAGGGGACAGCCCCTGCCAAGGAGACCCTGGAGGGGCTCTGAGGATAGCAATCAGAGGTTGGGCTGGCTGGACTGAGCCCAGGCCTGTTGCCCACCAAGTCTCCATAGGTTCTAGTCTGACCCCTCTCTCCACCCCTGGGCTATGCAGGCCAGCCCGTGCAGACCACCCCCGACGCGTCCACTTGCAACACCCGCCTCACTGTGCCAACACTCCATCCACACAGGAAAGGACTGAGAACGTGATGCTTAACCCAAAGGAGTGAGTTTCATAGGATGGGTGGCTTTAACAGTTTCACAGCAGGACACTGAGGGAATATTTCCCTATCCCTTCAAATGGACGGTCACTACAGAAACGTGTAGAGCAAGACTTTGTCAAGGGGCTGTTTCCAGGTCTCCCGGTGTCTAAATAGCAGAGCTGGAATGGGAACTGAGAACCGATTCTTTCCACAACCGCCCACTGAGCAGCAAGGCTGCAGCCAGCAAAGAGGTGCGGAGGCAAGCAAGCTCCATGTGGTGGGGACAGCGCATTGCGACCTCCACCACCCCTGCAGTGGGCTGCCAGCTGAGCCACCTGTCTTCCACTGTATCTACTGTACGAACTTCTCCAGCTCTGCTCTGTTTTCTCTTCCTCAGCATCCACCCCGTGACACGTAGTGGTGGCTGATGTCGCCACAGTACCATGAGGTTAACAGGTCCTCCCTCCAGCTTCCCTCATGGTGGCAGCCTAACCTGCATTGCAGCCGTTCACCGGACACCGCACCAGACCCTCAAAACCCATCCAAGACTGTGGGAGGAGTAAACAACCCAGCCCAGTTAAGAGGAGATGCCGAATTTAATGAACCCTATTTGAATTGCAGGGCTGTGATTCCTCTTACCTTTAACGTGAACTCACAGGCGGATTAAAGTGAAATAAAACCTACCATTTGAGTTACATTCTCAGCTGATTGGAAACATGCATTGCCTCCCCATGACCGGGCCGTGAGAAGGGAAGTTATTATCTTTCTTTAGAGTTTGTAAACTCTTTATGGCTGAGGCAGCTTTAATCCTGCTGGGGAAAAAAAAGGATCCGGGAATCAATTGCTCCTATTTACCTTTGTTTTCCAATCACATGCTCCAGTGGGAATAAAACATCCTAAGTGAGGGGATGTGGGGAGCCAGGTGATCCCTGACAGAAGAGTTTGATTATTTTCTTCTCTAGGCATGTGAATTGAAGGAACTTTAGAGTTCTATTTGGCAAGGGGTCTCATTTCACAAAAATGTGCACCCCAGTAAGGATATCAGCACTCCTGGGCCATTACTGGTTCCTCTGCCTTTTCTTTCCAGAGGAAATGCCCTCCATTCCCCAACCATGCCCACTTCTTTAAGGGGTGCTGGCAGCAAAGGGCCCAGCTCCAGGCATTTGGCCAGGAAGGAGTCCGAGTACAGGCAGATTTGAATCCAAATCAAATCAGTCCAGGAATGAGGAGAAAACCTGTGGAGACTGGGGCTGTGGAGGAGGCTCTAGGCTCTCTTTCCCCCTCTCCCGTTTCTCTGACCCTCCCTGTGTGTTACCTGACAACACAGTTCACATGCAGCAGGTCCCAAGTAAGGCCGGCAGGAGGGCCCAGGCTCTGAGCCAAGCACTCTAACTGCTGGAAGGGGGCCTGGCTGCGATGTTTGCCTTGCTTTCCTTTAAAGATGTGGAGGCAGGGGATAGAGGTGGGAGTTTTCAGAATAAGGCAGAGGCATAGGCCTTTGGAGCGAGAGCACAGCCAGGCAGCCAGACACGAGGTTTCCATAATTGCTTCTCTGAGGGATCAGGGGCTGTCATGATGTCATTTGCTCAGAGGGCTTGCTACAGATGGGCTGAACATGGACCCTATTAAGTCACCTTGTTCAGTGGGAGGCCTATCATTCAGGATCCAGTCAGAAATACAAAAGCCAGTCTAAGTATGCAAAAAATGTAATTCAGGGAATTGGGTAGGGAATCACTGAGAAGCCAAATAGGGAATGTAATTCAGAGATTAACAGAGATTGTTCCCACTGCTGGCTCCAGGCTGGAGCGCAACTGAGAGGGGGTGTTACTGGAGTCACAGTGGGGAATGTCCAGCCCAGGGCTAGAATACCATGGAGGCCCCCTATGGTAGCTGGGACCTAGAGGGAGAGGAGCCACAGAGGAGAGGCAGCTGCCGCCAGCAGCTGATGAGGTGATTCCACTTGACAGGCTGACAGAGGAATGAATACGTTGGCTTCTCTCCTTCTTTGGCCCCCCAAACCCCATTGGCTGAAGCCAGCCAGAGGAAAGCTGACTGGCAAGCCTGAGAAATGCAGCCTCCAGGGGTCAACTTCCCCGCAGTACAGAGCAGGGGATGAAAGAGAGAATCACGGTCCTGACGACAAACAGCCAAATGGCCAGTACAGAGACCATGGCCATGTCAGTGCCCCTCAGCCTCGCCTGGGGCCCTGGGGTGGCCACCAAGTAGGGAGAGCAGGAAGGAGAGGCCACACCACAGAGGACTCCACCCTGCAGGGACTCCTGAGGGGCAAACATAGGTCCCCACCATCATTGTCACCCCAACCTATGTGACCTTCAGCATCTGTAAGGATGGAGGGAGGAGGGCAAGTACCACAGATGAAGCACAGAGAAGACCCAGGTACAGCCTGGCTGGACCCACACACAACTCACCCAGATGCCCTGCTTTGAACACCAGCTCCCGAGATAGGCAGAGGGCAGGGCAGAGACACCTGTCCTCAGGAAGCCAACAGGCCCAAATCCCACTGCCTTCCACTTACAGAATCCAGAAACTTCCTTCCTCCCCCAAGCCACTTTTCCCTCACCTATACAATGGGGATACTATGAGTACCTATCTCACCTCTGTGAAGATGAAAAACACAACATGAGTGTGCCAGGTGCAGGGCTGGGCCCATTTCACATGCCAGTCGGCTGGAACCTCCCACTGGCAGGCAGAGCCCTGCCTGTGGCAGAAGCCGTCTTGGACATGTCTGTAGGTGAGCAGCCACCTACACACAGTAGGTCCTCAGTCAGGGCTCTCTTGACAGGAGAGAGAGTTGAGAGGAAGAATTTGGGTGGGGTGAAAGCAGACCACTAGGGTCAAAGCTCTGAGAAGAACCTCAGTCAAACCACAATACAGCTCCTGACAAAAAGGGGAAAATATATTTTAAATAAATAAGTGCCCTGAGTGAGAAGAGGAAGGGTCAGCGGTCTTGCTCAGTGAATGGAACCACGGTATCCAGGGGACCCTGAGCCCGGAAGCCCATGGCAAATTCCAGCAGGGCCACGCAGGGCCCCACACCCCATCCCTCTGCTACCTGCCAACAGGGTTTCCTGTTTCCAGATGGGCCTCGTCTCCTTGGTGTGACACGACCACCCAGCCCTTCCCACTCAGAAATACACGCACAAGGTCCAGAGCTCCCAAACTTGGAGAGCTGCCCCGGGAGTATTAGAAGCAGGCAGGCTGGAAGCTTGACGTTAGAGGCTTCCAGATCCAGCGCTGGGCCTCATTACTGGGAAACACATGGTCGTCCCCTGTGGACACTCTTGGAGGCCAAGGCAGGAAGCTAATCCTCGGGGGTCTCTGTCTTTCAGTTTTACGTTCCTCTTCCCCTGGGCCTACAGGGTCTGTGGTTGCAGTGCAGAATTCAAGCCAAAACATCAGAAAGCCTCATGTGGTCTGACTTCTCCTTCCCCTCTCCATTCCCCAACACACACACACACACACGCACGCATACACACACACACACACACCCCTGCATACACATATCCATCCATACATACACACATGCATACACACATACCTGCATGCACACACACACATGTATATACACATGCATACATACACACACACACCTGCCTCTGGGCTCTGTCAAGCACCCCAGGTAAAGTGTTGGTTAGAAAACCACATGATAATTATGAGCTGTGAGTTTTGCTCCACAGTTATAGAAAGGGAAAATACTTCCACTTGAGATTCTCAGCCCGCTTTACACACCGGAGTGAATATTTTGGCTTAGCTCAGAGGAAAACAGAAGCAGAGAAGCGACCCCACTAGAGGAATGGTAGGGGAGCATGCTGGGAAGGTCAGAGTGTTCTGGATAAAGGGATGCATGCCGTAAGAGCTGGCCACAAGTTCCTGAGAAGGCTGGAACAGCTAAGTCTGATGAAGAAAGCACTGGATTGAAAGGAAGACGTTCAGCATGGCTGAGCGATTCTGAGAAAGTCACCAGGAGCTCTGCACACTTCATTTTGCCCATCTCTACAGACAGAATTGTGCTGACAAATGTTTAGCAGCTCTCTGAGTGGCAGAGGCGCTCTGATTGTAGTGTTTGCTGATGTCCGTGATGTAAATTGTCTTACCACAGTCAACTTCAAGGTATCAAAATGACATCACTGAATGTGGAATTGGAAAGAGACACACAGTAAGCCCACCATCATGTGGCATTCCCACCACACAGATACAATCAGTGTAAATAGCCCCAAGGCCATAGATATAGTAAGGTATAGTAAAATAATTAGGAAGCAGTGAGTTTTGATTTATTTATTCACTTTGTATTTAATATCATTTTGCCATAAGTTCATATAATTGTTAATAACTTAGTTACATTAAAAATTTAACAGTTTAATGAGTCATTAAATATAATTTAATCATTTAACAATCAGCTTTTATCAAACACTGTGAGACAGTTCCAGCGCACCACTGCATGGAAAAAGTTCCAGACCCTTGTGCTCAAGTGCTGGCTGGAAAAACAAGTTAATGTCTTGGAAATAAACTTGGTACCTAAGCAGAAGCCCTGGAAAGGCCAGAGTTACCATTCTAAGAAACACGTACAATATTTTGTTATTTAAAAGTGAATTCATTTATATTTATCATACTAGATATTTAAAATAACTTTGAGGATGTTAAACCATTCCATGGTATAGATGAGGAAACAGGATCAGAGAGGGAAAGGGAGGCCAAGCCCACTCAGCTGGCATTTGATTTACTCTAAACCCCTCTCTTGTCTCCACCCCTCCCTTCGTGGCCTTGGTGAGGGGCAGCCCACACCAGCACACAAGCTCTGACTGCACTCCACTGTCAAAGCTCACCTTACAGGCATCGCCAGACACGGTTCACAACTGGAGTGCCTGTGCCAGGCCTGGACTTGGCCCTCTGGCTTTAAGGGAATATTAAGTAAGAGGTCACACTCACTTCTTTCCTAGGACTTCTGTCACAGAGCTCGGGGACAGTGACATTCAGAGGGTGCCTTCCTTCCAAGATTGGAGGAAAACACAGCTCTCTGAGATCCACCCATTTCTCTGCCCTCTGGGACACAGGATGTTGGTGTCTCTGCTAAACTGATCAGAAGGCAGCAGAAGGGCTTTAAACTCAATTCTCTGAGCTGTAGCCAAACCCCAAGGCCTCCTGGACACCGAGAGCTGGACAGTGCCTGGCTGACCACCCAGGCTGCATGCAGCGTTACCCAGCAGCCCCTTGGAGATCCCCAGACAGGCCACCACCCCGCCCCGCAACATGGAGCAGCCAGCACTGGATTCCAGGACCTCTGCTTGGGGCTCAGATCCCAGACCCCCAAACTCACATGTGGCTGGAAACCAGCCCCCACAAAGTCCTCCCGTGCAAAATGAGACCTTCTCCCACCTCCCACCTTCCCCCAGCTTGGCTACTTCCCCTCCAGCTTCTGGGTAGGAGATACTCCATTGCCCAGGCCACACCCCCTCAATCCTTTGTCATTTCAAATTTTCTGGCATGTAGGTTTGGTATGCTTGGCTCTTTTAAACATCACGCTTTATGGCCCTTTGCAGTGTAATTTCGTTCCTGTCCTGCCATTCAATTTGAATTAAATATCAAACAGATGTGAGTCATTTTTTTTGCTCTTTTTAAAGAAAAAGTTTAATATTAGAGAGCATGCCCTCCTATAAGATCAGGAAAGCCATTTGGAGAAATAAGCCCCTTCAAATTAAAAAAGAATCACATTGATTAACGTTAAGATGCTTTCAAGTGATACATTTCGAAGTGCTAAGGGAAGGTGTTTCCAGCAAGCTATAAAGCAGCCCGTAGAAAGAAGGGGAAGATATACGGCCCAAGGCTGATGGGGAAATTGGAGCTCTGAGAAGGGGCAACCCCACCTGGGAGGAAGCTCTGAGCTTGGAGATGAGGTTCACAGATGATGTTGGGGGAGGCCATCTTCCCTGAAGGCCTTAAGCGGGCCCCTGTGCTCTGCAGCCTGTGTGGTCAGGCCGGGAAGGGAAGCGTGAAGGAGCTCCATTTTGCTCAGAGAGCTGGCCTGGCCTGAGTGCCCATTCCTCTTCCTCACATGCGTGTGCTAGCTTGGCCTGTCTCCCTCAGCCAGCTGTCCCCAGTGATTTTGTATGTCTGGACATGCTGAATGGCTTAATCCACTCATTCCTGCTGCAGTCTCTCGGGTAGTGCAGTCTTTGGCTTTTTGTGGGTCTTGGACACCTCAGAAAATGATAGCTATGGCTTCTCTTTGCACATAGGAACACACGCAACTTGCATTCAACCTCAGGAGCCTATGGTTTCCTGGTGTAGATTCTCCCTCTTCCCCCAGCCCAAGACAGCCAGAGCGTAGAGCATTCCATTACCAGGACACTCAGTGCACAGGGCCAAGGCCTTCCTCTCACAGAGAACGGGAACCTATGTTTACTGAGCACCACGTGCCTAGCACTGTGTAGGGGCTTTTGCATGAGCCAGAGGAGCTGGTCGGTCTCCAAACTGCTCTCCCTTCTTGGCAACATGCATACCTGGAACTCAGTGTTATTGGACCTGCTGCCGTTCATGGCTACAAGCCAGGGCTGCTCCTAGCGCCGCCTCAGGCTAAAGTATTTCCATGTGGTCCTTTGACTCACTGCACCTAAAGGCAGCTCTCCAACGACAGCCGGCTCACTACAAATGGCATTTCCACGTGGCAGGGCAAGGAGCCAGAAGGCATCTGATTCCAGCTGGTCTTGAACATCCTGGACCCTGGGACAAGGCTCTGCATACCCAAGGTTTGCCTCTGGGATGACGTGCAAGTGCCCAGAGACCATGGGGAGCATCAGGCCCCACTGATGAGAAACAGAACCAACACTTCCTAGAATTCCTCAGACAAAAGAGAAGTTGAGTTGAGGGATTTAGAGCAAAGAAAAGCCTAGACTTCGGTCTCAGACAGCCAAAGTCTGGATCCCAGCTCTACCACTTACTGGCTCTGTGACCTTAGGCAAGAGCTCAACCTCTCCCAGCCTCAGTTTCTTCTTTCTGTGAAACAGGAGTATCACAGGTCTTACAGGGTGTCTGGGAGGATAAAATGGGGGTGCCTGTGAAGGACTCTGCACCGTGCTTGACCGACATTAAGGCCTCAATGTTTGGAAATTATCTTTTTGCCCCCTTCCCTCCAAGGTGACAAGCCTCCTATCTGATGGTGCTTGCTGGGGCCTGGGGGACTGGGAAGTGAGTCACAGCAGGCTCAGTCCCTGAAGGAACCATACCGATGGCCACAAGAGGAGCCGCAAATGCAAAAGGAGTGTGCGTTACTGTCTCATAATTCCTGTTTCAGGGGAGGGAAGAGGGGGGAGGGGAGAGGGGAAGAAAGCAGCAGAAATATCTGCAAGTGGTTTTAGAAGAGGAATTGAAATTCACAAGCCACTGCTGCCATTCCAACCGTTATTTTCATCCACGGCAATTCAGTCGCAATGTACCGAGATTCATCCTGAGAGCCTTGGGTGTGGGGGCTGTGGCGGGTGCAGCACAGAAATGGTGAGGCCCAGCTTCTGCCCTCCAGGGACCCAGGACCACATCCAGATTCCAGAAGGACTCTGAGCTCAACCTGACAAAGGCTGGTCTGGGCAGAAGGGGTTTCTGAGCGGGGCAGGGACGAAGTCATACCTTGAAGGATGGGCCGTCTGCTGAGAGAGAGGGACAGCCCCTGGCTATGCCTTGCTGCCCACTGGGCAGGGGCCCAGGGACAAGGTAGCCAGCTCTCTGAGTTCTCCATTTAGCCCCCTCCACCTCCCAGCTCACATAGCCCCACACGACAGACATTTATTTGTGTTTCACTAAGAACAAGAGGTCCTTTCTAAAGGGGCTGCTCGCTGCCCAGCCTGGAAACTCGTAACAGCAATGAAAACACATTTCTCTTACTCTGCAGCTAACAGGGTCAGCAGAGTGTCACTCAGAGTCCTGAGGATGTGGGTGAGGCTCCACTCCCAGCCCCTCCTCAGGAGCCCAGGTCTCTCTCCAGGTGACAGGGGCAGGGGGAGACATGAGGCCCTAGGCTGTTAAAAGGGGCTTACTATGACGGTGGCTTAGCCCCATAGCCTCCAAGATCCCCAGGATGCCCAGTCTGAGTCCAGAACCTCGTGTGGTGGCCACATGCATTCTGTTGACTGTTTCCGTGTTCCCTACGGGGCAAAAGCTCAGCCACAGGCTTTTCTCCAGCGTTTGGGACCACATACATTCTGTCCTGGACTGATGACATGGAGTCTTCTCCTAGTAGGAACTTGATAACTTAGACACATTCATATCTGTCTCTGCTCTTATTTAATTTTCGTGTTTTAATATGCATTTAACTACGTGGATAACTGAAATGTATTTAAATAAACATTTACTTACATGCCCCTCCAATCTTCCTCAGGGTACACACTTTCTCACAGTTGTAATCAGGCTACACAGACTCATTTTCCTCAGTTATTTCTTGGAATTTCATATGGCTCCATCCTTGTCATATTGAGCTTATTGGTTACACATTATTATGTCACAATACACCTTAGTCTATAACTAACCAATGAGCATTTTAACTGGTTAAAATGTTTTTGCAATGGTTAATGTAATACTTCAAAGTATTCATCAAATACTTTTTCTTTGGAACAATTCCCTTGAGAATGTTCCCAGGGGCTGCATGCTTTGTGGATCCTCTATGTGCCTGATGTTTTGCAGACTATCTCATTAATCCATGTGCTGATCCAGCAGACTTTGTTCCTATGATGCCCATTTTACAGATGGGAAAACCAAGGTGGGTAGGGTTGGAGTGGACATTTGCCCAGAGCCAGCCAGTGTGTCTCCATGAGCCATTTCTTGGAATGCCCCTCCCTCCAGGTATACTCTAAGTGTAACGGGAGCCCCGAGTGCCTTTACCCATGGCAGTGAATAACAATGGTGGGATGCTTCAGTGGCAGTGAAAAGCTGGTATGGGATGAAGAAAGCTGCTTCTTCAGCCTCTGAAACCACTGCTACAGATGGCCATCTTGAGCCAAGCCCAGGGCTGCCCTCCCCGACCCCTCCAGAGACCCTTTAAGTAAAGGAGGAGGTGGTTTTTGGATCTCTAAGCCCCTCTGAAGATGTGAAAATGGGGGCAGGTCAGCCACATGAAGCGCCAGCTACAATGTGTAAACACACCTCAGGGCGATGCTAATCTCCAGGTCAGGCCCTGGTGCCACCAGCAGCCCACTGCAGACACAGAGGCTGGGGTGGTTCTGGCCAAGGGCGCTGTGTGATCTCGTGTCCATGGCAGAATGTCACCGGGTTCCCAGGGCCAGGCAGCAGACCACTGGTTGGCACCTCTGTCTGCCCTGCAACGGTGTGAGTGCCCTGTCCAGCCTTCCCTAGATGCAAAGCTGCCACAGTTGCCAAGCCAGAGAGGGGCCCATGGGCTCATGCAGGCATCTCAGCCCCTGGTTGTGCCCCTGGGTGAGGTGCACGGGGCTAATCAGAAACACCTGTGTACATGGAATTTCCTGCCCCAGTTCAGCCTTCATTTCCTCTGCCAGTAAAAACCCAAGACGTGCAAAGGTGAAAGAAACCAGCCAGTCAATCACCCAGACGACGGCCACCAGGGCCGCAGAGACAGGACTTTCTAAATTAAATTTTAATTCCCACCCGATGGCCCAGCTGAGACAGCCATGATTCAAACCTTGCAACGGGCTGCCTTGGCCAGGCAGACCTTCACCCAGGTCCTTGCAGGAATTAACCCCACCCCCTGGCCAGCGGACGGTGCTGTCTGCCTTGGCCATCGGGTTGTAGAATGAGACCCCAAGAATGAAAGGGACCCCCTTTCCCTTCAACTTCATTGTGCAGCTGCAAGAGTTGCCCAGCTGATTAGCTGCTCACTACTTCAGACTGAATTATTAGGTGCTGGAGAGATCAGAGCCCGCCAGTGACTCGGGGACATTTAGCAAGACAACATCAAAGGCAGGGGCTGCCCGGGTCCAAAGTGTAGGATAACGGTTAGAGCCCGAGGGTCTGGGCTCTGTCCTGGCGCAGCGGGTTTAGGTGAGGAGAGAGTCGTAAAAATGCCTCCGTTTTTCCAGAACATTTTTCCAGAGATTCCTGCAGGCTCGGGGAGGAGGGGCTTGGCGTGAGAAGAAGAGAAGTATTGAGCTGCCCACTTTATGGTCAAACAAACTGCAGCATCTTCTGGGAGAATGACTTGCCTGACCACACAGCTGGCTGGGAGCAGCTCGCCAGGCTGAGCCCATCACCGGAGACTGAGTCACGACCCCCATCTCCCAACCTCAGCCAGACATGGGAGGGACAGGGAGGTGGCCTTTAGAGGCAAATATCCAGGGGTAAGAACTCGGGCTTGGGAGTCATGGAGTCCTGGACACGAAGCCCAGCTTGTGCCCTTCTGCAGGCTGACTTTCCCCAGTCTCAGCCTCATGGTCCACAAAATGGAAAATAACTGTAGCCCCCCCTAGCCCTAACCCTCATAGGATTGCTGCAACGAGAACAAGGGCAGAGGGTGCTTTACGCTGAGGAATGTGATGAGCCAGGGCCAGATGGGGCGACCTTTGAGAGAGAGCTTCTGCTTCTCTGCCTGTGGCCTATCAGCGACAGTCACCACGGGAGCAGGAAGAGATGGCCCTCCCTTCAGGAGGATCTGAACCCCTGCTGGACACCACTTCCTGTCAGCCTTATGTCCGGCACCACCATGGTGAGACACATATGTCCCCCTCTCCATTCTATCTGATTGGCCTCCTTGTCAAGGGGCCCAAATGCATATCACTGGCGATGGTGGGCGAGCCGGCAGGGTCAGGAGTACTGGCACAAATCCTCCTTAGTTTTGCAGAAGCAACTGCACAAGAGAATGTTTGGGATCTTCAGGGCAGCAGATGGGGCTGGAGGCCATGGGCCGACTTCCCAGCAGAAGGACTGTGTAGCGCTCCCCAGGAAGCAAAAAGTGTCCCAGGGTTTCAAATCTGCCTTCTTTTAAAAATAGCTTTATGATTTTTAAATGATCCATACCCGTGCTCTACTGCAACTACATACAGTAACAACATTGCTCAACAATGTTGAGCAAAGCCAGCCAGACACAAATGAGTTCACACTGTGTGATTCCATTTATATGAAGCTTAAAAATAGGCAAACAGAATCTCTGGAGTTTAAATCAGGAAATGGGTCAGCCCTGGGGGGTGGTGACTGGAAGTTGACACTGGAGGTAAGAGCGCCTGTGATGTTCCCTGATCTTGGTGCTGGCTACATGGGTATGACCACGTAGTGAAATCCCCTGAGCCACACACTTATGACTTGTGCACTTTTCTGTATGTCTGTTATATCCAATAATAAATTTCCTTAAAATAAATGGTCAGGCTCATAGCAACATTGTATGTACAAATAAATAAATATGAAACATTGGGCCAGGCACAGTGGCTCACGCCTGTAATTGCAGAGCTTTGGGAGGCTGACACAGGAGGCTTGCTTGAGGCCAGAAGTTCAAGACCCGCCTGGTTTTAAAAATTGCAACAACAAAAAAAATGCATAAAATAAATATAAAACATTGATCCTTATTGAAAAAATGTTTTTTACAATAGAAAATTGGAAACATGTCATTTATCCTACCATCCAGCTTAATTCTTATAATGTTTTATTATATTTCCTTCCCACCTCTTTCCATGTACTGTGTATGTATATTTGGTACTTTTAGTATTATTCTTATATGTAAAATTATAGATCTAACTTTTTTCTTTGTGTCATATTGTGAAGATTTTTGTACACATCTTTAATGACTTCTAAAAACTATCCTGATGAGTATACTATGCCACCACATGGACACATCATGCTTTAACTTAGTGGTTCTCAACCGGAGTGGATTTTGCCTCTCCCCAGAGGACATTTCACAATGTCTGGCTTGGGGAGAGGATACTACCAGTATCCAGCAGGTAGAGGCCAGGGAAGGTCTGTGTCTTGTTCACTTCCATTTCCCAGGGGGCTGGTCCAGACCTGGCACCTGGTCGGGGTTCAGTAAAAATCAGTAGGATGAAAGTGACCCTTCCTCTTTCCTCCCTTGCTTGTGAAGATGACCTGTACTTACATTTGAGTTTCTAGGCCAGGCTCTTTTCTGTCTTTTTCCCTGGATGGGACATATTAGAATAGTTTTTGAAAATGTGTCTAAGGGACTCAGGGTGAAAGTGCAAACCAATCTCAAAGAATACCTGAGTTGCCAGGCAGCAAGAAGACACTGGCACACATTCTCAAAGATGAGCCCAGAAGATATTTCATAATTGCCCAAGACAGTCTCATTACTTTAGTCTAGTAATTATTACTAGACATTATTATAGTCTAGTAATTTGCTTACTTTACAGGCAAGGAAAAATTTATTCAAAATATACAATATATTGTGCCGATTACTGGGAGTAGAATACTGGAAGAGAGATCATATACCACTGATGGAAGAAGTACAAACCTGACCCTGGCACTGGGAATATTAGGGAGAGAGAACCATCTCTCTCTCATCATTAAGGCACGACCATCTTCAACAAAACCAGAACCCAGAGTCACCTCCTGCCTCTGGCCTTTGCTGGACCCAGCAGAGGAGGCTGGCTGGAGAAATGCAGGGCGGAGAAGGAACCAGGACAGGGCTCTGAGGCCGCCCTAGAGATGGGTAGATGGCACTGCAGGGCCCCAGATCTCAGGGCCACCGGGTTGATTTTAGAGTCACTGCTAGTCCTTTGACCCCAAGACTGCCATAATCAGACTCAGCCTGGATAAACTAATGTGCCCATCCAGACTCTCAGACTCACTGGGGCTCAGTGAGCCCCTGGACCCTGCATGGAGTGGCATACCTTCCTCCTCGCAGTGTGGAAAGTGCTCTGCTTTCAGGACAAGCTCTGAAAAGCAGCATGAACTGTTTTGTTTTCTCGTTTTGTGCAAGAAAGCCAGTTGGCATACCCTATCTGTATTTCTAAAGTGGCCATGGATTACCTACATCAGAGGCACTTCGGATGCTTGTTAACAAGGTACATACTGGGGCCCCACACTGGACTTCCTGACTCAACCAATCTGGGAGCAAGTGCCAGGAATCAGAATCTCAATAAGCTCTTCAGGCAATACACACACACACACACACACACACACAATATACACATATACATACATATATACACACATATATATACACATATACATATATAAAACATAAAACATGTCATTTTAACCATTTTAAATATTCAAGTCAGTGTAATTACAATTCACATTGTTGCACGAACATCTTCACTGTTTTCAACATTTTGTGTGTGTGTGTGTGTGTGTGTGTGTGACGAAGTCTCACTCTGTTGCTCAGGCTGGAGTGGAGTGGCACGATCTAGGCTCACTGCAACTTCTGCCTCCCAGGTTCAAGTGATTCTCCTGCCTCACCCTCCCGCGTAGCTGGGATTACAGGTGCCCATCACCACGCCTGGCTAATTTTTGTATTTTTAGTAGAGACAGAGTTTCACCATGTTGTCCAGGCTGGTCTCGAACTCCTTACCTCAGGTGATCTGCCTGCCTCGGCCTGCCAAAATGTTGGGATTACAGGTGTGAGCCACCACGCTGGGCCGGTTTCCAGCATTATCACCCCAAACAGAAACCCTATCCCCATTAAATAATAATGTTTTCCCCTTCCCCCAGCCCTTGTAACCTCTAATCTACTTTCTGTCTCTGTGAATTTACCTAGCCTAGATATTCATCTAAATGGAGTCATACCATATGTGTCCTTTTGTCTCTGGCTTAGCTCACTCAGCATAATGTTTGCAAAGTTCATCCATGTTGTATCATGTAACAGAACTTCATTCTTTTTTATGGCTGAATAATATTTCATTGTATATATGCACGCTACATTTTGTTTATGCATTTATCCTTCTATGGACACTTGGGATGTTTCCACCCTTTGGCTATTATGGATAATGCTGCTATGAGCATTAGAGTTCAAATATCTACTTGAGTCCCCGCCTTCCTTTTTGTGTTTGTGTGTATACCTAGAAGTGAAATTGCGGGGTCATATAGTAACTCTATGTTTCACTTTTTGAGGAACTGCCATACTGTTTTCTATAGTAGCTGAAACATTTTCTATTTCTACCCACAATGCATGAGGGTTCCAGTTTCTTCACATCCTCACCAATGCCTGTTATTTTCCTTTTTTTTTTTTCTGCCTAATGTGCATAGCTTTGGGATGTGGGAGGAAACCCGAGTGCCCAGAGAAAACCCACGCAGGTATGTGGATAATGTGCCAACTGCACACAGACAGTGGCCCCAGGCCGGAATTGATTGTTTTTTTTTCTCATCAATCTTATAACGAAGCAACATTGGATGAATGGACATTATGGGAGGACTCACTGTATAGCCGTCTCAGTAGGTGCGAAGTGGAATCTCACTGTTGTTTTCTTCAGATCATTCTCACACACGCTAAAGTTGGAGAACTCTGTTGTCAATAAAACAGAGCACTCAGCAGAGAGACAGGGACCCAGGGTAAAGAGAAGGGGATTTTTGTCACTTTTCAAAGAGTTCATTTTTTTAAAAAACAAACGCTGGTTGCTAATGCTGAGTTCAGTGGCCCATCGAGAGCATTCCATAGTCCTGAAGTGAATTTGAAGAGTTTGGGGGCTGCAAAGACTGGATTTAGAGTTGCGAGGCTGCAGGCAGGCTTGCGTGAGCGGGGCAGCGGGCCAGTGTGGGTGACAATGGTGCTGTGGAAGCCCATGGGCAGGGCTGCACTCTCATTAAGCTTTCGCTGGTGAAAGGGATTGAGTCTGAACATCTCTCCAGGGTCTAATAATTTTATGAGTCGGCTTTGTGGGATAACTTCACTTTTTTGGAAGCACTGTAATGAGAATGCGCAATAGGAAAAGTGCCAACTGGCTTTTTAATAAAGTCATCTGAGGCAGGGGTGGAAGAACAACTTCCCTGCCTTCCCACCAACACAATTTGTGCAACAGGACTCAGAGGGGAAGATACCAGGCTTCGGGCCCATCTTGACAGACACCAAATAGAGGGATTTTCTTATATTCCAGGACTCTGGTCCAGGCTGAGTAATAAATCTCTCTGGAAGCGGGGGATGCCTCCTCATAACCCTGTATCAGCTGCCCATTAGTCATGGGGGTTCTGAGGGTCTGGGAAGGGTTGCGTGGTACCCAGAGCTGACCCCTGAGCCCCCGTAGAGGCTGCTCTCTTCCAAATCCCAAATCCTGCCAGAAGAAATGCTCATTGCTTTAGGTGTAATTGTGCTTATTTGGCTACACTGGGACAATTAGCAAAGCAGAGTTCTGTGGGTAAGAGCACTCTCAATGGGACTTGTAAGAGCCACAGCCAAGAGATCAAATAACCCCCTTGCTCTCTGTGCAGCAGGCCTGGAGTCCATCAGAAGGACACGCCCAGCCAGCCACGATGTAACGTTGGTGCAGACAGCTAGCGGGGCAGTGAAGCAAGCAATAAAGAGGCCTAATCTCTTAAGGCAACATGAATTGTTGGCGAGAACACAAGGGGAAAGCAACGTTAGCCAAGGATCATTTTCTTCTTGTTGTAGATGCCTGCTGACTGCTTGGAAAAACCAAAGTGGGAAAAAATCCTGCTAACACTGGTGGGCAGCAAGATGCAATTTACAGGACTGGTTCTGTACACAGTTAGTCTTCTTGTAATGATTAGTGACTACTATTGACTGAGCGCTCCTTCTGCAACAGGTATTTTACATTTAATAGCTTGCCTAATCCTCATGATCCTGAAAAATTAGCAGTATTATCACCCCGTGTTGGTCAAGTTCAGTGTAAGAAACAGAAGTCACTCTAAGTATTTCAAGCAAAAGAGGATTTTCATAGAGGGAATCAAATGTTTATAAGATTGTGGTTAGGGCTGGAGGAGCATGTGCAGGGGGGTGACAATGAGCAGTTGGATATGTGGACACATCACACAGCTGAGCTATCAGGAAGCTGCTGTAGCTGCCACCAGAGCTACTGTCACGACTACTTCTCCCACCCTTGAAGCTAGTGACCATCTTCCTTGGCTGCCTCTAAACTCACCACAACCAAGTTTACCAGCAACCTCAGAGGGAGGAAGAAGGTGTCCCTCAGTTCTGCCTTATAGACCTCTCACAAGAACCATGACTAGTGGAATTTATTTCCAGCCAGAGCCCTAGCTGCAAGGGAGTCTGGAAAGCTTTCCAGGCTGCCCAAGGAAGGAGAGTAGAAGTGAGAATTAGAAGACCTTGCAGCCCCATTTTTCATTTGAGTCCAGAGAGATTAAGTCATTTGCTCAGGATCATCCAGTTGGTAGTGGAGCCATTACTTGAGCCCAAGTTTGTAGGACTCTGAAGCCTGATCTTCCCATTGCTTTCCAGAGAATTTAGGAGAAAAAGCGTACTACATGTTCTAAGCATTCCTTTTAATTATAATTATATTGGATGGTTATTATTTGATCTGATTAAATTCCCAGTGGATTATTCTGAATTTTAGAGATAATGACTCGACTAGGGCAATTGTGACAAATGAATTGTTCCAGTATGAGGGGAGAGGGGGTAAAGAGGGTGAGAGAAAATAAATGGGTCTAGTCTGGATTTAGGTGCAGAGCAAACCTGTTTTCCCCTAGATCCCTATTCCAGGCTCCAGGTTCTGGAGCCCCAGCCATGGGCAGCCTGGGGAGCTTTACAGCATCATTGTTGGAGGACAAGCATGGAAGAGCAACACTCACAATTTAGTCTTACTGGCATTTAGGTGTCATGGATTAGGGCATTTCATCCACACAACAACTTATGAAGGAGGCAACTATCTCCATTGAATTTCATACGAGGAGATTGCGTCTCAGAGAGGTAGAATGACTTGTCCACTATGACACAGACCATCTGTGGTAAAGCCAGAGTTGGCCCCTGAGTCTGTTTCAGTCCATATTCTGAAATTCTTAGCCCTTGGCCATGTCTATACCTCCCTGACCTTACAAGTTCTGGCAGCCTCTCAGAGCACACAAAAACCTGGACTAGTCCAAAAAGGCTGACCACCAGTTGGGTGGAAACTGTTTGTGGCAGAGCCATGGTCACCGACTCCCCTGACTCCAGTCTGGAGAACTCAGTGGAGTGGGCTCCAGCAGGCCCGGGAACCACCTGGGGCTAGGCCATCTCTCTCTACCAGTGATTGCTTCCAGATCCATCGTGCAGTTCCCCACTGCACCTCGTCCTGTGAGACTTGGGGCAAGTCCTGAAACCACATTGCTCCAGCTTGAGAAACCTTAATGGCTTGTTAGTCCAACCTTCCCATTGCACAGATGGAGAAGCAGAGACTCTAAGAAGGTACCCTGCCAAAGATAATTCCCATGGCTGGGATCGGGGAGGGCATAACCCAGGCCTCTTCATCCTCGCTTCAACTTTGGTGCTAACATTTTTAAAAAGAGGCATTATAGCCCAAAATAATGGGCCAGCAACTGAGCACCCCTTGAATTCCTCTGATCACCGAGAACCCCTCTACCTGCCCTTCCTTGCTGGCAGCTTTGGAGACAGTGGTAATGTTCCATTTCTCGACCTGGATGAGAGTTACCTGGCTATACTGACCTGGTGAAAGTTCATTGGGCTGGACACTTACTTTTTTTTTGTATTTTTCTGTATTATGTCATGCTTCAATTAAAAAAAAAATCTTACTTAAAAATAATGTTGGCTGTACACCTTCCCCAGGACCAGAAAAATATTCCCATGTTTTAATTGAAAGGTATCTTCCTCTAATCTCAAGAGGCTGAAAAACTGTATCCAGTGCTGCTGTCAACTCCAGAATTAAGTAGACTTGGAGATGAAAAGGCCAAGAAGGTTCAAGGGCTCTGACAGAAGCTGAGACATTCCTTTTACTTTACTTCACGAGGCAGAAATGCACCCACACAAATGACACCTGTGGCAGAGACTTAATAGTTGTTTACAAACTACATCTTCCTCCTGGGCAACCAGCTAGACTACACTTCCCAGCCTCCCCTTCACGTAGGCACAACCATAAGACTGAATTCTGGCCAATAGAATGCCCAAAGTGGGCAGACGTGATGGATGCAAATTCCAAGTCTGGCCCATAAACACTCCCTTGTACAACCCCTGATTGCCTTTTTCAATCTACTGAGTAAATAGAAAATTCTCTGAAGCCTTAAGAAGAGTGGAGCCATTAGCTAGGAGGAGCTTGTGTCCCTATGACATCACATGGAGGAGAGCAACATAGGAGAGTTACCTAACCAGGAAGACCTATGATGGGTCACTGCATGAGCAAGACATAAACTTTATTTTGCAAAGCATCGAAATGCATAACTTATTTGTGGCAGCAGTTGGCCTACTCTGAATAATACAAGAGCCATTCTAAAATTAGGCAAATAATCTTCTCAACCTAAAGTCAGCCCCAAAGTATTTTTAAAAATCTGAGAAGCTACAGTGGCCTCTTGCCTGTTACCTATTGACTCATAAATCAGAAACAGTTTTAACAAGGGCAATTCACCTCTTTCCCAGGTCATTAGGGCAGCAGATCAATGGAGAAAGATTCATTCTTATAAAATGTGAGATTTGGTAGTCCTTTTTAAAAAACTATTGTTCTGTCTCCTCCCTTGTTGACAAAGAGCATGTAATAGCAACGTTCTGGACCCCTTTAATACAGGGGCTAACAGTTCTGTACCACCAGAGGGCGATACTATGTAATAGCTGGTGCACATAATACCTGAATCCTCATGACAGTGAGAAATGGAGTCAACATTTATAGAAAGGGGCCAGAGGCAGACACTAGAATTGTGGACAGGTTCCCGAACAATAGGATGGGAGACAGCACAGAAAGCTCCTTTCACACCTACCCCCCAGCTTCCATCTCCTTTGCAATTGTCCTCACAACTAACTCTGCCCATATTTTTCCAACACGTATAAAAATTCTCCAGCTGAAAGACCTGCTTGCATAAGGCAAGGAAAAAATGTGCTCAAGCTACCACCTACCAAAACATCCAAACACGTAGAGCTGTTAGAAAATGAAGACACTGAGAAAAAACAGAAAGAAGAAGACAGGCACACAACGGGACAGGCCCCATTTTGTTCTCTGTTGGGTCTGGGGCCTGCAAGAGTCTACAAGAAAACAGCAGTTTCTCCAGCATTACCCTGTGGTTTCCTGTTAAAACCAAGGGTTGAGAGTTCTGCTTCCTAGAATGGGGAGCTAGCTTTTTTCCAGGCCAAGCCTTTAGCTGAAAATAACTAGAAAAGGACAAAAATATGTCATTTAATCTGTGTGATGGCATTGAAGAGTAATGACAGACCTCCAGAAGCAAGATCTAGGGGAGAAGGAAGCCCAATTTTCTCTTCTTTCTTTCTTTCCTTCTTTCTTTCTTTCTTTTTTTTTCTCTTAAGACAGAGTTTCACTCTTGTTGCCCAGGCTGGAGTGCAATGGCGTAATCTCAGCTCACTGCAACTTCCACCTCCCGGGTTCAAGCGATTCTCCTGCCTCAGCCTCCTGAGTAGTTGAGATTACAGGTGCCCACCACCATGCCCTGCTAGTTTTCTTATTTTTAGTAGAGATGGGGTTTCACCATGTTAGCCAGGCTGGTCTTGAACTCCTGGTCTTGGCCTCCCAAAGTGCTGGGATTATAGGCGTGAGCCACCACGCCCAGCCAAGGAAGCCCAATTTTCAGCAGTCCTTCTCCTTGGGATATTTGCCATTTCAAACTTTTTGGTTGAAAAGCTGGTCAGAAAGGTCCAGCTGAGAAGCTGAGAAGAACTTTTGGCCATCTCTCACCTGGGTGCAGGTACAAAAATTAGAATTCAAGATTTGCCAATCAGGAGAGGCTATGATAAGCAGCTCAGGTTTTAAGCTGGGATCTCGAATATCTACAGCATAGGAATAAGAGAATCTTGGCCCAGGTTTCCTAGAATGCAGAGCCCAAAGAAAAAGCTTGCATGCTTCCTAGGAAATACAATTGCAGGGAAGCTGGAGTGAGGAAGAAAGGTGAGTGAAGCAGAGTAGGATGAACATATATAAGGAAGTGGATCACTGAGCTTTACAACAATCACAGCTGACTGCTCCATTTCATGGGAAATGCTATGTGTCTCTGAACAGTCCTTCCAAGGGTATGCAGGTTGAGAATTTTCCTGCCAGTGCCTTGCATCTCTTGTCCCCTAGAGTAAAAGTTCACTCCATAGAGGGTTAACTCCTACATTTCCATATTATACGCCAATCCCTTTAGCAGTGCCAAGACAGACATATCCCACACCCTTTACATCTGGGTGTAAAAGCTGTAGGGGAAGCCAGAGACACTTCACAGCAGACTCATGTGTTAGAATAATGCTGACTTGAATGCCTTTTTCAGAGTCAGTAACCCTTGTGTTGGCCAGGGCTGAACAGGTAACCAATAGCCCTAAAGACAGGCGAAACTCATAGGATCTGAGAAAGAATGTAAGAGGTATTTGATACAACGAGTGGACCAGAACTAGACCAACTCTAGCCAAATCTAGCTTCCAATATTAAATCATTTCAATCTCTGATTGGATTATGGAGATCTGCCCCTGGAAAGGCAAGACTAAGATAAAGTCCAGTGAGGGACTCCCTCTGGGTGCAAAATGCAAGGGGGCTCAAAAAAAACTTAATACTTGTCATAAATAATCTATAATTGCAATATTTTAAAAATCAAAATTAATGCAAAATATTTATGACAAAGAAATATCAAAATGTTTGGAAAATGGTGTTTTGATTGGAAACTGCAAGATTAATGACAAAAGGAACTGCGCAGAAATAAGAAACTTTACTAGTGAAGCTGTTCCTCACAGGGATATAGGTTAACAATTCTGAACCTGCTGCACATATATGATGGGAATGAACAAATGAGTAAATGAAACAGAGAGAGGGGGTGGAAGCCAGGTTTCCCACTGTTAGAGCTAGAGGTTGCAGAGACGCATGTGGGGAAGGCTGGAATGAAGCATGTGGTTGTAGATTAGTGCAGACAGCAGTATGAACTCATGAGTAGCTTAAAATAGATACAGATGGAGAGAGACAGAAATAATTGCAGACATGTATGTATATAAATATATATGTGGGTTATTACATATGTACATATACTTCCTAGCTCTGTCTACTGAGAGGGCCTAGGAGCGATGATGTTCTAGCAACAGTGAGGATGCCCAGTGCCCTAATCTTGGTTTCTGGTAAAAGCACGCAGGGATCTTTGGAGAAATGGCTGATTCTAAGGCTGGGCCTGAAGCTCATCCTGTAGTACCAGAAAATAAGGAAGTGCTCAAAAAAAGCAAAACCATAGGGACATGACTCAAGAGCCAACCCGCAAGAGCTCTCAACAGCTAAATCTGGAACAATTTCAGCAACATGAAATTACAGTATTGGATTATAACCCCAAGTGTAAAATACATATCCATGAAGCCATACTGATACAAATTATTGAATAAATAAATCAAGGAATTCCAAATAATTTATGTAGCTACTCCCTGCTCCAGGAGGTGGACTTCACTCTCCTCTCCACTTTCAAATGTAAGCCATGCTCATTGAGTTGCTTCCTAAAAATAGAGTACAAAGAGGCGGAAAACACTCGCTTTATGGAGGAGAAACCTCGCCAGCACTATCTCAGCCCTGGGATAATCAGTGATGAGTCATGTTGATGGCGTGTACCTTGATATGATGTGATAAGACTGGCACTTCACCTCTGGTCTTCTTCCCCCAACCATGAGAAAAACATCAGATAAACCCAAACTGAGGGACATTCTACAAACCACCAGTACTCCTCAAAACTCTCAAGGTCTGAGAATTTGGAGAAACAAAGAAAGTCAGAGATTGTCACAGACCAAAGAAGCCTAAGGAGACACAAAGGCTGAATATGATATGGCAGAAAAAGAGCATTAGGGAAAACTAATGAAATCCAAAGAAAGTACGGAGGTTAGTTAAGAGTTATGCACCAATGCTGTTTTCTTAGTTGTTACAAATGTGCCATAATAATGTAAATTTTTAACCATGGGGGAAGTTGGGTCCAATATACATGGAACTCTCTGTACTATCTTTTCAACTTTTCTGTAAGTTCAAAACTATTTAAAATAAAACTTTGATTTAAAAATAAGATAAACAGGTAAATCCAAATAAATTTTCACTGTTGAAAACATCAATAATAACGTCTTGGGGGGATTATAAATATGTTTGATATTATTTATAATTAAATCATATTATAACAAATAACACATGTATTATGATTTATATATTAAATCATAATACATGTGTTATTTGTTATAATATGATTTAATTATAAATTATTAATTAAATTATTTACATATTAAATCTTAATAAATATAAGCATATACAATTATGCATGTAATTAAAATATGCAACAATAATAGCACACAAAGGGAATAAATGGAGCTAGGATGTTCTAAAATCCTTGCATTGTCTGGAAAATTGTAAAAATATTCATTTATATTAGATTTTAATAAATCAAAAATGCATACTGTAATCTCTAGGTTCATCACCAGTAGAATGTAACTAATGACTAATAAAGAAGAAAGCTATAATAATATAATATAAAAATAATACAAAAAGGAGTAAGAAAGGAAGTCGAGCTTAAAAGAGGTGAAACAAGTAGAAAATAAAGAGTAAGTTATAATGCTGAAACCCAAATACGTTATAAAATTAAGCATAAATGAAGAAAGTGCTCAAAATAAAAGTGTAATTAGATTAGATACAATAGCACTGACAACCAAAACCTGCTTTAAATATATACTTAAATATAAGGATACAGAATTACTTTAAAATAACTGGGTAAAAAAAATTTAATTCAAACATTAATTTTTAAAAGGTTGATGTAGCTAAGGGGACTTTAAAACAAAGCATTACTAGAGATAAAAAGGAGTAATGTATGTTTAAAGGATCAATCTACCACAAATATACAACAATTCCCAATTTGTATGCACTTCATAGGTTCAAAATATAAAAAGCAAAATTCACAAAACTAAAAGGAAAGACAAATCTACAATTAAATGGGCGAAGATTTAAATACATTTCTCTCAGTAATTGATAAAACAAGCAGAAAATAATAAGCAAGCATTTAGAAGATTTGAACAATATGATTAAAAAGTTGATCTAATCAACATATCTAGAGTATGACCTCCCAGCAGTGAAAGAATAAATATACATTCTTTTTAACTGCACATGAAAATTTGCCAATATTGAACATACATTAAGCCGCAAAGCAAATTTAAACAGATTTCAAAAAACTGGAATCACACAGAAGATATTCTCTACCCACAGTGGCATTAAGCTAGAAATAAATAACAAAGTTACTAGAAAATCCTCAAATATTTGGAAATTAAGCAATATACTTCTAAGTAAATCATGGGTCAAAGAAGAAATCACAGTGGAAAGAAGAAACTAACTGAATAACAATAAAAATACAACATACTAAAACCTATGGGATACAGTAAACCCAGACTTAGAGAGAAATGTATACCCTAGGATTCATATAAGGGAAAAGAGGAATGAGCATCTATCCCTAGGAAGTTAAAATTATGACAGCAAATTAAACTCAAAGAGTTCCACTTTTTAAATTTCAAAGTAGATAGTGGAAAGGCAACGCTCCTGCTAAAATGACCTAGAAAAATCAGACAACTTATAAAAATTATGTATTCAAAAGTATCAGAATTATAGAAATGATGGATTAGAGGAAATAAATTCCACTGAAAGGAGAACCTTTCAGGGTCAAGCTGAAGATATCTATCTTTGGGGTATTAGTAGATCCTGGGCACAGGCCACAGATTGAGAATCTGGGGTGGGACCTGTCACAGGAGTCTCCTAGGTGCAGAGTTTTAGAAAGTCACATGAGACTAGAATTATACAATTGGAGACTTGAGGGGCTTCAGACACATGGCGGGTTTCCTTTCCAAGACCTTAGCTGAAATCTCAAACTTTACAGGTCAGGAGGCTAAATAATTAATCCCAAATCTCAGAAAGCTGAGAATTTTCCACAGTCTTAATATGCTTGGTAGACAAAAATCTGCCTGGGGAGTGAGCAATGAGGAGCCCTAGGAATGATAATAATTGACACTGACAATCTCCCACTCCCTTTCCTGGCAACTGGGCATACCTGGAGGCCAAGAATCCAGTCTTGGCACCTGGCAGAAGCCTGCTGCCGTAGAACTGAGAAACCAGCCTGAGGTAGTTGGAGAGCCTCAACTACATTGTTTTCCTTTTCAGAATGACTGCAAAATTCTGAAAGTGCTCAAGGTAGGAGGCTAAAAATTTAAGCCAAAAACCTCTGAAAAGCAGAGCGAAAAGTTCCCATAGTCTTTAGGGGATGAGAAAAAAAAAATTGACACATCCGTGTCTCAATTCTGGAGAGCCGCAACCTTGAACAGGGACAAACCAGAAGTAAAATGCATTGAACTTAATTTGTGCCGTAAGTATAACTGAGTGGTATAATGGGTAAATTGTAGTAAATGTTATCAGTGACCTGATCAGATTCCTTTGGGCCATATCATTGTAGTACACAGTGACCTGACTTCCAGCAGTTTGATGGCTTTATTCTGGATGCTGAAGCCCACTCTACACATGCACACAGAAGAGTCAGATAATCAATGTTTCCTGGGAGCAGCCTTCAATCAATGACTAATGAGAGTTAATTAGTAAATATCTCCACACCTTCATCTGTCAGATAGGCAAACTCTTAGCATGTATTCTACATGGATGCTGAGCATTCCCAAGCAAGAGAAAACTCCAGTTACTTACAGTGAGAACTTGCTTGATAATGAACCCTTAGTTAACTGTATTTGCTCTCCTGTCTCACTTTTCCATTCCATTACCAGTGTTTTCTGGGATCATATTTTACATGAACAATTTGTTCTCAAATTCAAAATCAGGGTCCACTTCTAAAGGAACCCAAAGTAAGAAAGCAGAAGACAGGATCAATAAACTTGAAGATAGATTAATAGAAAATATCCAAGCTGAATCACAGAGAAAAAAAGAATGGGGGTTGGGGGGACGGGGGAACCAGGACCAAGTGTAAGCAACCTAAAGAATACAGCCCAAAAGCTTAACTTGTGTAACTGAAATTAACAAAAGAGGAGAGAAAAAATGAGGCAGAAGCACTATTAGAAAAAAATTATGGCTAATTATTTTACAAGCCTTAGGAAAGGCATCAAACCGCAGACTCAAGAAACCTAGTAAAACTCAGACAAGATAAATGCAAAGAAAACCACACCTAAGCACATTACCATAAAACCACTGAAAATGAAGACTAAGAGAAATCATGAAAGTAGATATAGAAAATGGACACACCACCCTAAAAAATCTCAGTAAGATGGAGAGAGAAATTATTACCAGAAATGAAAACCCAAATCCAATGAAATAATGTTTATTTGAAGTGCTAAAAGAAGCCAGGCATGTTGGCATGTACCTGTAGTTTCAGCTACTTGGGAGGCTGAGGCAGAAGTATGGCTTGAGCCCAGGAGTTCAAGGCCAGCTTGGTCAACATAGCAAGACCCCATCTCAAAAAAAAAAAATGAAGTTTTAAAATAAAATAATTGTCAACCAAGAATACTGCATTCAGTGAAAATATTCTTGAAAAATAAATATGAGGAGTTCTGGCTTCTGGTGAGACTAACACTTTTGCAGATAACAACCTTTTAAACACAGACAGATTTTAAAACATAATTATTTGAGGGTATTGAAAATTGAATAAACCAGACAGAAATTAGATGTAATCCCACCCCTGAAAAATGAACTGTAACAGATGAATAGTAAATTTAGAAGACTCAAAGAAAAAAAGCAACAGCTGGAATCTTGAAATAAGTAAACAGAGATTCCAGTTGCTGCCCAGCATAAAAGAGAAACAGTTTGAAAAGTTAACTTAAAGGACTCAAAGTTAACCATTTCCTAGAATAAAAATTATTCAGAGAAACATAACAGAATTCAGAATCTACAAAACACTACTCATGTTGTTCACTATTCAATCAAAAATAAACAGAACTGTGAAGAAACATACAAATATGACCTACATTGAAGAAGAATATCAGTTTATGGAAACTCAGATGTTGCAAATAATAAAGTCTTTAAATAACCATCATAAATAAATGTAAGTATTTAAAGAAAATGATGGACACATTAATGGAGAATCTCAATAGAGAAAAAAATTGTTTTAAGCCAAATGAATATTTTGGATCTGGATAGTACAATAACAAAAATGAAAAAATTCACTGGATGAGCTTGACAGCAGATTGGAAATGACAGAAATGAGAGTCATCGAAATTCAAGTCACAGCAAGAGAGGTTATCCAATCTAAAGAAAAGAGAGATGAAAGAATGAAGAAAATGAACAGAAATTCAGAGACATTGTGGCCAAATATCAAGTGGTTTACTGGTTTAACACACATATGACATGCAATTGGATTCCCAGAAGGAGAGGACACTTTTATTGCTTGTATTAAAAAAAGGAAAAAGAACTTAAAATAAGCGATCTAAGTCTTTACCTTAGAAAACTTAGAAAAAAGACAAAGCAAATAAAACCCAAAGTATGTAGAAAGGAGACAATAAAGATAAGAACAAAAGATCAGTGGAATTGAAAACAATGAGTAGAGAAAATTAACAAAGCCAAAAGTGGTATCTTTGAAAAAAAATCTATAAAATTGATAAATCTTTAGCAAGACAAATGAAGAAAAAAGAGGAGAAAGCACAATTACCAATACCAGGAATGAAAGAGGTAATATTACTATACTTCTTACTCAAAGGGGAAAAAAAGAGAATGTTATTCTCTATTTTTTTGAATAATAATGTTATTCAAAGGCAAAAAAAGAATATTATGAATAACTTTATGCAAACAAATTTGATAACTTAGATGAAATTAAGATATATTTTTAAAAACACCCTGTACGCAAATTTTCATAGAGACAAAAAATAGAATGGTAGTTGTCAAGGGCTTGGGGGGAGAAGAGAGTGGGAGTTATTGTTTAATGGGTTCGGAGTTTCAGTTTGGGAAGATGAAAAAGTTCTGGCAATAAGATGGTGGTGATGGTTGCACAACAATGTAAACATCTTAGGCCACTAAAATTTTCACTTAAAATTATTCAAATGGTAAATTTTATGTTATGCTTATTTTTCTACAGCTTAAAAAATGATTTAAGAAACTGACAGAAGACAAAATTTAAAATCTTACTACTCTAAAACTGTCAAAGAAATTGAATTTCTTATCAAACCCCTCTATAAACACACACATCTCTCTAGAACGAGATGATTTCACTGGTGAATTCTATCAAACATTTAAGGAAGACTTAATGCAAATCCCACATAAACCCTTTCAGAAAATAGAGAAAGAAGAAACACTTTCCAACTCATAAGACCAGAATAATTTTGATAACAAAACCAAACCAAAATATTATCAAAGAATAAAATACAATTATAAATCAACATCTCTCATAATAATTGATATGGAAAAAAACCCTCAACATGATATAGGTAAATCAAATCCAGCAACATATAAAATGGGTAGTATGTCATGGCAAAGTAAGGTTTCTTTCAGGAATATAAGGTTGATTTCACATTTAACAATTAGTTAATAAATTCCACCATACTAACAGAATAAATGAGTAAAATCATATGATGATAGCACTGCAGAAAAAGCATATGACAAATTTCATTGCCATTATAAAAATTCTCAGAAAATTTGAAAGAGAAGGGAATTTCCTCCATTTGCTAAAGAACATCTACATAAAACCTACAGCTAACATCATACTAAACATTTTCCCTCTATTATGAAAAGGCAAAACTGGCTTCTATCACCAGTTTTATTCAATGTTATATTAGAGGACCTAGCCAGTGAATTAAAACAAGCAAAAGAAATAAATTGTATTCACACTAGAAAGAAATAAAACTGCTTCTATTCTCAGACAATATTTTTTAACCTAGAAAAATCTAAGAAATTAACACCAACAATAAAATCCCTAAATATGATAAATAAGTTTAGCAAAGTTTTAGTATAAAAGGTTAATATATAATATTCAATAGCATTTCTACATATTAGAAACAAATAATTACAAAAATGAAAATCAATTGCATTAAAATAGCACCAAAAACTTAAAATGCATAGAAGTACACTTAACAAAAGCTGTGCAAAATCTTTACTCTGAAAACCACAAAACACTGCACCAAGAAATAAAAGACCTAAATAATATGGTAGATGGATATTCCATGTTCATAGATTGGCCAATTCAATTTTGTTAAGTTATTAAGTCTCCTTAAATTAGTCTATAGATTCAACACAGTCTTAGTCATAATAGTGGGCTATTTAAAAAAATAAAAATTAACTGCTGACTTTTAAATGTATATGAAATGCAAAGGACCTAAAATAACTAAAATAATCCAGAAAAGATGAACAAAACGGAAGCACTTGTATTATTTAACTTCAAGATTTAGTAAAAAGTTATAGCAATCAACAAAGTTTAGTGTTAGTAAAAGGATAGACAAAAAGAGCAATGGAACTGAATAGACAGCCTAGAAATAGAATGGCATTTATATAGTTAATTTGTTTTCAATAAAGGTGTCACATCAAGCCAATGGGAAAAGAGAAGTCATGCTATCAAATGGTGCTGAAGCAACTGTAAATCCATCTGAAATAAAATGAAGCTTGACTTCCTAACCTCACACTTTGTACAAGATTTAATTTAAGATGGATCATAAACCAAAATGTAAAAGCTAAAAGTGTAAATACATATAAAAATCTATCACCTAGGGCTAGGCAAAGATTTCTTGGATAAAACCAGAGACACATAATAAGAAAGAAATTTATTGATGAAAATTGAATTTATCAAAACTAAAATCTTATGTTTATTAAAAGATACCAGCAATATCATTCAGGACATAGGCATGGGCAAGGACTTCATGACTAAAACACCAAAAGCAATGGCAACAGAAGCCAAAATAGACAAATGGGATCTAATTAAGCTAAAGAGCTTCTGCACAGCAAAAGAAACTACCATCAGAGTGAACAGGCAACATACAGAATGGGAGAAAATTTTTGCAATCTACCCATCTGCCAAAGGGCTAATATCCAGAATCTACAAAGAACTCAAATAAATTTACAAGAAAAAAATCAAACAACCCCATCAAAAAGTGGGCAAAGGATATGAACAGACACTTCTCAAAAGAAGATATTTATGCAGCCAACAGACACATGAAAAAATGCTCATCATCACTGGTCATCAGAGAGATGCAAATCAAAACCACAATGAGATACCATCTCACACCAGTTTGAATGGTGATCATTAAAACATCAGGAAACAACAGGTGCTGGAGAGGATGTAGAGAAATAGGAATGTTTTACGCTGTTAGTGAGAGTGTAAACTAGTTCAACCATTGTGGAAGTCAGTGTGGCTATTCCTCAGGGATCTAGAACTAGAAATACCATTTGACCCAGCCATCCCATTACTGGGTGTATATACCCAAAGGAATATATATCATGCTACTATAAAGACACATGCACATGTATGTTTATTGTGGCACTATTCACAATAGCAAAGACTTGGAACCAACCCAAATGTCCATCAATGATAGACTGGATTAAGAAAATGTGGCACATATACACCATGGAATACTATGCAGCCATAAAAAAGGATGAGTTCATGTCCTTTGTAGGGACATGGATGAAGCTGGAAACCATCATTCTGAGCAAACTATTGCAAGGACAGAAAACCAAAGACCACATGTTCTCACTCATAGGTGGGAACTGGACACAGGGCGGGGAACATCACACACCAGGGCCTGTTTTGGGGCTGGGGGGGATGGGGGAGGGATAGCATTAGGAGAAATACCTAATGTAAATGATGAGTTAATGGGTGCAGCAAACCAATGTGGCACATGTATACATATGTAACAAACCTGCACATTGTGCACATGTACTCTAGAACTTAAAGCATAATAAAGAAAAAGAAAAGAAATAGGCAAACCACAGACTGGAAGAAATTATTTGCAAGATACATAACAGAGAAAGCACTTGTATACAGAATGCATAAAAACTCCTACAACTAAATAATATAAATGACAAAAAAGTCATAAAAATGAGCAAAAAACCTGACAGATACTTCACAAAAGACAGTATTCAAATAGCCAATAAGCCCATGAAAAAGTGCGCAATATTATAGAGCATCAGGAAAGTGGCAAGGATGTGGAGTGACCCAAACTCTTATGTTGTTAGTAGGAACATTAAATAGTACAACCATTCTGAGAAAACTCTTTGGCAATTTTTCTTTTTTAAATTAATTTTTAAATTTTAATTTAATTTTTAACTTAAATACCCTTAAGGGTACAAATGGTTTTTGTATAAACAAAATGGATGTATAAACAAAATATGCAAATGGATGAATTGTATAGTGGTGAAGTCTGGGATTTTAGTGCGCCTTTCACCTGAGTAGTGTACATTGTACCTAACAAGCAGTTTTTCATCTCTCACCCCCACTCCCAACCTCCCTGCTTCTGAGTCTTCGATGTTCATTATTCCATTCTGTTTGCCTTTAATAATTTCTTATTAAGTTAAATATGCATTTATACTTTGACCCAGCAATTCCAATTCAGTCATGTATACAAGAGATATAACAACATATGTCCGCAAACCAACTGGTACAAGAATGTTCATCTCATTTTTATTCACAATAATAAAAAATTTGAAAAAAAACAAAAAACTAATATCCATCAACAGGAGAATGGATAAACAAATCATGGTATGTTTATACAATGTAATACTATTCAAGAATAAAAATAAATGAATTATTAATATACACAGCAACATGGATTGACCTAAACATTATGCTGGACAAAACCAACTGAGCGCAAAAGAAACATACAGTATAATTCCATATATTTGAAGTTCTGAAACAGGAAAAACCAATCTGAGGCAAAAAACATTAAAACAGTAATTGCCTCTGGGCGTGGGGATTAACTGACAAGGTACTCAAGGGAACTTTTTGAGGTAACGAAAATGTTCTGTATCATGACACAGGAGGCATTAAGTGGTGCATCCATTTGTCAAAAGTATACAGCTGAAATGTCTGCACTTTCATGTATGTACATTCTACCTTAAAATAAAAGAACTGCTAAAAGTCATCATCATCAACATCATCAAGTGGAGGAGCTGTTGGAGTATAGAGATGCAAGAATTGCATAATTTGAGAATTGTTGTAGCTAGGAGATGAATACATGTGAGTTAGTTATGTTCTCCTCATTTTGTATAAGTTTAAATTTTTCCATAATAAATTTCTTGTTAACAAAAGTGAAATAAAGAAGTTTCAGACAAACAAAAACTAGGAGAATTATTTGTGTGCAAGCCTTTATTTAAGGAAACACTAATTGTAAATTTTCCAGGAAAAAGAAAAATGATTCACATAAAGACATGCATACACAAGGGGGAATAAAGAGCACTAAAAAGTATAAATATGTGGATAAACATAAATTTATATAATTGCACAATATAGTCCTAAGTAATGTCTTATGGAATTTAAAATATATGTAGATTTAGGATTCACGAAAACAATGCAAAAGTTGGGAGAATAATGAAGTTAAAATATTTCTAAATACTTATTGTAAATATTCTGAAGTGTTGAAATTACTATTTTTTGGTAACTGTTAAGGATGCAACTTGTAATATCTAAGGCAACTACTATAAGAATAGTAACATATTGTAAAACAACAAATTAATCAAAAGAACTGGAATATTAAAAATATTTTATTAATCCAAAAGGAGACAAGAAATGAGAAAAAGGAATATAAAACAGGTGGGTTGGCTGGGTTTGGTGGCTCACGCCTGTAATCCCAGCACTTTGGGAGGCCGAGGCAAGCAGATCACCTAAGGTCAGGAGTTTGAGACCAGCCTGCCCAACGTGGTGAAACCCTGTCTCTACTAAAAATACAAAATTAGCCGGGTGTGGTGGCACATGCCTGTAATCCCAGCTACTCGGGAGGCTGAGGCAGGAGAATCACTTGAACCTGGAAGGCGAAGGTTGCAGTGAGCTGAGATCGTGCCATTGCACTCCAGTCTGGGCAACAAGAGTGAAACTCTGTCTCTAAATAAATAAATAACAAATAAAACAGGTGGGTCAATTAAAAATCAAATGGTAAGATGGCGATATTAATCCAACTGCAACAGACAAACTTTAAATATGAGGACACAAAAAGTTTTAAAACAAATGACTGAAAAAATAGACCATACAAACCCTAAAAGAAAGCTGATATAGCAATGCCGACATCAGACCAAATCAATTTCAAGAAACGTTATCAAAACAAAAAAGGAAAATTTCATAATGATAAGAAGATCAATTCACTAGGAGTATGCCACACACATATATTACATATAGCAGTATATAATTAATAATATGATTTCAGTATATATAAAACCAAAACTGACAGAACCCAGTATATAATTAATAATATGATTTCAGTATATATAAAACCAAAACTGACAGAACCCAGTGTAAAATACGGTTTCAATATATATTAAAGCAAAACTGACAGAACCCAAAGAGAAATAGACAAGCCTACAGTCACAATGGAAGACTTTAACACACTATTCTCAAAACCTGATAGAATAACTAGACCAAAAAAGTCAGTATGGACATTCAAAGTTTGAAAAACACAATTTAAAAAAGCTAGAGCTAATTGACATATATAAATCATTGCAGCCAACAATGATAGAATTTACATTATTTTCAAGTGCACATAAAATTTGTGACAAAATAGGTCCATGAGTTGAAGCAAAAAGAGGCTCAACAATATTCCAGTGTTTACAAGCATCCATAGTATAATCTCTGAGTACAACTAAATTAAGCTAGAAGTAAATAGCAAAATCCACAGGTCTAAAAATCAAACATGTACTTCAAAAATAATATATAGTTTAAAGAAGAAATTACAGCTGAACGAGAAAATATTATGAACTTAATAATAATGAAGATGCTATGTATCAAAACTTATAGAATACAACAAAATCAGATAAAAATTTATAATTCTAACTACATATATTAGAAAGTAAAAAAGATCAATTACCTAAGCTTGTATCTTAATAAGATGTAAAAAGAACAGTGTGTTAAATCCAATGAAAGTAGAAAGAAGGAAAGAGGAGCTGAAATTTAATTAAGTAGAAAAACTTTAATAGAGAAATTAAATAAAGCCAAAAGTAGGTTCTTTGAAAAACTGATAAACCCTTAGAAATATCAATTGAGACAAAAGAGAGAAATCCCAGGTTATCAGTACCAGTAACAACAAGGAAGACAGCACTACAAATGCTGTATTAAAAGGGTAAGAGAGTATCTGAACAATTTTACTTCAAGCCAGAGAGCCCTCAACAGAAATTGAATAAGCCGACATCTTGATCTTGCATTTCCCAGTCTCCAGAAGTGTGAGAAATAAATTTCTGTTGTTTAAGCCACCTAGTTTATGTTTTGTTATGATGGTCCAGGCAAACTAAGACAAGTAGAGAGTCCAGAAACAAATCCACTGTCACTTGATCAATGACACTACGGTGCAACGGGGAAAGTATAATTATTCATTAACTGGTGCTGGAAAAATTAGATAAAATGATATCTTATATCATATTTTTGTATTCCAGATGGATTGCAAAGTGTGAAAGATACGTTTTTCTGCTTTCTTTTTAGAAGTGTTTTTATTTTTTAATTGAGCTATAACTTATATACAGTAAAGTACACAAGTCTTAAAAAATTGATGACAGTTTTCATATACCCAACAAGATCCTTCATGATCCCTTCCAGTTACACCCAAAAAAATCACTATTATGACTGTCAAAATAAGTAAGTTTTGCCTATTTTTTTCACTGAGATCTAGAGGGTCTCTGTTCTCTTACCCTTGAAAGACTGTGGGAAATTCATTTCAGCTCTTTGAAAGTGTTGAGTTTAATTTTGTATCCTCATGCTCCATACAACTGCAAAATCTGACAAATGTCGTGAAGCCTTTTTAGACTGGGTGGGTTTTTGAGACAGGATCTCTTCCTCTAGCAGGACTTTGTCTCTTGAGCACCAAACTACAGGAAATTGTATTTTGCCTGTTAGAAACACTCTGCCGGACTTCTCAGCCTCCTACACACAAGCCTCAGAACTTATCAAGTGTTCTATGGGAAATGCAAACATGTCTGGGGGCTCTGCAAGTCTCCAATCTGTCATATGAATCCTGTGCAGCCACCAAAAGCCTTGCTGGGTTCTATTCCTTCCATACAGTCTCTCTGCATGAGTTAGATCCAAACTTCAGTCTGAGCCTATAATCGGAAAAGGCCCCTAGGGAAGGAAGCTGCTAGTAATCATCAGTTCACCCCCTCTGCAATTTAAATTCATATTGTACTTGTTGCTTCCAGAGCCCTTTGATGCCTTTTTTTAAAGTACACAACTTTTTACACAGTAAAAATGTCACAGTGAAATGTTGTCACAGTAAGAATGTTGGGTTGCCATGACCTACTCATCTTACTCAAAGGTTGATGACTGATAGAGGGTAGGCAAAGATTTCTTAAACAGCACACAAAATGTGTTAATCATAAAAAAAACCTAATAAATTGGATGGACTACATTAAATCTAGAAATTTCTATTTATCAAAAAACAATTAACTGATAAAAGAACCAAAGAATGCCTAAATAAATGGGGAGATATACTGTGTCCATGGATCAGAAGACCCAACATAGTAAAGATGTCCATTTCTCCAAAACTGATCTATAGGTTTAATGAAATTTCTATCAAAATCCCAAGGGTTTTTTGCAGATATAGACAAGCTTATTTTAATATATAGAAACTCATAGGTTCTAAAATAGCTAAGACAATCTTGACAAAAAAAGAACAAAGCAGAAGTAACCACTCTCCTGGTATTAAGGCCTAATACATAGCTCCAGTAATGAAGACATGGACTGATATTGGCAGAGGGACAGACACATGGGCCATTGGAACAGAATAGAGAACTCAGAAATAGACCCACAGCAATATGCCTAACTCATTTTTTTTTTAATTGATCATTCTTGGGTGTTTCTCGCAGAGGGGGATTTGGCAGGGTCATAGGACAATAGTGGAGGGAAGGTCAGCAGATAAACAAGTGAACAAAGGTCTCTGGTTTTCCTAGGCAGAGGACCCTGCGGCCTTCCGCAGTGTTTGTGTCCCTGGGTACTTGAGATTAGGGAGTGGTGATGACTCTCAACGAGCATGCTGCCTTCAAGCATCTGTTTAACAAAGCACATCCTGCACTGCCCTTAATCCATTTAACCCTGAGCGGACACAGCACATGTTTCAGAGAGCACAGGGTTGGGGGTAAGGTCATAGATAACAGCATCCCAAGGCAGAAGAATTTTTCTTAATACAGAACAAAATGGAGTCTCCTATGTCTACTTCTTTCTACACAGACACAGCAACAATCTGATTTCTCTATCTTTTCCCCACATTTCCCCCTTTTCTATTCGACAAAACTGCCATCGTCATCATGGCCCGTTCTCAATGAGCTGTTGGGTACACCTCCCAGACGGGGTGGCGGCCGGGCAGAGGGGCTCCTCACTTCCCAGAAGGGGCGGCCGGGCAGAGGCGCCCCCCACCTCCCTCCCGGACGGGGCGGCTGGCCGGGCGGGGGCTGCCCACCGCCTCCCTCCTGGACGGGGCAGCTGCCGGGTGGAGACGCTCCTCACTTCCTACACGGGGCGGCTGCCGGGCGGAGGGGCTCCTCACTTCTCAGACGGGGCGGCCGGGCAGAGGCGCTCCTCACATCCCAGACGGGGCGGCGGGGCAGAGGCGCTCCCCACATCTCAGACGATGGGCGGCCGGGCAGAGATGCTCCTCACTTCCTAGATGGGAAGGCGGCCGGGAAGAGGTGCTCCTCACTTCCTAGATGGGATGGCGGCCGGGCACTTTCCAGACTGGGTAGCCAGGCAGAGGGGCTCCTCACGTCCAAGACGATGGGCGGCCAGGCAGAGACGCTCCTCACTTCCCAGACGGGGTGGCGGCCGGGCAGAGGCTGCAATCTCTGCACTTTGGGAGGCCAAGGTAGGCTGCTGGGAGGTGGAGGTTGTAGCGAGCCGAGATCACGCCACTGCACTCCAGCCTGGGCAACATTGAGCACTGAGTGAACGAGACTCCGTCCGCAATACCGGCACCTCGGGAGGCCGTGGCTGGCAGATCACTCGCGGTTAGGAGCTGGAGACCAGCCCGGCCAACACAGCGAAACCCCGTCTCCACCAAAAAAATACGAAAACCAGTCAGGTGTGGCGGCGCGCGCCTGCAATCGCAGGCACTCGGCAGGCTGAGGCAGGAGAATCAGGCAGGGAGGTTGCAGTGAGCGGAGATGGCAGCAGTACAGTCCAGCTTCGGCTCGGCATCAGAGGGAGACCGTGGAAAGAGAGGGAGAGGGAGACCGTGGGGAGAGGGAGAGGCAGAGGCAGAGGCAGACCGTGGGGAGAGGGAGAGGCAGAGGCAGGGAGAGGGAGAGGGAGAGGGAGAGGGACGCCTAACTCATTTTTGACAAAGGTGCAAAACCAATGCAATGGAGGAAGGACAGCCTTTTTTGCAAACGGTACTCAAGCAAATAGACATACACAGGAGAAAATAAAATAGGAAAGAAAAAATCTTGCTCTAAGCCTCGTACTTTATACAGAAAGTAATTTAAAATGGATTCTGAACTTAAATGTAAAACGTATGGCCGAGCGTAGTGGCTTACACCTATAATCCAAGCACTTTAGGATGTCGAGGCAGGTGTATCACTTGAGGCCAGGAGTTTGAAACCCGCCTGGCCAACATGGAGAAACCCGTCTCTATGAAAAATACAAAAAAAAAAAAAATTAGCTGGGTGGTGGCACGCACCTGTAGTCCCAGCTACATAGGAGTTTGAGGCACAAGAATCACTTGAACCCGGGAGGCAGAGGTTGCAGTGAGTGGAGATCATGCCACTGCACTCCAGCCTGGGCTACAGATGAAGACCCTGTCTCAAAAAAAATAAGTAAATAAATAAGTAAAAGAAAGAAAAAGGAGAAAAATCTTTGGCTAGGCAAATAATTCTTACTATGACTGAAAGAATAATCCATAAAAGGAAAAATTGATAAATTGGACCTCATCAAAAATAGAGACTAGAACAATAAAACATTATTTAACAACAAAAAGAGTGAATTACTGCTACATAGAACAACATGAATGAAATCCAAAGATAACAGGTTAAGCAAAAGAAGCCAGACACACACGAGTACATATTGCATGTCTCCATTTATGGAAAGTTCAAAACAAGCAAAACGAATGTGTGGTGTTAAACGTCAGGATAATGTCTATTTTAGGGGCTGGAAACTGAAAGAGGGTACAGAGGAGGAGATTCTAGGATGCTGATAATATTCTGTCTCTTGATCTAGGTGCTATTTACACAGGTATATTCACCTTGTGAAAAACTCATGCAGCTACACACGCTTAGAATTTGTGCACTTTTCTGCATGTGTATTATACTTCAATTAAAAAGTTTAAAAAATTAACCCCTCCAAAGTAGAAAGAAATAGGTAATAAATAAAATAATAGAATGATGAATTAAGAAACAAGCACAATAAAGATGATCAATAAAGCTGGTTCTTTGAACAGACTCACAAAGTGGATAAACCATGGCAAAACTGATGAAGAAAAAAATAGAAAAGACACAAAAAATGTATCAGAAATTAAAAAAAGAAAGGCCTATAACAACAGATCAATGAACGTGAAAAAAGAATTATGTAATATTATTAGTAATTTAATGTCATTAAATTTGAAAACTCAGTTGAAATGAATGAATTCCTAGAAAAACACAATTAACCAAAATTTACACAAGAATAGATCATTTGAATAGTAGATGTGCTTATTGCTACAGGGATGTATTTCGTTCTTGGCCCTTTCAGCAGACAGAGCTAGGAAATGCATGCATGTATATACACATATACATATACATACACATACATAGGTATGTACATATATGTGCACATATACACACACATATTTATATATACTTATTTTAAAAATCATGAGTTCACATCATTACTTCTGATTCCAGTACATCCCTATGTGGTACTTTCTTGCCTTCCTCCATTCCGTGGTTGTATGTCTCTTCTTCCACAGGGAGAAATCTGGCTCTCGATAACATCAGCACATTTACTCATTTGCTAAAGCCTATAATACATCCAAAATTATTTTAGAATGGATTTCCCCATGCCACTACAAAAAAAAAAACTCAAAAAAAAAATCTCAGGATGTGTTTGTAATTCCTCCCTGTCCCTCTTCCCTACCATAGACTGAGAGTATCAAATACTGTGGTCATAAATTTCTTGGATTATTTCTTTTTCTCCCTTTTAGTGGGATTATGACATTCATATGAAACACAATTAGATTCATTGGTTTTAATTTGCTTTATGTTTTAGGAATTTTCTCCCTGCTCCTTTTTATAGGTGTCGTTTTAGTTTTTTAATATGTAGAACATTAACACATTTCTAAAAGTCAAAAGTATACAAAAAAGTATACTCAGATAAGTGTCACTTTCTTCCTTATTCTTTCTGCCCCTCACTCCTTATAGGTAACTATTGTCATTGTTTTGTAGTTTATCCTTCCTGTGTTTCTAGTTGTATTTGTAAGCAGATATATGTATGTTTTCTTAATTTCCCTTTTTTCTTACACAAAATGTCACATACTCTCATTTGCACTTTGCTTTTTTCACTTAATATCTTTTGGAATTTACTTCATATCAGTTTACAGAGATCTTCGCCGTTCTTTTTTACAGCATATAGTATTCATTGTATGTATTATATCATATTCAACTAATTTCCTATGCTTGTACATTTAAGTAGCTGCCAATATTTTGTAATTCCCAATAATGAGGCAACAAATAACCTTGTACATATGTATTTTTGTATCATTGGTGATGTATCTTCAGGATAAGTTCTAAAAGCATAATTACTTGGTTAAGGGTAAATGCAGAGATAACTTTTATTAAATATTGTCAAATTTCCCTCCATAGATTTGAAGCAGTTTGTATTTCTACCAGTCATGTATTAGAGAGACAGCCTGTTTCCTACAGCTTTGCCAGTATAGGTTCAAGCTTTTGAACTTTTGCCAGTCTGGTAAGTAAGAAATGGTTTCTATGTGTGGTTTTGTTTGCACTCCTTTTATGTATGAAGTTGAATATCTTTCCATACTTTAAGTACCATTTTTATATCTCTTTGTATTAGTTGTTCATATCTTCTGGATATCTTTCAATAAGATATTAATTAATTTTCAGAAGTTTTTTTTGTTTTTGTTTTTGTTTTTTGAGACAGGGCCTGGCTCTGTTGCCCAAGCTGGAGTGCAGTGGCATGATCTCAGCTCACTGCAGCCTCAGGCTCCCTGGCTCAAGCATCCTCCCATCCCAGCCTTCCAAGTAGCTGGGACTACAGGCACATGCCACCACACCCAGTTAATTTTTGTATTTTTTGTAGAGATGGGGTTTCACCATGCTGCCCAGGCTGATCTTGAAATCCTGGGCTCAAGCTATCTGTCCATGCTATCTGCCCTCCCAAAGTGCTGAGATTACAGGCATAAGCCACTCTGCCTGGCCAGAAGATATTAGGGAGTGCTATGAACTAAATTCTGTCTCCCCCAGATTCATATGTTGAAGCTCTAACCTCCAATGTGATGGTAATTGGAGATGGAGCCTTTAGGAGGTAACGAAGTTTAAATGAGATCATAAGGATGGGGCCCTAATCCAATACAATTAGTGTCTTTATAAGAAGTGACATCAAAGAATGCTCTTTCTAGCCCCCCAATAAACCCCCACACACCCATGCAAAAAATGCTATGTGAGGACGAAGCAGTTGTCCACAAGCCAGGAAGAAAGGAAGAAAGCCCTTTCCAGAAACCAAACACTGGTGGAACATTGAGCTTGGACTTTCAAGCCTCCATAACTGTGAGAAAATTAGTTCCTATTGTTTAAGCCACTCAATCTATGGTATTTTGTTATGGCAGCCCAAGAAGACTAAGGCAAGGACAATAGTTTTTATCTGTGCTATATTTTGCCAATGTTTTCTTCCATTTTGTCATTTGACTTTTTAATGGTGTTTTTCTTTCCATGCAAAAGTTTTGCTTTTTTTTTTTTTTTGGGACAGAGTCTCACTCTGTCGCCCAGGCTGGAGAGCAGTGGCGCGATCTCGGCTCACTGCAAGCTCCACCTCCCGGGTTCACGCCATTCTCCCGCCTCAGCCTCCCTAGTAGCTGGGACTACAAGCGCCCGCCACCACGCCCGGCTAATTTTTTGTATTTTTTAGTACAGACGGGGTTTCACCGTGTTAGCCAGGGTGGTCTCAATCTCCTGACCTTGTGATCCGCCCGCCTCGGCCTCCCAAAGTGCTGGGATTACAGGCGTGAGCCACCGCACCTGGCCGTTTTGCTTTTTTTTTTAAGGAAGGAATATTACAGTACTCTTTTCAGATAATTGTGGATATTGTTCTCTGATTCTATACTAAAACTCAACAAGTGGTCAGCTCTTAAAGGTTAGTAGTTATGTAGAATCTGAAAACATCACTAACTTTTCATACTCTGTGACATTAAATCCATCGGTTTATCTTGCACTTTGAATGGATCTTTTTACCTATGCATAATTTTGTGACATCTTACATGGGTCATTTGAAAAATATTGGCTAGCTAACTTATGCAGATTTTCCAAATGTTGACTGATTTTAAAATACAACATCAAAAAGTCATATTAGTTAACACTATCACCAATCTCATCAGAAAAGTATTGGGAAGCTGTCAAGTTCATGGTAGCAGATACAAGCTTTTAAATTTTAAAAAATTTGTTTCATTAAGGACATTCTCAGTTCTTAAGTGAAACTAACACTCTCTTTCTGTGGTGTGTGTGTGTGTGTGTGTGTGTGTGTGTGTGTGTGTGTGTGTGAGATGAGGTGAAGAATTCTATGGCTGCTAGTACAGTTTGGGGCCACTGCCTTGACTCATGCTAAGCCTCCAGCTATTTACCCAACAATGCTTTTGTGTCATCAGTGCAGATGTCAACACAGTGAAAAAGGCAAATGAGGCTTTCATATTATTATGAAAATAGTTTTGGTCACAGATCACTTGAAAGGGTCTCAGGGACCCCATTGTGGTCTGCAGAGCACATTTTCACTGCTCTACAGGTATCCTAAATCCTTCAACCTGTATTTTCAATCCAGTTCTAACCTCAGGGGAAAAAATATTTAAATTCAGAGATGCCTCTAGGCATGAAAAGAGGTAATACAGTCCTCTTCCTTCCTACAAACTCTCTAGGATGGTTTCCCATGGCCCCTTTGTTATTCCTCATTAAGGGTAACTACTCACCTGTACTTATCTTAAACAAGGGCATTAACTGCCTCAGCTTCCTGACTAGATGCAGTTACAGGCCCGCATACCACGCCCAGCTAATTTTTGTATTTTTAGTAGAGATGGGGTTTCACCATGTTAGCCAGGCTGGTCTCAAACTCCTGACCTCAAGGGATTTGCCCACCTTGGCCTGACAGAGTGCTGGGGTAATAGGCGTGGGCCACTGCGCCTGGCCAATCTTTAAAAATATTCATAACATCTTTATAATAGAGTTGGAAACAGCCTGAAAGAAGAAAAAATAAGGAGTTGGTTAAATTAACGATGGCCAAGCTTGTGGATATTGTGAAGCAGTAGTTCTCAAAATGTAGTCTGCAGTCCCCCGAAGGTCACTGAGACCCTTCCTGGAGGTACAAAAAGTCACAACTATTTTCATGTTAACATTAAGACATTATTTGACTTTTCCCTGTGTTGATCTTTGCACAAATGGTGCAAGAACAGTAGTGGATAAAACTGCTGGCGACTTACCACAAATCAGCAATGGCATCATCCCATACTCATCATCATTTTATTATTTATTATGAAGCACTCACAGCCAAAAAAAAAAAAAAAAAAAAAAAAAGAGAGCCAGTTTAACTTAAGAATGTCCTGATGAAACAGTAAAAAGCATTAATTTTATTAAATCTGACCCTTTGGAACACATTTTAAAATATTCCACGTGACCAAATGGGAAGTACGCATACAGCATTTCTACTAGGATGGTCATCTTGAGGAGAAGCACGTGTGCAATTGAGCTGTGAGTTAAACTAGCTGCTTTTCTCATGGAACACTAGCTTTTCTTGAAACAAGGGCTGACAGCAAGGCTGCATTACACTTTCATGGCCCTAGGCACTTTTACCTTCATGAGTCCCTTCTTCTATAAAACAATAGAAAAAAAATTTTACAACCGTGTTCGTAGAAAGACAAATATATTAACATTATATATTAAAATATTTTCTTCAATATAAAAGAACTAACTTTCATTTTCTTCTGATTTTAAAAGAAATTAAGACATTTTCGTGGGCCCATAAAGTCCTGGGGGCCTGAGTACTGTTTCTAATGGAGAAGCTACACCTGACAGACAAACTATGGGTATTCAGAATTGGGTGTACGTAGGGCTGAATACTCCACGAGGCACAGTTTTAATATACAATATTAATTTATTTGTCTTTATACCAGTGCAGTTGTCTTTTTAGTGGAGGAAAGGGCCCATGCAGGCAAAAATGCCTATGGCCCATGAAAGTCATAATGTGGTCCTTTGTTTGTGGTAGACATTTTCTTGAAAATGAATGAAATGAACCTGTCATTTCTAGGAAAATCACTGTGACATTATGTTGTCAGTGATAAACTTGAGCTTTCAAGCAGAAATTACAATTTTGGGAAACTCGTATCTGCCACCAAGAGCTTGACAACTTCCCAATACTCAAAAACCTTCAGATGAGATCAGTGGTGCTATTAATAGATGTGATTTTCTAATATTGTACAATGAAATGTGTTTACATTTGTAAGATCCGTATAAATCAGTGAACTGATATTTCCCAAATGATCAATGTATGATTTTACCAAATTATGCATAGCTAAAGGACCCAGTCAAGATATAAAATAGGCCAATGGATTTTAATGTATTAACTGAGTTCAAAAGTTTATTGATTTTTTTTTTCAGGTTCTACATTGCACTTAACCTTTAAGAAACGACTCCTTGCATTTTGGTGTGGTATGAAAAAAGAACATCTGTAATTATCTGAAAAGGCGATTAAAATCCTCTATTCTTTCCCATATACATATCTACATAAGGCTGAATTTTCTTCACATACTTCAAACAAAACAACATATAGTGACCGACTGAATGCAGGAGGAGGCATGAAACCAGCTATCTTCTATTACACCAGACATTCAAGAGCCGTGCAAAACTGTAAAACAATGCCACTCTTCCCACTAATTATTTTTGTTTGGAAAGTATAATTATTTTTCTAAAATACATTATTTATGTAATATAATTTCTTTCCATGTTAACATTTTTAAAATAAATTAATAAATATTTACTTTTTCTCAGTTTTTATTTCTAATAAAGCAAATATTGATAGATGTAACCTATAAAACAAAAGCTCTTCAGGGTTCTCAGTAATTTTTAAGAGGGTCAAGGGAAACCCAAACAGTTCCAGTAATGTTATTGTAGAACAACTACCCAGTAAAATGCTCATAAAGAACCATTAAGTTTAAAGTGCAGGTGACAATCACTAAATAGAGTAGAAACTCTGTATGTTTAATGTTAAGTGGATATAGATAAAAAGGCTGGAATGGGAGCAGGCTGTTCTCTCCTAGCAATGAATGTAGAGTGAGTTTTATTTTTTGAGCATTTTTATTTTTCATGTTTTCAGAATGAGCATAGCTTTGTCATTGGAAAAAAATAAAAAACCTTTAACAGAAGAAGAAGCAATAGCAGCAGCAGCAGCTGGTACCCCTCTCTGAGCCAGATTAGGGGAGGAGACAGGTCACCGAAGTGGAAGAACAGGACACACAAAGCGCAGGAGGAGAGAGGGGAGAGAAGGTGGAGGCTTCTGGAGAAGGATGAGGTCAGAGCTGCTGCACTGAACAGCTCCAGAGGACAAAGGTCCTAGTGTGTTCTATGAGAATGGCACGCTGTAGAGGGGCATGGAGGTGGGGCCGCCCCAAGATCAGCTCTTGGAGGAGTGTAGACTTTAATTCCACCTGGTGGTCCCTACAGAACGGAGAGTCCTTGCCCAAAGGCACAGAGAAGGATGGAACAACAATGTGGTGTGTGGGGGAGGGTCTCTGCACCTTTCCTGACATCTTTTCTTCGGGAGATCCTCATAGAACCATAATGCTTTGTTTTGGGACCAGAAGCATCATAAGCATCATCATTTTTCCAGCTTCATCTCCTGTTACTTTCCCCTTCACCCATTCTACTCCAACCTCACACTCGCTCTGTCTTGACTATTTTGGACACACTCCTACCCCAGCCTTTGCACTTGCTATTCCTCATGCTCGGCGCAGTTCTTCCCCAGACATCCACACGGCTTGCTCCCTCAATTTCTTCAGGCTTTAAATGTTACTTTCTCATAGAGGCCTTCTCTTGTATTTGAGCCTCACTCTTATCTCACACTTCCTATTCCCCTTCTCCGCCTTATTTTTCTCCACCCCATGGAGACCCTCTGACACATTCTCCCGTTTGTCTGTCTTTCCCCCACGAGACTGCAAACTACAGGAGGGCAGAGATTTCTGCCTGTTCTCTTGGCTGTTTCATATCCAGCACCCAAATCGATGTATGACACAAAATACGTTCTCAGTACTTAATCGAATTAACGAATGCATGAATGGCAGGTATTGGACATTGTTTTGCAAACTCTTAAAGTAAGGTGTAAAGCATCCCGGTGAGGTGGAGGTTACTGCCGCTGCGATTCCCGCGCAGCCTGAGGACTGGGGGGTGGGGGTGGGGGTCTCTAATTACCTCCATAATCCCCAGTAGCGGCACTTTAAACTTCACATCAACCCTGAGGGATGTGTATTATTATCCAAATTTAGTTCACAGCTGGATGGAGAAGTGGCTTCCGGCTCCACACTTTGGAGGGAGGGGAGTAGAGGGCAGGCCCCCATTTAAGTACCCGGGATGGGGCACCAATGCCTTCAGGCGGTAAACCAATTTAGGAAGACGTGGCGGGCTTTGTGGCGGCTCCTCCTCTTTCGGCCTGTCCGCAGTTTTTAAAAAACGTGTGTGATGATAAGGAATCACTGTCTACATTAGTAATTCCCAACTTGGGTCCGAAAGTGAACTTTTGCTGAAGCGAAGTAGCTAACCGCTTCCATGTGCAAGGCAGGTTCCAGACTTCGGGGTGAGGAGGATTAACTGAAGGACCCCAGGGGAACCGGGTGCGCAGTAATTGATCTTGGGGCAGACCAGGGCTTGGCGGTGGCCTGTATCTAAAGACAGCGGGGTCTCTGAGGCGGGGCAGGGGGGAGTTGGCATTGACTGGGGAGGGAAGAGCGATCGCTGGTAACAGCCATTGTGCCTTCCCACTGGGTTAGTGGGAAGGTTCCTAAAGATGCCGTGGCAGCGACAGTCCCGTGCTCAGAGCCAGGCACACAGTAGGCGTTCACTCGAGACGCAGAGTCTGGGACGCGCCCTGAAGAAGCTCCTCTCCAGGGGCCTGGCCCTTCCCAAGGACTGGGCTCTGGGCGTCCCCGGGGTCATGGGTCAGACCTCGCGTCCGGGGTGCGGGCTGGTGCCTGGGCGCAGAGCGGCCGGCGTCAACGGGTAGGGCGCGGGCCCGGGGTCAAGGCCGGGGCGCCGGGCGGCACGGGCGCGGAGGCCGGACGCTCGGGGCCGCGAAGGGATGTGACGAGCGGCGCGCTGTGCATTGTGGGAAGCCGGCCGCGAGGACTGGTTCCAGTTCACTCGGCAGCGGCGCCGGGCGGAGGGGGAGAGCGCGGGCCGCGCGGGCGGGAAGCGAAGAGGCGGGCGGGCCAGCGAGGAGCGCGGAGAGAAAAGGCGCGAGCGGCCAGGAGGGCTCAGGCCGAGACACCTTGCAGCTGCCGCCGCCGCCACCGAGCCGCCGCGTAAGTGCCGCGCGGGCCCCCTTGCCGCACTCCCTGTCCCCGCCGCTCGGGTCCGGCCGCGGGTGCCCGGGAGCGGCCCGGCCTGGCGCGCACCGGTGTGGTGCGGGCCGGGCTCGGGCCGCCGGGTTCGGTGTGGCCCACGCCGGGTCCTCGCGCGTGCACTACGTCCTCCCAGGCCTTGTCGGGCCGCGCGGGATTCCCTTTGGTTTTGTTCAAAAAAGAAACCTGGAAACCAACTTCTCTTCGAAACGCATCCCCCTGCCCGCGCCTGGGCGCTTTTGTGGGAAAAAAGCGGTGCTGGCGCCTACCCTGGCGACCCTTCCTGGGGCGGGCTCACGGGCCAGGCCCGAGGCCGCAGGAGGCCCCGCGGCGCTGGCTAGGCAGTCTGGGCCTGGGCACCCGGGAGCTGCTGTGAGCAGAGTTGTACTTGGTGAGGCCCCCGCCGGCCCGCGAGTTGCCGGCCCCGGCACAATAAGTCGGGCCCGAGCCCCGGGGGGCCGAGGTGTAGGCGTCTGGCTCGCTATCTGCAGGGAGGGGAAGGCGGGGGCTACTCGCGGGATTGAAGCCGGGCTGGTGCGGGGGACCGGGTTGGGGAGTGGTCCAAGGATGGGCTGGAGAGGGGCCACGGGAACCCCCGCTGCTCCCGATTGTCTCGGTATCAGCCTTTTGTTTGCTTTGTGGTAGGAAGGGTTTGCTTTTTTTAAAAGGTAACTCCGGAAGGCTGTAGGCTTCCCCGGGTGGAGAAGGCCAGCAGGAAAGAGCCTCGCTGGGGGTGGGGTGGAGTGGGGAGGTGAGTGTGCAGGATGCTGCTGGCAGTGTCACCTGACAACAGGTGTGCGACATGGCGCTCCCTACCCCCACTCCTGCAGGGGCCACAGATCACTCAAGGAGTTGGTCAGTACATTGCTTGAAAGGTTCTTTTAGACAAGATGTTAGGGGAAATGTTTCTGAGTTTCAAAGTGAGAGACTTCTGTACAAACAACTGGGACAAACCTTGAATTCAACAATTACAATGACTATAAAGGCCTTGTAAGATTTTAATGACCCAGTAAACAGCACATAAGAATAGACAATTAGAGGGGGCACTCCTGCTAGCTTCCCTCTTTTCTTCCACCTTTGTGGTTTGAGGTTTTACCGTTAAAGTAGGGGGTAAGGGAAGTGTTTTGTTCCAAAGCTCCCTGCTCCAGGGAGTCGGGCATTTTTTAACAGTCTTAGGTTTGAATGGGAGACTCGAGTTGTAAATTAGGTGGAATTCACCTACTGCAGGCCACCTTTAGGCTACTAGCCTGTTGTCAGAGGTGTTAACTCTGAAATGGACACCTCTTGCCTGCAACTGGAATTAATACCCATTGTACACATTTAACTAGAGTTGGGCAGCAGCATCTCAGTCTTGCACAAGAGACTCTCTGATGAGGATGAGTATGTTTTCAAACTTATTTTTTCTTAAACACAACAAAACTCTTGAAAGACTTCAAATTCTTCCCCCTTCTAGTTTTACAAGGAGAGAGAAATCTTTCCAGTCTGTTCTTTGGCTTCGATCTGTCACCATTGTTAATGCTGATCCCTAGATAAGGCATTAAGAGGGTTGTCTAAATGAAAATTGTTTGAGGCAGGCCTTTAGAAGGAGGCATAATTTAACTCACATTTTATTAAACTTTAAGAATTGTCTGGAACTTCACATGTGACATTCTAGTATACAACCATGCCACTGGTTTAGTTTTTACCAAATGGGCCAGTGTCAGGGAGTGACACATCTCCATCTGATGTTTCTTCTGGTCCCTGAGAGAGGCGAACTTGAGGAGCGCCTCGCATTCCTTCCCCACTGAGAAGCTCAGAGGGCATGTGTTCTGGGACCTGCCTTCAGAGCTAATGCGGCCCCAAGTCACCTAAAGGAGATTTATTTAAATAAAAGCATAAACTGAAAACCTCAAGCCGAAGAACCCAACAAGACTCTATATGTGTTGTTCATCAGAACTGCAACAGCCTCTGGTTTTATTTGAGTGTCCCCAAGGATTTGTGACAGCCTTTTCAGAGCCCCATTCCTAGAACATGGGCTGGGAAGGGGCAGGAGTGATTGGGGCCCAGATCTCTGTGGGTCCTTCCCATATTCTGTAGGTTTAGAGGTCTTTTGGGCCCTGCCTCAGTGCTTACAAGTGAGCCTGAGTGAGTCAACTCTTCATTCCAAAGAGTTGTATAGCTTGTTTGCTTGGACCAAACCTGTCAGGTCAGTGTCTCAGAGTCTTTCCATAAAGATTTCCTGAGAATCAGCTCCTGTTCAGGCACTGGGGACACAGCCGTGATTAAGAAATGCCTAGCCCCTACCTTGGGGGAGCTGACTTTGGGAGAAGGCAGGCAAGTAGCTGTTGTAAAATCAGTGCAAAAGGCCCCACGTAGCCCCCCAGCAGGTACAGTAACCTAGCCAGGAGTGAGCCCTTATCTGGCTTGGAAAGGTCAAGCAGGAGATGGCTGGGCAAAGGAGGGCAGATGGGGACAAGTGTTTGAGGCCTGGGGAACCCCATGTGTGCATCTTAGAAGAAAAGAACAGAGGTCATGTGGGGAACTGCCAGAGGCTCGGGATGGCTGAGTCCTGGTGCGGAGTCAGGTGAGGCTTCAGGGAGGGACAAACAGGACAAATCACAAAGGATTCTGGTCAGACCCACACTTTATCCTAAGAGCAACTGAAGGGTTTTGAGCAGGAGAGAGACAGGATCAGGTGTTCTTTTTATTCTTATTGGGAACACGTCTACTCGGCAAATAATGAGTGGATTCTACATGCTAAGCCTTATCAGAGTCCTGTCCTGTGAAGCCCACACTTTAACTTTTCTCTAAATAGCCTTCCGTGAGACTGGTTATCTTAAGAGTTTGGCACAACCTTTAAAAGAGAGAGGAGTATGTAGAAAAGTTTTTTTGTAAAGCAGGCAGGCAGTAACTTGCTGTTAAAATGTAGCAAGCTGCACAGTTCCTTCAGTGCATCTCGGGAAGCGCATCACCGAATGGGTTTGCAGAGGTGAAATTTCAATCCCAGACTAGCTTCCCCAAAACTGTTTCTTGCTTGTGGTAAATGACATTTGTGTTTGTGTTTTGTTTCTTCCTGCCACTGAAAACATAACAGGAGTAAGACACATCTGCTGGAACAAAATGCATGGTTTATGATTTATTTACTATCTCAGTTGGTCTGTCTCTTCTGTTTGCAGTCCCCTAGTTCACTGAGAGTGGACTGTAGGTTCTTTAATCATCTGGCTCACTTTTTGATATGGTGTTTTATGAATGGAGAGAGATATTTTTCCTGATTGGCTAGAATACTAGAACAGGTCTCTGATCCAAGCCAATCAGAGTGCAGCTTGTGAACCCCAGCTCTGTGAGCAATGGTTGTCTAGTATATCCACATGCCTCTGGGGACATGACAGCGGGTGACACCGTTAATCATTTGGTGTGATAGGAGTAAACGGAAGAGGGAAGAGAATGCTGTAAACAGGATTAGTGTCTTGTCCTTCAGAATTAAGTTTCTCAGGTTGGCCTTTGTGATTGGAGTTGATGGGAAGGTGACAAATGCATGTGGATATGCGGGCATTTATCCAGCTGCCAGAATGGATGGCGTGGTTCTTCCTCATCAGCAGTTATTTGAGCACTGATAGCTCAGACTCCTCTATCCTCAGGGGCTGGAGATAGGGCTCTTTGACTAGCAACTCCCCAGCAGTTCTAATCAATATTGCATGGGATCAATAGGCATGTATTCATTGCTTAGATAATAAAATACTTCATGATTGACTATTCCAGCGGTTTCATGAGTGCCCTGATTGTTTAAGGGGTTTCTGTGCTGTAGCTTAAACAGGAGTCAATCTCTTATAGATGTGAGGAAGGTTAAGTATTTTCCTGCAGTCTATGGTACTGAGCCAGAGGCAGGAGGAGAGGTCACTGGAACCATAGAACTGTCACAGAGTCATAAGGCCTCAGTGTGCCTTATGCCCAGCTATCAGGGCAATTGGAGTGTTCCTTTCCTGAGAATCCCCAAGGTAGCTCTACAAGCTCCCTGAATTTTGAGTGTCTGGGCTCCTATAGGGATTTTGCCAGGTGTATGTACATGAATGTCCAAGAGAAGGTCTCTGATTGGTGTCCCACTAGCCATAGCTCCCAGTCCTGTGGGCTTTGGAAATGCTGCCCTCTCCTTTCTCCCTATCCACTGTCAGTGCCAACTAATCAGCTACCTTGTAGCTGGCATGTGCATGTCTACCGGGTGCCAGGCAGGGTGGTGGGTGCTTGGAGATACAGTGGTGAGTAGAGCAAATTGGTTCGTTTCATCAAGACAGACAGGTAAATAGGCAATGATGATACCATGCACTGAGTGCTAAGAATGGGATAGCTGGTTTCAGAACTTATATGTAAATGGGATCTAGAGTGACTGGCAATCATGATGGAAGGAAGGGCTGGAAACTGCATTTGCAGAGTACTGTATATAAGACTAAGAAAAATAATTGAGTATATTAAAGAATAGGGGCAGCCTGAGGGAGATTGTGAGGCACTTTTAGCTGGGCCCTGGGTCTGCAGCTGCCACATCCATTGAGGGAACTGGGAGGGAGAAATTCATCCCGGTGGATCTCTGGTTGTTGCAAATAGAGAGATGTGTTGGAGGTCAACAGGGCCTGTGCACAAGGTTGGAGTCTGGACATGCAGCTGCCCCAAACTAGACTGTGACTGACAGAAGGCATGGCCATGGCAGGAATGCAGAAGAGGGAGCACATTGATGGATCATTGCCAGGGAAGGTATTGGGACCAGTAGGCAGGATTACTCCAGACAAAGGGCTAGAGAGATGTTCAGACTGAGCATGCTGGGTGTGCTGAAGGTGCCAGTGGGAATGAAGGTGGTTTGCAGTGCAGGGAGCAGCCTGTTAGGATGCCTGCTGGGAAGGGATAGGAGGGTGTGGCAGGGCCTCCATGGCACTTTGGTTCTTTGCCCCTACTGCCCCTCCTAGTAGTACACAGCTTGTTGTTCTCATGTCCACCTTATTCATGGGGTCTACATAGCCAGCCTTCTAATTAGTCCTGTGCTAAAAGAACTGACTGCGTTGCTCCAGTCGCATCTCGATTGCTGAGGGGCCTGTGGTCAGACTCTGTTGCTTCTCACTGTAGCCTGACTCATCTCTCCATCCAGCTCCTCTATAAAAGTTTGTCTTTGGGTAAGCTTTGAGGTTTTATAAACAAAGTTAATGTTTATTGTGATTTATAATTGGAAGAGTTGCAGAAATAAAGACCACAGAGATCCCTTCAAGATCAATCACAGAACCTTCATTTTCTAGGCCAATAACAGCCAAAAGGGCAGTCAAGCTAATGTGCAATGATGAACAGACACAGTTGCCTGAGGACCTATCATTGTTTTCAAAGCATGCAGAGCCATGAGTGAAGCCTCCTGGTTTACTGAAGGAAGGAAGAACACATCTTTGTCAAGTTTGACCAGATAGTATAGCTGTTCTCCTGTGACCAGCTTCACTGCCCTGCAGAGGTGATGAGTGCTTAGGAAGCTGCTTTGTCTATGATGTAGGGCTGTCTGTTTCTCAAACAAGGCTGGATGCAGAACATGGGTCAAACAGGGCCCAACAGGTTTTGGGTGGTAACTCATTCTGGGGTTAGGGTCAGCGTTCAGATTGGTTTATCATGTGACAGAGACTGGCTGTTTCCTCTTTTCTTCTGAGTAAATAGCCAGAGTACATTTCCCAACCTCTCTTGCAATTAGTTGTGGGCATGTGACTAAGTTCTAGTTGATGGATCATGGTCAGAAGTGATGTGCCCCATTTGCAGGCCTGGCCCCTTAAAACCCTCATAGGTTATTATCCATGGTCTTTTTCTTTCCATGGCAACCCTGGGAATCATGTATTGAAGATGTGAGAGTAACAAGATGGGAGGCATCTGGATCCATGAATCACTATGTGGACAAGAAACACCAGCCAATCATGGAAACCCATTTTGGATTTTTCGGGAGTGAGAAATAAGTTGTAGAGACTTATCTGTTACAGCAGCTAGCAATGTCTTCAGCGCAAATGTCCAAGATCTGTTCTGCAAGAAGATGGCCTTTTTTCATCTTATTCACATTATTGTTTTTGTTAACTACTGAGAACTTGCCCAGTGAGTGAGTATCAGGCCCTTACATGGATGCTTTGATTCACTTCTGCCACCAACTCTTTGAGGCCCTTACTAGCATCATCTCCACTTGAAAGATAAGAAAATAGGTTCAGAGGGGTTAAATCACTTGCTCAAAAATGCACAGCCAGTAAGCGGCAGAGCCATGGTTATAATCAGGTCAGTCTGGCTTTGGACTTCTAGTTTTTAATTATAATGCTTAATTGCCATTGGCCTCACAGTCACTCTCCCCCTTGTCATGGGTGCCTGACTGGAGCTACCCACACCTGCATAAACCTCTGAAGAGCAGGATGGACCTGGCACATTCATGGGTTTATCTGGAGACTGCACAACTATGAGTTGGTTTTCAAAAGGGTGTTTTGAAAACCACCACACATTGCTGGATGTCATAAGGCTTCATGGCTTAGTCAGAATTCTTTCATAGCTGTGGCTGCAGCTTGGGGAACTATAGTTAGAAGTGCAGGAAGAACATGGGGAGGGATAAAGTACAGAATCTCTGCAAGACAACCCCATTGGTGGGGAGACAGACTTGAGGCCGCTTTATTGGACAGGAGCCTGACTCAGAATGAGAAGTGAAGATGTTCTTCTGCCAGCAGGGTGGCACTGGAGGAGCTGTGATATTTCAGACCTTTCTTGGGATGAGTTGACTACAGTGCTTCACATCGAATGGCTTGCAGTTCAGTCAAGTTGGAGAGGCATGTGCTGGGATATATATACTATGGGAACATGGAGCAGTGAGCAATTCCAGGCTGTGGTCATGTCCACAAAGCCTCCATGGCAGAGGGAGGCTGTGAGTGTCAGTTCAGCAAGTTGACAAGAGGACAAAGGGCATTCCAGGCAGGAGAACTGCGTGTTCAGAGACATCCTTAACACAGTGTGACAGGCTCAAGAAGTCAGGGGTGGCCTGAGGCATGTGAGCCAGGGCTGGGGTGACAGGAAGCAGTGCCACCAAAAGTAGCTGAAGTATGCTGTTTGTGGCTAGCTCAGAAGCTCAGGCTGACAGGGAATCATCAGAGTAGGCAGAGCTGCTTCTGGTGTCCATGGATGAAGACTGGTGCGGTTGAGAATAGGTCAGAAGTAAAGAGGCTGAACCAACGCAGGGAGGGTGATGAGAAGAGGCCTGAGAGGTTCTGCAGGCGGTTCAGCAGAGCTTGGCTAATGCTTGGGTGCTGTGGGGTGGACAGAGAAGTCTGGGCCAGGTTCACTGCTGTTTGGCTAGTTTGGTGCATGACATTGCCACTGATGAGGCTGAGAGACCCAGAGGAGTTCAAGGCACCCATGGGACTTGTAAGTGGGCCCTTGCCATCAGCAGTCAGAACAGAGCTCTGAGGCTCAGCGGCCAGGTGTTGCACTGGCATAGAGACCTGGGAGTCACTGGCATGTTGATGTAAAGACTCAGCTAGAGTCAGAGGAGGGAAAGACAAGGAGCACCACTTTTAAGGAGTCAGCGTGTCTAGGACCTGCCAGGTCTCTGAGTGCTAACGGATCCTTTCTGGAGGAGACCACTGTCCAGTTCCCACATAGGCAGCCCCAGACATGCCCAGCAGGTCAGCTGGGAAACAAAGCTGAAGTCTGTGCTCTAGTAGGAAAAGGGCTGAGCTGCTGTTAATCATCACTGACCACAGGCCTCCCCTGCTGAAAGGGGGAGACATTCCGATTTAAAAGCTCAGTCCAAAGGCATCAGGTTGTTGGTCTGTGAAACACATTTGTAGTAAAGCAAAAGACTGCTAGGAAACCCAATGACAGCCTTGCCTGAAAACACAGGCACACATACATATACACATATCATTTCCTGCTCAGAGTGAGCACAGGCACCTTTTTGCAAGGAATGTTTTAAAATGGAGTTCATTGCAGCAAGGAAGGGATCCAACTAATTGTTTTGGAAAAACCCAGACCCTTCTGGGTCTCTCTAGCCCTCAGTGAGCAGTTAAGACTGGGTGCTCCTTGACAGGGCGCTCATGACAGAGGCCTTTACTCTTCTAACATCACTCCAGAGCCAGGGCCTCTGCCATCTTACCTCTGTTGGGCCTGTCTACACAGTAGCCCCAGAGTGCCCAGAATTCTGTTTTCTGTCCTCACAGCCATCTCTGTGGCTCATCCCAGATGATTTGAGATGCACCTGGGATTAGAGAGGTGTTAAGTGTGGACCGTGGCATGTCCTGACAATGTCCCTAGTATAGGTTGAGCATCAGAGTAACAGGGACTCCTATCCCTGTGGCCTCCAGTGGTCACAGCATTGACTGCTGGTGCTGGAAGGCCCCAAACACCATGGAGTGTGACGTCAGTTTATCAGTACATGGGAGACCTGCCCAGTTGGTTCAGTGAGCAAACATGTTCATAGGGAAGACTTTAGGGGGCCCCAGAACAGGCCAAGGCCCCTCATATCCCCTCTCCCAGCACCCTGCACTGGCCCTTTGAAGCATGCATTACGTTTATCTTTTAAATGACTAGGGGGTTATTTATTGTCTTTTTCCCCACCAGTTCCACAGGGACCACATCTGCCCAGCATAATACCTGAAGTGAATGCATAAATGAACAGGATGCTCCAAGTAAACATTCGAGACCTTGGATGGTGCTACAGTAGGAATACAGTTAGGGGCACCCCTCCACCCACCTGCAGTCTGATGGGAGAATGGGCACACGTGCATCAATGCTGTGGTGTGCAGCACATGGGGCCCTGAGGATGAAACAGCCAGATCTCAACATTTGGGAGGGCTGGCAGAAGGCAGAGGCAAGTGTGAGAGATAATGGAGGTCCCAGCCAAAGGGAACAGCTACTGCCCAGGCAGGGAGAAAAGAAGTGGAAGGGTATTTGGGGGGAACCTTGTGTGGCTCCCTGTTTGCTAGTTTAGACCACAGGTGGCCCAAGGCAAAGCTGGACATGTGTGCCAGGCCTAGATTTCTAGGGCATTACATGGCAGGCCAAGAGTCCTGGTTCTATCATGAGAATTGTGGCAGCCACAGAAAGCTTTCAGGCCAGGGCCGGGGCATGTTCAGGTGGGTGTGTACCCAGATTGCCCCACCCATGGGGTAGAGGGTGGATTAGAGGAGAGGGGGCTCTGGTAGGGAGACCTTTTCAGGAGACATTTGTGACCACTTGATTAAAATAGTGATGACCAGGATCCCATCACTGGAGGTGGAGAGAAAGAGCCCCACAAGAGGTGTAGAGGAGGGTTTTCCTCTGGACTGGGTGACTGGATGGGGATTGGGAGCAAGGAAGGAAAAAACACCTCTCTCTCTCTTCTCTAAAGATTGGCCCATCTGGTGGACTAGAAGTGCTCAGAGGGCCTCTTACTGCAACCTGACTATACACTGTACTGACTCCTGTAAGCTGTTCTTGCCTCTCACAGATAAAGAATCTAAAATAGAGACACTGCTTTCATCAGAGAATCTAGGTATCTGCCTTTACATCATCTTTTTAGGGGAGGGTGTCATAGCTGTTTTTCTTTTATGAAGCCTTTGGTAAGTTTATCAGCCCCAGTCTCAAGTGTATGAAAATGCAATTATTAAACAAGTGTATAGAATGTGGCCAAGAAATCCCATTTCCTTTTTCATCATGTGGCATAATGGCAAGGCACTTAAGTAAAATTGATGTCATGGTATAAATTGTGCAAAGCCAAGCCTTTCTTTTCAGGGATCAAACTGCTCCAGCGGAGTGCATCACCTGGACCCGGAGGGCCCTGCAGCTACAGACAGTGGCATCTGCAGGCAGGCCTGGGGCCTTCCAGGGGACTAGAGTGTACCTGGAAAGGGGACATGTGCTGTCCCCAGCCACCCTGACCGGTGTGCCTCTCGCCTTCACAGTGTGCTCACTGATCCGCCTCCAGGGCCACCGCCATGTCGAGCCGCGGTGGGAAGAAGAAGTCCACCAAGACGTCCAGGTCTGCCAAAGCAGGAGTCATCTTTCCCGTGGGGCGGATGCTGCGGTACATCAAGAAAGGCCACCCCAAGTACAGGATTGGAGTGGGGGCACCCGTGTACATGGCCGCCGTCCTGGAATACCTGACAGGTGAGTGTACCTCAGTCAACCCAGACACCACTGGCTTAAGATGCAGAAGTTCTCATAGTTCTCCAAAGACCACTTTTGTTTCTTTTATTTTGAAACAGCTCAAACCTACAGAAAAGTTACAAGAAGAGTACAAGGAACATTTTCACCTAGATTCTCTAGTTGTTAACATCTTGCCTCATCTGCCTTATCTCCCCTCATTGTGTGTGTGCATGCAGGCATATGTGTAGATATTTCTGTATTTATTTTTGGCTGTTACATAGTCCATTTTGAAATTTCCTCAGCTGTCCCAATAATGTACTTTATAATTTTGTTTGGTTTTCTTTCCTAATCCAGGATCCATTTCAGGATCATATATTGCATTTGACTGCCAGTTTGTTAGTCTTATTTAATTTTGAACAGTTTGCCAGCTTTTAAAAAATCTTCCATGACATTGATACTTTTGAAGAGTCCAGGCTAGTTGTTTGGCAGAATGTCCTCCAATCTGGGTTGGTTTCAGGATTAGATTCAGGATGAGCATTTTCTTAGGAGAATGGCATCAGAGATGCTGCATCCTTCTCTGTGCATCACGTCGGGAGGCACCTGACGTGGTTTGTCCCGTCACTGGAGATGTTCTGCTTGCTCATTCAGTTAAGGTGGTATCTGTTGGATTTTTGCACATCCTGTACCACGGTATTTCACCCAGTGGCTTCAGCAACCCTTGATGATCTTACCTGAATTTGATATTACAGTGGTGGTTATAAAATAGTGGGTTTTTTCATTTCTTGGTGGTTATAAAATAGTGATTTAAAAAATTTATTTCTGCATCTCTTAGTTGGCATTCTTTTGTAATAAAACCTTTCCCTGTGCCCTTCCTCTGTTTTTTTTTTTTTTTTTGAAGTATCAATGTTGGTTTACAGATTTTTTAAAATTTAGTAAGTTATATTCATTTCATTACTCGCTTTAATGGTCACATCACCTCAAATTTGATCTTCAAGCTGGTTCTGATATCCTTTTGCCATGTCTCCATCAGTTTCTGTACATTTCCTTGCCTTCTAACACAATAAGGTATTCCAGCCTTACCCTGGACTTCCCTTGCCCCAGTCTGGGACTCAGCCTTCTCTCCAAGGGGTCCTTGGTCCTGTTCACAGATACAATCTTATTTGTGGTTTCACAGCAATTGTGCAAGGCCAGCTGGGAAGGGAGGGAGACTAACCCCATTTTTAGTGATGAGAAAGCCAGGCCTCAAAGCATAAAGGACTTGTCTGGGGTTATATACAGCCTGCAAGGGGTTGAGAAGGGACCCAAATCCTGCTGTCCTGTCGTAATGCTTTCACTGTGTATTGCCTGAGACATGATCAGGTGGGTCTGATCAGGAAAGAGTACTCTGATTCTTGCAGCCACCTGTGCTACAGCCAGAAAGGACGACTCAGTAAGACAGGGTACCTCTCCCAAAGCGATACAACCAGGCAGCGGAAGGGCTGGGTTGCTTCCTGCACTCCCTGCTCTCTCAGTAAGGCAAGGCCGAGGGTTTCCCCATAGCAAACACAGTCATCAGGAAGGTAAAGTTTTTGTGTTCTGTTGAAAGCATCTGGGCATGAAAAGTAATAGTGTTAGATTTAAGTATTTGTACATATTTTGGGACTTCTGACTTTCTGCTTAGCAAAGACTCTTATAGGTGGCAGGCCTGGTAATGTGAACTAAGCATGATTCTTCTGTGTAGATGAGGAAACAAGCCCAGAACTTAGGTGACACACCCAGGAAAGCTATGTATAGCATTGGCAGTCATCCAGGGAGACTGGGAGAAGTTGCTAGATAGGAAACAGAAGACATTTTAGTTCTTGCCTAGTTAGTGTACGTGCTCTGTGACCTAGAGGAAGCCACCTAACTTCCCTGGACCCCAATTTCCTTACAACTCAAATGGAGTCAACTGTCCCTACTCCAACTCCAGGCTGCTGTGAAGGCCAAAGGTGCTGTGCACATAATGGGAAAGCTAATGTGCTACACAAACCCAGGCAGCCCCTGGCTCGCGAATGCCATGATGCCCATTCCTGGGGTGTTCACAGACACCATCATTAGGTCAAGTACAACCTCAGTGTCATTTCTTCCATCTAGCTTTCTCTTCTTTTTTGAAGGGCATGAATGGGGAATACCATTGCTTTGTCATATCTCAGGCAACTACTACCGGTGCTGCATAGAAATCTGTGTTTTCCTGGTCTGGGCATAGCTGGTTCTGAATCTGAGCCCAGTGCTCCTGAGGTGGATATCAGCAGTCCATTCCCATGGGGGCTAGAGACGTTGACTCAGTGGCTCACACATCCATCATCCCTATCCCCAGCTATTGTGGGTGTGTAGGAGAGGTCACAGCAGGGCATAGGACTGGCCAGGAGAGCCCATCACTATCACTGGAAAAGTAGCTCAGAGCAGATCCTTACTCTGGCATCAGCCACATCAGCTCTTGTATATTAAATAATAATATGTATTTTTAAATTTTATGAAGACCTTACAGCAGGGCTATAGTTGGCTGAATCTGAAGCATTTCCTCTGCCTGCATGCGGCACTGAGTCATTGGCATGACCATGCCTGCCCCTAACATGGAACCAGGCCCAATTGACCTTAGGAGGATGTTCTGAGCAGTTAATGCATGCCCAGTCACTGCTGTGGTTACTTATGTCCTGTTTTGTGATGGGAGAGGAGCCAGACTCTGGGGCCATGTCTAGTGAGAATGCTGCTCTGTTCCACCCCTCAGAACAGTGCCACACACCCACACTGACTGTCCTCAGAAGGTGACCAGCCCTTAGCCGATTGGGCAGGGATGTGGGAGCACGTGGATGTTAGACATTCTGGGTCTAACTTAGACATTCTGGGTGACCCACTTAGAACTTTGTTTTTTGGCCCTTGAGTGAGAAGGAAGTGTGTCCAGGCCCTCTTTCTGCTCTCCTCTTCACTTTTGTTTCCCTAAAGGCCTTTTCTCATTCACTCCACATGCTGTCTGCCAGGCACCGTGCTAGGCTCTGTGTGAGAGTGCAGGAGTGATCAGGGCAGAGTGGCCTCTGCTTCATGGAGCTCACACTCTTGTCTGGAAAAGACAGCCAGCCAACCTAGATAGTTTAGAGACTGAAAGTGTTGCAAGGAGTAAAAGCAGGCCAAACGAGGGCCCAGGCTGCTTGGGGGCTTGGAGATGAGCTGGCCAGGGAAGGCTTCTCTGAGGAGGAGAAATCAGCTGAGCCCTGGAGAGGTGCCAGCCAGCCCCACAAGAACTGGGAAAGGGGATCTGCCAACCACTTATCTGTCTTGATGCGCCTGCTGGGTGCCAGGCCAGCCCCTTCCCAGAACATGGGGAAGCTACAGAGAGAGGGAGAAACTGGAGTACCAGCCTTCAAGCAGCTTAGGGTCTGGTCAAGGATGTGACCCCGACATTGTGCTCCAACACTAGGCAGACATCTGAGGGAAGTCCCACCCACTCAAGCTCTCCTTGCTGAGAGCTGTGATGTCCCTTGCACAGCTACACACCAACCCATCCCCACCCCCAAAGGGCTTCCTGTCCAGAAACAGGTATAGGCAAGAGAAAAGCTGTGGTGATGCAGGACCACCTGTGCTGCAAGGGGGGAGACAGGACTGCAAGTGGGTGTCAGGAAATGCTTTCTGGAGAATGCTTGTTAACCAGTTACCAGAGCTGCCCTGCTTGTTTAGGTGTCACTGAAGTTCCTAAGAAGGGATTGTTTTCTTCTCTGCATGGCCCAGACTCTTAGAGGTGGCATGTAGTCAAGCCCAACACCTGGCATGACAATTGCAGGCATGGTGATGGGATGTGCCACATGGAGGCCCATTTGAAGTAGCTGGGCCAGGCCCTCTGCCTTCCAAAGGCCCCTGTGGGAGAGATGGGAGGGGTCTGGATGCCCAGGGATTGCTAAGAGGACTGCTGAGCTGCAGTGCCAACCTAGGACTAGGTGCTTCTGAAGCAGGGAACTGGCATCTCCTTGGTGACCAGCTCTGGGGACCACTTGGGGTCCACTGTGTTCTAGAGCTGGGTGGTTTAGAGTATGGGCATTGGTGCCAGAGTTGCCACTTCTTACTTGTGGCTTAGGCAAGTCACTCACATCTCCATGCTATAGTTTTATACTCCGTGAAATGAGGATCACAGTAACTGTCTCATCAGGTTCTTATGAGGCTGATGTGAGAGCATGCATGTGAAGTCCTTATTCCATGCCTGGACATTGTAAGTGCCCAGATGTTAACTATTAACATTAGGGTTAAAGTATGAGAGAGGAAGGGAGTCTCCAGTAATCTTGTTCTTTTTCCTGTCTCTTGTCAATGACCAGAGCCTTCACACTCCTCCAAAAGGCACCCAGCATCCTCTGATAGCAGATGTCCCAATTTGAAGCTGCCTGTTGGTACTTGGCCAATCCTTGTGCAGTTTATGGAGCCAGCTCCTGACCTGGGGAAGAAGCAGGGTCCCATGAGTGATCTTTATCCACTTTACAGACTGGATGAGGCCCAGCCATTGGGCTTGACTATATCCTGAAATAAAACCCCAAGGAAAAGGGACGGTTGTTAGAAATACATCTTGTTTGCCATCTGGTTTTGGCTAACAAAGTGATTGTCCTCATCCCAAGTTTCAGCTTGTTTGACTTCCAGTCTCTAACTCAGGTCAGATGTTGCATATCCCTTTGGTGGTAGTCATAGGGCCACAACCCATCCCTGCCTCCATCTCCTAGAAGTGGGTAGAGAGAGCCTGTTCCTGTCAGCAGCACATCCTGTTACACTGATACTCATTTCAGCCAGCATCCACCTCACTTGGCATTTCTGATGTGGGATGGAATCCTACAAGCTTGGAAGATTGAGGTAGGCAGAGCCTGCAGTTGGTTCTGTCACTTACCTTGAAAATAAGTCCCAAATCTCTTTACCACCTTCCTATCCGGGACACTCAAATGTGTCCTGGACTCAGACAGCTAAAAATAGAGCAGGAAGAAGAGGACAGTCAGGCTTGGCTCTTTGATGCTCCAAGGCTCTAGGAGCTCCCACATCCTTGCTTGTTTGCATGAGTGCACCTCCCTTAGACTAACTGACGCTTCAGGCCAGAACCCAGCTAATGCTTGCTAGTACCTTCTTGGGCACTCATGCTGCACTGGGGCTTATGCCACAGCATTTGCTGTGTTCTGCAAAGCCCTTCCCTCACCCTGTTTTCCTAAAATTAAAACACACACACACACACACACACACACACACACACACACACACACACCACACCACATCACACAGGAAAGGGACAATTAAGAATTTTATCTTAATTCTTAAAGAATTCTTAAAGAATTTTATCTGAATTCTTAAATTAAAATTAAGAATTTTATCTTAATCACACGGGAAAGGAGCCAGGGGCTTACAGCTAGAGAAAAAACACTGAAGTTGAAACTCCAGTGGGTACTCACAGTGTGCAGACTATATTTAAGTGCATGTTCCCTTTTCTGGTTATGTGAGTAATTTGTTTGAAAATTGAGAAACTAAAACTCATTCATAATCCCACTACCCAGATTTAGCAGCTGACACTTAATGCCTTTTGTGTATGTGTAAAAGACAGACCTTAGTCTAATTATTTGTTGTTATTAACATACGCTATTGATGACCTTCATTGACGGCCAGTCACAGAAACATCACAGTGCATACTCTTACAAAGCAAATTGTGAAGTACTTTAGGAGGTGCTCCCCACATAATCTAAGTTACCAAGCTTCCTTCAGTCTCCCTGGGGAATAGATGATTCCATGGTGGATAAACATTCACTGAGCATTTGAAAAAGAATCAGTTCAACACTATGTGCCTTTGACATTTCCCTGATGATGTGGTATTATATGGCCAGCAAGTTAACAGACCCAAGTGGGTCAGGCCTCAGGGTTTGAGACTAGAGCCTGGAAGCCACCAGGAGGTGGAATTCCACCAGTACTTCTCTATCTTACCCAAGACGTGAAGGTGCAGCATAGCTTGATAACATGCTTCTCCCAGGGCATGTGAATCCAGCTGTAGAGCTCAAAAACAGTTTTTATCTGGTTCTTCATGGTCCTCCTAAAGAGTCCATGAAATTGTTCAGGAGAGCGTAAACATGATCTGGGCCTACTTTGTGAAGCAATGGGCCCATTTTCCTCTGCTCTCCCAAGGCCAGCGGTCAGACTATAATACTTGGATCTGAGAGGGGAAAGACCTCATTGCTTCTTGATGCAAATATTTTCTTCCAATCTGTGGCTTGTCTTCTCATTCCCCTAACAATGTCCTTTACAGAGTAGAAATGCTTGATTTTCATAAAGACCAGCTTAGTAATTATTTATGGTATAGATTGTACCCTTGGTGTTGTGTCCAGGAAGTTACTGCCAAACCTGAAGTCATCTAGATTTTCTCCTATGTTATCTAGGATTTTTATGGGTTTGCATTCTACATTTAGGTCTATGATCCATTTTGAGTTAATTTTTGTAAAGCTTGTAAAGCCTGTGTCTAGACTTGGCTTTTTTGCATGTGGATGTCTAGTTGTTCTAGCACCATTTGTTGAAAATCTCATTGCTATCTTGAAGATAAGCCATGGTGCCTGGAAATCTTCAAAAGTCAAAGGAGTGTCACTGCTGTCTCATGATATCACTTTGAAGGGCAAAATGCAACTGTTATTTTTACCATCAGGGTCTGCAGATAGGTAGACAAGTTCCACGTGGAGGGTTCTGCTTTTGCTTGGGCCAACGGACAAGCACACAACACCACAAAACCTGTTTCTGGTAGACAAGTTCCATATGAAGGGTTCTTCTTTTGCTTGGGCCAACAGACAAGCACACAGCACCACAAAACCTGTTTCTGGAATCAGGCAAGGAAAAAGGTGTGACCAAAACTAAGTGTGCCTTCTTTTCATCTAGACCTTCCATTTGGGATCTATTTACTTCTTATTGAAGTATATCCTCTAGAATTTTATTTATTGAGGGTCTTTTGGTGATAAGTGTCCTCCACTTCGGTTTTTGAACATGTCTGTCACATCTATAAAGTTTTCAGCCATCATTTCTTCAAACAGTTTATACTAGTCACTTCTTATGGAACACAGATTAAGCATACGTTAGTATTTTACTCTGTCTTCTGTATCTGTTAATCTCAGTCATGTTGTTAATTCATGTCTTTCTGGACTACTTTCTGGATATTTACTTTTCATCTGTCTTCTAGAACTATCTTCGTGTTTACTCTTTCTCCAGCTGTATCTAATCTGCTGTATTAAACAGATTCAGTCACTGAATTTTAAATTTCAGTCATATTTTCATTTATAGAAGTCCTATTTCATTCTTTTTTGAATCTGCTTGGCCTTTTTTTTGAAATAGGATCTCACTCTGTTGTCCAGGCTGGAGTGCACTGGCATGATCATGGCTCACTGCAGCCTCTGTCTTCTGGGCTCAAGTGAGCCTCCCACCTCAGCCTCCTGAGTAGCTGAGACTATAGGTGCATGCCACTGTGCCTGGCTAATGCTTGGCCATTCTTTATCATCTTTTTTTCTCTTCATTTTAAGTTTTATTTAAATATATTTCACATGATTATTTTATATTCATTATTTAAATAATTCTAATATATGGAGTCTTTGCATCTATTTCTGCTGAATTTTGAATCATTGTTAGGAAAGCCTACCTCCTTCCAAAACTATAAAGACTTCTCTTCATGCTTTTGCTCAATATTTTTATATTTTTTCACATTTATACTTTGACCTATTTGGAATTTACCATGTGATATGGTGGGAGATAGAGATCAAGTTAATTTTATTTCACATGGTTATCCAGTTATCCAAACACAATTGAATATTTCATCTTTTTCCTGGTGATCTGAGATGCCACCTTTATCAGACATGAAATTTCTAGATACAATTAGTGCTATTTCTGGACTTTTATTTTCTGCTTTATCTGTTTGTCTTGTTGTATACTTATTTCCCATATCCAGTAGGTCTTTGTCTTTTTACTTTTGTTGAACTTCTTTTCTCTAATAAGTAATAACACCAATGGTAAAATCCACATGCTGTCAAAGGATATACAGTGAGACATGCATTGCCCTTTGGGCTCTTTTGCATTTTCAGTTCTCTTCCCAGGAGATAATCCATGTTACTAGTTCTTATATATGTTATATATCTCTTTAATCTTTTCCCTTTTTATTTAAAAATAAATCTAGAAAATAAAATGCAAAAATACAGGAAATCAAAAGGATAATGGGCACATGTAGTATGCAGAGGCTGTCTTATTTATATTTGGGCCAAGATCTTGGGAGAATATGAGGATCTTTGATCTGCCCTTAATCCCTCAACACCCCTAGACCCCTCAGCTAACCTCGAGGCTGACATGGGACTGTGAGTTGAGGCCTGCCTGGATCCTGGGCCCAGCCTGAGGCTGCGCTCCCTGGGATGATAGCTTTATAGTTCATGCTGCCTGCTACGGAACCCAAGTGTGTGTTCTAAAACATGAAACTAGGCCTGGGCGTTGGAGAACCTTCCTTCACTGCCATCCTTAATCACCACTGACCACTGCAGTGCTTGGTTCACTTGTTTAGTAATTCGTTTGGAATGATTGATTAATGAAAGAGTTAGGTGCAAAGTCCCAAGCGGGGTGCTGGGGTCAAAAGAATCACGGTTGATTTCCACAGATTTGTAGGGTACCTATGACGTGCCTCACATCAGAGCCACATTAGTGATCCCAGGCCTTCCCCACCCCTCCCTCACCTTTGTATACAGCTCCCAGCACAAGGCCAGATATTCCGCAGCTACATGGTAAATAGTTTTTTATTGAAGGCTAAGAAGACCAGTTAGAGGAATGATGAGTTTCAGGGGGAGGGAGTATTGGTAATGTCAGATACTACCAGGAAATTGATGAGGATGAAAATTAAACTAGACCCCTGGATTTTTAAATGAAACATGATTAGGATTAACACGGGGGCAGAGTGGGCCACACCTGTGTGAGGGGAGGTATGCAGCAGGGCAGCTGTTGCTGGCAAACAGTAGGGCGTTAGAAATGTAGCAAGGGCTGATCCTCATGTCTGCCAAAAAAAAGCCACAGAGGAGGTCTCGGCAATACCTTGAAAAGCAGAGGAAGTCAGGAGCTGCCCAGCTGATTAGAGATAGCAGTGTCCCAGGAGTGGGACCCAGCATCCCAGGTGTCCTCCGTGGATGACCATCAGGACGGGCTTCTAAAAGAGCTATTAACACTTTGTCACTGAAAGGAGAAGGAAGAAGGTAAGAATTCCACAAATGTCTTTTCTCCCACTGTCTTCCTGTTAAAATACCAGCAACCGATAGAACATATTTACAGTGTTTCTGCTTGCTTTCTCCTGCCTGAAGGCTTCTATGTCTAGTCAAGTCAACCCAGAGTAAAATCTGAAAGCAAAGAGCCACTCCTCAGAGCTATAAATAAACTCTAGCAAGAAGACAAACCCAAAGGGTATTAATCATTGTCAGCCTCCGTCTCTTCCCACCACCCTCTTCCAGTTCTGGTTGCCAAGAAGATGACATAAAACCTCTTTGGGTTTGCCAGGCTGCTCCACTCAGCCTAACTCTCTGACCCTGGATCCCTCCCTTTCTTCCTCCTCTTCCCACCCCACCTGCTTCCTTTTTAGGCAAGTGCATCTTCCATTTAGTGGCTAGAACATGTGGGTTCCCTGGCACCCAGTGCTGGGCTCTTTAAAGGCCGATAGTAGCGCCTGGTGCTGAGATACCCTCTCACGGGGTTGACATCACCCCATCTGCCTACAGGGGACACTCTGGGATTTTATAGAAGGCGCGTTCCCTGCAGAGCTGTGGGAGCCATGTGGAAACAAACCCAAGGCCTCTGGAAATGGCTAATGTGTTGGTTTCCCTTGCCATCGATATTCTGATTGATGCTCCTTGTGGTAACTAGTAGCTGAGGTAGTCTTTGGTTCACATTTATGTTGCCTCTATAAATCTGAGTATTGACTGCTAAAAGTCAATATCTGCTGTTCATTCAGAAAATGAGGGTACTTAACTTGAGTAGCATTGTTTTTCTTGCCCTTTCACTCCCACCCCAGGCCCTGGCAGTCTCTAGTTCATATTCTAACTGTGGCTTGTAATACTAGTTTTAGGGACTTCGGGGGAAGTGCTCTGAATTCTAGGTAAAGGTGGAACAGTTAAGTTCCAAAACATCTGCCGTATGTTGAACAGTTACTGTGTGCTAGGCACTGATTAAATGCTTTACATTTGGTAATTCATCGAATCCTCAAACCACCTAGCTTTCTTAGGAGTAAATTGAGGTTCAGAGTTTAAGTAACTTCTCCAAAATCACACAGCACAGAAACCTTAGCAGTCAGAGGAATTGGACCCCAGAGCACTTCATCCACTTGGCATTTCCTTTGTCTTGAAGCAGCCACCGTACACCTCAGGAAGACTGGTAAATGCCCGGTCCCCAAGGCTGGCTCGATGAAGACACAGCCTGAGGGGACAGACTCTGCAACAGTCATGGGTGATTGCCAGAGACATTCCTGTGGCCTCGTATGGGCAGGGAGGACAGGGGTCCTGCAAGATAGGCCTTGAAGGATAGGCAGCCCTGGACAGGGATGAGGAAAGTCTAGAGCGCACAGGCAGGAGGTGGGTGTGAGCACAGGAGGGGCGAAGTCCCCTGGAGTGACATGTGCTGGCCCGCCGGGAAGGGGCGGTCTGGTGCATGTTAGAGCTGCTGCTGTAGCAGTGGCAGAGCAAGCGAGGTACTGGGCAGAGAGCTGCCCTGAGGAGCCACAGCAGGCGTCGGAGAGGGCAGTGCCCAGTCAGGTATGGGGAGCTTGTGTCACTCAGTGGCACTGAGGAGGGCTGGAGAGTGGGAAGCTTTTTGGCCAATGTCCTTTCATTGTCCCCTTAGCGAAGAGGAGGTGGAATCCTAGGTGTTGGAGCTTAGGCAAATCCTTAGACAAGCAGTCCTCAGCATCGGGAATCCACACCGGCAGACAGCACAGAGGCCAGGCTGGTAAAGACCTCAGGAGCTATAGTGCCCTCTCAGGGGCCTCCCTTTCTATGACACACTCACACTGCTCTAAAAACAGCCATGAAAAAAGAACCTAGAAAGTCTTCGCATGCTCAGAACCATTTTTTGGGAGAAGCAGGATTAAGCAGGCTGGGACAGAGTGTCTGAGGGTAAGGGGGCTTGTGACCTGTGGTACCAAAGGCCAGCTGGGGCAGCCGATAGCAGAAGTGCCTGCAGCTTCTCATCTATCCAGTGTTATAATTATTTTCATTTTGAAAGGAAAATATGCAGAAGATAAATTCAAACAGCACAAAAGGGAGTAGAGCAAAACGTCTCCCTCTGACCAAGTCCCTGATTCTGCTCCCAGTGGGCGAAGCTGCTCCCCTGTCTTGATGAACATGTGTAGCCCGATTGCAGACGTCGCCTCCTCCCCCAACACAGTGCAGCCCACGAAACTCACTGTTCTGCTCCTCGCTCTTTCGCTTTGAGTCCATCTGGGAAACCGTACCATGACAGGGCTCCTTAAATGAGTTTCCTCTTTACATTATACTCTTCAAATCATTTCATTTCAGCAGACATCGCTGATTGTTCACCCCTTCCTGAGATGAATTAAGAACAAATGGCTGTGGTTTTCCCTATCAAAACAAACATACATATTAACCATTTCCTTGTAACTTAATTGAGAGTCCTTGACAGCAAGTGATTGGTGGGTCAGAGGTCCTGCCCAGCTGCCAGCCAGGCCTTGGAGTAGAACAGGTTTCTCAGGGCCTCCCCAGGCACCTTCTCCTTCCCAGGGCCTTGACTTCTACTGCCTGAGCCACTGGCTCTGCACGCTCTGCTGTGGTCAGACAAAAGCCCCAGACCTCATTCCAAGGTAGAGATGCCTGTGGGGGCGCCCTGGGTGCTGTGTTCCATCAAGGCAGGTCTGGCAGCACCGAGGTTAATCGAGTTCAAGTGCATTTTTCAAACATATGTTAACTGTTAAGCATAACAGCAAAGAGTAAACTATTGGCAGAGGAAACACCAGGTTTTCTGTTGCTTTTTTCCTCCTTTTGGCACAAATCCATCCATCGAAATCATCCAGTTATAGATAGAGGAAATCGAGGCAAAGGAAGTGCAGTTTTCTCCTGGTAATCAAGCTTGTCGCACTTTTTTAACAGTGCAGTTGTAGCCTCAACAGTAGTAGCTTGAATTTACTGAGTATACTAAGCATTTTACTTGGTAACTCATTAATCTCATAAGCCTAGAGGTAACCTCAGGTATCACTCCCCCTGTACAGAATAGGAAACTGAGGCTTAGATGCACTTGGCCACATCTTACAGATAATTACAGGAGCTGGGATCCAAACCCCGACGGTCTGTCAGCAGACCCCGGGCTCTCACCACAGTGCCATTTGCGATTGCTGCCCTCCCCTGCAGACAGAGCGGGCAGCTGAAACAGCACCAGAGGTGAGGAAGGCAGAGGAAAACTTCCTGACAAGGAAGATATTCGGGCACTGAGTTGGGTTGGTGGGTTAGATTAAGGTAATGTTTGCTAAGAATCATAGCTCCCCTGTGTTATTATGTATAATGTAAACTTATTTATTTTTTACTTTGAAATAGGGCTGAAAGTTCCAGTCAGTGGAACTTACTTTACAGATTCCCAAATTAAGCTGCATTTCCATCTTATTGGGAGACTTTGTGGGAAGGCAGAAGACTGGACCAAATGCTGTCTCTGAGACCCCTGGCTCCTCCTGGACTTTTCGGAGGAGTCTGCAGTGGGCTTAACAACAGTAGAGGAGTTTGTGTCAGGCTTGGAACCATCTTTGGAATACTACTTTCAATCACTGCTGTAGGTTTTATTTTCTCTATGGAATTCTGGTTCCTTTGAGGCCCCTGGGACAAGCAGATGGAGAGCTTTGCTGTGGCCCAGAGCTCCCAGCTGATGGCTGGGCAAGCTTCAGACCCTGCCACTCAACCTCCTGAAAAGGTGGGATGGGGGCAATGGATTCTGGGATGCGGCTGCAAACACTCAGAGCCACCAAGGGAATTGGAGGAGGTTGTGGTGTGGTCAGAATGCAGGAAGCTCTTAGCAGTCACCTTCCGATTGGGGTTGATTGGGTTAAGGCCTTCTGGGATGGTGTAAAACAGTTCTGAACTCAAAGGACTGCTGATGGAAGGATGATGAATCGAAAGAAATACAATAAACAGATTCCTTGTCATGTTGTTGGCCTTGTAGCAAACATGTTTTCTCCTTGGGATTACGTGAACATTTGCTTTTCTTTGATTTCTGGTTGTTATTTTCAGTATTTCTTTTGTTAAATGAGCTCTGTTTTACAGAGCTTCAGACAGCTCCGTTAAAGCCCCTGACTCTTTCCTATTGCAAGGGTTGTGTTTAGAGTTTGGCTCAGCCTCAACACATCACCTGTTAGCTGTTAGGAGTCTAATTCTGCAAACCATGACTTCATCTTGCTGAAGGAAGATAGACAAAATGCTTCAATACAACAGATATGTTTTAGTTCAAGACATTTGGAAAAAAGAAAAAGGACCCTAAGCCTTTCGTCTCTGGGTGGACTTGCAAAGTAGACCTGTCAAAGGTATTCATGTTCAGACGGCTGGTCTGTAGTCAAAAAGGCTGCCAAACCATGCTGTTATCCAAGGATGTGGGAATTTTGTCAAGCGGCCTTAAAACAGTCATGTTCAATGAAGCTGGGGAACGTTTGGCCCAGGATGTCCCTGCAGGGCTTGCAGCTCTGAGGAGAGGGAATATGGTTGCATCATCTAGGCCACTACAGATGATGGTGCCAGCCACTCACTAGTTGCCAGAGACTGGCCCTGGCCAGGAGTGAGAACCAGAGGCTTATGTGTTTTGAAAAACAAAAATCTTAGAAGAGTTAATGAGCTGGCCAGTTTGCTCACCATTCAACTTGTTCCCTTTGCACCATTTATAATTGGGAACTTTACCACACTTACAGTCCTCTTCAGAGCAGACCCTAAGCGCCTTGGGCCCCAAATCAGTCTAGTATTGGTCATTGGTAACAAAACTTAGACTGTCACCGACTGAGAATACTTGGCTTGATGGGGTGGAGAACCTGGTAAGGGGTTCTGTTTCTTCTCCTAATTGTTCTTTTCCGTTTCTTCCTGTGGTTTCTTATGGATTCCATTTATTTTGGTTACAGCCTCCAGGCTGTGGCTCCTGAAAATTTCCTTCAAGAGAGAATCCAAGGGCTGAGCTCTGGAAACTCTGGAGAAAAGGATTTTTGTGTCCATAGATCTGGTGTTTTCCTGGTTATCTTTCTCAGAATCGCTTTTCTTTTAGACCAGCCACAGACAAAACAGAGACTCACAAAACCTTCCAAAACATGAAATGAATTGAGTGCAAGAACCCACCCTCCCCCTTGTAGGAAGGCATCGGCTCCATTCACTTTGAGGCAGAGGCTTAAGTTGGCTCTGTTCTAGCCTAGGAGAAAGCCCTCCTTGCTGGTGGGAATGTGAGGGCCATCCCAGTGTGCATGGGGGGCAGGCAGGCATTGCTGTACAGCCCTGAGCCTGGGGCCTCCATGACTTTGCCCTCCATATTATTGCAAAGCAGAGGATCACTTACAGGGAAGAAAACTACATCAGGACATCTCCTTTGGTGACGTGTGCCCTGTCCCAATTCCTCAGCAGTCAGTCACCCTCTCCGCTCCCCCCTGAATAGGAACATGCCCTGGAGAGCAGATGGGAACCGTTCCATCTTGTTGAGTTGCTGGCATTTTGCACCTCTGCTGTCTCTGCAGCAGGCAACTCTTTCTTAGCCAGGAAAGCCCTTTACGATGGCTTTTTCTAAACCTGGACTAAGGATGAGAGGGTGAGTATTACTGATGGTTGGCAGGGGATGAGTGTGTATTCTGGGTTACTGCTTTTGTTAAGTCGGGCACCCTCCATTTTCCCTGGCCATGGTGAAATGCCCCGGCCCTCTGCTGCTGCAGCACAGGAGAGGGGTGGGACACTGAATATACTTCTCATAAAAGGTGTGTTTCTGAGGTGCTCTGTCTTGTGTGTCCCTTAACGATGGGGTTACTATGGTAACTATCCATCTGAAAAAAATGCAAGAGTAAACAGAAGATAAAGCTCTTGCTTAACTAGCTGGAAGGTGGATCTGTGCCCCTCTTTGTTATCCCTACTTGACACAGCTCCCTCCTCCCTACCCACAGGGCTGAGGGCCCACCCTATGGTGGTAGGAGTATGGAGAGGCAGTAATTTTGGCTTGTGCAGATAAAAGATGAGCTGGGGTTTTGCAAAAAGGAAGAGTCTTGGATTCTGGGGCTCCTTGGTAAAGAAGGCAACAGAATGACATCCCTGCCCAGCTCTTTCTAAGGAGCTGAGATGCTCCTCCTTCTGCCCCTCCTTATCCACCTTGCTACTCACTGTCACTTACAGGTTGGTCCAGTGTGGCATCCCTGATTCCCAGTTGAATAGCAAAACATAAGCATGGTCCTTCAAGTTTCTCTAATGGAGAAACTGAGGCTACTGAACTTTTCAGTCACAAAGTAAGAGCATAAAGGGGTAAAGCTTGCGAAGCCAGGGATAATGTCCTCTAGCTCCTGGAGAATCCATTTTCAGGTTTCTCAACCCGATGTGCTTACTTCTGGGCTACTCTGTTGCTTTCTGTTCTTTACATACTACCTGCCCTCACCCAAGTCAGGGGCCCAACCACACTCTTCAGGTCTTTTTATCCATCATTCTCATTTTTCCTGCACAAAAAAAAAGTGAAGGCAGCACTGCAGAAAATATAGACCACATCCCTCCCCTCCTCCCCGACCACCAACGGCCACTGAGCCTTCTCTCAGGGAGGGCCTTCCTCCAACGTTTTGGGCAGGAAGAGGAAACAGGCCACCTCCACTTTCCTGAGAAACTGTACCTTCAAACGATTTTCTTGCCAAAGGGTTGGGCTTAGGACTTAGCAAAACAGGTCACCACTGTGGGCATTCTCCTTCTGCCTCCCTTCCTCTCTGTTAATGAGGGGGCAGATAAAGCATTCTTGGCACATTATGGTCAGAAGATTGTAATCCATCAGCCTCCTCCTGTATATTCTGGCTCTGCAGATACCGATGGCCCAAAACTTCGTTGTGGCCTCCAAAAGGGGAAGGTTGTGGAAGGGAGGGGAAGCCAGCAAAGTGGGCTACAGCTCAGTGGTGCTTGATATGCCTCTCAGGCCTTCCTGCCGTGAGGATTCTGCCCAGCACCCATCGTGGCTGACTCTCCTTCATGTTCCATTGCTCCCAGGCTCTGTGTTCTTGTTGGGCTTAGACTCTTGGTTTGGCATCCTCTTGGGCCGTGGGCAGGACAGTGGCATTACGGATGTGCTCTCCCGCCCATGAACACAGGAGAATGAAGGCCAAGCTGGGCTGGCCAGGCAGGCGCTTCTGCATTCACAGTACCCAGGGCCCAAGGTCACATAGGCATCACAGGCACCTTTTTGGCTTGGCCAAGGTGGGCCCATCACTGCTGGGCATTGGGACACTACCACGATCAATGATAGGGAAGCTTCAGTGAAAATGCTGGGTGGCCATCTCCCTCCTCCACTGGTAAACTAAACTGTGCTGACACTGGTACAGGGAAGGGAATAGCGTTGTGGAGACTGATGGGTGAAAGTGGGAAATGTGAGCCCCTCCACCAGATTCCATGTAAGCACTGGCTATCTTGCCTTCCACCCTGCCTTAGTTTTGTGGCTCTCACATGTATAAAGCCCAGGTAAGGGACCCTGTGGCATTCTTTATCACTCTCTGTATCACTGGCATGTGTAGCCCTGCAGGCCTGGGAACACTGAGAAGACAGGGGCCTCCTGGTGCCTTGGGTCCCTCCTGCCAAGCACAGAGTTGTGTGTCATCAGTATGGTGATTACTGAGCAAAGGAATTCCTGCCTTGGATTTAGGGGGAAACCTGCTATTTCAAGTGTGTCTGATCTCCTCCCGCCCCTGCCCCCAAAGCTAATATGAGAGTTTCCTTGAGTAGCCAAGCAATTTTTCAGCTTTACACACATACAGCAGGTTATTTGCATTGGGTGGAGCTGTTAGTACCTCTTAAAAATGCATGCCCTGTGTCATACCGTAAATTTTTAACACACGATTTTTATGCAGCTAGAATTTTCTTCCTAGTTATTTCATAATGATTCTGAGTGCTGGTGTTGCTGGAGAAATCTAGTGTTTACAACATAACTAAATATTAGAAATTCTTTAGTACTGGGAGGAGGTCAGATTTGAGTTGGGCCCAGAAGGGTAGCCTAGAATGACATCCCAGTGTGGGCAGAATTGCAGAAGTGGAGAATATAAGATCCATTCTGGGTCTATCCGTATGCCTCACTAAGAAAACAAGGAGACAGTGATGAGGTTGACAGGTTACCAAGAGAACTGTAATGCCAAGGAGAAAACCAGGTTTTGCCAAAGGGTACTTCCTAGTTCCCACCATCTTTGGTGCTGTGGAAAACCTGTCTTGTCTTGTGAGACTGTGCCCAGATGGCAGGTAAATCAGCTCTTAACTTAGTACTAACTATGGGTTATGCTCATAGCCCTTCTAGTTTTTATTTTCTTGCATACATTTTATTTTGAAAAATTTCAAACATACAGAATGTCAAGAATACACTGATTTCATCACCTTACATATTTGTTTCCTTGTGTTAAGAACTTTTAAAATCTATTATTTTAGCAATTTTTAAATATACATGATTGTTAACTATAGTTACTATTCTGCACAATAGATCATTAAAACTTCTTCTAACTGAAACTTTATGTCCTTTGACCAACATTCGCCCCGACCCCACCCCCAGTCCCTGATTCCACATAGAAATGAATTCATGCTATATTTGTCCTTCTGTGCCTGGCTTATTTCACTTAGCATAATGTCCTCCAGGTTTATCCATGTTGTTGCAAATGACAGAATTTCCTTGAAAGAGGAATGTTCTTATAATCATATACCTAGATTTAACAACTGTTAACATTTTGCCATATTTGCTTTATTCCTTAGAGCTTTTTCAGAATGGAGGGCAAGTTGTAGGCATCAAGATGCTTCACCCCTAAATACATCAGCATGTATCTCCTAAGAACAAGGATGCTCCCTACAGAATGGCAATACCATTATTACACTTAAGAAAATAATCCCGTGTGTCTGATACCCAGTCCACATTCAGAGCTCTTCAGTTGTCTCCAAAATGACTTTCCTAGCTTTTATTAAAAGAATCAGAATTTCATCAAGGAGTGACACATTATATTTGGCTTTTACATCTTTTTCACCTTTTGAATCTACAACAACCTCCCCCCACACACACACACTTTAAAAAATGTATTTGTGATGTTGACTTTGTAAAGAATCCAGTCACATCCTTCCAGTTTTGCATCCAGATGTGCAGGCATTCAGCATTGATGTAATCAACAAAGATTTAACAGGCCTCCTCAATAGCAAGCCATCCTGTCCTTGAAACTCTAAGCAGGCATGGTATACTCTCAGGGACCACACTGAGGACTTTGGGTTTGGCCCTGGTGACATCTGCAGTGCTAACTGCAAGCACCCTTTCTGGGAAATGAGAGCTGGAACTGGGTTCAGATCTCAGCCCTCCCACTCACTCACTCAGTGATCTTCAGCTGGTCCCTTCTCCCTCAGCTTCAGTTCCTTCATCTCCCAAACAAGGGCATTGGACCTGGGGCTTCCTAGGTCCCACTCAGCTTTGCCATTCAGCACCTCTGTGACTCTGCCCACAGCTTTTCACCTCAGGGTAGCTGCTTCCTGAAGCAGCTGCCTCTGCCCATTCCTGGCACTGTGAATGTGGGGACCGGGGCGGGGACACATGGTCCTCTAACATGACCATACACTCATCTCTGCTCCCCACAGCGGAGATTCTGGAGCTGGCTGGCAATGCAGCGAGAGACAACAAGAAGGGACGGGTCACACCCCGGCACATCCTGCTGGCTGTGGCCAATGATGAAGAGCTGAATCAGGTATGGGCCTCTCCCATCTCCCACTGATGTTTGAGCAGGTGGTCATACTGCCCAAGAAACATAGCTGAGAGGCTTTGGTGTTGGCTGGTTATGAAAGGTGTGGACTGCCTTTTGGATTAATTAGCAGCTTCTCTGCCTCCCATGGCAGTTTTTCCCCAAGGCCTTATTGGGAGTGTTGGGGGAAGCAGGATAATACAAGGTATTTGGCTCTCCCGAAAGGAGAGAGATGATCTAAATTCCATTTGAGTGAGGGACTCTGGGGACTGGATCCCTGAGCAGTGAGCTTGAGTCCTGGCAGCATCCTCATGGAGGATGCCATGGAGGAAGGAGCTGCACCAACCCAAAGCAAGACTGTCCTGGGCAGGGCTGGCTTCTTGAAGGTTAGAAGCAGGGTATCTGGCTCACTATCTGCTATTCTGGTTTTCCTGAAAGCTGCTAAAAGGAGTCACCATAGCCAGTGGGGGTGTGTTACCCAACATCCACCCCGAGTTGCTAGCGAAGAAGCGGGGATCCAAAGGAAAGTTGGAAGCCATCATCACACCACCCCCAGCCAAAAAGGCCAAGTCTCCATCCCAGAAGAAGCCTGTATCTAAAAAAGCAGGAGGCAAGAAAGGGGCCCGGAAATCCAAGGTATGTGATTTGGCCAGAATGTATGAAGTGGGATAGGATGGGGTACGGATAAACAGGGTTACCAGGGCACCCCCCTCATTCCCCCTGTGGGCTCATCCCACTGATGGGAGAATAAAGGAGGAACATGTAGGAGCTGATTACTCTCCAGAGGGGCTAGTCCAACACAAGTAGCCAGAGTCAGGAGGCCCTCCCAGAGTCTGGACCCAGTTGAAGGACAGAACCTCTGTAGGCAAGGGGGATGGGTGGTGGGCTTTCAGGGATAGTGTCAAGCTGGAAGGACTCCCAAGCTGGCCCTTCCAGGGAGATGCACACACCTGTGGGAAGGGGGCTTCCCTGTGTTAGGGGACAGCCACTGTCTAGTCCTGTGGCCAGCTACCTGCATGCCCTGATGCTCAGTTGCAGAACTCTCATGTTGCCATGGCTGCATGTCTTCCATCAGGGCGCTCTAGACAGTTCACTCCAGAATGGTTGCCTCTGTCAAGGAGGAAAATGGATGTATTACTCAGGTGCTTCTTCCTGGGCCTAACTTGGATTGGCTGGGTCCTAGGTGCTGGAAACCCTCTCATTAGTGTTATCTAATGTCATCTTGGGTGGAGAAGGCCAGCAGACTCCAGGTCATGATCCTCAGTGTGGAGGAGCACCCTCCGGAGGTCCAGGCCTGTGATTGCTGTGCTCACCTGTCTGAGCATGAGCTGGAGACTACAAGGCAACTGGGATACATTTTCTTTGTTCCTTCTTTGCCCAGTCCTACTTGTCAGCAGTTGTCACAGCCTCCAGAGCCAACAAACAATGGACAGTGCCACCAAATCTTGGTCTCTAAGAAAATGGAATCTTGAGGCTGCCCTGCTCTGAGGTACCCCTTAAGGAGTCCTCCTTCTGGCCTCCAGCCAGATCAGGAGGAAATTACCCATGGCAGAAGGTGACCTCTGTATTTTGCAAGACCCTCAATAAGAAGTCCTGGAAATGCATCTGTGGAATCTAATGATGCAGTGTCAGGAAGTTCTTCCTACATGAGCCCAAATCCTCTCACCTGAGTGAGACAGTGAGGACACCTTCCCAGGACAGGCTCAAGGAGCTGTGACCAGGTGAACAGAGCTCCTCCTGTCCTGTCAGCATGTCCTCTCCTTTGAGCCTGCCTGTGCCTCAGGCAGACTGGCTTTCACCCGCATGCAGGGACATCTTCTGTGAACCCCAACCTTCTTGCATCCACACTGTTTGTGGCTTTTAGTTGAGGTGAAAGAGGCTGTATTTCTTTGCATGCACAAAATCTAAATTCCTCTTGCCAACATGCCACCCACCCTTAGGCCCAGAATCACTCCCAGCTCTTTGAGAGAGAAACCCAATATTGAGGAGTGTCCTATAAGTTATTTCCAGACACTTGCATTCCATCTAGCTCACAAGTCCTGGAAGAGGCTTGAGGCCAGGCAGGGATTTCACAGAATGCGCCACTGCTCATTCCTGCTAACTATAGAATTAGCAGATTGGAAAGTTTCTTTTTCCCTTTCAACATATGCATTTGGGAGGAGGGCGGGGAAGGGAAGGCAGGAGGAAAGTGCTTGTGCAACCCTTTCTAAATGTTAAAAAGGCAACGAAGATACTGAATCTATCATCTTTTGATTATGAGCCCCAGAGACCTGGCTGCCCACAGAGCAGGGCCCTTGGTGCTGAGGACCAGCAGGGGCAGGACCACGTCCTCAGCTTAGCCTTTGCCCTGGCTGTGTCCTGAGCCATCACCCTCCTTCATGCGTTCACTGTTGATACTTGAGTGGGTCTCTCAGATGCCAGTGTCTGCTGGCAAACCTGGGCTGAATCTTGTTCCTGTTACTCTAGTCTTCCCCTAGTAGTTTTTGTTCTATGACTTTCTGAACTTTCCAATTTAGTAAACACTAGGAATTCATCTTACTTTTTGGACTTGAAGTATTTGGAGTGGGGGTGTCTTTAGCTCCTAGTAGCTATATTTGGAACTTAGTGTTTCTAATAACCATATGCCAATAATCACTCGACCACTCAAATTTCCCTTGATTACAAAAGCAGGAAGCCTGTTATGGTGGTCTGTTTTTCTTCCACACAATAAAACACATTGTCTACTTACTGTACCAGTATTTGGCTAACATTAAACCCTGGGGGAAGCTGAAATTGGAACCGTGAACAGCTAATTTTCAAAACATTTGTTTAATGTAAATTGTGGTGTCAGCTCCCAGAAACAGCAGAAAAGCCTGCATCTCTAGGTTTAAGTGGAATGTTCTGAAAATAACCTTTCCAGGGACATGCAGAGAAAGCCTTAGTAACATGCTAAAGCACTTGTAGTGAGAGTTGGTATTTTTCAGGTGTCAACACTTGAATTCCAAATCATAATTTTTCCCACAATTCTACATAATTTGGAGGTTTTGAAAATCTCCAATTGTGACAGCTGAGTCAGCTGTAGTGGAAATGGTTGGAGAAGGCAACAAACTGCACCAGGGGCTGGGTGTCCAGAGCCTGACTGTACACTAGGGCTCCTCTCTACTTGGGTGGCTTCAGGCAAGTCTGTTCCCTCTCTATGCCTCAATTTACCTCCATCTATAAAATGATCAGGTCCATTCCAGCCTTACAATTCAGTAACCGTATGCATATTACATAATGTTTTTGAGTAGGGCACATGTATGAGTTTGGACAAAAGAGTATGCAGTAAAAAAAATTTTGCTCCCACTGTAGTCCCTCACCCTACTTCTCCCCAGGGCACACTCAGTGAGTTTTTATGTCTCCTTTCAGAAAGTCTGTGCATATAAAAGCATATAGAGATGTAAATCCCTCCCCATCCTACTTGCTCTTTTTTTTTTTTTTAAATAAAAATCGTATGAGCCCCCTATTTTAGCAGTGTGGCATAGTGATTAGGGGTGCAGGCTCTGGGGTTAGCTATTTCCTAGCTGCATGATCTTGGCAGGTTGCAGAACATCTCTGGTGTTCAGTTTCCTCATCTTTAAAAAGGAGATGTAACACAAGTGGTTGTGAGGCTTAACAGAATTCATGGAAGTGCATAGAACCATGTCTGGCACCTGTGTTCACTGCCCCTGTCATATTCTGGGCAGTCCTTCCATGTCTCTGCATGTAGAGCTGCTTTAGTGTTGCATAGGATGACTGGTCACTTATGTGATATATAAAAACAGTGTAGCCAGCTGAATTAGTCCATTCTTACGCTGCTGTGAAGAAAGGCCCAAGACAGCAATTTATAAAGAAAAGCAGTTTAATTGAGTCACAGTTCCACATGGCTGGGAAAGCCTCAGGAAACTTAGAATCATGGCAAAAGGCACCTCTTCACAGGACAGCAGGAGAGACAGGAGCAAGCAGTGGAAATGCCAGACACTTATAAAACCATCAAATTTCATGAGAACTCATTCACTGTCATGGGAACAGCACAGGGGAAACCATCCACCATGATCCAGTTACCTCCACCTGGTCTCACCCTTGACACATGGGGATTATGGGGATTACAATTTGAGGTGAGATTTGGGTGGGGGGCACAGAGCCAAACCATATCATCACCCTTCTACAAGTGGACTTTTAGATTGTTGTAGCGTTCATTCTGACAAACAGTAACTGTCATTGTTTGTGGATCTCTGTCCTCACATGCAAGTAAATGTATAGGATAAAGTCCTCAAAGTGAACTTACTGAGGCAAAGAGTGAGTATATTTTTAGCTTTGGCTATTACTCACTTTTAGGGCATTTTAACTACATTAATCTCAAAAACTGCCTCATCTTTTTAACATTTAATACTGAGTTTTTAAAAAATGAATATTCATTAGACCAATTTGTATCTAGTCTGTATGCACTAGTTACTATTCTCAGTAGTGGAGATGTGGCAGAGAACAAAGTCCCTGCCTTCCCTCAGTGTTCAGGGAGGAGGTGCAGATTCATTACAGAAGGCAGGAGGGAGTAGCTGCTATGACAAAAATAAAGTGGCGTGATGGCAGAGCCAGTATTATTTTACATAGGCAGTGAGGTGAGGTTACTCTCATGATACTGGAGCAGAGCCCCAGCAGAGTAAGGTATTTGGCCATTGAAGTGACTGGGGGCAGAGAGCTCCTGGCAGAGGAATGGCAAGTAGGCCTGAGGTGGGAGCATGCCTGGCCCCTCTTAAGAGAACGTGATAGGACTTGCCTGTGGAATCCCTAACGTTTTTGTAACATGGATACTTTTGGCAGTGAGGGAAGCCTGGGGACCCTTACTCAAGATAAAGATTCCAAATGCATAAAATAAAATACCTAAAATTCAAAGGAAACTATGCCTAATTTTGTCCCTCAGGTTAAGATCCATCAGATGTACGCTAAGAATCATAGGATAACTTTCAGGGGATCTCTAAGAAGCCAGTTTTTGCCAAACTTTTGGATAAATAATGATCTCACCAGGGATTTTTTCAAACACAAACCATCAACAAACCTCACCCTATCCCCATGTGAAAACTACCCTCCTAGATCATAAATATAGGCTTGCTCCTTACCACCTGGCAAAAGCCCAAGGTGATTTTAGTAGAGTGCCTCTTTCTCTTGTTGAGGAATAAATATTTAAACTGCAAATTGAGTGATTAACGTTCTGGTAAGGGAAGCCAGAGAAAGGAATTGGTTCGTTTGAGAAGCTACTATTAGAAAAATTTGCTGGCCTTCTATTGAAATTTTAGGTTGTTCAAACATTAGAATAAGAGACTAAACATAGGTAAACATGGGGTGATGATTTTACATAAGTCTTTCTGGATGCTCAGTTCTACAGTTTCTTAAATGTCTCCCAGCTGACTCTGACCTAACAGGTTTTCTGCTGCTCAGAACAAAGCTGGGCGAGTGTCCAATACATGGAAATTTATGGGTTTGTAGGACAATATAAAATTATAACAGTCTTTCTGGAGCTGACAGAATTGCTTGCTAACTTTTATTTCCCCCAAACTGAGATATGAAAATAATCTACCACTTAGTAGATTCCATTTCATAGAAGAAAGGGCATTTTTTTTTATTATACTTTAAGTTCTAGGGTACATGTGCACAATGTGCAGGTGTGTTACATATGTATACATGTGCACAATGTGCAGGTGTGTTACGTATGTATACATGTGCCATGTTGGTTTGCTGCACCCATTAACTCGTCATTTACATTAGGTATTTCTCCTAATGCTATCCTTCCCCCAGCCCCACACCCTCCCACAGGCCCTGGTGTGTGATGTTCCCCGCCCTGTGTCTAAGTGTTCTCATTATTCAATTCCCACCTATGAGTGAGAACATGCGGTGTTTGGTTTTCTGTCCTTGTGATAGTTTGCTGAGAATGATGGTTTCCAGTTTCATCCATGTCCCTACAAAGGCCATCTGACAAAGGGCTAATATCCAGAATCTACAAAGAACTTAAATTTACAAGAAAAAATCAACCCCATCAAAAAGTGGGCAAAGGATATGAACAGACACTTCTCAAATGAAGACATTTATGCAGCCAACAGACACATGAAAAAATGCTCATCATCACTGGTCATCAGAGAAATGCAAATCAAAACCACAATGAGATACCATCTCACACCAGTTAGAATGGTGATCATTAAAAAGTCAGGAAACAACAGGTGCTGAAGAGGATGTGGAGAAATAATGCTTTTACACTGTTGGTGAGAGTGTAAACTAGTTCAACCATTGTGGAAGACAGTGTGGCGATTCCTCAAGGATCTAGAACTAGAAATACCATTTGACCCAGCCATCCCATTACTGGGTATATACCCAAAGGGTTATAAATCATGCTACTATAAAGACACATGCACACATATGTTTATTGCAGCACTATTCACAATAGCAGACTCGGAACCAACCCAAATTTCCATCAATGATAGACTGGATTAAGAAAATATGGCACATATACACCATGGAATACTATGCAGCCATAAGAAAGGGCATTTTAATACCAAAACATTAGGAAGAGACATGATTTCAGACAATAGGCTTTATGAAAAACTTGGGCATAGTTGCTATGATTTGAATGTGTTAACACCTCACAAGCAACTGTAACGACCTTAAGCACCTGCCCTGTTGTCCCGTTGGGTGGGTACCTTGAAGGGAAAAGGCAGAAGTTTTTTGCCAAGTGGGCAGGCTATATAGGACCAGGCAGTGATGGCTTGTCTCTGGAGTGCTTTACTACTTTCTAAGGCCAGTCGTTTAATCAGGAACTCTCCAGTCTTAGTCTCATTTTCTTTCTTTCTTTTTTTTTTTGTATTTTTGGTAGCAGTGGGGTTTTGCTGTGTTGCCCAGGCTGGCATCCTCCTGCCTTGGCCCCCCACAAAGTGTTGGGATTACAGGCATGAGCCACCACTCCCAGACCCAGTCTTATTTTCCAAATAAGGAATCTAAGGCTTAGGGAAAGGGAGCAGTTTTCGGGTCATGCTGTTGGGGGAGCCAGGACCCAAATACAGAACTTCAGAGTTCAAACTTCAGAGTACTATCACTTTTATGTCCTGTGACTGTTTTTAACAGTTGGAAAATTTACATTATTTTCTCCTTATTTCTCTTTTGCTTGCCCCACAAACTTTCATCTTAATGTAACACATTTCTATTCTATTTTTTAGTTCTGCAACAAAAATAATGTATATAAATTTCAATTTTGAAAAAGTGTTTTTTGACTTTTATAAAAGCATTAAGTAGTAGATTCTACAAGATTGGATAGTTAGCACATTTATTAATAATATACAATTGATCAAACTGACAAATGCATTACAAATTCTAATAACTGTTAAGGAAAAGGTAAAATTTTATTGGAAAAACATCTTGTAATGGGCTGGGTGGATTTTTTCCCCCTAACTAGTTCAGGTATCCTCAGATGAATATTACTTATTGTTGAAATGAAACAGGGCTTAGCATCCTATTTTTATATATTTCTAGGTATGAATGTCTGGAAAATCTTGTTCACTAAAAAAAATTGAAATGGAAAGGGTTTTGTTATAGCAACATCATTCAGTCCTCTGAACTCTTTGATATATGCCAACAATACATAGTGTAATCTCATCAATTTGTTTTAATAAACATTTTAGAATAGTGTTAGATTTACATAGCGTTACAAAGATAGTACAGAGAGTTCTTGAATATCCCTCACCCAGTTTCCCCATTGTTAACATCTCACATAACCGTGGTACACATGGTCACAACAAGGAAATCAACACTGGTCCATTACTGTTAACTTCACCAGTCTATTTTCTGAAGATCTATCAGCTGTTAACTCAATTAGGTATTGCTTCAGTTTTGTTGAAAGCACAGGATTAAAAACACCTGACTTGTGAAAGTCTGTTATGCAGCCTTTCCTATTCTTGGCTCCTGAAAAGTATATCAAAAAGGGCTTCACTAAGATTTACCATATAATTGTTGATTATACCTGTTTCTCTTTCACTCATCAAATGTTAAACACTCAGTAGGAAAATCAAAATAGTGATAATTTGTAATGTATATTTGCCAGTACTATATTTCTTGATAAAGTGCTTTTTCTCTTACTTATAGCATAACCTTGGAACTTGAGATTTAGCTCACTAAATTTAGAAAAAATGTTTGCCATATAACCTAATTGCTAAAGCAGCCCTTATTGTTAAAAGCCATTAGCAAAAGTAGACCTTACTTTTCATTGTAAGTAAAAAATGTTAATATGCTCCTGTTAATGAATTTGAATCCTAAATAGGCAAATGGATAGGACACAGGCCTTGCCCAGAGTTTATTCAGATTTATCCTTCAGGAAAGCATGGCCATCTGTAATATTTCTCACCCCTTCTTTCTGGATTTTCTCCCACTAGACCCTCCCTCAGGAGTGAAGTACTTTTTATTAATAATTTGGGGAAGGGAAAGGTGAAGTGTCTAAATGAAAACCAATGTTGTTCTCACTATCCTTACTCTACAATTTATTTGAATGCAGAAAATCTCCAAATTAGCCAAAGTATCCATTTCTAATACAGGCTTTGTCCTTAATAGAAATATGCCAAAAACACGCATCCCTACTCCCACAGTGGTGTGCCATATTAGTATTTACTCTGGGAAGTGGGAGGAGGGTAGTTATGAAAGGAGCTCTGGCGTGGCACCTTGACCACAGGTGTACTTCTTACGGCAGATCAGTTGTAGGAAAATGTTAGGAAGTAGAGGATCGGAAAGTTGTTTTCTTAAACTCTCCATGTCATGTACCTCTCTCAGAAGTTCCTTGGGAACTCCAGGGCATACATATTTCAGTCTTAATAATGCTGAGGAAGAAGCTGAAGACCAAGCCAAGAACCATGGGTCAAGGGGTCTGCAGGGAGACAGATGGTTCATCACAGCCACCACATGCGTCCTTCTCTAACACTGGCTTTAAGGAAGGAAGGGTGGAAGCGAGTCTGACCTTCTGGAGTCAGGAAGGTTAGAGGGTTATAGTCCTTAGTCGGCTTTTTGAGAATTAGTGACCTAGAACAGTTTTTCTTCTTAAGCTTGAATAGTATTACAGACATCTAGAAAGGAAAGACACTTAAAGATCCTTAATTAAGAGACATTTACTTGGTCTGAATTTATGAAAATGGTTCTATTCTAAATGATCACTGTAAAGTGAAGTTTTACCTTTAAGTGGCTGGTTTTTTTTTACGATCATAAAGTGATTAACATATAACTTAACACACTCCACAGAACTCTTGTACCTCAAAATGAGTCTGAGCTCCCCCTTGGAGAAACGCTGAGAACTGGTTGTGGTTTAGTTTCCTGTTTCCCCTTGGGTGTTATGGGTGAGGCTTGGGAGCTGCCTCTCTATTAGGATGCCTGTGTCTGTGTGGCCCACATTCTGACCCTTCCGTCTGTGCAAGAAGAAGCAGGGTGAAGTCAGTAAGGCAGCCAGCGCCGACAGCACAACCGAGGGCACACCTGCCGACGGCTTCACAGTCCTCTCCACCAAGAGCCTCTTCCTTGGCCAGAAGGTAGGCAGATGCGCGGCCTCAGTCTACTCGAGGGCCCCAAGGGACAGGTGGGCACAGGCTACTTCCACTGGAAGGCTGGGGGGATCCCGGGGGCCACTCCCAGCCTCGTGGGTAGACAGAGTGGGCTGTGAGCTTTGGGAGTGGCCTCAGGGAGGGCTAGATGCTGGGGAGGCCACAATGCTGAGGGAGGACCCTGGCAGCTGGGGAAGGGAGACAGTGGTAAAAAAGAAGAGGGCAGGCAGCTCCTGTGGGAGATGGGGACCCTTGGTTAGTCTGGAGGAGGAGCTGCTTCTGTGGGATAAACTGGTCATCAGATAGCACCAGCCAGGGAATCAGGCAGAAGTCAAGCCTTGGTGGTGGAAGGTGAACAACCTAGCCGGCAGCCTGCTTGTCCTGGGGGGCACTAACGGTAGAGCCTCAGGTCTGATTCAGGGCTCTACAGGGGATTGTTTTCAGACTGTACTGATGGGTGCACTGGGTTTCTTCACTGAACCACCAGATGACTCTTCCAGCTAATTGTTTGTTTGTTTTAACCATGGGCAATATATTTTCAGCCGCCCCAGTGATGCAACTTTGCCAGGACGCCATGGTTTTGTAAAAGACAATTCACTTTTATTGAAAATAAAAATGATGCAAAGGCTTTTAAGACCTGAGAATGAGAGTTAACTAATATTTCTTTATTGACATCAAAAAGGGGTGGGAAGAAAGAATTAAACTCTTCTTAATTTTTTAATCCTATACTTAAAGAATTAAAGGAATGAATTTGACGTTCCAAGTTAATCTGTGTTTAGTTTGAGTGTGGTAACAAACTTGGATCTGAAGCTGCATCATTTTTAAACCCTCACTGTCAATTTCTTTTGCATCACAGTGACACGGTTCCCTCGCTCACGTCATTGCAAGTTCTCCTCCTACCCCTTTCCCTCTTTCTGTCACTAATTGCACTCTCTCTCATGATGCAATTCCTGTGGTGGACTCTGTGTTCCAGAAAATAACCATTACTGTTTACATTTTTAACCATTCTTTGTATTTTGTATGCATTTTTCAAAAGAAAAAGTAGCACTAGTTGTCATCTTAAGGTCTGGGGATTTGAAAGTTTTTGTTTTAAAATATTTTTTGTTCCTTTAAAAATTTCGACTCAGCAGTGAAGACAACTGCCTGGGTCTACTTTCACCCCTGTAACATATTCCTTGGGTAATGTATTGAAAGTTAACGTGACCCATCCACATTACTTCCATTTGAAATACAGAGCAGTTCAGCCCTTGGGGTCACCTTCTCCCTCTTTTCCCCACTCTGCCCTTAGGCACTCCCACCCTGGCCTCTCCCCTGCCTATGTTCTTGTTACCTCCTGCCAGCCACTCCAAAGGCAGCCTCAGATCAGAATTCCTCATACCTCCCTTGCTGGATGAACTAAAATATTTCCAAAGTAGCAGCAAATATGGCTGTAAAAATGTCCATGCAAAATGCAGATGCCCTTCTTGTTGCTGTGATCTTCTGAAAGAAATGGGATCACGGCCTCCTCTGGGCTCTGTTTGTTAGCCCTGGAGGGGAGGGGGCAAACACCACAGACATCTTGCTAGCTTCTCCCAAGAGCCAGGAACATGTCAGCTCTCAGCAACTCAACTCTTCCTTTTCAGATACATCTGGTCTCAGGGCCAGGCATCACACGAATAAAAATAAAGTACAGTAGAGTAAAATTTTGGCTAATAATGACTGTTCCCTACTCAGAGTTGGTAGGGTGAGGATACAAAAAGCCATAGAAAAGTATTGATACTCTATAATAAATTACAAACATATCATTTAATGTTATTTTTAAAAATGGAGAATGAAAGCAGTGAACTTAGCTTAACAGTGAAATTAATGTGCTTATCTTGACTTTTGGAAGGAAAATTTGAAAGGAATGGTTAAGCTGCCACCCAGTATAAAATGGTCAGCCATAAGAGGGGCTGAATGTAGACCCAGACAGACCACCTAGCCTTCTTTCCCATATCACCCCCTTTTTAGTGGTGAAAACAAAACACCAGGCTACCAAGAAACTGCCCTTCCTGTTTAATGTGCTTGTGACTTTATGATCCAAGAGTCACATATCCAGGAAGAGGTACCCAAAAATCTAGTGCTGCAGACACTGTTTAGCAGAATAAACTCCATGTTTCCAAAATAAAGCAGCATCTTAAGTCAGCCTAAGCACCAGTGTTAGAAACTAGGGTTCCAACTGCCCTTTCTGGAATCCTACACCCCTGCAGCATGAGACGGAGTGAGCATTGATACATTAGAGCATTATTTTGAAGCATTACTTTCTGGCTTTTTATTGGCTATTACTGTCAGGTGAAAATCATGGCATATAGTGTAAAAAAGGCAAAAATCATGAAACTAACACACAGTTTTTACAAAAAGCACATTTAAAATATTATAGACATTAATTTTGACTTGGATTTTAGGAAATGTTTCAAAAGGGGTACTTTAGAATGGTGACTATATGGTACCCTGTGTCCTATGAATCTCATTTTTCTATCTGTGACACTGAAACCAGTGCTTGAAGATTGCAAGCAAGCTGGGGTGGAGAAAGGTGATATTGTGCATGCTACAGCCCTGTAAGGCATGGTTGCTAAGCTACTCAGGAAGCATGGCCCAGGCTTAGGAGCCTGACCATTGATGTTAATGATGTATTTCACATACTGAAGTCTCAGGAGTCATCATAGCCATTACTCTCTGATTTTGCCCAATGTTCACACACATTGTTGAATTGTTTTAAAAAAGAAATCAGTGCTGTGAATCTGAGTCAACTAAATGCTTTTGCTTTGTGTTCAGCCAAGATTTGCAGCCTTTTTTCAGAGGTTTTAAAATTTTCAGAAAAAACATTTCTAATGTGTCTAATGTGTCAGTGGTAACACTGACTTAATGGTAAATGGTAAATGATTTAAGTTTCCTTGTCAGAGTCAGTATTATTTGAAGGAGTTAGGAAGGCAGTCTGAGGCTGTGATGAGTCTCCTTACCTCCCAAATGATCAAGATGGCAACCCCAGCTCGCAAGCCATTCAAGGCGGGCATAACGTACCATGGGTTTTCTCCCTTTGATCCACATACCCTTCTCCCGGGAGCTGGAAGAACTGTGAGGAGAAAGGGAGCTCTTGAAGTTGAAGCATCAGTGAGGAGAAAAACCATTCACCCCTTCCCCCCACTATGGCTGAGGACTGGCTTCTGAGACAGTTTAGGAAACTGACAAAGCCATGAAGGAATGGCTCAGCTATCGACCATCTGGACATCCAGCAGTATCTATCCATGTCCTTATCTTTGTGGGGCTCTTTCTAGCTGGACACACTAGATTCTGCCCGGCCCAAGGCCTCTGGAGAAATCCAGCTTGGGCATGCATGCATGCAGGGAGAGCCACACAGCACAGCTGTGAGGGCAGGAGCCAGCCCTGGAGTGTGCCCCAGGGAAGACACAGCTCTCAGGAGGAGACTGGAAAGGGTCCTATGGAAGACATTGCCCTTCCCATTCCCCTCGTTGAAGTGAACTTTGGGGACAGGAAAATAACTGCATTTTAGGTGGTCAGCCAGGCTTCCTTCCTTATCTGTTATGAGAAAATGAGAGACACCAAAATCTGACAGTTACAGGCTAGATTTAACATACTACTCAGGCACTATCTTTAACAGCCACTTTCATTAACTAAAATTGGGTTTCTAATCATATTTTTTTAAAAGAACCAAGAAGGAATGTACTATTTCCTGTAGCCAAGTAGGTCAGGTCAGGCAGTCTGCATGTCCATCCAGACACTCCTTCCCTGTCATCATCGACAGACCGCCTCCTGCCCTGCCCTAAATGGTGGGGGCCAGCCTCCCATCCAGGCGAGGACAGCTTGGCTCTGAGCCACCTCAGATACAAGCCAGGCCCAGGGCTCAATTTCTGAGCTCTGGCATTTCCATTAACAATGCCTTAAAGGAAAGCAAGCAGGGGCAGTCATTTTATGAGTTATATCTAAGGATGTTTGATGTTCAGTTCTAACTCTACATGCCCAGGGGAACCCCAGCACTGGCTTAGGCACTGTGCAGCACTCAGGGTTAGGGGGCCACACCCACTCCTGCCTTCAAAGAGATTATACTCTGATGAGCATATACCATGAGTAAAGAACAAGGGTTTCCACGGACATCCTCACCACAGGGAAGACTCGGGTACTGCTTGTATCAGAAGCTGGCCCAGCAGAGCCAGTGAGGTTAGGATTATCGGATCCCAGTGCTGGAAGGGATCTTGAAGGTCCCTTGGCTACGACCCTTTCTGCCAACTGTGCAGCCACGCGGGGACCCCCTTCTGCTCTATAACTGGCAGTGCCCTATGATTACTTTCCTCAGTGGCTAACAGTCTTCATAGCTGCTTTAAATTCCTCATGCTGTGGTTTAAAACTTAGTTTTCCATCTTTCCTAACGACGGTACAAAGAAGCAGTCACCTTATTCAAATTCTGAAACCATTAATGATCCTTATTCCTCCCAGAAAATCAGACTAATTTTGGGAATTTTTACAGTTCCCAGAAATCTGATTTCCTAACCCACAAGGACCACTTCTCTGCCATGTACTTCAGATGGACACACACCCCTCTGGCTGATAAACCCCACTGGATCTGACCCTGGCTGGTGGGAGGGGACCCTGGGGCCTCCTAGGACTGGACCTCTGTCTTGGCTCTATCTCGCTTATTCATTTGTGACTGGACAGTGGGAGCCTGTCCAGACACATGTGTACCTGGTCCATTTGCACGCTATGCTCATGGGCTTTCTTCTGTATAGTGGAGCTACTGTCTTCGTTCATGATCATCTCACTGTCAGCTTCTGCCCACTGGCCCACCTGCCAAGCTGATTACCCATTTGTCCTTCCAAAGTACTTGAATTAATTTGTCTTCTCCCCTTCCCATTCTCTTCCCCTGATGCACACATCCCAAGCACACACTTTCTAGTCAAGATTGTTTAAAAATACATATTTGTACACATTTTACAGCAAAAAAACTTTTGTGGCTCAGCTGCATACCCTGAGGACTTCTGCTGAGCCCCAGTGCATAGCAGAGCATAGTTGGAAAATCACAGCTCTAGCCTCATCCACAGATGTGAAGAGTGAAACAGCACTTGGTTGGCAGGAAATCCTCAATGCTGAGTAGTAGTGGCTCCCTGAGGTACTGTAGTCTGCACTTCCAAGAGTGGGGATGCCTCTGGTCAGAAGGGAAGGTAGTGAGTCCAAAGGAAGCTGAGAATTCTCCATGAGCTTGAGTTCTGTTCGCAACTGCTCCCTTCCTTCAGCAAATCCAAGTTTCCCCCAGAGAATCCCATTCCCCTAGACAGAGCAGGTGGTTCTCCCGCGAAGAGAGTCAGATACAGGCCACTGAGGGGGTCTTCCTGGCTAGCTGAAGCAGAGCCCGCCAAAATAGCTTCTTTTCCAATGAAACATTTCTGAATATAACACCAGAAGCATCTATACAATTGGAAAAAATTGCGTGAATTTTAAGGATTGAACATGTATTGTTTTAAACATAGGAATTTATAGGTGCCTTAAAAGCATACACATCCACATTACACTGAGTAGATCGAGTCTTTTTCTCCTTTGCCTGCCTTCCTCACCAACCTCCTGCCTCTTCACACTGTGTGGGGTGTGTTTTGGTGGTGTGTGGTGGGGAGTATTGGCTTAATTTGAGTTTTTGTAAATAGCATTTGCTTGGAGCCAAATGCAGAACTAAATAATAGAGTAAAATCCTTTGCCTTGTTCTAAATCCTGAGAGTTCACTTGCCTTACCCTAAGGCCCCCGACTCTGTGCCCACCCACACCCCTACTCCCCAGTGGCAGCAGTCAGGCCCCAGCCCCCATGCTGTCTCTTTTCTGTGCCTCTGTCCTGGTGCCAGGGCTCTGAGCTGCTGAGAGCTTCGCTTTGTGAGATCACCCCCATGGCTTCCTTCAGCTTCAAGGGTGTGGGTGGCCTCTAAATCACTCTATAGTGCGAGGAGCAATAACCCAGAAAGTCCATATGAATAATACTTGGTCCTCTTCTCTGAGTCTTTAACCAAAAATGAAGTCCACTGCCCTGGCCAGAATTCTTCCTTGGCTGTTTGACAAAACTTAATTCCACAACTGTTTCCTCCCAGAGGATGACTCTTAGTGTAAGCACATCCCTCTTTGAGAATCTGACTGTTTCTGGGAATCAAAAATGTGGGTTTATATTTCCGATACTTCTGGAGTGCCAGGTTGTTTGGTTTTGTTTTCAACAAAATGTTTGGCCCTAGAAATGCAGCAACTTGCTCTGTTGCCAGGAGCTTCCCTGCCAAGTGTCTTGTGCACAGCCCTCTCCTGGGTGAGCTCCTGGACAAAGCCTCATGCCCTGGTAAACCCTGCAGACTGCAGCCACTATTCTGGCCTAGGTCATAGTCTTGAGCACCAGCTCTGCTAGGGCTACTCAGGCATTGCACTTGTCTGCAGGTGTTAGGAATTTATGTTACTGAAGAGTGAGCAATGTCATTGTGAGAGCATGTGCAAGAGCAAGCTTTCCTGCAATACCTAAAGAAAAGCAAGGGGAATAGTAGGACCTGGGACAGCAGTCCTAGGCCCATTAATTCCCCTTGCCCCTCTGACAGAATTTCGAACTCAGTATTCTTCGAATACTCAGATGCCAGGGTTGCCATTGTAACAGAATAACAGTGGCTGGGGGACACCCATTCAGTGGCTCTTCAGAAAGAACAAATTCACTGGGTGGATATAACACTTAAGGAAAATGCTCAATAAGCCACCCATTGAGTCTCAGAGCAACCTGACCAACAAGGTGAAAACCATTTAAAAGACACATTGTCTTGCTGGAGAACCTTCCTCCCCTGGGTTTCACCATGGAACTTCAGCATTACATGACTAATGGGCACGTAAATTAAATGTTACTAAGCAAGAGACTATTCTCACTTCTTGCCACCCTGAGCAGGGCAGGGAAGCCAGCCAGCAGTCACAGTGATGGGGACAGCCTTAAAGGCCCATAGTCACTTGGAAGACAATGGCAGAGCCCTTAGGGGTTTGCCCAAGCCAGGTAGGATGTTAGCACCAGCCTAGTGCTCAAGGATGAGGACAGTCACATCCACCAGCCCCCAACCCTCAGCAATGAGTACTCATTCTAGGTCCTGATAGCTGCCTTACTTTGGCCCCCAGATCACAAGTCCCTTTAAAGGAAAGCTGATCTCCTCGTCCACTGTGGCTTGTGCTTCCTTTTGTCCCAGGTGCCACCCACGGGCTCTGAACATTCATCCTAGTTTGCTTGCTCCCGCATCCCGAGCAGCATTTGAGTCTTATGTTTGAAATGGGTTCATTTGAGCCAGCAACTCCCTGCTTCCCTTTTGTGCCTCGTGCACTTGGAGTGTCCACTGTCCTTTACCTGTATCCCAAGGCTCCTTCTCTGAGACTTCCCAGCTCTCCTGTTATTTCCCACCTCATGCTTTTCTTTGCAGCTGAACCTTATTCACAGTGAAATCAGTAATTTAGCCGGCTTTGAGGTGGAGGCCATAATCAATCCTACCAATGCTGACATTGACCTTAAAGATGACCTAGGTAATTGGGGACGGGGTTCGGCACCACCAGCTGTCAGATGAAAAGTTATGGAACCCAGAATTTAGGCATTTCATCTTCCCAGACTTTACAGTGGTCAAGCCAAATTTCCAAATCCAAGATTGATATTTGAGTGTAGACGCTGAATATCAACTTACTCCAGGCCATTCCAAGTGTAAACGGTCTGTTTCATTAAGTGTGATTGGCTACTCTCTCCTCAATTGCAAATACATTGCCATCTGAATTCTCTTCCATAATGATCAAACTGACTGCTGGTTACTTGGGGAGGGATTTTTAAACGTGTTGGTTTTTGTTTGTTTTTTTGTTTTTACTTTAGAACTGAAAAATCTCAGGTAACTACAAAATGATAGTTTCTCCATTTAAACCTTAATTAGAAATGACAAAGCTTGAAAGAGAAGACAGGCCACATCAGTATGCTATTAAGCTGTCTTTAGTCCACAATTTACTACCATCACTTCAACTTTTCTTTAGAACTGAAAACAGTATATGACTGAATGCCACCTTCTTGAATTATTTGGCTAGAGGATGGTATTAAACAGAAGGGCAATATCTCCAAGTGAGTTCTTATGGAGGAAAACTGCCCCAGAGCCATGGTGTCTCCCTGTTCAAGATGGCAGATGGTTCAGGGCAGACTGAGAGGTGCCCCTCAAGTGTCCTGCCTCTATGGCTTTATCTTTGCATATGTGGCACTGTCAGCTCAATGGCACGACAGGGCTGCTCTGCTGCTCTTCGATGTAGAGGCTTGCCAGGGGAAATAGGCACACAGATGCAGCCTCCTTCCTAACCCTCAACTGCAATCTATTTTGTATCCCTTGAGCTCTCAGCTTCTGCTGTTTTTGTCAGATAGCAGACTTCCTTACTGGGAGATACACTCATTCCATGGGCCCAGGCCTGACCCACACGAACTGGGTGCAACAGTGGGCTGAAAACATGAGGACTGGACTCAAGAGTGTCCAGCTTGAACTTGTTTTCCAACTGCCTTATACAGATACTTAAAAAAAAAAAGGCCACAAGCTAGAAAAAGCAAGGATTCTATCCAAAGCACATTTTATACTAAAATACAAAGGCCAGGTGCAGTGGCTCACACCTGTAACTCCAGCGTTTTGGGAGGCTGAGGCAGGAGGATTGAGTGAGGCCAGGAGTTGGAGACCAACCTGGGCAAGATAGTGAGACCTCATCTCTACAAAAAATAAAAAACTTAGCTGGGCTTGGTGACACGTGCCTGTAGTCTCAGCTACTCAGGAGGCTGAGGCAGGAGGATTGCTTGAGCCCAGGAGTTCGAAGCTGCAGTGAGCTATGATTGTGCCACTGCACTCCAGCCTAGGCAACAGCAAGATCCTATCTGTAAAAAAAAAAAAAAAAAAAAAAAAAAAAAAAAAAAAAATTAAACCATAAAAATAAGATAGGCTAGAGTAAGAGATGGGCCTGGAAAAATATTGATAGAGATCGGCCCATATGTTGAGGGGAAAAAATAAAGGCAGTCCTCTACATATATCAATACTGTTCTCTGGGTTTTCAAGAGAAATCCCTTGAAGGTAGACAAAATGGTAAATGTCACAAGAATAAAAATCAAAGCCTGCAAGTTGACTGCTGCAGACAGAATGGAGAAACTTGTTGTTTTGGTTGGCCTGATGGTCCACTTTTTTTTTTTTTAAACAGATGCCATGTTTTAGTAGCCTTCTCAGTGGGATGCCAGCTTTATAGGCTTTTGCGAAGTGAAACGGGGCATTCATTTTATTTCTTTTAACCTTTGGAAATGATCTCATGTGTGTGTTTCTCTTTTTTTGGACTTCTCATTCAAATGTTTAATTTAAACATGTCACATTTGATATTCCTCCTCCTCCTGTCCTCACCCCCATCCACATGTGCGCACACTGCGTGGACTGATTGCCCCTTGGGCTCATATGTTGGAATCGACCAGGTAGGCCAGCCCTGCCATTGGGGCATTAGTAAATGTGCCTGTGCGTGGGTCTCGGTCCAACACAGTTGATATACATTTGTTTACCTGTTATAGTTGCAAGTTGTACAGGCTGACATTGCCTCGATCGACAGTGATGCTGTCGTTCACCCGACAAACACTGACTTCTACATCGGTGGTGAAGTAGGTAATGCCTAGCCGGGTGCTGCCGAGTGTGTGTGTGCATGGTCAGTCGGCCGCTGCAGACAGCTTGATCCTTTGACAGCTATGCAGGGCTGCATTCATTTCACACTTCCAGCTGTCCTGACCCTGTCTCCTGTCCCTGGGTTGTGAACCTGAGTAATAAAGCTAGCTGTCAGCCAGGATGTCATGCATCCTGGCTGATGCAGCTCACAAATGGACATTTCTGGTTTGAAAACTGGTTCAGCAGAATCGTTTCTTCACCTGCCCCACAAGGCACAGCTTTGTTGGAGACTGGGTTCACAGATGATTTCAGCTGCAGGAACAATACAGGCACATGGACTGAGTGACAACCAAGACCATCTCCATGCACTCTGAAGAGCAGACAGACACATATGCCTGTGCACAGGTCACCACCCCCACTCCCCTGACCCCCGCCAATCTGTCTCCATGTCAGAAGCACACTTGTTCCTGAAAATGGCCTTAAAGCCTCAGGTGCACAAGGAGGACCCTTTCCAAATGCTTGCCCACACTTAGGGTTCTCAGACTTCAGGTACATGAAAATCACCTCAATCTGACATGGTATCCTTAGACCACTCATGAGAAACATCATCCTAGACCCAGAAAGCACCTTCCTTTCCCTTGGCAGCTGATAAGGCATTGTTGGTTGATTCCTGGTGTGCTAAATAGCTGAGGGTGGCCAAGAAAGAGGGCACTTGAGATGCCATATCCTGAGGCTGCAGATTCCTGGCAGGAGTATCAAATAGTGTCCTGCTTTAAGAACACACTGAGGGACCTGAGGGGGAGGCACCCATGTGTGATAGAAAAAAAGCACAGCTTTAGAGCTAGGTGGAAGGAACTGGAATCCTACTGTCACCATTTACTGATCATAGGGCCTGGTCAAGTCACTTAACTCCTCAGTGCTTCAGGTTCCCTATCTATTAAGTAATGGTAATGATGGGAATTACATTAAATGTAAGCAAAGCACCTTGTTTTGTAAAGCCTGGCTCATGATTGGTGCCTGCTGTAAGGTATCACTCATGTGTATATATAATTTTTATAGTAAATGTACTGGTCCTGAGAGCAGCCCTCTGAGTGTGGATTCAAATACCAGCTTCCAAAGAGAATGGTTACATTTCCAGTCAGCAGACAGTGAAGTCATCTGGAAGGATGAGGAGATCAGGATTTTCACAAGCGTCCTGGATGCTAGATGTGCAGTAGCTCACAATCTCTGGCTGCCTGGCTCTGCTTGGCATCACTAGCAAAGACTGCTGTTCAGTCTTCCCCAGCCACTGCAATTTGGACTAATCACTCTCCTGGGCACTTTGGATTTTGGACATGGATGGAAAGACAAACTGGATGGAAAGTCAGAATTTGCCAAGTCTGCCAGGCCAAAATGAAATCGGGCTGTAAGCAGTTAAACTCCCCTTTCACAAGACTTTGGAGGAGTTAAAGAGCTCCAAAGTCAGGCAGCTTAAGGGAAAGATGCTTCCTTTTTAAACCAAATGAAAATTTGATAGAAAGGAAGTACTTATTTAGAGAAAAATAAATGAACAGCTAAGGGCTTGTCTTTGTCATAGCTGGGAGTGACTAAGGCCTGGGTTCATCCTGCCATTCAGGACATTTGGTGAAATGGGAATTATGAAACTTTCCAGGCAAAAGTATCTTACCCAGGTCCAGGGAGAGGAGAAAGTTGGCCTGCCTGCTGCAGCCTGAGGAAGGCCGTGCCCAGCAGGATTAGCCATGCCAGGAGGCAGAGTTGCAGCTTTGAGATAGGGCTGAAGCCTTGAGGAAGTAACAGGCAGACCCAGCTGTGCCACCCAGAAGAGCCCAGTCCTTCCTGAATTGTGACTGGAATGGGTCTCTTTGGAATAAGGATGGTGCTAATGCTTTTCCTCTGACATGTTCACCTACAACTCATTGATAGGCACAGGGTGGGGAATTATTAGCTTCCAAGCCACAGGAGCAATCTGGGCCCAGGACCCTGGCACACATCATTCACCGACACTGTAACACCTGCAGAAATCCTCAGCAGGTTCAGACACCCCAACTGGCCAAGGCAGAAAGACTGCCAGGTCAGAACCCAGTCTTCCAAAGCCCTTCAGGGCTTTTCTGCCCAGCGGACCAGTCCAAACCAGTATTGACCCCAGATATCTTTTACAATCCCAATGATAAACCAGATTCCTACATGGCCTCAATTGGTTCCAGCTCCCACTTTGATGTGTGAGAGGAGAAAAGAGGAAGCTAGTAATCACTCCATTTCTCATATTTGGTGTGAAGTCCTGAGACTGCTGGAAGAAGGAATCCGAGTGCAGGAATGCTTAGCCCCAGTGATTAACTTTTACCCATCAAAAGTTCTTTCTAACAGTGAAATAGACCACAGGCCTAGCCTGACATTTGTCCAAGCCTAAATTTTCGCTTAGGCTGTTTTGAACACTGATACTTATGCCTGCTTTCTAAGCATGAAATAATGTCCTTGTTCTCATGGGAGTAACACATGTTTATGCTTGGGGGCAAATAAGCCAATTGCTTTATGATTAACCCTGAAGTTAAGCCTAAAAAGCAAGAGTCTTACAATAAGAGTGTTGACAATATGGTTGAAAATGGGCCTGTTTCTTGTTAAAAAGTACATGTGTGTCTACATGAACATGTGCATACATATGTGTGTGTAGGAGTCAAGTCCTGACTGGGTTGATTGCCTGCAATCTAGGGTTCAGTTTTTAAGTTTGGGAAATGCATTTAAGTGTATTTTAACTTGGAAATTTCACTTTTACTTAAAGCAATATTTATAAGTAAAAATTTTAAACACTCTTCCTAAGATAAAACACCTTTAATTATAGATCAGCCCATTTTCTTAAATATTTTAGAAAGGAGTTGGTAATCATGATAAAGTAAAAACATTATTTTACCTTTCAAATTTCTCAGTTCTCACCAAAGAGTTAATCTGATAAAGACTGAGAATGCTAACTAGTCCAGCCTCCAGCATTTTTGTTGCCCTGCCTCAAGCTGGAGAATGGGTTTAAGACAGAAGGCTAGACTGGGCCCCAGGGGCAGCAGTGTGTGGAATCCAGCTGGTTCCGGCTCCAGATTCCTTTTTCTCAGCTGCAGGGATAGTTTAGGTGAACCTGTATTGGGGTCTCACTCGCCTGGGTTGCATCCACTTTGTAGTGGTGGAGTTGGGCTCTAAGCCCCCGGCCTGCTTCCTCCAGTGCATGCCCCATTCAGCTGCCACCTCTGATGCTGACTTTACTAGAAACATGCAGCAGCAACAGGTGTGACATTCTCACTCTGCCATTTAAAGCCTGTGCTGCTTTCCAGGACAGGTAGAGGCAGGAGGGCAGTCTGAGATCATGAAGGGTAACACAAAATCCCACCTCAAGGATGCTAAGTTTGTGCCACCCTCTCTCGGACACAGCTGAGAGCTCCCCTGGGCTATGGCTGCTGGTCATGTTCATCTGCACACCCCAGGTTTCCTACAGCGGGTGGGTACAGGCCCAGTCCTAGCCATTAGCCCTGGTTCTTATTTGGGACAAAGCCCAAGCTATTTACTCTTCTTCCCAGACACCTCCCGGGGTTAGTTCACCCCTGCAGAACAAACATTCAAAGGAGGCAAGTTTCACTAAGATAATTAACCCTGGTCATCGCAGGGTGACTCCAAAGAGAATTTGGGCTGGTGCATTCCGATGCACCTTGACCGTCCCATACCAGAATTGTGCCAGGTGCACCTGGAATTTTCCAAGACAGATGTGAATCTTAAGGGGAGTATTTTGTCCTCTTGTGAGGAAAAGTACTTTAAAATGTGCAAAACTGAGGAATCAGAGCTTAAGGAAGACTCAGACCCCATTCTGGCCAAACTTGAAAGGCTGATCTTGTTGCTAACTTTGATTGCCACTTGCTATCCCACATGAGCATCAACCCAGAGTTCTCATAGGTGTTGGTGATCTTGTTTGGGAACTTGGTTTTCACAGCAGGAACTGATTACTTAGCAAGTGCCCTAATTGAAGAAAACACATTGCTCCCAATCTCCATTGGCTTTTGTGAAAAATCTGGTCCTGAGCAGTTAGACATCCTCCTTTCCAAGCTTTTTATAGAACACAGATTAATCTTTAAGCTCTGCTTCTGATGTTGCCCTTCTTTACTGAAAACAATTCTGAATCATTAGTGTAATTAAGAAAATACCGTCTGAGGCCATTTTTATTTTGTATTTGCATATGACACCAAAGCTGCAAAACAGGAACTAAGCATGGTAATAATGCTGGTCCAAAGGTGGCCAGGTATGAACACTTCCTTCTAGGCCTGCTGCCAGGAGGAGAGCTGGCTTATTGATGGGAGCATTGTATGCTGCTGAAACCTCCTTACTTGGGGGTTCTCCCCAGAGACAGAGAAGAAAACCTAAGGCAGGCATTAGTCTTGGAAACCAGTACCAGCTAGTATCTCATGCCAATGAAAAGCATCCAGGACAAGCATGTTTGCAAAAAACAAGCATGTCCTGTCTCTTTCACATCTCTGGCACATCCATGATCACCCTGAGTCAGACCCAAATAAGGGGCAGCAGAGACAGCCAGATGAAGCAGCAATTTGAGGGTAGTAACTGGTGATGACAAAGCCCTTCTCAATTTTACTTTATTAACTTAGCCAAGGCTTAGTTCCTGTTTTGCAGCCTGATGGAAATTTAATAGATCATTTGAAGTATGTAATCACCTGACATGCTAAGTGTCTGTGTGTGCCGGAGACACAGAATGGCAACCTGACCCCACCCTGTCCTTGTCTAGGAAACACGCTGGAGAAGAAAGGTGGCAAGGAGTTTGTGGAAGCTGTCCTGGAACTCCGGAAAAAGAACGGGCCCTTGGAAGTAGCTGGAGGTGAGGTGGGAAAGCCACCGTGCTTATCTGGTTGTGACACATGCAGTATTAGGAAAGCCATTTTGTGAGAGGGCTTAGAATTCAGAGGTGTGTGGCAGCACAGCCGCATCTTCAAGATGGAGGCCAAGGACAGCCTGTAGCTTTACATCTTAGAGTTTCACCACATGCAGGTTGTCTGGGAAAATCACCTTTGCATTTTTTTTTATTACTTAAAATAGCTCCTATATGTTTGATGTCTAGATCACAAATTTTAAGAAATTATAGGAGCTGAGTTTGGTACATCTAAGAGCTGAGAGTGAGTGATACTGAGCCATCTGCAAAACTGCTGGTGAGAGATACAAATTAAAAATCTTCAGCCATCTGTGTGTGTAAGAGGAAACATATAAATACACATTTCTCATTTGCCAATTACACCTTCCCTGGTATAAGGGGAAGAAAACGACTTGGCATCTGATGTGGGGAGAATTATTGCTAAGACCTGGAGGCAGGGTACTTCTTACTGCTTCAGGCCTGAATTTAGGTGGTCATTTGGGGTGTGCAGGACAGAGCACCTCCTAAGGACCTGAGAGTCCAGTCAGTGGGGAGGCCCAGCTCCCCCACCAACTGTGTGAGGACAGATCACCCACTTCCTCACTTGGGGCTCTGGTTTTCTCTTCTTACTACCCGATTCCAATGCCTATTGTGTCTTTTAAATCCTCTGTTTTAAAAATGAATCTTAAGCTCTCTCGGAGGGTCCACCAGGCCGTGCACCTCTATTCCCAGTGACAAATGACACCCCTTCCAGGCTAGTCTCAGGATCCAGTAGGATTCCCTTTGCTGATCTGTGCCTTTGACCTCTGCTCTGCCACTTCTGTTTTACCTGCAAGGGGCATGACATACAGGGTAGTAATTATGAAGTTCTCCCAGGCAGTTCCACCAAAGTCCCACATTGTACAAGGGAAGGCATACACAGTTTTAACTACCTAGCCAGGGGCAGCTGGCCTTTCCCCAGGCCCTTTAAAACACCTGTTTGACCAGCCTGTGGGTCCTTTCCCATCGGGGTTCCAGCTTGAGTCCTGCTGGTAGCCCTTGGCACAAGGCCTGGTAGGCAGCCTGGTGCTGCCATGTACCAAACTCTGCTGGGGAAACCTCAGCCACAGCAGATGCAAACCCATTAGGTATAGCATGGTTCAAGATATTTTTGCTTGTTTCAATAACACTTTTGTTCTTGATTTTAAGGGCTATTTTAGAAACTGCTTTAAAATATTTTTGAAAGTATAAAGAGGTGAATAAAACATACTCCTGTTCCACTGTGCAAAGATAGTCACTGTTAATGTTTCTTTCCAGTCGTTTTCTATGCATAGTTTAGCCATGACTTCTCATGGGGACAAACCCACTGGTTTAATTCAACCCCCAATGTCAGGTTTTTATAGGTCAGCCCAGAGTTCTCAAGCCCAGTCACAAAGCAGAGCCAGGACTCAAATTCACACCCTGTGACTGAGCTGTTTCCACTGTACCATGAGACACTACCCACAAATCGCTCCTTCTCCAGTATCTATGACACGACCATAACAAACCATACCCCTTGGACAGATATTCCTTAAAAAAAAAAAAAGTTTCAGAAATAGCCAACCAAATACAAAAAGTTTGGATGTTTTACTTTAGCAGTGGTGTGGAGACTCTGGTGTGCTCTTGTATAGAAGCGTAGCATGCAGCTAAACCCAGTGCCCTGGAAACCTTCTTTGCAGAGCATCTGTGGACAGGGGTTCTGGAACATGCTCTGGGAGACATGGTACTTTGCAGTTTGTGGCAGACCCCAGGCCTGTGTCCTTAGATCTGGCAAGGGAAAGGCAAGTCTTTGGTGGAGATGTATAGCTAGAAAGGGGCCCCTCTTCTAGGAAAAGAAAAACACAGTTCCTTAAAAACTAATCTAATTCTGCCACAAATAAACAGGATCCGTTATTCACACAGTGAGGCCATCCTCAGCAGGGAGAAGACAATGGCAGAGTGGAGATGCTGGTCAGGTTGCTTAGCAGATCATTTAAAGCAGTTGCTTTCCTAGTAGCTTTGTCCTGAATTGGGTTTGGGAGATTTAGAGAATACATCATAGTAGAGACAAATACATCATATTGGTGTGCAAGTCGATAATTAGCACACCAGTCGACTTGAAGAAGAAGGGTTGGAAACCCAAAACAATTATTTTGAGGCTGCAAATGTTCTGACACGTTGAGTTTGCGTTCAGTTGAGTTTTGATGGATAAGGCTCTGCCTCTGGGAGAACCGTGTATGCTTTCTGAGAGTGGAGAGAGGCTTACTACGAACTTGGTCAAAATTCCTGGTGGTGACACATCATAATGCCAACTTTCCAAGGGTGTGGCTTGGCTCCAGCTCACGTTGGAATCACAACGCAGCAGACAGCTGTGGAACTCCTCGGACACAGGGCATTGGAGGGCCCAGGAAGATATACCGTGGCAGGGGAGTGGGTCTGTGTTTGGCATCTTGTGCTTTGCAGTGAACCAGAGCTCACTGTTTCTGTTTCATCCCCGCACCACTAGCTGCTGTCAGCGCAGGCCATGGCCTGCCTGCCAAGTTTGTGATCCACTGTAATAGTCCAGTTTGGGGTGCAGACAAGTGTGAAGAACTTCTGGAAAAGACAGTGAAAAACTGCTTGGCCCTGGCTGATGATAAGAAGCTGAAATCCATTGCATTTCCATCCATCGGCAGCGGCAGGTAGGGGCACATGCTTGTTACGTATCGGTCATGGGTGTGTCTCTCTGCGCACACATGGCCCATAATTGTGGTGCTCTCACTCTGTGCAAGGCCCACGGAGGCTGCCTTAACCAAGGAGACCAGAAGCACAACACAGGGAAGAATGCAGACATTAAATGATGGTGAGGGACAATTAGAGAGACCCAAATCCCAAGGATGATATAAAACTTAAGTTTTGATAGCAAATGTCATCACAGAAGGGGAACCCAGTGTGTACTGGGACCACAGAAATGGTACCTCAGAGAGTAAGTTTTGAGGGGCACAGTGACTTGGGTGGAGAAGATCTGGAGGCGTGAATACAGGGATACAAACGAACAGCTTGGCTGTCTCAGAATAAGGCTATAGCTGTGTTATGGTCTGTCCCCCAAACCACAGTATTCTTTGGATAAAGCCCTCTGCCCCTTTCCTTTCTACTCACAAGTATATTTCACCTCCTGAGAACCTGCATCTCTACCTGACTCCCTGTCTTACTGCCCTAGGGTAACCCTGCTGGCCTGCTAATGAGGTAATGGGACCTGGTGGAACGGAATGGGGAATTACGTGAGATTGAAACAGGGCTGGGCCCTACTCCACTTCCTGTCCCAGAAAATCCCCAGGTAGACTCACCAAGGTCTTCACGACCAACACAGTTGCCCCTAAGACATACACATACCCGGAGGACCACCACAGGAGAAGTCTAGTTTTTCGACAGCTGATGATGCAGGTAGGGCTCAGGGCAACCCCCACAATACCTACCTGGTTGTACACCCCACACATGTCAGCAAATAACCTATCAGGTTCCTGCCTGTTGGAGCAGCACTGCACTCTGGCTTAGGGGTCAGGCCTGGAGTTGCATCCTGGCTTGGCCACTAACCCGGTGAGTGATGACATGTAAATTAACCCCCATTCTGAGAAGTTGGCATAATAATCCCCCCATGCAGTATCTCAGGGTTGCTCTAGAAATTAAAGGAGCTCTTAGAAGGCAGAGTGCTTTCAGAAGTGTGTCCCATGATGCAGACATGAGGACCTGTCAGGGCAGAGCCACCTCTGAGATTGTGTCCCACTGCCCATTGCTAGGGTCCTCCCTACCAAGGGTCTAAGTCCAAGAGTCCAAGGCCTCTGGAAGGCTCGAGGTCTGCATTGGGCACTGAAGCAAAGAGAAACTGGCCTTTAGAGGCTGTAGCTGTTAACAACTTGCGCCCAAGAGGAGCCATAACCTGGGGTTCTGTATTGGCAGGTGGCTTGCTTTGGACAGAGTACCTGCCACTGCTCCTGGGGCTTCCCATCCCAGCTTGTGAGCCTTCTGGGGTCTCTGCCCATCAGCCCCTCCCAGCACCCAAGGAAGGCAGGGCTGTGCAGCATCAACTGCCTATGACACTGCAGGCTGTCCCTTCTGGGCGAGCCTGAGCAACAGTCCTCAGAACCATGTCCTGAACTGACAGCTGCTCTCTGCAAAGCACTTTCCTTCCAAACTTTCTAGAGGATAGAGAGTAGATTTTGCCATTTTCCGCTTAGGCAGGCCTCGTGATTTTGCCTCCTGCATGCTGCCATCACTGAGGTCCCACACCTCAAGTACTGGTGGCAGAACTAGTACAGAGTGGGCTTCCTGTCACTTGACATTCTGCCTAGTAAAAGGCCTTGTCCACAGGCAGATGGGCACTGCCACCGTTCCCCAGGGCTTTCTATGGCCAAGGCCATGTGTGACTGGCAGGACCCACCAGTACCAGGCTCTGGGGAAAGATCTCTGGTTGCACCTGAACCTTCTCTGGAGCCTGTATCACTGCCCGCCACCCGCCGCCACCCCCACTTCTCCCAGTCAAGGGCAAAACAGCAGAATGAGCATTTCCCCAGCAACCCCTCACCAGTTGTTGAGCTATGGGCAGGCTTGCCTCCCCCTTCCCTGGCCTCACATCTCTGGGCTGTCTGGTCCTGGGGTTCTGTGAGTGAGGCCCCTCAGCTCTCCTATCCTGTGTGACCTTTGGTTAAATGAATCAGCCTCTCTGCCCTGGTCTGCCTTATCAGCAAGTGAGGCTATAGGGACTGCCCATCCTCACAAATGGTTCTGAGGCTCAGTTAATTAGTGCTTTCAATGCACTTTGATCTGCTCTGATGAAAGGTGCTTCCGCAGAGGGAGGCAATAGGAAACTTTATTGGAGGTAATAATTTCACAACCTTTCATATGGGTATTGGGAAATTTTTAATTGAAGCATAAAAGTAATTCTCATAAAAGAGCATCTGTTATTACAAACTTATTTACATTTTTCATGGAGTAAAAAGTAGGAATAAAAATAATCAATTGAAAGCTTGAAGAGGGGGAAATGCCTAAGGCAGCACATGTGTACAGCTACCCAGGCCACATCTGCCAGGCAGACCTCACCCCATAGAGCTGTGTAAACAGCTGCCCTCTCTTTCATGAGTAAAAAAAAATGGGATTACACCAGAGCCGGCCAGTAAATCACAGTGGGTTTTAGGAGGGGAAATAAAACAGCTTGTTTGTTGCATCCAGTGTCTCTGGCACGGAAGTAATGTTGGAATTAAAACAGTATAAAGGTAAGCATGTTGGGAAAGAGCCATTGGTAAAGGATCACTCTCTTAGCTGAGGCCCAGTGGCACAGCCTACATGGATGGAAGATGACCATAACCACACCTGTGTGATGGCTCCCTCCAGCCTGTGAGGCCCTGGCATCTGGACATCCTGTCCTCAGCCATTCTGGTCACGATATTTATGGATACCCCCACTCCCTCAGCTCTGTTTCACATTAGGGGTGACCCCTCTCCAGAGGGGTAGTACATAGGGAATACTAGTTTGGGGCTTTGATTAAACTTTCCTTAGATTTATAAGCTTAAAAGGAAAAGCTGGTTTATTTTTTTCAAGCTACTATTTATGGGTATGTGTTGAGCCCCAGGCGCGGTGCTAAACCCTTTATCTGCATTATCTCACAGCAACCCTACAAGGTGAACAGCATTATTCCTTTCAAGGGCAAAGAAACTGAAGCATAGAGGGGTTAAGTAAATCATCTGAGGTCACTCAACTTGTACTTGGTAGAGTGAGAATTTGATCAGAAGCCCTTCGCTTCAGAGCTGTTAGGCTCATGGAACCCCTGCCTCCCATCTCCATTGGTCAGCCAGACCCCAGGTCCCACCACCTCATCCCACCATAGGACTGCCCCCTGCCTGCGTACTCTCTGTGCATAAAACACTACCTGGGAACTCCCTGACCTGCCCAAGTATAGCCATCAGCCTCTTTCCCCTCCTAAGCATTGGCCTCAGAGGTGAGATAAAAGGACAGAAACTCAAGAGACCTTTGAATGGGGGAGAATTTTTCATTTACCCAAAGCCCGGGGGCCTGGAGTGGGAGGCCACTTTGGGGCTGCCCCATCCCCTCTCTAGCTGCAGGGGGCACAGCTCAGGGGAGTGGTGGCCCCATCACCATCGCTTCTGAATGTTCTCCCTCCTGTATACCATTGCTCTCGGCTCAGGATCCTGATGACTTGGATCAAAGTGGCCTGTGGCTGGGGCAACTTCAACCTGGCAATTACTAAAAAATGGTAAAGGCCTAAGAGCAGCCCACAGCACAGTGCGAGGGGGACCTAATCTTAGCAGAAGAATGTCTATACCCTAAGTGACAGACAAAGAATACCAGAATCCACCTCTACTCCTCCCCAGCCGTCAATTGCAAGCTCGCAATCTGTCTGCTCCAGAAAAATCTCCCTGGACTCCCAGGATACAGCCTCTCCTGCTGTGACTCTCTGAGGTCCCTAATGAGCTCCTAGCCTGGATTTGCTGCATACCTGCCTGGCCCCAGCCCTGGAAGGTGAGCTCACTGAGAGCAGGGGTGCTTAGTGAAGTCCCACTCAAGGAGAGGGCTGAGAAGAGCTGGGATGTGGTCCTTGGTGCACCTAGAGTCCCTGCGTGTCCAGACAGGACCGTGGGACAAGCATCCAATGCGTACACCCCCCAGCCATTACTGAGGAGGCTGACCCAAGAGGGCATCTTGCACTGGCCCTGGGAAACTGAGGTCCAGGACTCTTGGGAAAGGCAAAGGGCATTACAGACACAACTGGAGTGAATTTAGGGAAAGCTCAGATGTCTCTTTAGTCTGCTTAAGGTCCTAGCCCTATGGTGTAGGAAACTCTTGACTCCAGAGGAACTTAAGGAACATGCCATAAACACAACCCACAGGCCAGGTCAGGGGCTGAAGAGAGAGTGGAAACAACAAACAGTGCACGCATCTCCCAGGTGGGGCTGATGGTGGCCGCAGTACTGGCAGCCTCATCATCACCACCATTGTCATCACTGCACAGACCCCTGAAACACCTAATTTCTAGTGGAGGAAATTAATGCTTAGAGAGGTTAACACCCTGGCCCAAAGCAGCTGGGATTCAAACCCAATTCTGACTCTAGAGTGGAAGCCCTTAGTCCCTCTTGCTCTGCAACATCTGATCTGAAAGATAGGCAGCACAGCTGTAGGACAGAGTGGCTGGCACAGAGGCCAGGCCAGGCAGGAATGGCTATTCAGAGGGGCCGTGGTTATGCAAGTAGCAAGTGAACCCAGCTGAGAAGCCAAAGATGCAACACCAGTGGGCATGACTGCTCCTGAAAGCAGTCAGTACTGCACTGGGGAGCCTCTATGTAGCCCCTGCTGCTGCATGCCCACGGTCACGGCCAGCAGCTCTCTGGGGTCTGAGGCCAACATTGTTAGCACCGTGTAACTGCAACGACAACAGCAGTTACCCAGTCACAGCTATCCCAGGGACGAGGGTGGAAGGGGCAGTTTTCTACTGCATGAGCCTTTTAAAAGACCCTTCAAAGCCACCTACTTTATAGACAGCTCCTCTTAACTGAAGACTCTCTGTGCCATGCCCCGGTGCTTTGCATTTTCTTGTCCCAGACTCTGATTCCATTTCACAGGATGGGGAAACAAGGCACCGAAGTGGGACCACAACTCAAATCCTGTGTGACTCCGGGAAATCCTGAGCTCTTAACCACTCTGCTTCTCTACCCTGGAGGGAGTAGGGCTGTCAGGCCACCCAAGCCTCAGAGGCAGACCTGGGTCTGACCTGCCTCAGCTGCTGCATGTGCCACCGCTGCCTCTGTCTGGAGGCTGCAGGGCTGTGTGTGGAGTGCTCTTGCAGGGCATCCACCTACACATTCCATTTTGCTACAAGCATTCTAACTGGCAGCAAGACATTTTGAGGCCCACCAGAAAACGTTAGGAAAGCCGTTACCTCCGCCATTCCTTCCTGGCAGCCTGCGCAGTCCAGAGCAGCCACAGTCCCATAGCAGGGTTTCTTCCTTAGGCTGTAGCTTCCTAGGACAGAGGGATGGATTTGTCAACAAAGGGTTGTCCTGGAAACAAATCCAGATTCATGTTCACCCACCAACAACCCTGAAATGCTTGCAAGGCCAGGGACATTCCGGTGGAACCGTCTGCTCTCTATTAACGGGACGGTAGGCAGGTGTGGGCACTGCAAGTCTAAAACATTTGATACTGACCTCTCTCCCCCACTTGCAGATCCTCAACATCTGGGTCCACCCTGCCAGCTTGGATTATAAAGTCCATGCTGGCTATTTGTAGAACAGCAGTTCTCAAAAGCTGCTAGACCTGCTGAATCAAACTGTTGTGTTTTGACAAGCTCTCCAGAATTCTGATGCAGGCTAAAGCTTGAGAACTATTGATGTAGAGGAATAGAAAAGAATATTTCCTCACTGAAAGTCACATACTCTTTTGTAAGGGTCCAAGGCAGAGGCAAGGAAAGCCTCAGGAGGGGTCTGTGTCAGAAAGCACTGGTCACAGGCAGGAGTGACTGGCACACTTTTGGTGTGTTCCAGGGAGACCCCTTGGGACCTCCCAGTCAGCATGGCATGGCATGGGCATGGGCCAGGCTACACTGTGTCTGCATCATACCACATCTCACCCAGCTTGTGTGGGATGTAGCTAACCGTTGTTGGAGACAGCTGCCTGGGCATGCAGCCCGGCTGCAGCTACAGAAGCCCTGCCCCAGGGCTAGCTCAGCTAGGCAGAACATCGGGCCACCTGACAACTGCTGTTTGCAGTAGCTCCACAGGCCCTCAGCCCAGCCCAGCTCCCTGTGCACGTGTGAGGCTGAGACAGGCAAGAGGGCACCTCACTGTAGGGACCTTGGAGCTGGCAGAGCATGGTCTTGGGATTCACATGCAAAATGCAACTTCTCACAGCTCCTCTCAGCACCCTGCAGCCCCCGTTGATCCAGGTCACATCCACAGACTGGGCTCTGCCTGCTCCAGAAGCCCTTGGCCCCTAAGTACAGGCTGCAACAGGACCGAGGATCCCAGCCCACAGTTAGAAGCAGCCTGAGCTGCTGGAAAGATGCCCCCCAAAAATGGAAGATTGAGTTTTTATCTCCTCAAGCAATTCTCAACGTGGCTCATTCCAGATAACCTGTCCTCTGTGCTCCTTGACTCCTGTGAATATAGTCAGGGCAGCTCTGCCTGGTGTGGGCCAAGATTTCAGATCTGCAAACAGCACTGGTGCCAGAGGAATGACCTGCCCACTCTCAGCAGAGCCCTTTTCTTTCACTATACATGCCGCCCTCCATCCTGGCCCACCTGTTAGTCTAGTCTAGAATCACCAGGGTCTCCCGGGAGGAAGCTGCGCAGGTCTAACACCACTCTCGTGGCCAGAGCGGCTCTGGAGCTCTGACCCCTCTCATGGGAAGAGTTGTATGCGCTGGCTGCTCTGTGGCTGAGGAGCTGCCGCCTGTGTGTGAAGGAACCCTGGGTTGCCCCCCACTAATTGCCCGCAGGCTCCTTCACATAGGCTGGGGGCACATCTCTTGTCCTCTAAGAGTGAACTCCACTCCTGAGGCATCCAGAAGCTCCTAAGTCTCCACCAGCCGGGTGAAGCCGTGTGTGGTCAAAAGCAAGTCACAAGAGGGTTTCCCCTGTGGCTGTGAAATGCACTGTGCACTGTCAACAGTGGATCGCTGAGATGTTCCAGGGCCAAGCCAGGAGGTTCAGAGTGCACAGGCATGCAGTGAGTGAAGCTAGCAGTACTACAGTAGATACCCACCTTACCACCTCTGGAAACCCCTCCACCTGGCAGCAGGTGCCTCATGTGAGGGAGAGCTCCAGCTGAAATAGGCGGGTTGGCCCAGCGCTTTGGACACCAACACGCCCACAGGCTCAGGCGGATCTGTGACTGTAGATCTGCCAATGAACAAAGAGCCTACCCATGAGAGCTGGCCCCAGACTCACCCTCAGTATCCTTAACTGTAAAATGGGACCAGTAAGGGATGTGAATCCAGGGCCACTGGCTCTAAACCCAGGTTTTCACTAGACCAGGCAAGCTGCCCATCTCCTCCGGGGTCCCCTGGGCTACCCACATGCCATGCTGACCAGGAGCAGCCTCAGGCACACCACAGAGCAGTGAGGGCCAGTCTTGCCAGTCCTGATTTCACATTTTTAAGTCCAGAGCACCTACCTCCAAAAATTGCCACGACATTTATTTGAAGTGGAAATGTGTGTGGATTCAAACACATTTGGCTTGGAAACTTGGATGATAGCCCAGAGTTGAAGAGCCCACAGCTCCCTGCGTTCTGGCCTCTGGGGTGGTACCGCTGGTGTGTGTTAGAGGGTGGATTCCTGGGCGGTGGCCCCTGGTGTGAAGGGGTAACTCTTCTGTGTGGGTGGATAGAGGTCAGTGCCTTCCCAGAGAACCTGCAGCCATCCCCTGGGGCTGACATCAAGAGCCTGGGCTATGGCTCAGGCACTGTGCTAGTCAAAGGTATCATGGAAAAAGAAAATCAGGAGCTTACACTGTACTTCGGGGGCTTAATGCACACCACAAAACACTATTCTGTTTGCTGGCTACTGCCTTCTCTAAAAGCACATAGCACATCCTTCTGCAGGTGCCAGCTCTCTGCCCAGTTGTCTGTCCCCCATCCCATCTTCTGGGCACTGGGCTTTCCCACACTGGCGTACAAGCAGACACGGGGCTCAACAGACACCGACCCAACACAAGGCAAGCTGCAGCACAGAGGGAGGTGGCCTGTAAGGTGGGGCAGGTCCTGCAGCCCCCGTGGCATCCCAGTTGCTGAGTGCTTATCTTCTCTTCTCCAGGAACGGTTTTCCAAAGCAGACAGCAGCTCAGCTGATTCTGAAGGCCATCTCCAGTTACTTCGTGTCTACAATGTCCTCTTCCATCAAAACGGTGTACTTCGTGCTTTTTGACAGCGAGAGTATAGGCATCTATGTGCAGGAAATGGCCAAGCTGGACGCCAACTAGGCTGAGCAATGACAGAACCAGCTGCACCATGTACCCCACCTTCAGTTTAAAAGAAAAAAAAAATCCCCTTCACTCCTACTGGGAGGTGGGACCCCTTTCATTTTCAGTTTTGCTCATCTAGGGAAAATAAGGCTTTGGTTTCCAGTTTAATTGTTTTTGACCTTCTAAAATGTTTTTATGTTAGCACTGATAGTTGGCATTACTGTTGTTAAGCACTGTGTTCCAGACCGTGTCTGACTTAGTGTAACCTAGGAGATTTTATAGTTTTATTTTAATGAAACCCTGATTGACGCACAGCAGTGGGGAGAACAGCGTCTTTTACCTGTCACCGAAGCCAGGAAGCCCCGTTTGTAAGCGTGTGTTGTGGTGCTTTATTGTACATCCTCCAGTGGCGTTCTTTTTACTCTAATGTTCTTTTGGTTTCCCCCCTCAGAAGAATCATGAATTTGCAACAGACCTAATTTTTGGTTACTTTTTGTCTTATTGATGGATTTGAAAATGAAAGATTTAATAAGGCAAAGCAGAATCTGTTGTCCTTAATTATATTTGCAATTTGGAATTTGTGTGAGTTGATTTAGTAAAATGTTAAACCGTTGTTGTGACTGGTGTGTTCCAGTTATTGTGCCCGTGAGTCACAGGTCTTAAGTCGGCTTCTGCAGTCCCAGGATGTGGGGGCAGGGCAGTCCATCCCCCTCAACCCCCACCCTGCTCCCACAACTCCTTGGATGCTCCACAGTGTTCACTGCAACCTGGGTGGGTGTGGGCCATCTGCTGGCCCCAGTGGTTTGTAGAGAGAATTTTTATAAAGTCTCACCTTTTGGTTCTGTGTGACCCTTGGGCCAGGGTGTTATCCCCATTCCCCGTTCCACAGATGAAGGAGGGAGTGTATCCAAAGCCGTGCAGGTGGCATGTGGCAGGCTCCAGACCCTGAGCCCAGCTCTCTCCTACCATTGTCCCCTTCTGACAGTCTGTGACTTAGGGCTGGGCCTGGCCACTTGCTGATGAAGCTGCTGGAGCCTCATTCCCTCTGCCGAGGCTGCTGGGTCTGTCATCCCTGCAGGACAGGATCCCTGGCAGAAGGGTGCGTGGAGCTTTCCAAGGAGAAGCCGCCACAGCCAAGGCTCCTGGGATGTGCTGGCAGCTTTCACGTGCCTTCTCACCGCCAAGGCTGTTGAGGGATGTTGATTATCTAGGAAGACCTCAGCCAAGCCAGAGTAGCTAAAATATATGTTAGCAAAACATGGACACTTTTTGCTTCAAAGGGCACTTACACCTTAACCTAAATTTGCCTAAAATACACAGAAGACTCTTTCCGTCTCTTGAAAGAAAGAAAGAGGAAAAAAGAAAAGAGAAAGAAAAGAAAGAAGCCTGCGTCTAAAGCAGACTTTAACCAGGAAGAAATATGCAGTACACTTCATATCGTGGCCGAATGTAAAGGATCATTTTTCCTTCCCAAACTGTGCCTAATACAAACTCCTCAAAACAGAAGGTCCTAGACCATCACACAACCAATCTTTTCCATGAAAGGCAAAGATTTCCAACTTAAACCTGAAAGTTGATTTTTCAAAATTTTATCTGAACATAAGGAGTTATGTTACGTTTCTTTTCCAAGATCTTTGCTGGGTCTAGATTATGTATTCCTATTTCTTGATTTGAAATGAGAGAGAACGGTGGAGGAGGTGGGGGACTGCATTATCTTTTTAAGAAGCTGATCTTAAAATGATACCACTTCATAGTTAATACCAGCAAACTGCTTAGTCAAACCATACTATGCGGCCCTCCACCCAAGAGCATTGTTTGTGCAGGTAGGATCTGCAGTGTGGATGGAGGGTAATGGAAAATTGTGGCCACTGTTAGCTGGTCAGACTGATATTTACTGTATGTCAGGTACTGTGCTGAGTCCTTCATGGGTATCATTTCGTTTGGTCCTTGCAATAACCCTATAGGGCAGGTCCTATTATTAGATGCATTTTTTAGCTGGAGGTGATCACACTGCTGAAAAGTGACAACCAGATTCAAATGCAGAGTTTCTGACTACTGTGATATAGGGTCCCGGATGGCACGTGCTTACCAGCAGCCAAAGAGAGTCCATTTGGCCTTGGAATTTCTAACTCAGAGACTGAAACACAGAGGGACTTGTAGGTGGAACCAAGGTTTAAATGACTTAATTGGATGGGCTTACCTTTGGAGGAACACCATAGAAGCAAATGTGTTTTTCAAAGATCTTCCACTAGATGTCACCAAAAGGACTGAGAACTAGAGAAAAGGGCTGCGATTTCTGCTCTCCTTGTAAGATTGCACAAAAGAATAAATTGCATTTATCGCTGTTTGCATGAATGATTTACCATAATCACCTAAATGTTTCTAAACTTTGAATAATCCAAAGTGCATCATGCCCTGTGATGTGGGCACACTGTAGAAATTCTTTTCAATGAAACTGAGGGAAAGTGAGCCAACAAGTTGCCTGGGGTTCCCACCATTGCTAAGCCACTCAGTTCGTTTTTAAAACTGGGATCAAAAACTGTTCTCTGATGTCAGCCTCATGCTTTAAGGGGGGAAAAAAGCTCATTACTTTTAAAAAATTGGTGCAACTGCAAGGAACGTCTTGAAATGCACACATGCCTCTATTCAAAAGACAAGTTTGCACTTAGTAAAACTTAACAGAAATGCAAGTATTTTGTGAGGGGGTAAAATCCTGCAGGTTCTAGAGAGGTTAAGTGTTGCAGCCCAGCCCTTCTCTTCACTGTAAGCCTTCAGAGGCAGGCTTGCAGTGGGTGTCACCGACAGAGCTGTCCCATCCACTGTCGCTGTGCTGAGTCCCCCCAGCCTCCCTCGAACTCAGAGCCATGCAACCCTGTGATCCAACAGCAGCATTAGGCAGACAATACCCACTCCCATTCATTTCTCAAGAACAATTCTTGCCCTCAACAGCTGGGCCCTGCCCTGAATAATCCAGACGATTTTCTCAGTGCTCCTCCATGGGCCCCTTTAAATGACATCTGAGATCTAACGCAATGCTGTGGCTCCAACTGGTACTGAACTGACAATAACAGCCACTGTATGTGTGTGTCCTCTACATACATCATTGACTTCTCATGGCAAACCTATGAGGTAGGTAATACTATCTCTGTTTTACAGACAAGGAAACTATGACACAGAGAGGTGAAGTGTATTCCCTAAGGTCACACAGCCATGAATGGTGGAAGTGGGATTTGAACCCAGCTCTGACTCTACAACGAGCTCCCTGGAGCTGAACTCTCCTTTGCTATCCATCCCAATATTTTGTTCTTCAGGTTATACAGGGCTTCTTACGTGCTCACTGGGAGCTCCTGTGTGGCTGGCCCTGGGAACATAAACAGAACTTGTTGGATGACAGATGAATAGGAATGTGCATTTAAAGCAATCCAGTGATCAACAAGGACTTACTAAATGCTTTCTATGAAAGAGGCCTCGGATTAAGGGTTTCTTACAAAGGCAGGTAAGCAAGCATTGTCCAGCAAGCACTAAACTCAGAGAAGTACCTGCTAAAAAGGCAGGGGCTCAGGGCAGGGAGTTTTGCTCACTGGCTGAGCAGGCTCAGGGAGGGCTTCTTGGGGCAGAAAACCTAGTGCTGAATTTGATAGGAAAGGTTGGAATCTCCCAGGTCAGGAGGGCAAAGCAATGGGTAACAGATGGCAAGCTGGCATAGAGGCTGCTCTATCAGCCCCAGCTGGGGAGCTCCTGCACCCTCTCTGTGGAGAATCTCAGTCTTCACCCGCTTCCCACCTAGGACAGCCACTTCAGCCCTGGCCTCTGCTCGCTACACGCCATCCCCAGCATTTGGAGTTGTCTATCCATGGATTTGTCTGTGGCAGAATTCCCCCTCCCATTCAGGGTCAGGTGACTGTATTTGGTCACAACTACAGTCAGCCCTGCCAGAGGAATTGGCTTACACTAAGGCAAAAAAAGAAGAGGTGGGTGTCCCATTCTCACCCAGCGTCCTGCCCCTCCCAGTCCTGGGGGTGGTCAGCCTTTCTCAGGAGGTGGAAGCCCTCACTGGGCCTGTCCACTCTGGGCCTGTCTACTTTGGGTCAGGCAAGCCTCTCAGTTCCTCATTTGTCACTCAGGCTGCCTCGTCCATCACCCCGAATGGTCCTGGAAAAAGGGCTTGCTCAGTTTACTCATTAGCAACTATGATGTTTAATTTTTGCTGCCGGGCACTCCTGGCCGATGTTATCTTGGGAGCTGGCCTTGGTGCCGCCTTCCAGTGATCCACCTGAAGGCGATGGGGCGAGGAGGGAGTCCTGGGACCCACTCCCTGCTGAGAAGGGGAATGCTCAATGGCTGGGGCGAGGCCACCTTTTCTTCGCCTTTTCTTCCACTTATAACTTGCCTGTTGTGTTTGCTTCTGGGGGCCCCCCATATCAAAACAATATCACATGAGCCTCCTGACAGGCAATAACACTGCTCATTAATCCCCAGCCCCCGCCCTGCCCTCCATGCTCCTCCGCAAAGGTGTGTAAATAGAGTGGCCTTTCCCTGACCCTGGAAACCAACCCAGCCTGGGCTGCCTTGTCAAACTCACAGAAGAGTGTCTTAGAAACACTCTCTCCATAGGAAGCACTTCCTCCTCACTCCCCTTCTCCCCACTAAGCGACTCCCACCCCTCCCACACTCACCCATTTCCATGGGTGCACACGCACACACACATACATTCACGTGCACACAGCGAGGCCCCAGAGCCCTCTGTGTTAGCAGAGTATAGAAATGAAGAACATGCAGACAAACACCCTTTGAACCGGCCAGAGAGCAGCCAGGATTCTGTCTCCCACAAAACATAGCTGACACTACTCCTCCAGAGGCCCTCCTTGGCCTAGTTTGCTCTGTGAAGTGACCGGAACTGTCTGCAGATCTTCTGCTAATAACTCCCTTGGCTAACTTAGAACAGGGTGCCGGGACTCCCCAGCGTCTGATGGGGGACCCAGCACCCACAGCAGAGGACAGCAGCCACTCACCACCACAGTCTGCACACACTCAGTGTCTGCATGAATGTGCCCTAGAGCACTCCTAGCAGGTCGTGTACTCCCTGGCAAGGAAGCCCTCTGATGGCCCTGCTGGGCCAGAGGAGGAAAACAGTCCCAATGTCACAGGTTAAAGGTCACCGCCTTGGCTTCAGGTTTGTAACTGCTCCTTGAGGAGAGTAAAAAGCTGAAAATCCCAGAAAGACACCCTCCAAATCTTATGTTCAAAGCCCTGAAGCCAGAGCAATGATCACTGAGTGATGATCACTGGCATGGCCCTAGAACACATGCAGGCAGGAGGTCAGATCTGCCTTGCTGGGGAGTCTCTTCCTGTCCTGAGCCCTGGGACAGGCACCCGGGATCCCCACATCAGGAGTCACACTATCCCCCATTCCCATATACACCCTTCCCGTCCACCAGCCTGGCCTGCTAGGCCAGAGCCCAGCTTCTTCTGACACAGGGTGATGGCACGTCCCCTGCTGACCACCACTGCTCACCCAGGTCGGGCCCCAGGCATGACCCTCTCAGCTCATCTCCCTGTTCACTCTCTGGCCAGACTGGCTGGGAAACCTGATATTTCTGTCCCTTGAAACGACAAGGCTTCCTAAGCTTAAGAGAATAAATTAGAGTTGAGTTCAAGTAGGCTCAGCTGCGGCGGATGGGCAAATTGATTTGCTTCCCATCTGGGAGATTAAATTCCAGTGCCCAGAAATGGCAGTGGGGTAATGAGCTGTCAGTCAAACGGCGCAGAGCCAGGGCCGCGCACGTAATTGAAAGCCAGCAGCTCCTCATTAGGTCCCATGGAGGTCCTGGCTGCAGATTCCCACCTCAAGGAGGCCGCTGGACCCCAGAGAGAATGCACTTGGCCGCGAGGCCACATCCTCTAGAGGGAAATGCCACCTTGGGCCACTGCTGGGCTAACTTTAAGGAACTTTCACTGAGCTCAAGGTGCTTATGATATATTTCTCCGCAGTCACTAACAGCCCCTCCAGGATTTAATTATGGGCAAATCCACTGGAGATTCCACCCAAGGGGCATCTTTTTCCAGGGGGCCCTCTCCTGTCCTCCTATGTGTCCCTAGTCATTCCGGGTCATCTCAAAGGGCCACACCCCACTCAGCCCTTTACACATACAAAACACCCACACTCACCCTGCCCGTGTAATCCTACAACACCTGCAGATAGTGATGGCAGTGTCTCCATTTGATAGCTGAGGAATCTGAGGTGCATGGAAGTTTAGAAGTTGCCTTCTAACACCTTGGCAGGCCTGGGAATGGAGAAAGGAGGGTCCTTTTCAGCCTCATCTCACACCATCCCCTCGCATGCTCTCTACTATACTTCCTCCCTAGGGCTACTCGTATCTCACCTTGAGGCCTTTGCATACACCAGTTCCCCACCAGAACACACTACAGCCTCCACTTATTTGTAATCCTACTCAACCCTGCAGGGCTCTGCTCTTAGACATCCCTTATGCTTCCTCCAGGAAGCCCTCCCTGACCATTCTGTCAGTGGGGAGGTGCCCTCTCTCTCAGTGCACCCTGCACTGCTGCCAGCCACAGTGCTGTGCCTTCTGAACAGCTGTCATGTGGTTACGTGGCCATCTACCCCATCAGATGCTGAGCACCACTCATGCACACATTCCATGAGCCCACTGGGCCAAGCTCTGTAATAGACTCTGGGGACAAGCAAAGGAGACCCTGCCCTCCATGAAGGCAGAAGCTAGGGGCCGCACACCTGCTGCGCCCTCACTGCCTCACCCCAAGGGCACAGGGCAGGGCAGGGGTTTTCTCTTGATGGCTCTAAGAATCAACAACAGGACTCAAAGGCCAAGCAGCAGGCAGAGGGCCTGACTCAGAGAGAGGAGCATGGGAATAACATGCCCATGTGAAAGTCAGCCCGGGTGACAGCTGGGGGTAACCCATCATGCTGGACCTCTCGCTTCAAGCAGGTGCATGGTGGCTTCAGAGTGGAGTCTGATGTTGGCACCAGGCCACAGCTCGGCCCCATCTTGCCACTGCTAACCACAGTCGGGGTCTCATGGCATCTAGTGCTTCTGCTCTTGCAAGCTCCTGACTTGAAAAGGGAGTGGACATGGGACCTTCCTGGATAGATGCCAAATCCAGTGTCAATCAACAGGGAAAACAGTGGGCAATGTCTGCAGGAGATGCCTGTGAATTACAGCAGCAGAGATCCCTGCCTGTGTGCCAGTCAGCGTGGGTGGGCAATAAGCTGAGGAGTCTGCGTGCATCATTTCATCAAATCCTCCTAAAAGCCCTGCCAAGGGAACATCATAGCCCCGCTTTCTAGGTAAAGGGAGCTTAGATCAGAGAGGTGAAGTGACTTGCCCAGGCCACACAGCAGGAACCTGGCAGAACCAGGACTCACAGCCAGGGACCTGCGACTCTGTGGTCAACTCTCTTTCATCCTGGTATGCTGCCTCCCAAGGGCCTCAAAAAGGACGAGAGGTTCGGATGAGCACCTCGTCCAAGACCAAAGAGCTGGAGAGAGGAGGACCCCGGGCAGGCCCTGAGAGTCTGGGCTTCCTTCTGGGCCTCCTGGGTAAAAAGACCAGGGACCCCAGCAAAGCCCAAATGGACACACAACGGGGCCCAAGTTCTGCTCCTCCCAGGTTGGGGTCCCGGCCCGGGCCTTCCAGTAATTAGTGCGCCCTTGTTAAGACTCAGTCGCGCCATTCCCGGGCCAGGACTTGTTTTTGTTCCCATGCGGAGGCCCTCGCAGGAAGGCCAGGCGCACGTGCGCAGCCCCATAAATCCAGCCGGCGTCGCTCATTACAAGGTTCCGCCTCACGGCTCCGCCTGCCCCAGCCCGCGCGGGCTTCTCTGGGACGGGCCTCCCTGCAGCCCGGCTCGGCTGCCCCGTGCCGCCCACAGCCTCAGACATGAGCTCATCCAGCACGACGCGTGTGAGGAGGTGGCGGGACGGCGCTCTCACAGCAAGGGGACAATGTGCCCATTAAGGCCTGTCAGCCTCCCCGCCGCCGACCCACCCACCCTCTGAGCAGGACCACCCCACTCCGGGCCCTGGCCAGCCTCTGTGGACGGTACAGCTTGAAGCCAGTTTTGGGGGATGTGTCCCGGGTGTGGCCGTCCACCCAGTGAATGCCACAGGAAGTCCAACAAGGCAGGGAGGACCTGCCTGGCGGGAGAACTGGGCTGGGCAACAGAAAGGCCCCAGACGGCCTTGCCTCCCTGCAGGCAGATTGGCCAACTCCCTGTGGGATCTCAGGCAGGTCGCTCCATCCCTCGGAGCCTCCATCCCCGCAGCTGTAACATGGGAAGCTACTCACGGCCCAGGCCACCCCGCTGTCAAGGGCATTGCCAGGAATAGATAACAGGATACAGGGAGGCGTCTCACCATCCAGGGGGCCCCGTAGAGGTGGCCTGGGTGGGGTGTGGTGGTGGGGGGGGCCAGGAGGGAGCCAGGTGAGGGAAGCACTGGGCATCTGCACCGGTGACCTTGAGCCTCTGCGCTTGGCTCTCCTTCAGTAGGAAACCCGGCTGGTCCTTTACTCTGATATGAGGAGCTGGTTTAGAGGCAGGAAGAGGTAGGCCACCATCGCGTGCGCTTTGGGACAAGTCACCACCCCTCTTCAGGGCATGTTTTCTTCTGTAAAATTGAGTTGGCCACACAGCATCAGTCGGAAATCCTTAGTGGATGGGAACCGCGACTCTTACTTTGATTCCCATGGAGGGTGGAAGCTGTGTAACTGCCACATCTGAAACCCAGGGTCTGGCTGCAGTCTGTGCTCCAGAGCAGCCAGCTCATGCCCAGGTGGCGATCACTACCACACCCCATCAGAGCCCATCTTTACTGCATGTGGCCAAGGGTGCTGGAGGCATCGGCCAGCCCCTCCATGCAGCGCTGTCACAGCTCAGAGGGGAACTGGGCAACATCCACTTGGAAGGAACATTCTAGAACTGCACTAATACAGTAGACACTAGTCACGTGTATTTAAACTAAAGTTAAATACAATTAAAAATTCAGTTCCTCATTCACACTAGCTACACTTCAAATGCTTGGCAGCCACATGTGGTTAGTGGCTACCATGTTGGACAGCAATGATTATAGACATCTCCAGCATTGCAGGGAATTGCACTGGTTAGCTCTGTTCTAGAACACTTAGCCATGGAGCCCTTCAGGGCGACACCCCATGTTTTCCATATCATTTGATTCAGTGTATGGAGCAAAAGCCACAACCAAGGCATTTCCCCCAAGCAAATGGTTCTATGCTAGTAATAACGATGACAGTGATATTATGATGCTAGAAACCATAACACCCATGGACTGAACATTTCTATGTCCCAGCACAGTGCTGGGTGCCCGACATTCACATCACATTCAACTCCCTCCAAAAGATTTTATCATGAGTGACACACCTCTATCTTACGGACTCAGACAAGCTAAGGAACTCCAGCAAGGCGGTGTCGCGAAACTAGCTCTGACTTCAAAGCCAGCCTGCCTCTCAGGCACAGAACCTGTCTAACCTCTTCCTGTGTTTTGAATAGATGTGCACCCAGAGGGATGACTGTCCTTTTAAAAAGGCGTCTGTGTTTCCCTTCCTGGCTTTCATTTAGCTTTGAACACCTCCTCCTCTCAGGAAAGCTCAGACTTGTTTGAACCTGGGCTAAAGGTCACTCAGGGGCTGGTGTGGAATTTCATGCCCTAGCCAGGCCTGCAAGGGGCCAATGAGGCTAGTCTGGTCCCACCAACCATCCCCAGTTTCTAGAGGGACCTGCTCACTGCCTGGCTTCAGCCACCTGAGGCCAGGTACCAGGTACCCTGGGGAGTGCGAGCTGATGGACTGAGGCCACAGCTGTACTTGCAAAACCCATTCAGTGACACAGCCCCCTGCACGGGTCAGGTCAGCAGAGCTGAGAGGCACGCAGATGTCAGGTGGATGCCCCGATGCATACGCACGTGCCTGTGAGCAGCGATGGCCCACATGCTCCTGCTCAACGCCATGGTGTGGCACACACGAAGGCATGGAGAGCAGGACAGGGTGGCCGTGGCCAGGCCCTCGGAGTGAGCCCTGCACCTGCATCCACTAGGCCACCCATTAGCTAGTGGGTGAATTAATGAGTGTTAGGCTCTGGTCTCAACACCTGCTGGGGTCACCTGGTCACCCTGCAGTAGCCTTCTGCAGAGCTCATCGCTCTGGGCCACAAAACGCCTGTCCTGCCATCCCCAAACTCCTCTAACTATATCCTCGTGGCAACCCCAAGAGACTCGCATGCAGAGTTAGGGACCACCCTCCAACTTGACAGATGTGGAAACTAAGACCTAGTGAGCAAACGCTGTTTCCAAAGCCCATGACTGCCTCCCGGGGCTTGTCCATGAGGCTCGTCACCTCTCCCTCAGCCGTCCTCTCCAGGGTGTGTCCCACAGGCGCGCAACTGTGGGCTCTATGGCTCCCAAGGCCAAACGAGTTCACCAGAGGGACAGCTCCAGGTGCCCTCCTCTCTGCCCCAGGCCTGCCATCCTCCCTCACCCCTGCAGGCCACCCCAGGACCCAAGTCACCAGGGAGGATGATTGCTGAGCTCATCTGGCCTGAGTACTGCACACAGGACATTTCTCCCACAGACACCTGCTTGTTTAGAAACCCCAAACGCCAGGCGGCCCAGCAGGCCCGGCCCAATATTCCCGGGCACGGGAACTCTCTCACCCTCATACCCCAGAGGGCCACATGGGCCAGTCAGTCTCCAGCAGGGACTCACCAGAAACAGCCCGGCAGCCTCAGAGCAGCCTTCACATCCAGACCCCTCTGCCCACTGGCATGAGCCTGCCGCAGCTCTATCTTAAATAGGCTCACACCTCTGTGCTGAAGGCTGAGGGAAGCACTGCACCCCCACAAAGCCTGATCCTACGTTTGTCTCGCTGAAGCCCTAGGGCTCCAGTTTAAGAGACTTTTTATAGACTCCTATAAAGGAGAAAGTGAACTTTTAACATGTTTGCACTCCACTAAGTCAATACGCATAAAAGGGACAGCAGCTGAGCTTCCGCTGCCCACTTGCAGTCCAGCAGGGCTGGAGGACCCTGTCAGTGCCATCCAGCTCTGTTGGGCACCTGTGGCTGCTTCTCCTTGCCCATGGGCCTGGAGCATGGCCCCCAATTCATAGGCTGTCTGTCCACCAGGGCCATGGGCGGGCACTAATGAAGCCAGAAAGCCCCCCCTCAGCTGGGCTAATGGGTGGCTCCCGCCCTCGTTCAGCCAAGACGGCCCCCCAGATGCATGATTTTCATGGGAAGATTTAGAGGAGGGGAAACATGGAAGCTGTAAAGTTTTACTAGGAATTCTCAACCATCCTCCTTTGGCCCCGACATTCATGCTGCCCTTCATTTTTAAGAGAGCTTCCTATTTGCTTTGAACTTACCCCTTAAAGCTAAGCAACCCTGTGCCCGCCTCCAGGATCCAGGGTCCAGACTCGGACTCCAAAAGTGCCTGCCTACCCAGAAGGAAGAGAAGGAGACTGCTCAGGGCACCCCAGAGGGCATTCTCGTGCCAAGCCTTGTCCTGGAACAGTCCCTAAGGACATCGTCTGCCCACTTGCCACCCTGTCAAGGTCAAGGGAACCCAGATTTTATGACTGAGACCCAACACGTGCTCCAGGGTTGGGTTTGCATACATCTGCACACAGCTTTCCGTTCAGTCATTGGTACTGAGCACAGTACCAATGTGCTATGTGCCAGGCACAAATGAGTGATGCCAACGGCAGCCTCCACCGATTGGGCACTTGGTGGGTATTAGCTCAGTGGTTCAGAAAGGACACATCAGAGTCAGTTCCTGGGTTTTGAGTCCCAGCTCTGTCACTTGCTACTATGACCTTGGATGTCATATAGCTTCTCTGAATCTATAACTTATCTATGCAATAGGAGCAATAATTACCCCACACACACATATACACAACCACCGTGAGACTGTTGCGTAGATTAAATGGCACGGTATATGTGCGCAGCATATAGTAAGTACTCAGTGAATGGTCATGTGGAACTCTAACAAACCTGTGATTAAGAAATAGGAAATGCCATTATCCCTTTCTTGAGAATGAAGGAGTTGAGGTTTAGAAGGTTAAATGACTTACTGAAGGTCACACAGGGACAAGGAGACGCAACTGAGCTTGGGTCCCAGTCCTCTCAGACTCTAAAGCCCACAACCTTAAACGCTGTCATGCAAAACACTCCAGGCTTGAGAAGCAATGCAGGTCCCTCGATAAGTGAGAAAAGTTCAGTGTCAATAAACTTACAATCATCAAATCTACAAAGTGATTATTTTAATTTCAGCGTCACAGTTCAGTGTTGGTTGTCTGGGGTTGGCAATAGTGGGGATGGTAGGAGTAGTACTACAATGTTTTTGATGCTTAGAGGAGTCTAGGGCCAATTTTTTATCGGATGCAGATCAACTGGACATGGCTCCTGAGAGGCCAGGCCACCAGAAGGTCTCTGACTGGCCGTGCACCCAGGGAGGGGTGGAGAGGGAAGCATTGCAGGCAGATGTCAAGGCTGCCCAGTGACTCCTCACAGAGCTGTCATCGCTCTGCCACATCCTGGTCCGGAATTCTCTGTGAAACTGAGATCTCTTTGCAAATTTTAAGGACTGTCTGCTGAGCCTTTTTGTGGAATTTTTTGGGACTCTTCATGAAAGAGTTTCTCCTTACCCCTGAATGCATCAAGAAGTCCTCAGTGTTAACGTATAAAGCTAGGACTGGGATTATGTTCCAGCCTGGAATTAACCAGTTGTACAAGTCAGAAATGGATGGATCCATGGAGAACAACTGCGGAGCAGGTAGGGAAACTGAGGCCCAGGGTGCAGAGGGACTTGCTCCACAGCCCATCACCGACACTTGTCAGCACCGGGAGACAGGTGTCACAGTCTCGTTTGGCTTTCTGTCTGTGCCTCTTTTATAACAGCCTTGAAATGCCCAAATCCCATGGCAATTGTCTGGGCTAAATTCCTCTGGATGAAGAGGTGATTTGTTTTTCTTAAGTTGTTCAAAGGTCTGGGGATGTGTGGATCCATGGGTTCTGGGAGGAGGCCCACTATGAGCAAAGGCTGGTCTGTTCATGGAAGATTCCCAACCCCCTTAACAAAGCAGAACACCAAAGTTGATTGTCCCTGGCCACCCTGCCCCCGTGTCCATCACCACAGCCTAACAGTCCCTCTCAACAAAGTCAGTTGCCGATCACACGCTCTCTTCTTAAAGCTGTGGATGAAGGTGTTGGTTTAGTGCTGGCTCTCTGAGTACAACAAAGCCAAAAGGTATTTCTGAAAAAAGCTCACACATCCCACCACTGTTTTGGCTTTCTATACAGGGACAAAAGTAGAGTGAATTCTCCTTCCTGTTCCCTGATGTTGCTCAGAAGCCATTTTCTGGCTGGCAGTCAGCCTTCTGGGAGCCCCAGCTCTCCAGAGCACAGCCACGGGGCCAGAAATTGTTGAGAAATGCAGCCAAATGGAGAGAAATCACTCACAATGCTCACAATCGTGATTCCATAGGAAAGAAGGGGCACCTTCCCACAGCGGTGACGCGGACATTGTCCCCGTGAACTGTATCCCTCTGTTTGCTCCATGCGCTGTCAGGTGTAATTCCAAAGGAGACAGATGCTGAGGCACTGCAGGTGGTTGGGCAGCCAGCTGGCAGCAAGAGGGGGACCAGGCCTCCACAGAAAGAGCACTTAGGAACAGTGGCCTGGGTACGGCAGCGGGGCCTGGAGGGAGGCAGCTCTGGTGCGTGTCAAGGACTGGGCTCTGCTGTTTTTCTCCTCTAACCTATCCTTGGGTCTTCATGACTGTACTAGTTTCCTGCTGCTGCTGTGACAAATTGCCACAAAATTCGTGGCTTAAAACAACACAAAATATCTCATCACTCTGGAGGTCAGAAGTCCACGATAGGCCCCACTCTACTAAAAATCAAGGCGTCAGCAGTGCTGTGCTCTCCTGGAGGCTCTAGGAGAATCTGTTTCCTCACCTCTTTCACCTTCTGGAGGCAGCTCACATTCTTTGGCTCATGGCCCCTGCCCCCATCTTCAAAGCCAGCCGTGGAGCATCTTCAGACGTCTCCCTCTCTCACTCCACTGTCATCATGTTTCCTTCTCTGACTCTGACACCCCATCAAGGGGAGGACATTGGGCCCAGCTGGAAAGTCCAGGATACTCTCCCGCTTCAAGGTCCTTCACTTAATCACATCTGCAAAGTCCCTTTGCCATGGAAGGGATCACAGGCACAGATTCTGAGGATTAGGATGTGGACATCTTTAGGATGATGACATCCTCATAGGTCCTTGGGGCATAAGTGCGCCTCACACCACCAGAAAGATGGATGAAGTGTCGTCATCAGGAAAGGTAATGGGATCTATGCACTCTGTTCTCAGAGAGAAGGAAATCCAGTAGATGAGGCTCTGCTTTCCCCATTCTTTCTCCCAGCATTGTCCACCCTTGGAAGGAGCATCCTGTGCCCTCAGGATGACTGGGACTGCGAGGGCACCTGCTGGCCAAGGGAGCACAGAGCCCCTCTCCTGTGGCTGGATTAGTCCCAAGGCCAGCTGGGCCCTTCTCCCTTGCAGGGGTTAGGGCTCAGGCCCTGTACCTCTTAACCTGTGTCTTCTCACAGCAGGTGGCCATGCCTCACTCCAATCTTTCATAGCACCCGCCTGACAAAGCTCAAACACGGGCTCCAGCCTCCTGCTTTTCAAGTTAGTTCTCAACACTGCAAATTCCTGGTGGGGGTGAAATATGAGTGCAGCAGAGCCACAGGCAGTCCAGTGGGGCAGGCTCTAGGCTCTCCCCAGGGCAGCGAGGGGACACAGCAGTGCTGGCTCTGAAGTCCACTCCTGCTTCCGCCGCTGTTTGGCTGTGCCACCGTGGGCAGTGGGCCTGGGCTCTCCAGATGCAGTTTCCTCAGCTGGGAAGTGGGGGTGTTCATGGTCTCCTCCCACAGGCCTACCATGAAAACGCAAGGAGGGGGAAGATGGCAAAATAGAGCAGGGGATGAACAGTGAGCCTTCAGGATGGTGAGTGGTGGCACTTGTTTCACTTTTAAATCCTGAGATTTTGGCACACAGTGCATCCTCGTTGCATATTTGCTATTATATTTGAAACATTTTTCGTTTGCATTTTGAGGTGCCCTGTCCCAGATGAACCGTGGCGTGGGTAGCCAAGAAACCCGACCATGCCTTCCAGAAAGCGGGCATGGTGAGAAGACCATACATTGGGCTTCCCTCTGCCCCTCAATTCCAGGTCCCTGCATCTGCCCCACTGTGGGCACTGAAGGGGACAGATGCCCTATCACACCTGCCCTGGGGGTTCCTCCCACAGACAATCTTGCTGCTGCTCTCCACCTGTTCTTCATATGCGCAGACTAGGGTAGTCATTCCCAGCTGGCAGGTCAAGCATCAATCTGCAAAATTTGCATGGGATGGAGTTGGTGTGGACATTCTGAGCCTTCTTGTCAGGGACCTCCTTAGGGCCTCAGGTGCCTTCATTAACCACATGGAGCATCAATGATGGATCGCCCGCACTCCTCCCTGGCTGAGCCCACAAGACCCAACATGATCAGAATCCCAGGCACAGTGCAACCCAGAGGATGAACATCTACCCTTTTCCACACATGGGGCATGCAGGCTTTCTAGGGCCCCTCAGGGGCCCTAGAGTGCCTGCCTTCTCTTTAGATTTCTGTCCTCAGCATCAGCCTCCTCCACAGCCTTCATTTAGGAAAAGCCCTTGCAACCCAACTCACATTTAGGCACAGGCACATAAGCACAGCCACCACAGCCTCCCAGGAGGACTTGGACATGGGCAGGCCAGGGCAGACCACCCCCAGCTGAGTGGGGAGCAGGGGACTCACTTGCCAGGGATATGAAGAAGTTATAGGAAGGGGCCTGCCCCCTTCAAGCCCCCTGCTCCCAAAGCTGGAGGGCCATCACTTGGCCAGGCTGTAACTCACAGTCTGAATTACTAGTTCTTTCATCTGAGCTCCCTTCCATCGCTCAGACCAGAGCCAACAGAACCCAGCACCATGGACTCTAGGAGGCCTTTCAAAACCAGCAACGACAGGTAGCATTTGTTAATTCCTTATCATGTGTCAAGCACTGAGCTACAGGCCCTACCACAACAAGGGAAGAACCATGACCCTCATTCTCACAGGTAGGGAAGCTGAGGCTTTGAGCATTTAAGGGACCTGCCCAAGTTCATATGGGCAAGCAACAGAACCAGGGCTTGAATCCAGGTCTGTGTGACTCTGAAGTCCCTCCCCGCCCCCCCCTTTTTTTTTTTTTTTTTTCTTGAGACGGAGTTTCGCTCTTGTTGCCCAGGCTGCAGTGCAATGCTGTGATCTTGGCTCACTGCAACCTCTGCCTCCCAGGTTCAAGCGATTCTCCTGTCTCAGCCTCCTGAATAGCTGGGATTACAGGCACCCGCCACTATGCCCAGCTAATTTTTTTGGTATTTTTAGTAGAGATGGGGTTTCACCATGTTGGCCAGGCTGGTCTTGAACTCCTGACCTCAGGCGATCTGCCCACCTCAGCCTCCCCAAGTGCTGGGATTACTGGTGTGAGCCACCACACCCAGGCAAGTCCACTTTCTTAATCACTACACTCCTCTCCCTGCCCTGGCACTTCCCCATCGAAACAGAATCCCATCCAGAGGTCCCAGCTTCAAGTCTGCTGCACTGAGAAAGTCTTTCTGAACCTAACTCAGCACACTGCATCCAGCAGCTGGGCCACCAGACCATTCCAGGGCCCGAGCAGAGCACCCGGCCCTGCCAGCCCAGGAAAGTGAGGCTGACACAGAATAAGGGCCCCTCTAGTCCCTGAGGCTGGAAGTAAAACCAGTTGTCAGGCTGCTCTGATCAGCTTCCTTTCCTCCTCTGCCACGAACATTGCTGGAGCCTTTCCTCCAGTGATGGGGACATCCTAGTATCAACAGAAGTGACCAAGCAGTGGAACAGGCTGCATGCGGCAGAGAGTAGTGCTTGGGGAAAAAGATGGAAATGGGGCTTTCATCATGGAAAAGGTATAAGCGGACACTGCTGGTGCAGGAGAAGATTTAAGTCCAAACTATGTGATGAACCCACTGGGATCCTTGGGAATGAATTCTGATTTAAAACAAAAGCTGAGGAGCCCAGGGCCCCAAAAGATCTTGCTGGTGAGCATTTGGGAGTCACTCAACAAAATAGCCACCAACACCCACACCCACCTGTCCCTCAATGTCTTGCATCCACACTCTAGTCACCAGAGGCTCCAGATCCTGACCTTAAAGACCACAATGCCTCGGTACCCCTCCAGTCCTAACCACACCACACAGCCCTTTGCCTGTGTGTACTGCATCCCACACCCTCATTTTAAAAGATTTACTCTTTGTGTCATTTGAGTGTCTACTACTGTCATGAAAAGGGAAGAGGAGAAATTCTGTCAAGGCCCACCCCAGCTGACATCCACAGTCAGCTTGCACATGCCACACTCAGAGCCGTGGCTGTGCAGGGTTGTCTGCCTGTCCAAGGGTCGTTCTGTCTGCGCTGCCAGCCACATAGCCTGGCCCAGCCCGTTATGCCTTGCCATGCCTTGTTTTCTGAAGAAACACAGGGCAGTGAAGAGAGGGTGGACCTCAGAGCCAGGCAAACCTGGCTTCTCAGTTCAGCCACCTACTAACCTTGTGGCTTTTTCTACAGCACTTGCCATTTTTAAGACTCAGTTTCCTCATTTGTAAACACTTCAAAAGGCTGCTGTTTCAATACAATTATATGAATAGGCAAGACACTAACATAGGGTCTTGCACACAGCAGATGCATTTAAAATGCATGAATTACTAGGTTCTTTCATCTGAGCCTCCCTCTTGCACGCAAGATGTAATTCATGCACCTTTTGTTTATATGTCCTGTCCTCTCTCTGACAATAGCCTCCATAAAGAGAAACTGGGTCTTTTCTTCCTCTGGATGGCCCCTGGGCTGAGTCCAGGGCTGTGTCCTAGAGGCTTCTTGAGAAACAGTGCATACTGTGTGCCAGGAAGAGTGAGGTCAGGGTGCTGTGCAACGGAGACCTGCTCCTGACAATGTAGCAGACCACCCTCCCACCATAACAGCCAGAAATGCTGGATAAGACATAATAAACATAACTTTACATGTAAGACTCAGCTGAAAAAGAAAAGAAAAAAGGACAGGTGTGGAAATCCACAGTGCTAAAAGCTGCAGCTGAGGCCAGAGTTGCATGAGCACGGCAGCCATGACTGTGTCACCTCCATGATCTGCCAAGCCCAACTCAATATGCCAAAAGCCAGACCCACCATTCTTTGGAGCCATCCATCGTGCATGCACTCACACAGTCTCTCACATGTGCTCAACTTAATTCTAGGTATTTGGGGCTCTTTAGGCTTCCACAGGAGCCATTTTGTCCTGTTAAATCAATCTACCAGGTATGACCTTAATCTAATCAGAGGTTTTAAGGTTTTACCAAAGTTGTGTGATGGCCATATCTGCAATCTGATTTTTGTTCTGAGACAATGTCTTAATGGCTATGCTTTAATTTCGTCTTTGACCTATGGCTATATCTTAATGGCTACACCCTGAATTTGGTGAGGAAACAGTTCCATTCTGCAACTGCAAAAGTCTAAGAACTTCAGGACTGTCAATTCTGTTTGCAAACCAGCCAGTTCTTTACTGAGTTCATTTCTTTCTTGTAGCACCTTATAAAATGCAACCAATAACAACTGACCCATACAAAAAAAAAAGCCTCGGACTCCCACTTTCTATTGGCAGAAGGTAGGCTGAGAAAGGTACTCAGCCACTCTAGGGAGGGTATATTTTTAATGCTTTTTTTTCTGGAAGTCGACAAGGAACATGGTGGAAAGGAAGGAACTCCCAGAGGGTGAAACCAGGAGCCAGTGGATCTGGGAGCTGTTCCCAGAGAGCAGAAGCAGGACCTAATCCAGGAATATTGTCTAACCCCAGGGTAGGAAGACCTCACGGTATTTTCCCCAAAGGAAGAATCTGCTGTGAACCCCTGTTCTGTGCTTCCTGCTTGTCCCCCTTTCAAATGGGACAGTTGTGGCTACTCTGTCCCAGCTCTTCAACTGTATATTGTGGTTTTTTGGTGGGTGAACTGGGGGCAAATACTTGTCTCTAGTTCATGGGCCTCTGGGTGAATAGGAACTGATGGAGACAAGACTTCCAGCCTGATGCTGTGATTGGATTGGAAATTTTTGAACCATCTGGGGAGGAAGTAAGTACATTTTGCTTGAGGGAGGGAAGTGAATATTTGTGATAAAGATGACAGGCTGAGGTAGATTGTATTATTGCTCAGCAAATAATCCCCAACTGACTCCATGGCTGAAGTGGACTTCTCACCCCCTTATTTGGAGCTTTGCCACGTGACTTTCTTCAGCCAATGGAGTGTGAGTGGCCATGATATGTGCAGAAGTTAAATGTACTTCTGTGGTTTGTCTTGGCCCTATAAGGCCTGAGAATTCACCCAGGTAACTGTGCCCCTGCAGCCTGGGTCCTGGAAGGAGAGCCAGGTGGATCAGACCTGAACCAAGTGGCTCTGGATGGAGCAGAGCCTCCAGGGCCAACCCACGAACCTGTGAGCAAAAAGTAATTGTTTTTGTTGTATTTGGTTGTATTCCTCTCAAAAATTTACTGTAAGATAGACTGAAAAAGTTTATTATATATCTAATCAGATTTCCCAAAGATAATAGGAGGAGGACGAAGAATTAAAGAGATGATGGCAGATACTTTTCCAGAATTGGTAAAAGTTGTTAACCCTCGGGTTTTGGAAGCCAACAAATTCCAAGTAGGAAAAGTAAAATAAAAATAAATAAATAAATATTTTTTAAAAATCACACTTAGACATATTGTAGTGAAACCGTAAAGCTCTGAAGACAAAGAGAAGACCTGAACGGTTGCCAGGAAGGATGAAACATATCTCCTGCCTGCATGAGTTCCGTGCCTGAGGGGCTGCACATGGGAACAAACACCTACACCCTTTATTGAGGAGATTTGCCAGGCAGGTGGCTTTATGGGTGTTATGTTATCTGGAAGAAACCTTGGAAGGCCTCTAATCTGGCCCCCTCAATGAGAGATGAGGACACTGGGTTCAAAAAGGGAGAGAGGAAATGTCTGCATCTGTTGTCCCATTTTCTTGGCAGATATGAGACTTGAGGCCACAACACCCACCTCCCAGCCTGTGTTTCCTATCACAGAGGCTGAATGTTCCTGGGCCTGGCCCAGGTGGTCACACAGAGAACAGGTGCTTCTCCAAGCCATGTGACAGGGTCTAAGAAGGCAAGGAGAGCCCTCTAAGACCCTGATGCATGGGTTGTGTAAGCAGACCCTCCTTGACTCATGATAGATGTGCCTTGGAAGAAACTGCCTTCAACGTGATAGCTGGCATTTGGGGCCTCTCCTGGCACTACACACCCCCAGTACCCTTCCCAAGAGAGCGCACAGTCCAAACCAAAACCAATCCCTGCCAAGAAAAGGCATGCCCAACCCTATTCAAAAAGTCCCCAGCTAGCCACTCATCCATCTTGGAATGACCCTCTCAATGCAGACACAGCATAATCTCTCTCTTATTCCCCACCTTGCCGAGGTTGTTCTAAGGAGAGTAGCCGACAGAAACAGCACATAAAAATGAGCCCAGGAACAAAATCCCCAACTCCAGAAAGATGAACATCTATTTGTGGGTGGTGGACCCAACTTCCTGGGATAGCTTCCCACAGCCCAGGGCCATCTGCCATGTCCCATAGGCCCAAAGGTGTCAGTGCAATGGGGTCTCCATAGACAACAGTTGTCTCGGGAATCTGTTCCCACACCTTCCTCCTGGGCCCCGAGAAGAAAGGACAGACACAGCTGCAGGTTTTACCATGGCCCAGCCAACATGGGATACCAGATGCAAATGAAGAGGCTGTGGAATGTGTGGACTGGCAAGTGAAGAAACAGCATTTGTCTCTGAGCAGAAGCTGCTGGGCCTGGAGGTGTGACTTGAGGCCATTACTCAGCTCAGTGACAACCAAGGGTTTCCATACTTTCATTGAAGAATCATCTGGCTAGTGTTTCACTAGATGGCACCCCTGGAATCACCTCACAAGTGGCTACTTATGGAGAATTCACTCCGTGGACAGACTTGGACCATCCATTCACACTTGGTCAACTCCTGGGCTCCTGTGTTGGCTAGAGGGTGTGAATTCTCACATTAACCTGCTGAAGTTAATGCAGAAGAAGCACCTCCAAGAAAAGAAACTGAAAGTCCCCCTAAACCAAATGTGGTTACAAGTTGATAACATGGAATGCAACTCTCAGGCAATCTTACCTCTTCAGGATGTTTTAGGGGCCAAGAAACAGGCCACAAGGTCTTTGAATAGCCCAAAAAACTGTCACAACTTCCATGCACTGAAAGCTCATTCCTCTTCCTCACAAGACACCTCCGTGAGAGCCAGTGATGCTTCCTCTAGCAAGCGGGTGCAGACAGGAGCAGCGGTGAGAAGGTGAGCAGGACTACCTGCAGGTGGACACCGACACCAGCAGAACACAACAGCTGCCAACTGGAGCAAAGGCATGCAGGACCATCCAAACAGATGAAAAGCAACTTTTAAAACGTGGCCTGCCACCATTCCAGGCAGGGACAGTGCCACATATCTAAGCTCTGAATTATAGCACACAACAGGGCCTGGCACATCATAACATGCAAATATGTTTAACTTTTTAATTGGAAACAACTGTAATTAATTTTGCCTGAATTAATGATTATTACTATGACTGCCAAATAGAGACCTTTCTAACCACATCGTTCCTTCCACATTGATCAGTTGGCATTCTACAATGAAAAGGAGCTTCTCTTCATCCACATTTATTTATCCAAGTGTGGGCTCATGGACTGCTGTTTAATGGGTTTTACTCCATCACCATATTGTACATTTTGATGTTCAAATGTCCCAGTTTGGGCCAACGGGAGCCCCTTCAAACTGTTTCCATGTCCTTTTGACATGTCTGCATCCTTCTTTGAGCACTTCTTTACTCTCTGGCATAATGCAGTGCTCCTGGCCTATCTTGTACTTTTCCTGTCCCAGTCCTGGAATCAACCGTTTCTCCAAAGTCCTGGTGTCCTTAGCAGAAAATGACATTAGAAACCATCATTGGAGCAACTAGGTATGCTATTTGTTGTATAAGTGTCATTGCTTCTAGGCCTGCCTGCTCTGTCGAAAGAGCTCAGAAGTATGCGCGCGCGCGCGCGTGTGTGTGTGTGTGTGTGACATAATGATATTTTAGTCAATGACAGACCACATATATAAAGATGGTCCCATAATATCATAATACCATGTTTTTACTGTACTTTTTCTATGTTTAGATACAGAAATACTTACCATTGTGTTACAGTTGTCTGCAGCATTCCGTGCAGTAACATGCTACACAGGTTTGTTCCTAGTGCTACAGGCCATACCACATAGCCTGGGTAGTAGGCTGTACTATCTAGGTTTGTGTGAGTACACTCTGATGTTCACACAGCAATGGAATTGCCTGATGACACATTTCTCAGAGCATCTCCCTGAAGTTAAGCAACACATGTGTGTGCATATATGTGTGTGTATATGTATATCATACATTTACATCTACACTTATTTCTATACCTACATTGAAAACCATGAGTTTACATCAATACCTCCAATAACACTGGGTTCATTTCTAACTTTCCCACTTCCATATCTATAACTCTTGTTTTCTAACAATGAGAGAACTGGTCTGTTATCCTCAGTATGTTTACTTATCTGGTCAATCCTCCTATATGTAACCAAGTTCTTGGACCCATCAGGCTGCCACCCACTCAGTTACTTTCCTCACATGGCATTCAACCTCTGCCAGGCCCTATTCCCTGTTTGGCTTGCATAAATGCTTTTCTTTTTAAAAATAATTTGAACAAATTATAAATTACCATAAAATTAACTCACTTTTTAGTATATGATTCAAAGATTTTCAAGTGAATTTATAGAGTTGTGTAACCTCCACCACAATTCAGTTTTAGGTACTTCCATCATCCTCAACAAACTTCCCAGTGTCCATTTGCAGCCAGTTCCCATCCCCAGGCAACCCTGATCTGCCTCTTCTAGAAATTTTATATAAAGGGAATTATATGCCTTTTTGGCATATGACTGACTTCACTCAGCATAATGTTTTTGAAGTTCATCCATGTTGTAACATGTATAAGTAGTTCATTCTCATTGCTACATTATATTTCATTTCATGGATATATCACACTTTGTTTAGCCATTTACCAATCGATAGACTGGATTTGGATTATTGCAAGCTTGGGGCTACTGTGTATAATGCCACTATGAACATTTACGTACAGGTCTTTGTGTAGGCACGTATTTTCGTTTATCTTGAGTAGTGCTGTAGGCAGAATAATGGGCTCCCAGAGATGTCCAGGTTGCTAATCAGCTGACCTTAAGAAAGCAAGATTATCCTGGATTATCTGGGCAGGCCTTGTATAATCACAAGAGTCCTTAAAAGTGGAAGAGCCAGAAGAGGAGGTCAGAGTGAAACAATGTGAGACGGACTCAATATGCTGCTGCTGGCTTTGAAGATGAAGGTTATGAGTCGAGGAATTGTGGGCAAGCTCTGAAAGCTGGAAAAGGGAAGGAAAAATATTCTCCCTAAAGCCTAGGGAAAGGAACGTAGCCCTGCCAACACCTTGATTTTAGCCCAGTGAGATCCTTTTGGACTCTAACCTCCAAAAGTGTAAGATAATAAATTTGCATTGTTTTAAACCACTAAGTTTGTGGTAATTTGTTACAGCAACGATAGAAAACCAATACAGGTAGATACCTAAAAGTGTATATTGGTTGGATAGTAAATTTATGTTTAACTTTTTAAGAATCAGCCAAGCTGTTTTTCAAAGTGGTTGTGCCATTTTATATTTGTATGAAATGTATGATCTTGCTCAGTTTCTAGAGCCTTTCAGGTGATTTTTACTGATTTTCTCCAGTTTTATCATTGCTTTTGGGGGAGAGGATTTTTCAAACTTCTCATTCCACCATACCAGAACCCAATGATTTTTTGATTAAATTATCTACAGAAAAGAGGAGGAAAAGAGGGAGGAAGCGGGGAAAGGTCAAATGTTTGTGTTGACTTACTGGCAATACTGGAGGGCAACAGATTTCAAGGGTTCAATCACCTGCCCGTGTCTTATTAGCTGTATGACCCTGGCTGGGCAAGTTGCCCCACTTCGGCGAGACTGTTTCCTCACTATAAAATAGTACTGGCAATTATAGGATCTGCCTCCTAGGTTTGTGATGAGGATTAGATAATACAGTCAAAGTACATAGTCAGTGCTTGGCCCCTAAGAGCTCTCAACTGTTGACAATGTTTTTAATGGTAAGGGCAACAAGAACAGGTTAAATTTTGTAATATCCTGTTCTATTTAAGTAAAAGATGTGTAATTGGAAAAACCACAGAGTATGCGTTCCTAGAAATGTAAACAGCTGTCTTGCCTGGCATATTTTTCAACTCACTCATTCACTTCAGGCACCTAAAATCTAACTACAGAATTTTACAAGTCATCTGTTGCCAATGACTATCCATACACCACCATGTCCTTCCATCAATAACAACCCTATACAATTGTATATGATTTATACTTTTTAAACATCTTTTCAGTATATATTTTCACAAGGTCTTCATCCCAGTGGATAGATAAACCAAGAATTCTCTCATTTGACAGATTAAGGAAACTGAGGACCAGAGGTGTCAAGTGATTCACTCGAGGTTCTACAGCAAGGAGGTGGCAGAGCTGCTTCCATTTCCTCCTCTTCATTGCATGTCACTGGTTTCTGCCCACGGGCATGGTTTCCTCCTCTCTCTCACTGACATCATTCATGTTTGTTCATTGAATGTGGAAAAGATTAGCTTTCATCCAATTCAAAGATGCTAATAACACACTTAATGTCTATGAACACATACTGATTTTATTATAATCCTGCTCCTCTTGCTGGAAGCAGCCATGCCTGGCTTGGTGGAGATTCAAGACTCACCATTACAAAGAGTAAGCTATGCTTAGGTTAAATTGGCGTTTGTTCTGAGCCCAGTGGCATTTTTAATGCATTTATAAAAATGGAAATGAGTCAAGGTACCCAAGGCCGATTAAACAGGCAAGTCAAACACCCAAAGAGCCCACAGCAAAGGCTTTGCCTGCAGATTCACAGCCCTGCCAACAGCTCCCATGCTCAGTCCTTCCGAAGGGCTCGCCTCCCAGCACAAAGCCCTATCAGGCCTGCCATCTTAGACAAATCTTCACAATGGCCTTACAGCTTCAGTCCTGTCCCTCTCACATTTCACAGATGAGGAAGCAGAGACTCAGAGAGGTTAACTGACTTCCTAAGACACACAGCTGGCAAGTGGAGTCAGGTCTCAAAATTCTTTGAACTTCTCATGCTGCTCCCGTGTTCACTGATAAAGAGACCCCCTCCTCCTGCCCATTCCTTGCTAAGCCCCCTCTGATCCAAAGAGCACAGTGTACAGGCTAAATAAGTGTATAGTACAAGAGAAGGGGTGTGCAGAACCATTTCAGCCACCACCCAAGGCCATCTCTGTGCAGCCTCTGCCCTCCCCAGGTTCATGTACAAGGTTAATTTCTGATTTGACGCCCTTGAAACAAAGAAGACTTGGAGATAGAAGACACTGGGTACAGAGGAGCAATGCCTCAGGGTCTCATGAACTTGTCAGTTTTACTATTGCTATTATCGTTTTTTGTTCTCATATGGTTTTTGGGTTTGCTGCTCTGGGAAAAGCTAATCCATTAAATGAGCGATGCCTCGTTCTCTTGAATCAAGTGTTTCACTTTGTAGAGGGCACGGAGAACAAGAAAGTAATGTGGAATTATACTAGATCCTGTTTAAAATCCAGGATAGATGAGTCAGAAAATGAAGAGCCACGTGTCTCCTCTGTCTCCTCGTCCTCTCTCGCATGCACACATATACATGACCAAAGTTCACATTCCAGCCCTGAAGGATGTTTTCTCAAGGCCCCTCTCCAAGCTGTTCCAAAAGCCTGAGAAGGCAGTCCCTGCATTCAAGCCTGTCCTGCACTGACAGCCCGCCTGGACACTGCAATAGCTTAGTGGCAAGGGCTGCACCTGCATGACCTCAGATGCCAGTGAGGGCCAGGGAGCATCCCCCACTCATCTTCCAGAAAACCTGGAGAGACAGGCCACATATGCAGCTCTCCCTTGTGGCCTTGGAGTGAGACCATTGAGATCACCTGGCCTCCAGGGCTGCTCCCCACATTCCCCAGGGTTAGGACAAGTTGGGGATATGGAAAAGGGGAACAGACGAGACACCCCAACCCTATTTTAGAAGGAAGGTTATTCACATTCATTCATTCAGCCCCAGCCAGGGCTGGCAGACAGCGTACTAGGAGCTGGTAACTATCACTGGCACAGCACTTCGTGGTTTCCAAAACTACTTATTTCCCACACGTTCTCTCTGGTGACTCACACAGGGCTCCTATTGCCAGACAGGGTAAATGTCATGCCCGTTTTACAGATGAGCACACTGATGTCCAGAAGTGACTTGCCCAGATCACAGGGCAAGGGAGTAGCAAAGCCAGGCTAGGAACCCAGAACACAGATGTGCAGGCAGGCCATGCAGGCCACACCGCCCAAGGCTTCAGAGCCGTCGGGGTCCTCTTGTGGCAGGAAAAGTGGGCTGAAGAGTGACACATCAGAAATGTTTTGGCCTCCACCTCAATTCCAGAGATGGTGGAGGTCAACATACACCTCCCTGCCTGTCCCGTCAGCACTGGGACGATCCTTTCACCAGCCAATCCCCACCCCACGTTCCCTGCACCTAACTGTTCTCATCTTTAAATGCACACATCATGAGTGGCTTCCTCATGAGAGCGCCACAGGAATTGAGAAGGATAAAGCCCACGTGGGTCTCTTCGCCATGCCAGGCACAGGGTGAAGCGCTCCCTAGACATCAGCTCAATGTATTATGATTGCTCCTCAGTGTCCAGCCTGGGCACACCATCAGGGCTCAGCACCTTCACCTGGATTGACCAGGGCCCCCAGGTCAGTAGGTTGGTGTCTTCCCTGCCCTGGCCCCCCAGGAGAGAGGAGGGCAGTGGAGGGAGGGAAGGAGGGAGAGGAGGCATCCGGCAGGGCCCTGGGCCACCTCGTGGCCAGGCATTCCCGCTCCTCGCCTTTGTCTGCACCCCTGTAACTGAGAGGCCTGTCTAGACTGAGCGGCTACTAGAAGTAATCCAGGGAAAATCTCCCTGAAACCCGATCCCTCCCCTTATCGAGGGGCAGGCAGATTAGCCTGATTGATTGAACAATGGACGCCGAGGCTTTAACACGATCTCCATGTGGCTCCCGTGCAGAAGAGGCTCTGGGCAGATGCAGGGCCTGCCTAGTGGAGGAACCTGTCCTGTGGGGTCAGCATCATCGGCCTCCCAGGCTGCTGGAGGGAGAGAGCTGAGAGGACCCACTGCTACCAGGGCGACACTAGAATCCTGACCACCACTTGCACCATGTAGGGGCTGCTTTCCCTGCACAATCCAGGTCCTTGGTTGGGCTTACGTGCTCCACATTGTGAGTGCCTGTCGTCTTCGTCATCGTCATCATCGTCATCACTACTGCTATTTCACAGGTAAAGGCACTGCGCCTAAGCAACTTGCTCAAGGTCACACAAGAAGAAAACGGTACAATCTAGAGTCGGCGCTGGTCTGTTTGACACTGAGGCCTCAACCCTTGCCCGCCCTCACATCCTGCCTCCTTGGTGTTCAGACTGTTGTGGTCAGTGTGACACAAGCCCTGGCCATTGTTCCAGATGACCCTCCAATATCCGTCAGCAAAGCAGTCCTCAATACCACCATAGGTGTAGAAATGCTCTGCAAGCCACACACACCTGGCAGCCAGCAGCAAGGCCAAAGGGCATCATTCTCTTTTGTTTTTATCTAAACCACCATGATTGGGAACTAACCTATAAACAAAGGCAAGGCTGTCCCTAGCTGCCTGCACCGAGAGCCTTCCAGAGTGTGATGTCCAAAGAGAAGGCAAGGATACTGTCACACATGGGGACCATCAGGTCAAGAATAAAAGGGTCATCCTGGCCACAATCCGTGGGTCCCCACAGGGCTGGCTGCAGGGAAGCCCCATTGGTACCTTCTGTAATCCATGTGCTCTGGGACAGCTTGCAGGCAGGGAAGGCAGAAAAGGCAGGGAGGGGATGGATGGATGGATGGATGGATGGATGGATGGATGGATGGACGGACGGACGGACGGACGGACGGACGGACCAGTCACAGCCCGGCCCATGCCCAGCACAGATGAGGCTAGCAGAGGGCAGTCCATGGCAGGAGCACTCAAGTGGGCCACACCTGACTTCCACATACCTCCACCAGTCACCTGTGACCCTGGGACAGTCACCTACCCTGTCTGAGCCACATCAGCTTCATTTTACAAACAAAATACTAGCCACCCACCCCTACCCTGCTCTCCCAGGATAGATAGAAATTAAATGAACCAACCTGCACCCTAAATGTAGGTTAACCTCCTTCCATGGCAACAGACTCAACTCCCTAAGAGTAGAGGCCCCACCCAGAAACTTTTGTTAAAACTCAGAATTGACGTAACTTACCAATGAAATGTAACTGTCTGATAGCAACAAGGCAGGAAAGTCACGTTTGACTGTCCTTGGAGTGCTGATCCAAGGTGGTGCATGCCAGGCAGCCCTTCAACACTGCCCACAGCACAGGGCTAGGGAAGCCTCTCTACCTCGGGCACCACCTGTGTGGCTCTGCAACGCTGAGCAGTGTCTGCTAACAAGAGGGCTGTGGCACATAGGCCTCATTCCACAGATGAGGAAACTGAGGCCCAGGAATATTTCATCAAGGAAATAACATAGATTTCCCCTTAGCTCTTAGCAAAAGGGTTTCCATGGAAGCATTATCAGCTCATTAACTAGAGTGAGTAACACTGATCCCCCAATAATACCACTTTGAGATTCGTTTGCAACCTGAACAGCCAGCTGGGGTCCTAATTCATTTCAGCAAATGACATTCAGTGCATGTCTGTCCTTGTGATCTCGGGTTGGATAATCCCTGCACTTCTGGTTTCCTGTTGGCCAGGTAACACCTGTGCTCCCCAGCAACACCCTCCCCACCCTCTCACTGTGCCCCACACAGATCTATGTCTGCCACCCTCCTTGCCACCCCACAACCATTCTTGTATCTTACTCCAGCTAGACCCTCAGCCCAGGACCTGGCCCCATTCCACCTTTGGGATTGCAGTCCCTTGGGTCCTTTTTTCTACTGCCTCAGGCAGCCAGCCTACCCACTTTGGAAGACACCTGCCCACTGGGCCAGAGAGCAACACCTTCATCTCAAATAATGGGCCAATTTCTTCCTGTGACTTTATTATCAGGCAGGGAATGGCCACTAAGGCCAGCCCTCCCTTAGGGATGAGGCCCATGCCAACTGGGGAAGGGGTCTGGGATAGTCCTGACACTGGCATGATACCAGGCAGGACATGACCACAAGGAACTCTGGGTGCTAAGGACAAAGGGGACACAAAGGTAGGTGTTTCCATGCAATTCAGTGTGCATGCCAGCCCCTACGTGGGCAGCAGGGGTGGGGAGACAGCCAAGATCCAACTCCTGCCCTCTGGAACCCCATCCAACCCAGGCTTAGCATGCTGAGGGTCGGGAGGGGCTGGTAGCTGAGATGTAATTTTGGGGGGTTGCTCCCTAGAAGTGGGGCCTCTGGGTTCTGCTTTGAGAGACAGGCAGGAGGTCTGGGGCACAGGTATCCCAGGAGAAGGCAAGATGTGAGGGAGGAAAAGGCACAACTCAGTGGGACTTCCTGGGGGAAGGACATGCCGGGCTCAGATCACAGGTAAACTGTGCACCATGGGAAAGGAGAAGCCACTGAAGATGCAGAGCAGGGCTGAGTTCTCCAGAGACCATTCTGGGGGCAGAGGAACAGGTGGATGGAGCACGCAGGCAGAAAGAGAACGGCAGTAATCGGGCATCACAGCAGTTCAGGCCGCAGAGGGCTCCAGGCTCTTTACCTTTTACAAGCTGTGTGACCTTGGGCAGATTACTTAACCTTTCTGAGCTTTGGTCTCCTCCTGGGTCAAATGGAGACTAAAACAGCAGGGCTGTCATGAGGATTGAACCTGATAATGCATGAAAAGCATTTAGCATGGTGCCTGGCACACAGTAAATGCTCAATAAATGTTTGCTTAAAAAACAAAAAGGCAAAGGCTGACTTCTTAGAGCCTCCTCCCTCCCTCAATCTCCCCAATCAATAAAAGCAGCCCTTTTATCTAAATCCCCGGGACCAAAGGGAAACCAAACACAGCAGCTGCTGCTCAGCCTCCCAAGACCTGCACCCCGCCTGCCCGCGCTTCTCCTGCTGGGGGCCCACCACTGCAGCTGTGGCCAAGGAAAGAATGCTGGCGCAGTGACCTGGCCGTGAACCTTCCCCCCAGCCTCCAAACATGCACAAAAGCATTTCGTCTACCTAAGCAACACAGGCACCACCCAGCCCAGCTCACCCTGCCCCACTGGGGAGCCCATGGAACCAGGGTGATCTGTGCAGGATTACACACCTGCCTGGGTTTGCTGCCTCAGACCAACTCTGGGACGCAAGAAAGAAAAAATGAAAGAAAAATGTGTTCTTAATATTCATGACTCTGGTGGTATTTTTGAGCACAGCGCTGAGTTCCTCCGTAAAGAGAGAAATTCAATCCAGCATAAAACATGCTTGATAGAGGAGGGGGTAACACAAGCTCCTGAAACCCTGAGAACGGTTTGTTGGTCTTTTCACAAGAAAACTGTGGGATCTTCCAGGTGGACCAAGAGTTTGGGAGGCACACACTCTGCAAAATTATCGGGGAAACAGATCAGCCCAGACTCTCAGGAACTTCAGAGACAAGTCCTGCTGGCTGCTGTTCTTGGTGATGTGGCAGTGGCCTGCTCCCTCGCATGGTCCTCGGTGGCTTGTAAACCATGGAAACATGCAGGCAATCTGCCATGGGCAAACACAAGCAAGATGGCATTTCACATCTGACAAGAGGGGGACTATTTCTTTGGCCATAGTTGGGTCACAATTTACTTCCTATAGTGCGATGTAGCAGAAAGATCATGGGTTTGGGGGTGGGTAAGACCCCAGGTTTGAATCCTATTTCACAACTTAAACACCACATTGCTTACCCAATCTGACCCTCAGCCACAGGTAAAACATGGAGAAAATGGGAGCTACCAGTGAGGCCTCTTCTGAGGGTAAAATTAAATGTGATTATGCTCATAAAGTACTGAGCCCTGTGCCTGGCCCATCACTGGCACTCCGTAAGTATCTGTCCCCTTCCCTCAACAAGTGTCCATGTGGGAACAAAGCACATCTACACGCCCCCACACCAAAGTGGGTCAGTGAATCAATTCTCTAGATAAGGCAAAATAATTTTTCAATGACCACCACTAGATAATTGAAATAAGGGATTTTTTCCCCATGGAAATTATCTAAATAAGTCTCAAGTTTCTTGTGGCTGCAATAGACATGGACTGATAAACAAGGGACTTATTCGCCCTGGATGAAAATCTAACCCCTGGTCATATTTCCAGAAGACAGAAGGACAACCTTACCTTTTCAGAAACTGGGATAAAAATGCAATTCCCAATCTCACAATAATTGTTTAGTACAAAGAACCAAGCTAGAGAATCCCTGGGGAGATACAAAATTCATATTAAGATAGTAGAAATTAAAAGTCCTAATGAATGTGACTTTACTTTTTGACTTCACCTTAAAAAGAAGCTTTTGAAAATTGATTTGTATTTTCCATGTTTAAGTGAGAATACCTACGATGAGAGTAGGAGGGTCTAAAATCAGAATTTCTAAATTAGACCCTGATTCTTGTTACTTAGTGAAACTTTCTGTCCACCGAAGGGTTTGGTTGGCATCTTCTTTTAAACTTTATTGGGGCACAATTTACTTAAAGTAAAATGTACCCATTTTGAGTGTACAGGTTGTGGAATATTGACAAGACCAACCTAGCACAGGCAAGATCTAGAACAGAGCTCCCTAAAATATTCCCTCATGCTCCTTTGCAGTCAAATCCCCTCCCCCAGCCAATAGTTTTGTTTGTTCTGAAATGACATATATATGAAATTTTGCAAGGTCTACAGTAGTCCCACTTACTTAGGAGGGATACATTCCAAGACCCCCAGTGGATGCCTGAAACCACAGATAGCACCAAACCCTATATATACTAACTTTTTCCTATACGTATATACCTGTGATAAACTTTAATTTATAAATTAGGCTCAGTAAGAAATTAATAGAACAATTATAACAATATACTGTTAGTAAAAGTTATGCAAACATGATGGTCCTTCTCTCTCTCAAATATACCTCACTGTACCGTACCCACCTATTTTCCATGATGGTTGGCCTGGGAAAGCGAACCCTTAGGTAAGGGCACACTCCTGTGCTCTACGTACTGTACTGTACTGTTCTCCTCAGCATGTCCTTGAGATCCATCTACGAGGTCATGTACATCAGTAGCTTATTGTTTTTTATTGCCAAGTAGTATTTCATTGTATGAATGTACCACAATTTGTCCATTCACTTACTGATGAACAGTTGGGTTGTCTCTGGTTTTTGACTCTTGTGAATAAAGCTATTAATATTTATATAAAAGTCTTTTGGTGAACACATGTTTCCATTTTTCTTGAATAAATACCAAGGATTGGAATATGTTAAGTGTGTGTTTAACTTTAAAAAAAACTGCCAGCCCGTTTCCCAGAGAGGCTGTACAATTTTACTGACCCACCAAAATACAACAGTTCCAGTGACTCCATGTCCTCACTAGCACTTGGAATTGGCAGGTTTTTTACCATGTGAAATATATTCTTACTCTGTGGATTTAGTGAGGTATAAATTACAGTGAATAACATTTCACCTGTTTCAAGGACTCAGTTTGATTAACTTTGGTAATTGTATATAGTTGTGTAACCACAAGCAAGATAGAGAACATTTATTTCACGCAAGAAAGTTCCCCTGAGCCTCTCTGCAGCTGATCCCCTCCTCTGAACCCGGATCCTCAGCCACCACTGATCTGCTTTTTGTTAACTGTAGTTTTGCCTTTACTTGAAATTCGTATAAAAGGAATTGTACAATATGTAGTCATTTTTACTTAGCTTATTGTTTTTTGAGATTCGTCCACTTTGTTGTGTGTATGAATATTTTGTTCCTTTTTATTGCCAACTAGTATTTCATAGTATGAATCGTTTACAATTTGTTTATGCACTCACCAGTGGATGCTCACTGGACTGTTTCCAGATTGCTTCCATTATTCTTGGGTAAATAAGGAGCTTAATTGCTGGGCTTGGCAAACATGTTTAACTTTATAAAACACAGCCAAATAAACTAAACTAAACTAAACTAAAATACATAGCCAAACTCTTTTCCATTTTGTCTAATTTTGCATCCTCACACAATGCAAGGTATGAGCATTCTAGTTGCTCCATGCCTTTGTCAACAACACTTGGCACTGTCAATCATTAAAATTTTAGCCATTCAGTGGATGTTATTGCATCTCCCTGCTAAATAAAGATGCTAAACCTACAGTCATATGATTATCATCCATTCATATATGTCCTTATGTGAAGTGTCTATCCAAATACCTTGTCTGTTTTAACAGTGGATTTTTTTCTTCCGCTGTTTTAAGAGTTCTTTACATATTTTGGCTAAAAGTCCTTCACCAGATATATGTTTTGTGAATATTTTATCCCAGTCTGTCATTTGCCTGATTAACTGTCTTTTTTATTAAGACAGTTAATTTTTTTTTGATTATGTGACTTTCTTCTCAAAGAAAAGATTATGATTTTTTTATGATTAGTGTGACATCTTTATGATTAGTGACTTCTTTCTTCTCAAAGAAACTTTAGCCTATTCCATTGTTGTGAAGAGTTTCTCCTATTGGTTCTTCCAGAAGCTTTTACATTTTAGCCTTTACATTAAAGTCCATGATTCATTTGAGTTAATCTTTGTATATGATGTAAAGTAGTAAAATCAAGCTGCCTCTTCTTTTCTATATAGCTAGCCAGTTGTTCCAGTACAACTGTTGAAGCAAATATTCATTCCCTTAGAGCCTCTGCTGCAAATCAAGTGACTGTATATGTGGCTCTATTTCTGGACCCTCTGTTCCATTCTTTTGATTTATATTCTGTCCTTACATCAGTATCCCACTGAAGATTGCTGTACATTTATAGCAATCTAGGTTTTGAAATCAGGTAGTTTAAGTTCTCTAACTTTATTCTTCTTTTTCAATATTGCTTTGGATATCCTATTGTGTTTCCATGTAAATTTCAGAATCAACATTTTGGTCAATTTCTATTTAAAAATATGCTGTGACAGATGTGGATTGCATTGAGTCTACAGGTCAATTTAAGGAGAACTGACATCTCAACTATACTGAGCATTCCAACCATGAGCATGGTACACTGCTCAATACCTTTTAAGTTGCTTTTTCTCAGTAATGCTTTGTAGTTTTGGGAGTAAAGGTCTAACATATATTCTATTAAACTTATTCCTTATGTAGTGTTTTTTTGTTTGTTTTGTTTTGTTTTGAGGTGGAGTTTTGCCCTTGTTGCCCAGGCTGGAGTGCAATGGCGTGATCTCGGGTCACTGCAACCTCTGCCTCCTGGGTTCAAGCGATTCTCGTGCCTCAGCCTCCTGAGTAGCTAGGATTACAGGCGCCCGCCACCACGCCCAGCTAATTTTTTTTTTTTTTTTTTTTGTATTTTTATTAGAGACAGGGTTTCACCATGTTGGCCAGGCTGGTCTCAAACTCCTGACCTCAGGTGATCCACCCGCCTCAGCCTCCCAAAGTGCTGGGATTACAGGCATGAGCCACTGCACCCAGCCCCTTATGTAGTTTTTAAATGCTATTGTAAGTAGAGTTGTCTATTGAATTATGTTTTCTAATTGTTTATTGCTAGCATTCAGGAAAATTCTGATTTTTGTAAATTGACCTTTTATCCTCTGAATTTGCTAAGCTCACTTATTAGTGCTACATGCTTTTTCGTAGATTCCTTAGGATTTTCTACACACGTAATCATATTGTTCATGAATGAAGACAGTTGAATTCTTCCATTCTACCTGTGTGTGCCACACTTCTTTTCCTTGACTGATTGTACTGGTTGCAGTCTCTAGTTCAACACTGAACAGAAGTGATGAGGGTAGATAACCTTACCTTGCATCTAATGTAGAGGGATAGACAGTGTTTACTATTTCACTATTAGGTGTGAGGTAAGCTGGAGGTTTTCTGTAGATGCCATTTATCAGGTTGAGGAAGTCCCCTCTGCTTCTAATTTGCTGATATATTTTATTACAGTAACAAGTGTAGAATTTTGTCAAATGCTTTTTCTGTCTGAGATAATCACATGGTTTTTTCCCTTTAATTCTGTTAATGTGACTTACATTTATTGATTTTCAAATATGAACTCAACTTTGCATTCCTAGCATAAACACTGCTCAATCACACTATATTATTCTTTTTACACATTGCTAGATATGATAAAGTTATATTAAGGATTTTTATGTCTATGTTCATGAGAGATGTTGATCTCAAGTTTTCTTGTACATCTTTGTCAGGTTTTGGTATCAAGGTGATGCTGTCCTCATAAATAAGTTTATTCTTATTCTTACCCTTTCACTATTTTTTGAGTTAGGGTAAGTTTCCTATTTTTCATCCCTTAAATTCTTGATAGAATTCACCAGTGAAGCCATCTGGGCCTGGAATTTTCTTTATAAGGAGGTTTTAGATAACATATTCAATTATTTTGACAAGTAGAGGCCTATTCAGTTCTGGCAATGAGTCCTTGGATATGACACCAAAAGCACAATCCATGAAAAGAAAATCTGATAAGTCAAACTTCATTAAAATTAAGAACTTCTGCTCTACAAAAGACATGGTTAAGAGAATGAAAAGGCAAGCCACAGACTGTGGAAAATATTTGCAAAACACATATCTGATGAATAATTTGTAAACAAAATATACCAAACACCCTTGAAACTCAAGAAGAAAACAACCAACCAATTGTTTAAATGGGTAAAAGATCTGAACAGATTCCTCACCAAGGGAGACATTCAGATGGCAAACAAGCATATGAAACGACATTTAAAATCACATATCATTAGAAATACATTTTACCACACATTTCAGTACACTCATGTGTGCATGCGTAGTATAAATTCATTAAACAAAACTTTCATAAAACCATATTCTTATTAATGTTATGTACTATGAAATACTATCTTCATACTATTTTAAAAAGCAGAGATGTATGTGATGAACACTATTTGGTCTAGAAATGTGTTTTTAGAACTCTTTGCCTAAGAAATTAAACTTATTACCTCAAAAATTCACTTCAACAGAACATCCCATTCCCTGAAATAAAACTATTTATAATTATCACGATGATGATTGTAATGACATTAACGAAAAGAAATGCCTAGTGTATTCATGCTGCTAGTCACTTTTCTATATTCAGTTCAAATTCTTTAAAGTCTCCAAGATAGATCTTATAACCTCTGTTTTACAGATGAGGAAACCAAGTATCTTAGTCTGCTCCGGCTGCCATAGCAAAATACCAGAGACTGGGTGGCTTCAACAACAGATATTTATTTTCTCACAGTTCTGAAAAGTTTAGGATCAGAGTGCCAAGTATCATCAGGTTCGGGTGAGGCCTGCTTCTTGCTATGTCTTCACATGGGGGAGAACAAGGGAGGGTGAGGGGTGAGAGGGAGAAGGAGGCACGCGCCCTCCAGTCTTCTCTTCTTATAAGTGCACTAAGCCCATCGTGAGGGTCCCATTCTCATGACCACATCTAAATCTAATCACCTCCCAAAGGCCCCATCTCCAATACCATCACACTGGAGATTGGGGCTTCAACAGAGGAATTTTGGAAGGATACATTCAGTCCATAGCACCATGGTTCAAAAAAGCTAACTTGATCAGTAAGTGGTAGAGGCCAGGCTATGCCCTTGCCTACCTGACTTGAAAACTCATGTGTTCAGTAGATAGCATCTCCTGTTAATAAAGCTGGGCTCTGAGACAGCCTCCAAGTCTGAGCTCCTGCTTTTACTAATGTAACACATTCACTGAAGAAAGCCGAAGCTGAGCATGAAAACCAAGCAACAGCTTTAAGAAAGAGCATGGGGTTCATGTTCCCATACCACTCCTGATGCCAAGAAGGTCTCTTGTGGGAAAGTTCATGAGACTGGGGCAGGAGGGGGAACAGCAAGAGGAATGAAGCAGGTGCCATTGTGGCCTGGGGTGCTTCTCTCTGCTGGGTCATAGGCCATCCCAGCCTTGGGCCCCACCAGCGCCTGCACCCCAGGCTTGACCTCTGGATTCCCTTGGATAGTAAGGAGGCCTGCAGTGAAGAGGCGTCTCTCGTAAGATATAGGACTTTTAGATAAAACATCCAAAAATAAATCGGCCAAGTCCTAATGTCTGCCTATCACCAAGAAATACAATTTTAAGAAGTTTCATCACATCCTCCTCACCCCTACCTGAACCCAGGGCCTCTCCCACTCTTACAGCTTCCTATTCAGGGGTGGGGGTGGAGTCAAGGATATCTATTGTTTCCATCATTCAGTAATGAAACAAGCCTTGTAAGCTGAAATTTTAATATATTTGTAAATGTTTTTCTTTAGATGTCAAAATGTCCCAGTGTCAAAACAGCCAAGTCAACATGTCCTGCTTCTAAATGGCATCCCTGAATCAGTCATGTCAAAATGCCCATCATAACACCTCCCTGGGTGGTAACCAGTGGGAGTGACAGATACATTAATCCACACCCTGTACTCCCAGACTGGGGGCAAGGTCACCACCCAGGAAATGTGTGTGTCACAGAGACCTTTGCTGTGAATCTGCCTGTGCCTGAGATGGAGGGAGGTGGGGGTAAGGAGGAGGGGACAAGGCTTAGCAGGTCCCTGGAGGGAACTAGGAGGCCTCTGGGAGGTGGCTGGGCTCACACCCCTAACAGGCACCTGAATGTCCACAGGGCAGATTCTGAGGAGACAGTGGAGAGAACCCTGGACTGAGCCTGGGTTCTAGACCCACCCCCGTCACTAATTGCCTGGACCTCAGTCTTCTCTGCAATAAAATTAAATAGAAATCTTGGTCCTGCTCAGTTATTCAATGAGACATGCATGTAAAGTGCTTAGTGCCTAGCAAATGCTCCATGCAAAACACTAATATTAAAAAAGAGAGTAAACTATAGACTTTACACATTAATAATTAATAAATACTACAAACAGCTCTGTATCTGTAAGTTAGACAATTTAAATAAAATGAACTGATTCCTTGAAAGACACTCACCCAAGAAAAAGTAGGTCCTTTGTCTGTTACAGATAGTTTGAAACATTCCAATAAATAAAACTCCAGGCCCAGATGGCTTCACTGGTCATTTCAACCTAATATTTAAGGAAGAAATAATACCAATTGCACAAATCTCATCCAGAACATAGAAAAGCATGGAAGACTTTTACCTTTTTTCATGAGGCTAGCGTAATTCTAATACCCAAACCAGAGAAGCACATTACAAGAAAAGAAACTATAAACCAATATTTCTCCTGAACACAGACACAAAAATCCTCAAAACAACACTAACAAGTCAAATCCAGCAATACATTTTAAAAAAATAACAACTGAGTGGGATTTATCCTAGGAATGCAAGGCTGAATCAGTATCTGAAAATCAATGCAATTCATTGTTAGCCAACTGTATTAATATATTGTAAAGCTAAAGAGAAGAACTGTACTCAAATACTACATTGTAGTCTGTGAACTTAGTTTCTCAGTTATGAACTATGAGAGTCACATAACATGTAAGCAACTCATACAGAGTATGAGTTAGCGATTTTGAAACAACATTCTATGTGCTAGAGTTGAACAAATAAATAGATGTAACTGGAAATAATAAACCCTAGGTTTCTCATACTCTGAGAAAGCAATTACAAATAAGCAAATGCAGAAGGCTAGAATGAACACTGTGGTAGTAAAATTAGAGTCATCGATATTAACTAACAATTTTTAAAATATATTCTCAGGTAAAAACAAACAGAAATGAACATATGCAAGCGTTAATATACACACATATTTCCAAGTTCTGTGCACTGATAAAACCTAGAAGCAATGACATCCCAGTAGCAACGGGACATCTACTGCCCAGATCTTAGTTTCTAAATACCATTCTCTAATTTAAAACAATAACAACAACAAAATCAGGGCTTCTTGATTCAGTGTTTTATTCCAGGGCTGGAACAGAGAAAATACAGAAGGAACCTGGAGCATCTCATGGTGCCAGAAAGTAAAGAAGTGCTCAAAACAGAATGAGGACATGCATGCAGGGCATGGGAACCAGCACTGAAGAATTCCCACTGGCCAAAGCTGAAACACTTGGAACAACAAAACGCAAAATAGAATAACCTACAGAATAAAATAAATAGACATGGGTCAATACTGATATAAGTAAATAAGGGAGAAGGGATAGCTCTTCTTTACAAGAAAAACTGCAATTAATATAAGCAGAAGGAATAGGGAAAGAGAAGATCACCGTTAGAAAACTATAGTAACTGTTGCAAACAAGATACATGATGTATGTTTAAACTAGTGAGAGAAACTTTGAGCAGACATGAGATATTTGCATCACCTCAAAATATCTTTCAAAGTATTTATGGATTACAAAGGGAAAGTAGTAACCTCCAGTGGAGGGTCCTGGCCACCACCACCTGAACTAGGTGATCCATGTCAACACCACCACAGTATTAAGACTTAATGACACTATGTGCCCCTCGCCATAGGATAAACTGAAAAGGCCCATCACTTCTGGAGGATCTTGGCCTAAAATGCACAAATGTCGGTCTAGTCATGAGGAAACATTAGTTCCAGCTTGAGAGACAGTCTACAAAATAACTCTTCAAGCTGTCAAGATCATGAAAAACAGTAAAGATAAGGAACTATCATAGATTAGTGGAGACTAAGGAGACATGACAACAAAGCACAATGTGGGAACCCGAATTGGCTCCTGGAACAGAAAAAGGACATACTAGAAACACTGCGGAAACCTGAATAAGGTCTGTCATTGAGTTAGTGGTACTGTATCAATGTTAACTTCTTAATTTTAATAATTATACTATGGTTATACAAGATGTTACTTAATATTAAGTGAAACTCAGTGAAGGAACTCTTCCATGCTAATTTTACAACTTTCCTGTAAGTCTAAGTTATTACAAAATTAAAAGGCCTAGAACTTCCTTTAAGAGGGATTTGGCTCTTTAATGCACCCTCTCTCATACACACACACACGAATATATATGAGATAATGACATATATATAAGTAAAACATAATTTAAAAATAGCACAAGGAATAGAATGGAGTAAATGGAACTGTACTGTTGTATAGTTCTTACATTATAAATGAAGTGTATAAAATTAAAGATGCATATCTTAAAACTTAAAGCAACCACTAAAAACTAAAAACTAAAATGAAGTGAAGATGCACCTAATAAACCATGAATGGAAATAAATCATAAAAAATTCAATTATTCCCAAAAGGCAGAAAGATACTTTTAACAAAGACAGTAAAAACAAATAGAAAAAGAAACAGCAAGATGGTAGACTTAAACCCAATCCAATTATATTGATAATTACATTAGATGTAATTCCAAACAGCCCAATAAAAGGCAGAGGCTCTCAGTATAGGGGGAAAAAACCCATCAAAACTATATATTCTCTATAAGAAACCTACTTTAAAATAAGACATAGATATATTAAAGTAAAAATGCATTAAAATACATAAAAGATATACCAGGCAAACCTGAATCATGAGAAATCTGAAGTGACTTTATTACTGAGACAAAGCAGATTTTAAAAAAGCAATAATATCAGATAAAAAGGCAATTTCATAATGATAAAGGGGTTAATTCATTAAAAACTGTAATTCTAAATATGAATAAACTAAATGGCAGTATTTCAAAATACAACAAAATGAGAAAATATTTTTAACCCCAATGAAAAGTGCATCATATCTAAATTTGTGTAAGAGTACTAACATCATGCTTAAAGGGATATTTGTAATTTTAAATACTTACATAAGGAAAGACAAATGATCTAAAATAAAGATTGAGACTTTACCTTAGGAAGCCAGAAAAATAAGAGCAAAGTAAATTCAAAATAATTAAAAGGAGGAAAACAACTGCAGAGATCAATGGACTGGAAAATGAATAAACAATAGAGGAAAACCAATGAAACTAAAAGTGGATAATCTTTTAGAAATCAGAATTAGACTAGACTCTTAAAGAAAAAAAGACACAAATTAATACCAGAAATAACAGAAGATAGACATTAAAATATTCACCTACTATGTGCACCTACTACGTACCCACAATAATTAAAAATAAAAATGTTCACAGGCATTAAAAATAATAAGGGACTATTGCAAACAACTTTGTACCAACAATTTTGGCAATTAAAAAGAAATACAAAAGTTCCTTAAAAGATACTAATTACCAGAACTTACTCAAAAAGAAAGATACAAATCTGAAAGGCCTGTATCTTTTCTAATTTTATGTTTTAAATTCATATACAGTAAAACTGACTTTTGGTATATAGTTGTTCATATCCTTTAAAAAACATCAAATTCATAACTTAAACTATTCCTAACATTTCCGGCCCAGATGGCTTTACTGGAGAATTCTTCCCTTAGAAAAGGGAAGAATGGGGAGTGACTGCTAATGAGTACGGGATTTTTTTCTGGAGTCATTAAAACATACTGGAATTAGATAATAGTGATGGTTGTATAATCCTATAAATATACTAGGAACCACTGATTTGTACATTAACTTTAAAATGATGGATTTTATGGTATGTGAATTATATCTCAATATTTCTTTTAAGGAAAGAAAGACTACCAATCCTACCCTAGTATTTCAGAAAATGGGGAAAGAAGAAACAATTTTCAGCTCATTTTTTGAAACCAGCATTATCCTAATACAAAAACAAAAAATAAAAGCAATGCAAGAAAACCACAAACTATAAAACATTATTGAAAAAAGCTAAAGAAAAGCTCAATAAATGGAAAAGCATTCAATGTTCATGAGTTGGAAGACTTAATATTGTTAAAATGGCAACACTCCCTAAATTAATTAAATGTAGACCCTATCAAAATTCCATCTGCCTTCTGCAGATATTGACAAGCTAATCCTAAAAATTATATAGAAATGCAAGGGACTGAAATATCCTAAACAATCCTGAAAAAGAATAACAAAGTTGGAAGACTCCCACTTCCCAGTTTCAAAATTTTCTACAAGGTACTCAATTGGCAAGCTAACTCTAAAATTCATATTTTCTACAGTAATCAAGAAAGTGTAGTACTGGCAAAAGGATAGATATATAGGTCAATAGGATAGAATTGACAGTGTATAAAAAAATCCCATACATCTATGGCCAATTGATAACTAAATTGTCAAGACAACTCAGCGGGAGAAAGAGTAGTCTTTTCCACAAATGGTGCTGGGACAACAGAATATTGACAAGCAAAAGAATGAATTTGGATTCCTATCCCACACTATATGCAAAACTTAACTTGAAATGGATCAAAAACCTAAATGTAAGATCAAAGACTGTAAATCCCTCAGAAGAAAATTTAGGCATAAATCTTTCCAACCTAGGGTTAGGCAGTGATGTCTTAGATATGATTTCAACAGAAACAAAAGAAAAAATAAACAGGACGTCATCAAAATTTAAAAATTGTATGCTTAAAGGACAGCATCAAGAAAGTGGAAAGACAACCCACAGAATGGGAGAAAATTTTTGCACATCACATACCTGACAAGGGACTTGTATCTAGACTATATCTAGACTATGTAAAGAACTTTTAAAACTCAATAACGAAGTGATAAGTAACCCATTTTTTTTTAAAAAAAGGGGGGGGGCAAAGAATCTGAATTGACAGTTCTCTAGAGAAGATATTCAAATAGCCAATATGCCCATGAAAATAGGCTCAACATCATTAGCCATGAAAGAAATGAAAATAAGGCTACAATGAGATACCACTTCATATCCATTAGGATGGCTACAATCAAAAAGGTAATAGCAAGTGTTGACAAGAATGTACAGAAATTGAAGCTCTGGTACACATCTAGTGGGAATATAAAATAATGTAGCCACTGTAGGAAACAATTTTGCAGTTCCTTAAAATGTTAAACAGACTTACCATATGGCCCAATAATTCCATACCTAGGTACATCCCCTATAGAACTGAAAATACATGTCCACACAAAAGTGTGTACAAGAATGTTCATAGCAGCATTATTCATAATAGCCAAAAAGTAGAAACAATCCAAATGTCTACAGCTGGTAAACAGATAAAATGTGGTATACTGATATACCAGGGAATATTATTCAGCCATAAAAAGGCATGAAGTACTATTGCATGCTAACACATGGATGAGTCTCAAAAATTGTACGCTAAATGAAGGAAACCAGATACAAAAAGCTGTATAATGCGGCTGGGCGCAGTGGCTCACGCCTGTAATCCCAGCACTTTGGGAGGCCGAGGCAGGCAGATCACCTGAGGTCAGGAGTTCAAGACTATCCTGGTCAACATGGTGAAACCCCATCTCTACTAAAAATACAAAAATTAGCCAAGCGTAGTGGCGCATGCCTGTAATACCAGCTACTCCGGAGGCTGAGGCAGGAGAATCACTTGAACCCAGGAGGTGGAGTTTGCAGTGAGCTGAGATCATGCCACTGCACTCCAGCGTGGGGAAGAGAGCGAGACTCCATCTCAAAAAAAAAAAAAAAAGGCTGCATAATGATCCCATTTATATGAAAAGTCCAGAATAGGAAAATTCAGAGACAGAAAGTAGATTAGTAGCTGCCACGGGCTTGGAGAAGTAAAGAATGACAAGTGACTGCTAATGGGTATGAGGTTTCTTTTGGGAGTGATAAAAATGTTCTGGAACTGGTGAGTAGTCATGGTTGAACAACCTTATGAATATACTAAAAACCACTGATTTGTACGTTAACTTTAAATGGTGGATTTTATGGTATGTGAATTATATTTCAATAATGAAATGAAAACCACACACCAATATCTGTCTTAAACACAGATGCAAAAACCCTTAAGAGAATGTTAGCAAATTGAACCCAACAATATATAAAAAGGATAAAATGGCCATATGTTGCTTATTTGAAAATAAATATAATTTACCACATTAACAGAATAAAGGATAAAAATATATATAATCATCTCAATGGACACAAACTGACAAAATTCAGTGCCAGTTGAAGATGACAATTCTCAGCAAACAAGGAAAGAAAAGGAACAACAAAAATTTATAATTTCACAATTTCCAGGGTCAGGAATCTGAGTGTGGCTTAACTAGGTACCTCAGGCTCCAGTATCTCACAAGACTGTCGTCAGACTGTTAGCCTGGGCTACAACCAGTCTCTTCTGAAGATTTAAATGGCAAGGGATACATTTCCAACTTCATTCACATGGCTGTCGGCAGGAGTCAGTTTCTCACATGGCTGTTGGCAGGAGTCAGTTCCTCACAGGCTGTTGGGCTGAGGACCTCCGTTCTTTCGTTCTTTCCTGTTGGCTAGAAGCCTCCCTCAGTTATTTGCCCTGTGGGCCTCTCCATAGGCAGCTCACGACATGGCCGAGTTGGTTTCTCTCACAGCAAGCTAGCAAGAGAGGGTGAGCCCCAAGATGGAAGCCACAGTCTTTTCATAACCTAAACATTAAAGTGATAGCCAATCACTTCTGCTGTATTCTATTAATTGAGGCAAGTCAACAAGTCCAGCCTACACTCAAGGAAGTTGTACCACTCAAGGAGGTGGTATCTTTGGGGACTATCTTAGAGACTGCCTCTGACAAAGGGCTCATGAAAAACTACAACTAATAGTACTAATATATTTAATGGTGAAAAATTGAAAGCTTTCCTCCCTAAGATAGAGAACAAGAAAAGGATACGCAGTCTCACTAATTCCATTTAACATTATACTGGAGGATTATTTTCAGTGCAATAAAACTAGATAAACAAACCAAAACTAAATAAATAAATGAGGCATAAAGATAAGAAAGAAATAAAACTGCCTCTCTCCTGAGGATATGATTGTTTACAGGGTAAATTGTAAAGAATATACCAAAAAAATCCACACTACTAGAAAAAAGAGAATTTCACAAAGTCAAGAATAAAAATCAAAATACAAAAATCAATTATATTGTCATATTCTAGTACCAAACAATAAATGATGCTTAAAACAGAATACTTTATTATGTATATTTAACCACAATGAAAAATTGGGGAAAAGCACAATACTATTTTCAATAACATCATAAACACAAAATACTTAGGAATAAATTTAATAGAAGATGTGCAAGACCTCTACACTGAAAATTACAGCATATTATGAGAGAAATTAAAGAAGCTTTAAATAAGTGGGGAGCTATACCATATTAATGGATTGGAAGACTCAACATAGCTATGGTGTTCATTCTCTTCTAATTGATCTAGAGAATTAACACCATCAATCCCAATCAAAATACTAGCAAGCTCGCTTGTAGAAACTGACGAACTGATTCAAAAAAGTTATTTGGAAGTTCAAAGGACCTAGATTAGCCAAAACAGTCTTCACACAAAAGAAATTTGGATACCAACTGGGCCAAACAGACCTATGCAGAGTACTCCATTCAACAGCAGCATAATATGCATTCTTTTAAAATACATGTGGAACATTTTCCAGGATAAATTATATGTTAGGACACAAAATAAGTCTCAACAAACTTAAGATGACTGAAATCATATCAGGTATTTTTTCTGACCACAATGGTATGAAACTAGAACTCAATGACAGGAGGAATCTTAGAAAACTCACAAAAATGTTGAAATTAAACAACACACTCCTAAACAATCAATGTGTCAAAAAGGAAATCAAAAGGGAAATTTAAAAATATATTGAAACAAATGACAAGGAAACACAATGTACCAAAACCTATGAGATGCAGCGAAGGCAGTTCTAAGAAGGAACTTTATAGCAATAAACACCTACATCAAAAAAGAAGAAAGATCTCACATAAATAGCCTAACATTACGTGCCTCAAGGAATTAGAAACAGAAGAACAAACTAAACCTAAAGTAAGAAGAAAGAAAAATTTTAAAATCAGAACAGAAATAGAGAATAGAAAAACTATAGAAATAAATCAACAAAACTAAGAATTTTTTTTGAAGAAAATAAGCAAAATCAACAAACCTTTAGCTAGATTAAGAAAAAAAGAGAGAAGATTCAAATAAATAAACAAAATTAGAAATAAAAATGGAGACATTATAATGGATACCCCAGAAATAAAAAGGATCATAACAGACTATTATGAACAATTATATGCCAACAAATTGGATAACCTAGAGGATAGATTTATGAATAAATTCCAAATACAGCCTACTAAAGATCAATAATCAGGAAGAAATAGAAAGCCTGAACCAAACAATAATAAATAAAGAGATCGATGTAGTAATTAGAAACCTCCCAATAAAGGAAGTCTAGAGCCAGATGGCTTCATGGCTGAATCCTATCAAAATTTCTTAAAGTTTTCCAAAACACAGAACTAGAGGGAATGCTTCTGAACATATTTTATGAGGCCAGTATCACACTGATATGAAAGCCAGACAAAGACACCGTAAGAAAAGAAAACTATAGGCCAATATCTCTGATGAACATATATGTAAAAATCCTCAATAAAATACTAGTAAAGCAAATTGAACATGTCAAAAAGATTATATATCATTATCAAAGTATATAAATCAACCAATGTGATGCACTGCATTAAGAAAATGAAAGATTAAAAAACCCACATAATCATGTCAATTGATGCAGAAAAAGCACTTGACGAAGTCTGACATCCTTTATTGATAAAAACTCTCAACAATTTAGGTAGAGAAGGAAATTTTCTCAACACAGTAAAGGCCATTTCTGAAAAGCCCACAGCTAATATCATAATCATAAGGAAAAACTGAAAAGTTTTACTCTAAAAATCAGTATTGAAAAAGAATACCTACTATTGCCACACCCACTCAACATAGTACTGGAAGTACTAGCAAGAGCAATCGGACAAGAAAAAGAAATAAAAGGCACACAAATTGGAAAGAAAGGGGTAAAATTAACCCTATTTGCAGATGTCATGATCCTTTATGTAGACAACTCCAAAGATTCCATAAAACAACTGTTAGAAGTAACAAATTCCGTAAAATTGCAGGACACAAAATTAACACACAAAAATTAATTGCATTTCTGTATACCAATAATAATCTATCCAAAAAAGAAATCAAGAAAAATACCATGTATGATAGCATCAAAAAGGAATAAATTTAACTAAGGAGGTAAAAGAAGTGTACACTAAAAATTCTAAAACTGATAAAAGAAACTGAAGAATACACAAATAAGTGGAAAGATAGTGTATGTTCATGGATTGGAAGAATATTAGAAAAATTCCTATACCATGCAAAGCAATATACAGATGCAATGCAACTCCTGCCAAAATTCCAATGGCATTATTTACAGAAATAAAAAAAAATTCTAAAATTCATAGGGAAGCACAAAAGACCCCAAATAGCCAAAGCAATTTTGCAAAACAAAAACAAAGTTGGAAGCATCACACTTCCTGATTTCAAATTATATTATAATGCTAATCATCAAAACAGTATGGTATCCGCATAAAAATGGACATATAGACCAATGGAACAGAGTACAGAAATAAATCCGAACATATGCATTCAACTAATTTTTGACATGGACACCAAGAAGACACAATAGAAAGAGAATTATTTATTTATTGAAGTCTCTTTGATAAATGGTGCTGGGAAAACTGAATATCTACATGCAAAAAAAGTTACATTGGACCCTTACCTTACATCATACACAAAAATTAACTCAAACTGGATAAATGACCTAAAGAGGAGATCTAAAACCAAAAAACTCCTAGAAGAAAACATAGGGGAAAACTCCTTGATCTTGGCCATTATTTTTTGAGATGTCAGACCAAAATCTCAGCCTTCAAAACCAAATAAATAAGTGTGACTATAGCAAATTAAAAACTTCTGTACAGCATAGGAAATGATGTAAAAAATGAAAAAGCAGCCTACATATTAGGAGAAAATATTTTCAAACTGTATACCTAATAAAGGGCTAATATCCAAAATATATAAAGAACTCACACAACTCAATAGCAGAAAAATGACCCAATTTAAAAATAAGCAAATGACTCGAATACACATTTCTCCAAAGAAAACATAAAAATGGTAAAAAGATATATGAAAAGGTGCTCAACATCACTTATGATCAGGGAAATGCAGATCAAAGCCACCATAAGATATCACCTTATACCTGTTAGAATGGCTATTACTAAAAAGATAAATGATAAGTGTTGGCAAGAGTGTGGAAAAAAGGGAACCCTTGTCCACTGATGGTAGGAATGTAGATTGGTGCAGCTATTCTGGGAAACAGTACGGAGATTCCTAAAGAAATTAAAAATAGAACTGCCATATAACCCAGCAATCCCTCTTTTGGATATATACCCAAAACAAATGAAATCCCCACTTTGTAAAGGTACCTGCACTCCCATGTTCACTGCAGCATTATTCACAATAGCAAAGACTTGAGAAACAACCTAAATGTGCATCGACAGAAGAATGGATAGAGAAATTGTGGTGTATATGTAAAATGGAACAGTCTTAAAAAAAAAGATTCTGCTATTTGTCATAACATGGGTGAACCTGGAGGATATTGTGCTACGTGAAATAACACAGATACAGAAAAATACTGAAGATCTCACTTATTTTTCATGCAGGAAAATACTGCATGATCTCATGTGAAATGACAGATATGTTAATTTTCTTGACTAAAATAACCATTTCACTATGTACATCAAAACGTCACGTGGCACATCTTAAATATATATAATAAAAATGCAAATTCAGGTACAAATTTGAAGAACTAACATACCTCATTTTAAGACTTATAAAACTACAGTAATTAATACAGCATAATGTTGGCATAAAGATAATCAAATATATCATTGGAATAGAATAGATAATCCAAAAATAGACTCACACCTGTCTGATTTTTGGCAAAAGAGCCAAAACTATTCAACTGATAGAAGAAAGCATTATTTTAAACAAATAATGCTAGACAGTTTTTAAAATAGTGATGAACAATTGAATATTGATATGGAAGGAAAATGAATTTGAAATTGATGATAGGGTCAAAATTCATTTTTACCCATATCAATAATAACCAGTTGTGTCAGCTTTTCTTCCTCTCCAGTGCTGGGTGTTGTTAGTCTTTTTCATTTTACACATTGATATTATCATGGAAGAGCAGCAAACAACATTCTCATGTACTGCAGGTAGAATTGTAAAATAGTGAAACCATTTTGGAAAACTGACAATGTCCTTAAAAACAGCAAATATATATCTATCTACGACACAAAATTCTACTCTATTACTCAAAAGAATAAAAACATATGTCTGCAAAAACACTCTTGTTCAGAAAAATTAAATATAATTAAGACACAAAAATCCACACAAAAGATCAATGAAACCAAGAGTTGGTTTTCTGAAACAATAAGATTGGTAAACCGCTAGCTAGATTAACAAAGAAAGAAAAGACCCAAGTAAGTATGATCAGAAAGGACAAAGCTGACGTTACAATTGTTCCCACAGAAATACAAAAGATCCCCAGAGACTACTCTAAACAACTCTATGCACATGAATTAAAAACTCCAGAGGAAATGGATAAAATCCTGGAAACACAGAATCTCCTGAGATTGAATCAAGAGGAGATTGAAGCCCTGAACAGACAAATATCAAGTTCTGAAATTAAATCAGTAATTTAAAAAACCTACTGTGTCAGTCTGTTTTCACATTGCTATGAAGAAATACCTAAGACCGGGTAATTTATAAAGAAAAGGGGTTTAATTGGTTCATGGTTCTGCAGGCAATTCAGGAAGTATAGTGCCAGCATCTGCTTCTGGCAAGGGCCTCAGGAAACTTACAATCATGACGGAAGGCAAAGGGGCAGCAGGCATGTCACATGGTGAGAGCAAGAGTGAGGGAATAAGCAGAAGGAGGTCCCAGACATTTAAACAACCAGATCTCACGTGAACTGAATGAGAACTCACTCATCACCAAGGGGATGGTGCTAAGCCATTCAGGAGGGATCCGTCCCCATGATCCAATCACCTCCCACCAGGCTCCACCTCCAACACTGGGAAAGACATTTCAGCAGGAGATTTGGAGGGGACAAACATCCAAACCATATCACCTACCAACCAAAAAAATGCCCTGGACTGGAAGGATTCACAGCCAAATTCTACCAGACATACAAGAAAAACTGGTACCGATCCAACTGAAACTGTTCCCAAAAAAAATCAAGGAGGAGAGGCTCCTCCCTAACTAACTCTATAAAGCGAGCATCAGCCTAATATCAGGCAGAGACATAACCAAAAAAGAAAACTTCAGGCCAATATTCCTAGTGAACATAGATGCAAAAATTCTTAACAAAATACTAGCAAACTGTATCCAGCAGCACATCAAAAAGTTAATTCACCATGATCGAGTAGGCTGCATTCCTGGAATGCAAGATTGACTAAACATATGCAAATCAATAAATGTGATTCACCACATAAACAGAATTAAAAACCATATAATCATCTGAAGAGATGCATAAAAAGCTTTCGATAAAAATCCAACATCCCTTCACGATAAAAGCCCTCAACAGACTAAGCATCGAAGGAACATACCTCAAAATAATAAGAGCCATCTACTACAAACCCGAAGCCAATATCATACTGAATGGGCAAAAGCTGGGAGCATTCCCCTTGAGAACTGAAACAAGACAAGAATGCCCACTGTCTCCACTCCTATTCAATATAGTACTGGCAGTCCTAGCCAGGGCAATCAGGCAAGAGAAAGAAATAAAAGGCACCCAAATAGGAAGAGGGGAAATCAAACTATCTCTATTCACAGATGATATTATACTATATCTAGAAAACCCTAAAGATTCCGCTAAAAGTCTCCTAGAACTGATAAACGACTTTAGTAGTTTCCAGATACGAAATCAATATAGAAAAATCAGTAGCATTTCTATACACCAATAATGGTCAAGCTGAGAGTCAAATCAAGAACACAATCCCACTTATGATAGCCACAAAAAGAATATGATACCTAGGAATACAGCTAACCAAGGAGGTGAAAGCTCTCTACAAGGAGAACTACAGAATAACACTGAAAGAAATCAGAGATGACATAAATAAGTGAAAAAATATTTTATGTTCATGGATTGGAAGAATTAATATCATTAAAATGACCATACTGCCCAAAGCAATCTACATATTCAACACCATTTCTACCAAACTACCAATGTCATTTTTTGCAGAACTAGAAAACTATTCTAAAATTCATATAGAACCAAAAAAAAAAAAAAGAACCCAAATAGCCAAAGCAATCCTAAGCAAAAAGAACAAAGCTCGAAGCATCACACTACCCAAACTTCAAATACTATACTATAAAGCTACAGTAACCAAAACAGCATGGTTCTGGTACAAAAAAAAAAAAAAAAGGCACATAGATCAACAGATCAGAACAGAAAACTCAGAAAGGAAGCCATAAACCTATAACCATCTGATCTTCAACAAAGCTGACAAAAATAAGCAATGGGGAAGGGAATCCGTATTCGATCAATGGTGCAGGGACAGCTGGCTAGCCATATGCAGAAGGATAAAACTGGATCCCTACCTTTCATCATATTTAAAAATTTACTCAAGATGAATTAAAGATTTAAATGTAAGACCTCAAACTATAAGAATCCTAGCAGAAAATCTAGGAAATACCCTTCTTGACATTTTTCTTGGCAAATAATTTTTGGCTGAGTCCTCAAAAGCAATTGCAACAAAAACAAAAATTGACAAGTGGGACCTAATTGAACTTAACAGCTTCTGCATGGCAAAAGAAACTATCAACAGAGTAAACAGACAATCTACAGGATGGAAGAAAATATCTGCAAACTATGCATATGACAAAGGTCTAATCTCCAGAATCTATAAGGAACTTACATCAATCAAGCAAAAGAACAGATAATCCCCATTTTTAAAATGGGCAGAGGATACGAACTGACACTTCTCAAAAGAAGACATACATGGGGCCGATAAACATATTAAAAAAAGTTCAACATCACTAGTCACCAGAGAAATGCAAATCAAAACCACAGTGAGATACACCTCACACTAGTCAAAGTGGCTATTATTAAAAAGTCAAAAAATAACAAACATGCTGGTGAGGCTGCAGAGAAAAGGGAATGCCTATACACTGCTGGTGGGAATGTAAATTAGTTCTGCCACTGTGGAAAACAGTTTGGAGATATCTCAAACAACTTAAAATAGCTACCATTTGATCCAGCAATCCCATTCCTGGGTATATATCCAAAGGAAAATAAATCATTCTACCAAAAAGACACATGCACTCACATGTTCATTGCAGCACTGTTCACAATAGCAAAGAAATGGAATCAGCCTAGGTACCCATCAACTGGATTGAATAAACAAAATGTGGTAAGTATACACCATGGAGTATTATGCAGCCACAACAAAGAATGAAATCATGTCCTTTGCAGCAACACTGATGCAGCTGGAGACAATATTCCTAAGCAAATTAATGCAGGAACAGAAAACCAAATACCGTATGTTCTCACTTATAAGTTGGAGCTAAACATTGAGCACACATGGACATAAACATGGGAACAATAGTCACTGTGGACTACTGGGTGGGGGGAGGGAGGGGAATGTGGGTTGAAAAACTACGTATTGGGCACTATGTTCACTAACTGGGTGAAGGGATCTGTATTAGTCCGTGTTCATGCTGCTAATAAAGACATACCCAAGACTGGGCAATTTACAAAAGAAAAAGGTTTAACGGACTCACTGTTCCACGTGGCTGGGGAGGCCTCACAATCATGGCAGAAGGTGAAAGGCACATCTCACAAGGCAGCAGACAAGAGAAGATAACTTGTGCAGGCAAATGCCCCTTTATAAAACCATCAGATCTCATCAGACTTATTCACTATAATGAGAATAACACTAGAAAGACCTGCCCCCATGAGTCAGTTACCTCCCACCAGGTCCCTCCCACAACACAGGGGAATTGTGGGAGCTACAGTTCAAGATGAGATTTGGGTGGGAACACAGCCATACCATATTAGGATCCATGCCCCAAAACTTAGCATCACACAATATACCTATATAACAAACCTGCACATGTACCCCCATATCTAATATGAAAGTTGAATTTTTTTAAATCTTGTTCAAGAATGTTTGTATCAGCTTCACTCATAATAGCCTCAGACTGTTAACAACCTAACCTCCTTCAAAAAGAAAATCAGTAAACAAACAGGTATTTTTATACAATGAAAATACTGTTCAACAACTTAAATAATGAAATACTGATGCATGTGACAGTATGGATGCATCTCAAAATATGATGCTGAATGAAGAAACCAGACACAAATGAGTACATAGAGTACATACTGTGTGACTTCACTTACATAAAACTCAAGAATAGACTAAGCTAACCTATAGTGCTAGAAATAAGAATAGTTGCCTATTAGAAGTAGGTGGGACTGACTGGAAGGGACACAAGGGACTTTCAGTGGTAATGAAAGTGTTCTATGTCTTGGCTCTGGTGTTGGTCAAAGGTGTGTATATTTGTCAAAATTCATCAGGTTACATATTTAAGCTATATGCATTTCCCTGTAGGTAAATTTTGCTTCAGATTTTTTAAAAAAGTGATCATGCTGGCTGCTGCATGAGAATAGACAGTCAGGCTAGAGGGAGTATGGGCAGAGAGCAGTCAGCAGGCTGCAGCAGTTACCCAGGGCAGAGACGGCAGCGACTTGGACGCAGTGGCAGCAGTGGGGAATGAGACAGATTTGGAATGATAGTCTTCTCTAGAGCATCTTCTCTTGGGATGACAGCCCTCATAAATCTCCTCTCTCCCCTTTACAGTATTGCACCATGGGACCCATTGCACTAATTCTACAAACACTATCGACAGCCATCCATGCCAAGTACCTGATCATTTTCCTCTTCTCAGGATTCTGTTTATATATATTGGGATCCTGCCTGTGTTCCAAACCAGACTCTATCCCTTATTAGTGCACAATCTTGGGCAAGTTTAGTAACTTTCCAGAGCCTCAGTACTATTTTTATGTAAATGGGGATAATACTTAACATTTATCCTGAGGACTTATTACAAGGATTCGACGTAGATAAAATAATGCTTATTCTTAGGTTTAAATCAATAATGGCAAAGTGGCTAGTCCACTATCAGGCACACAGTGTGTAGTGAAGAAGGGATACACCCTTCCCTTCTTCCCCAGTCTCCCAAACTAGGTTGGTGCTTCTATTCTTGTCTTCCAGACCACATAGTGAGCCACAATGATAGGTGTGCTGCGGGTCCTAAATAAATATCTGCTTTGGTTATTGGCCAAAAATATCACAAAATAAGATACTTCGCGGAGTGGATTCTGGGTGCAGATTTGCTCAGCTGAGAATGTGGTTTTAGAGAGCATGGCTTTGCCCTAATTAGAACCCAACAAAACTCAAAATTTCAAATGTAACTCAGATCTTTGTGGGCTCAGCTCAACTTTGTGGTTGCAAAGTTTTCAAAAAATGTGGTTCTAAATAAAAGCTAAGGTAAAAGCCTTGCTTTAAAAAAAGCTAATAAAGACTATTGACTTAAATAATGCTTTATGAAGCAATATTATGATGTATTAAAAGCAAAAAGAAAGAAAGAAACATATGGATTAGATTCCCCTGGAAATATATCAACTTTTAAAGTGTAGGGAAATGGCACTCAGGAAAATATGGAGGCTTTGTTCAACTGAAAACACAAACCATTTTCTGAGTTTATTAAGACGTTTGCATCCATGTGATAAGCTCAGAGTGGGCTCCCTATTTTTTGGTCAAGTGGTATCAGACCACTCATCTTCAAAAGCCAGTCAATGCATCATGCAGCAAAATCAAACATATTTGAATAAGATAGAGACATTTTGTGAAAACACCAGAGTTGAGGGAGAAATGGACTTGGAATCAAAGCTAACTTGTCCGACGGGCTTCTATTTGCTTTCAACAGAAGATGACATATAGCTTCCAGTCAAAGATGGGGAATTAAACATACATTTACCTGTACTCCCTCGAGAAACACCACTTAATTAACAGTCAAAAGAATTTTGTTATGGTATAATCCCCATGGACAATGAGAACAGGAAAGAATACAACAAGAAGAACATTTTGGAAGCTGGACAAGTGGTAACCAATTTAGCTGATCTAAACAATTTATTCCTAAATCAACAGTAATAAAAGTCAAAAATCAACTAGTCAGGAAATGGCCACAACATTATCTCTGGAAGTGAAGACCAATGTGCATCTAAAAAGAGGAGGATTGGTTTACAATCGGTTTAGGAATCTGCCAAACCTTCAGATACCTATCGTCATTCCGTCTAGCCAGATGACAGCCTCTTCACCACTCCTGCAGAAGACCATAAGATTATTTTCTGGAAAGGATGAAATAGTATTAAGATCACCAAGCACTGTTAAAGGTGGATGTATCAGAATGAAAACAGAAAGATTAAGTGAAGTTTCACATGCTGTTATGGACTGAATAGTGTCCCCCCACCAATATCCATATGTTGAAGCCCTAATCTCCAGTTTGACCATATTTAAAGATAGGGCCTTTAAGGAGGTAATTAAGGTTAAATGAGGTCATAAAGATTGGGCCCTGATAGGACTAGTCTACTTATAGGAGAGGAAGAGACACAAGAGTGCAAGCTTTCTCTCTCTGTGGACAGGCACAGAGGAAAAGCCATGGAGGACATAGTGAGAAGGCTGCTGTCTACAAGCCAGGAAGAGAGGCCTCACCAGAAACCAACTCTGCTGACCCCTTGATCTTGGACTTCCAGCCTCCAAAACTGTGAGAAAATAAATTTCTGTTGTTTAAGCCACACAGTCTGTCATATTTTGTTATGGCAGCCCCAAAGGACTAATATGCATATTGAATAAGGAGATGATGAGCCTTCGCCTGCTAAGCTCCCAGAATGCTGGTAGTCAGATATATATCCTCCAGGCAGAAGACCGGAGAAGATTTCTCCAAGCAATCTGATTAGTTTCAGAAAAAAGACCAAAAAGATACCAACATAGACCAACATAGAGGATTTTCTACGAAAACAGCCCAGGTAGATGACACTACATGAAGTTTATGATTCAAACAGCCCCACCCAAGTACCTGGAGCTTTCAGGTCAGCTTTGTAGTTACCTTCACTCTTAAATATGAGCAACAACCAAGAATCACTAGGCATTTGAGGAAACTACCTAGTAGAAAATATAGTGTACAAAACAAATAGGTAAGGAGAAGAAAACTTTGATAAAATTATTAATATTAGAGAATATTACATCTATGAAACAAGATGCTATTTTAAAAAGGAACATTTAGAAAACAGAAAAGAATTCTTAGAAATGTTTTTAAATGATGGTAGAAATAAATGCAATAAAAATCTCAAAGATTTAAAGAAGTGGCTTAGAAAACAGAGAAGGCAAAAAGATGAAAAATAAGAGAAAAATAAGAATATGGGAGAAAAATTCAATAGATCTCATATTCAAATACTAGGAGTTCAGGGTCAGGGAGGAGGGTGGAACATAAGAGAAAAATGAGAGAGAAAATCATCAAGGAAATAATTTTCACAAGTAATAACCAAAATTGAAGGATGTGAGTTTCCAGATTGAAAAGACCTACTAAATGCCTCACACAATGAGCAAAAATAGATCCAAATCAAGGAACCTTCTGAAATTTCAAAATAACGAGGACAAAGAAAAACTCCAATAGTAAGAGAGAAACAAACAGTTTTCACACAATAGCCTTCTTAGCAATCCTGGAAGCTTGAAGACAATGGCACAAGTCCACCAATGTTCTGAGAGAAAAGTATCTCCAACCTAGAATTCTATACCCAGCCAAACCATCAATTAACAATGAGAACTTAAATAATAAAAAAAAAAAAGAATGAGGATACAGGCCAGGCGCGGTGGCTCATGCCTGTAATCCCAGCACTTTGGGAGGCTGAGGTGGGCGGATCATGAGGTCCGGAGATCAAGACCAACCTGGCTAACATGGTGAAACCTCGTCTCTACTAAAGACACAAAAAATTAGCCAGGCATGGTAGCATGCACCCACCTGTAGTCCCAGCTACTCAGGAGGCTGAGGCAGGAGAATTGTTTGAACCGGGGAAGTGGAGGTTGCAATGAGCCAAGGTTGTGCCACTGCACTCCAGCCTGGGTGACAGAGCAAGACTCCGTCTCAAAAAAGATAATAATAAAAATAATAATGAGGATACAACAAATACATTCTCAGACATGCAAGGTCTCAAAAAAAATTGCTTACCTCTTTGTAAGTTAATGAAAAAAAAATGTGCTTCATCAAAATGATGAAGCAACTCAAGAAAGAAGAGAACATGGAACCCAGGAAACAAGATTAGTAGGAAAGGAAACCTGAGGAATCGCCAAGATATTCATGAAGAGTAGTCCTCAAACAACAGCTGAAGAGCAGACCTAGGAAGCACCCAGTCTAGCTCCAAAGGTTCCAGGAGAGATGTCCTCAAAAAGATGAAATTGGTAGAACCAGAATTGTGGATATAATTTTGAGACAAATTGTATTCAACTTGGGGAGAATTTGGTGTTGGATTGGTGACATATACATAAAAAACTAAGCAGAGGGGGAAAAAGATTAACTCCAGGGAATAAATGTGGATCAGGAAAGTACAAGTCATCACAGCTCAGCTGTGAACAGCGTTTTCAGGGTCAAAGTAGTATAATCACTGAATATTGATCTAATAAAATTACACTATAACTGTTTGGAAAGATGGCAGATGGGAAGCAGGGGTGTCGACAGGCAGTGGGGAAAACAGCTAACTCTTCTTCTTCTCCAGTGAGGAGTCAATACACAATGCTGAAAATGGAAAATTCAAGTAGCAGAAATATAAATATGACATTTAGAGATACATATTTTAAAAATTAGCTAAATTACTAAAAGTAGATGCCTCTAGATAGTAGAAAATTGTTGTGGAGGGGTGATGGAGAAGTCCAGGACTTTGTGTGCTTGCACGTGTGTGTTTGCAACAAGCATGCTAGAGTTATTCTACCCTCTAAACTATGTGCAAAGGTAACATTTATTTTGAAATTAAATGTAAAACAAAAACTAATTTAAAAAAAAAACTTTAAGAGAAAAAAAGGAGGAGGAGGAAGGGAAGCAGGGTGGGGAATGAGAGCAAAAAAGGCATGGCTGCTGTGCCTGATGAGAAGCCACAGGCCAGCTGCACAGGCGGCTTCTTCCAGAGGCTCCCACCTGTCTGACTGCACTCCCGACAGAGGCCTCCGCTAGCTCCCAAAGATTCAAGCACAGAAAGCATACATTGTTCCTCAAATTCCGTACACTTGAAAACTGTCTGGATGGCCCTCACAGGAAATGCAGATTTGCACACCCATTTGGAAGATTCATTTTAGTCAGACTGACCCCAGGGTCTCTCCCCTGGAGAACACCTGCTTACCAGCACAGGGGTGGGGTTGGTTCTGAGGACGCAGACGGATCTCAGCCCTCACCCCAGCAGCTGTGTATCCTAATTCAACAGGGGGACTTGAGAACATACAACCCACTGCCTATTCTTCAAGGCCTGGGAAGAACAGGATTCCCTGGACACTGGCAAGTTCAGACCCAACCCCTTCTGTTTCACACTGGTCCAAGCACCGCAAGACCCCATTTTATGCTTGAACCTTCTAAATAGGTGACTATGCCTGAAAGCCATTTCTTAAATAGTTCTTAGTAGGATCTTAGAGGAAAAACATTATCAGTCCAAGCACACCCACAAAACTTGGAACAGCATTTTATTTCTTAACTACTAATGTGTAGTTCACATGGTTTGACTTCTTCCTTTATAATTATAAAAGTAATTCAGGCATATAATAAGAAATTCTGACACTATGCATAAGTAGAATAAGAAGGCTCTCTCCCTGCCAGGCTCCCAAGACCTCTGTCTAAAGGTAATCACTGTGAATAGTTTCTTATGCATTCAAAGAGGGTATAATCTAGACATATAAACATATGTATGAACATATACCTTTCATTTAATACCAATGGGAGTATTCTCTACATTCTCTACATAATGCTCTGTACCTTTCTGTTTCTGTACTTGACATGTCTTGATGATATGTTAAGATCTTCAATACATTATAGGCCCTTCATGTTCTAACAGCTTCAGGATATTCCATTGCATAGATGTACTTGGTTTAATCAGTCCTCTCTCTGTGGACATTTACAGTTCTTTTTTTTTTGCTGTAATAAACAGTGACATGATGGATGTTCTTAAATTGATATCACTGCACTCATTTATGAACACGACTATATCCATAAGATGAATTCCTACATATAAAATTGCTAAATCAAAAGGATGGTACATTTTTCATAGAAATTGCCCAACTTTCCTCCAAAAGTCTTATACCAATTTACACTCCCTGCCCTGACTGACCATGCCTGTTTCCCCACATCCTTTCCAACAAAATGCATTACCAAATTTTAAATTTTCATCAGCCTGCTAGTTAAATGCTATCTTGCTGTGTTAATAGGCATTTTTAAAAATGTAAGTTTCTTTTCATTTGCTTATAAGCTTTTCGCTTGATTATAAATACTTCTTTTTCTGTGAACTTCCTGCTCAAGTCTTTACCCAACTTTCCATTGAGTTATCCTTTTTTTTCTGATTTTTAAAGGTTACATATAAACTCAGGAAATTAGTCAACTTTGAAGAATTACGTGCCTGACTTATTAAATGCTTTTTTTTTTTTTTGAAACCGAGTCTCTCTCTGTCACCCAGGCTAGACTGCAGTGGCCCGATCTCAGCTCACTGCAAGCTGCACCTCCCGGGTTCACACCATTCTCCTGCCTCAGCCTCCCGAGTAGCTAGGACTACAGGAGCCCGCCACCACGCCCGGCTAAATTTTGTATTTTTAGTAGAGACGGGGTTTCACCGTGTTCGCCAGGATGGTCTCGATCTCCTGACCTCGTGATCCGCCCACCTTGGCCTCCCAAAGTGCTGGGATTACACGCGTGAGCCACCGTGCCCAGCCATTAAATGCTTTCTTAAATATTAAGTCCTATAAGAAACGGGAGAGTCCTCCCCGTCTCATGGAAGCACCTAAAAGCAAGAGAGTAGTAACCACAACAGCAGTGCTAACAGGTGCACATTTAATAGGTGCTACTAGTGTGCTGAGCTCTGTTCTAAATGTTTTTCATACATCATCTCATTTACTCTTTACCATAACCCCATAAGGAAGGTATCATTACCCCCATTTCATAGACAAAGAACAGGTCTAGAGAGGTAAAGTAACTTGCCTAAGGTCCCACAGCCAGTAAACAGCAGAGCAAGGACACAAAACCAGGTTTGTCCCATTCTAGAGACCCAGCTATTAACCACTCCCACACTGTCTACTGTCTGCTTCCCAATGTTTGGCAGGAAGTAGGGACTGAAGGTCAGGTTGGTCACTCCAAACCTGGTGCAGCTTGATGCCACCTTGGAGATGCAAACCACCAGTCCAGCATGTGGGATCTGAGGGCGGGAGCCAACTGTCCTGTCCTCTGCTGTGTTCTCAGTTTCTAGGAAGGTCTCTGACACAAAGTAAGCATGCAGCAAATGGTGGCGGAGTGACAGCGTGAATGAGTGAATTTACCTGACTTCTCACTTGACCACAAGCTCCTTGAGGGCAAAGACTCAGCCGGTCAGCTGTTTCTCCCCAAAGCGTAGCCCAGTGTCTTGCACAGAAAGGGAAAAATCAAACAATGTTTGTTGAATGCAGTGAGCCCTCCACCGTTTTTGAAAGATGGCTCTGCCAAGCTTCAGCTTTCAGTCCAGGTGGAGGAACACCACCAACTCCAGGAAATATTTTATTGGACAACACTTGACGTGTCTCCCTGGGGAAACCCCAGGTAAAAGGGCTGGAGGTCCAGGGAAACAGGTCAGGAGGATGAGGGTGGCTCTCCCAACTCACAATTCAAGTCACTGGTCCCCTTTCCCCTCCCATGCCCCCAAGATTGTGGCCATTCATGTTTCTCAGCTGAGAATAACAGCAGTCCAAAGCGAGCACACAGTTACCTCCTAGTTCACTGAGTACAGACCCAGCTTTCTACCTGCATTAACTCATCTGCTCTTCAAAACAACCATATGCAACATGCACTATTATTGTCCTTATAGGTGAGGAAAGGCACAGAGAGGTTAAGCAAGTTGCTCAGGGTAACATAGGGCAGAACCAGGACTTTAACCCAAACACACCACTGGGCTTTTCTGCCCAGCAGCAATGCTCTCCTCTCCTGAGGGCCCAGCAGCAATGCTCTCCTCTCCTGAGGGCCCAGCAGCAATGCTCTCCTCTCCTGAGGGCAAACCTCTCACATCCTGTTCATCCTTCCAGACTCAGCTCCAGCCCTCCCCGCTGGACAAGGGTCCCAGTTCCCACCCATGGCCCTTGGGGTCCCTCAGCTGGGCATGACTTTGCTCCTGGTTCTGTTAGCCGCAGCAGGACCAGCCTAGTCTTATTAAGCTCCTTGGGGTGCAAGTACGGACTCTCTATGAGGGCTTGCCTGCCCAGGCTTCCTGTCTTCTGTCCCCAGCACCATGTGCCTGGCAGTAGGGCCCTCAAGGGCAGCCTCCCTAGCCTAGAAGAGACCTGTCCCCTCAAATGGCTTAGTGGGTGTAGGTGCCACCGGGTGTGCCCTTTCCTCTCCTGTCTGGCCGAGACAGCCCCTGACCCTGAGGGAACTGCAGTGAGGCCGCAGTGAGCTGGGCCCCCTCTCTCAGGCCCGGCTCCTTTAGGCAGGCATTCCTGCCACTTCTGTGACCTGTGCTGAAGAGCCTGGCTCTGGAGTCAGACATGGGTTTAAATACGCTTACTATCCATATGCCATTGGACAAGTTATTCAACCTCTCTGAGCCTAGGTTTCCTCAGCTGTAACACAGGGACAGTAAGTGTATCCACCTCACACCACAAGGGCTTGGGGAGGATTAGATTAGTTGTTAAGACCCCTTACTTTTCCGGAACCTACGCTGTAGTCAGGCACTGGTCTCGTATCACCACAGGGACCTGCATTATGGAGCCCTCAGAGTGCCGAAAGCCCTGAGGAGCCCTTTCCCTGGGGAGTGGCCCTCGGCCTCCCCGCCACTCCCATGCAGGCCCAGCCCCCTTTCTTCATTGCAAGCCCGGGATCCCTGACAAGACAAGTTCTAGTCTACAGCCAAGCCCTGCTGGAGAGGCCAGATGACCAATGTCCAAGGCCTGCCGTGGCTCCCTGCAGCTCCAGCCCCACCATGCTCCCATCCCCAGGTGAATTCTCAAGCCTGGCAGGACCCCTGAGAAGAGGGAGAGCCCAGAGAGAAAAGCTGTGAGGAGGTGGCACAGTCCTCACGCCAGATCCTCCGCACCACCTGTCTTGTCGTTCACTTGTGGGCCCTTGTCCACTGGGAGCAATAACAGCTCCTTCCTGCCATCTCCCAGCCGCGCTGGGCATCCCTCGCCCACCCTTTCTCTCCCTCCTCCCTTCCCAGAGCTCGGCTAAGCTCGCTCTTAATTGGCCTGACAAAAACAGTCACCAGGGGAAGTCCTTGAAGTTGGGGATTTCAACAAAGCTAAACCACTAAATCCCACGGCCGCCAGCCTGTCTTCACAGCTTCTCCGGCTCTGCCAGAAATCACACTTACTCCCATGCAGAAACCACAGCCCTGGCGGCTTCAGTGTCCTCCTGGCCCACCCCCACCTTGGGCCACCTTATCAAGGCAGGCCAGCCCATCCTTTATCTGCCTGCCATCCCTAAGTGCTTCCATTCCCCGACAGGCCCCATAAAAGCTGGTAAAAGACAAAGCTGCCCCACTTTTGACATCACTGACTTCAAAGGCCCCGCATTAGCTGGGGTCGATCCAGATGCCTTGTCAAGTTAGGAGTGATGCTTGGTACTCCTGGGATGGCCCTGCTGGTCTGGGAATCACTCTGAGAGCCCCAGAGTTGCTCAATAAATGCACAGAAGTGGTTAACGGCATGGACTCTGGAGCCAAAGCGGCCTTGGTTCAAGTTCCAGCTCTGCAACTTGGTAACTGGGCAAGTCACTTACCCTCATAGACCTCAGTGTTTTCACCTGCCAAATGGTGCTAATGAAATTTTCCTATCTGGTCCTCCAAATGTCACTGGGAAAGGCTTTACATGGTGCAGAAGGTGTGCTCCTGTATAGGGATGGCTGCTTCTCAGGACCCCTGAGAGCCATCTTTATAGGGCCCTTGGTAGCAGAGAGAACTTTCCTTTCTGGAGTGCATCAGGAAAGAATGAATGAAGAAAGGACCTCAGCCACATGATATCCATAGCATCCACTCCCAATTCCCCACCACATGCCCAGACCCATCAGAGTTCAGGTTCCAAAGCCCCTCATCCTTTAGTGACAAAAATCTGCCCCCTAGGGAATAGGGAGTTATCATTTAGTGGGTACAGGGTTTCAGTTTAGTAAGATGAAAGTGTTCTAGAAATGGATGCTGGTGATGGTTGCAAAACAATGTGAATATTTAATGTGAATGTGCTTAATCCCACTGAACTATACACTTAAAAATTGGTAAATCTTATGTTATGAATATTTTGCCACAATTGTTTATTTTTTGAGATGGAGTCTTACTCTGTCGCCCAGGCTGGACTGCAGTGGCACAATCTTGGCTCACTGCAACCTCTGCCTCCCGGGTTCAAGCGATTCTCCTGCCTCAGCCTCCCAAGTAGCTGGAATAACAGGCGTACACCACCATGTGTGGCTAATTTTTGTATTTCTAGTAGAGATGGGGTTTCACCATGTTGGCTAGGCTGGTCTCGAACTCCTGACCTCAAGTGATCCTCCTGCCTTGGCCTCCCAAAGTGCTGGGATTACAGGCGTGAGCCACTGTGTCCAGCCGACAATTTTTTTTTTTTTAAAGTCTGGCTCCTCTGCCTCCCCTCAGGTAGAGAAAAAAGTGGAGACTAATAGAAATAAGGTGCTTAGCTCTTCCAAGGGAAGGCTGCATAAGGGAAGGCTGACAGTGGAAATGAAGCCCAAGCCAAAAGCTGCCTACCTCCTGCCAGCCCCCAAAGCCATCTGTGGCCCCTTTAGCCCCCTGTCGATAGGCTGACCACATGAACATAGGCAAGAGGAGATCTTGGCGAGGGGGAGCTCTTGGCGAGGGGGAGATATTGGCGAGGGGGACATCTGCCATGCTCATGCCCGCCTCCCAGAGGCCATGGAGTCCAATCCTGCCTGGCCATGCCCAGAAACAGTGGCTGCTCCAGACCCCTGCTCCAGGTCCTCAATACAAAGAAATAAGTGCAGAAAGGGGAAGAGGGAAGAGGGAATTAAGTCATCCTCAGCTTTCTCCCAGGTTTCACTGAGAAGAATCAAGGCAGTTTTTGGGCCCATTGCCCAGAGACAAAATAGGAGATGAAAATATTTATTTGTTCCTAAGGCTCCAGCAATCCCAGGCTGAAAAGCCCACCTTGGTCATAACTTACTGCAGCTCGGCTGCTTCCAAGGCAGGCCCTCCCCACAGGCAGCCTCCCCCTCGCTTGGCTCTTGGGGAAGATGTTCCACTGCCCCACTGGGTGGGGGGAAAAAGTGGGATCCCTGCCCCAACAGAAACTGAATCTATTAAATAAGAATTATCCCCTATTGGCATCAGGGAGCCATAAATAGCCCAGCCGCCCCAGTTGAATCACCAGAGCTCGCACTGTGTCAGCGTTTCTGTATAAACCGGAGCTTGCTAGGGGATTAGCTCACAGCCATAAAAAATTTGCTCCAGGCTGAAACTTGGCCTAAGGAAAATCTCAGCCCGAGAGTAGACTCTGAAAAGAAAGCCAGGCGACACCACCCCCGAGCCTCCTGAGGACGAGGGTGCCGGTGACCAGGACCTCTTACACTGGGCTCTGTGGTCACCAGCACAGAAGTAGTCAGCGATTTCGTGCACCAGTTGGGGTTGTCATAATTCAAAATTTGGGTTGTTTTTATTTTTCAAGCTAAAAGAAGGGGCATTTTCTGCTATGAGAACTTTGAATAGATCTGACTTTGAAAATGTGTAATCCAAACCCTCCCCTTTTCCCTCTGACAGTTAAATATCAAGCAAAAAGAGATTTGCCTCAGCAGGGAGCCAGTGCCCGTGTTGTTGCCTGGGACACTGTTGGGACAGTGGGTGCTGCCTCCCACCCCAAAGTTTTGAAAGCAAGGCCTGGGAACCCAATAGATCAGAAGGGTAGAATAACTCCATATAGGACACAGGCGTAGTCAGTGGGAAAAGGATGTTTTGTTTTGTATTTTTCCTCCCCTATGAATGGTCAGTCCGACACCATCTATTAAGTAAAGCCAGGCCCTTCCACATTCCATGTACATAAATAACTTCCTGGTAGATTCATGATCTAAATGAAAAGAAAAACTATTAAAAATATTTGAATAAATTTAAAAGAATGTATATGTAAAGCCAGAGTAGGAAGGGCTTCATAAGTCATTTTTAAAAAGTCATGAAGAAAGAGAATGTTTTAATATTTAGACAATATAATTAGTTTTACATTTTTAGGAAGCCAGATTTGTCATAGATAAAATGAAAACAATAGATGGGAGAAAATATTTGCAATACATATGGCAAAGGGTTTATTTACTGTCATAATAAAGGACTCCTACAAATTAATAAGAAAAAGTAAAGAATAGCAGAAAAATAGACAAAAAACATGAAATGGCAATTTAAAGAAGATAAAATGCAAGTTGCCAACAATGATAAGATGTGAAACTCCACTGGTAGGTAGGGAAATATAAATCAAAACAAATGTGAACCACCAGATGGACAAAATTAAAATAGATTGGTAATGCCCAGTGCTAGTAAGGGTATGGGGAATAGGAGGTCTCATTCATCACTAAATGTGATGAATTGCTACAACCTTTAGGAAAGGTATGTGGCATTTTTTTTTTTTTTTTAGACAGAGTCTCACTCTGTCACCCAGGCTAGAGTACAGTGGCGTGATCTCGGCTCACTGCAACCTCTGCCTCCCGGGTTCAAGCAATTCTCCTGCCTCAGCCTCCCGAGTAGCTGGGATTACAGGTGCCTGCCACCACACCTGGCTATTTTTTTTTTTTTTTTTTTGTATTTTTAGTAGAGACTGGGTTTCACCATGTTGGCCAGGCTGGTTTCGAACTCCTGACCCCAAGTGATCCACCTGCCTGGGCCTCCCAAAGTGCTAGGATTACAGGTGTGAGCCACCGCTCCCAGCCAGCATCCGGTAAAATTTAAAATACCTGCAGTCTCACTTTAAGGAATATGTCCTTTAGGCCATATCTATAAGAATGCTTATTGCAGCTTTGCTTGTTAGGGCCAAAAATTAAAAATGAATGTCTACCAGTTAAAATGTTGAAAAAAGTATGTCTGTGCTATCGAATATAAATATGCAGCTATTGGAAAAAAAGAATATTTACATTTACTAACATAGAAAAATGATGGATTTTTTTCATTTTTAATTCCTCATATAACACATTCTCCTTTAACATCTTCTGCTTTATTAGCGAGTTTATCTCTTTTTCTTATTGTTCTTTTATATCCCTTCATATTTTTCAAAAGTTATTCATATGTATCTGAAGGTTTGAATTTGCCCATGCCCCTTACTGATAGGAGAGATGTTTTTTCAGCAAGTTTACTAGCTAATGTAATACCATGATGTGGCATTCATTAAAAACAATGAAAGAATGTAATGTTTAACAGGAGCAAATTTTTATTTTTTTAAAAGAAGAAAAAGGTAAAATCTCTAAGTATGCACCTATATTTTTATTTAAGTTTTTGCATGAAGAAAGGCATAGAGGTAATCACCATTTACTGTTGACACTGTAACTTCAGGGGGATGGGATTGAAAAGGGGGACTCACAAAATAATTGATTTTTTCCTTATCCATCTTTATGCTGGGTTTGGCTTTTTATAGCAAACATATATTAGTTTCATAATATTTTAAGTAGGAAACTTTTCAGTCACACCAAAATACAAAGTTTATTGGTAGAGGGGAAGTGGCTGCAGAACCTCAAGGCATGCTTACTATTAATAAATACTATGGCGTACACTCGTCAATAGCCACTAAGAAGCAGCCAGAGAAGTGGCACAGCTTCTACACACAGGAGTTCACAGACAAGGGAGACAAAATACATGATGCTTTGAGAGAACAATTTTTAAAATCCATAGGGTGCAGGGGCAGACAAGATATGAGCCTCAGATATGAGGGCTTCATGGTAGAGGCTTCTAAGGCCTTGAGAACGGGAGGACTTGGATAAATGGGGGATTAGGGCCGTGCAAGAGATAATGACGGCATAAACAAAAGATCTCTGGATCTGAATGAGGTAAGGAGAAGCCAAGGGCCTAAGGAAGGGCCTGGCACACAGTAGGTGCTCAATAATGCTTCCCAAGCTCTGCCTGGGAAACTTCCTACTCTTCAGAAGGTGGCACTGGTAAAAAGAGTTTGCACATCAGTCTGAAAACCGCCTATGCAAGGGACTCATTTTGGTTTCCCTTTAAGAGCCTGGTTCTCTAGGGAATGATTCACAACCAGACCGCCCTCTGCCCCGAAATACTGAGCCAAAGGCAGCCTCTCTGCATGTCTGGGAGCCCCACCAGGGAAGCACAAGCCTGAAAGACTCACTTCTAGGGTCACAAGAACAGTATTCACACTGGGGCCCAGCCACGGTCAGTTCCCACAGCCACCCCCAACTCCAGGTCAACTCACCCCCATCAAAACACACAGTCAGTTGCTATCATCCCAGGTATTAAAGTTCCCGGAGAGCAGCAACCACATCTGTCTGCTCACTCTTCTACGTCCAGTGCCCAGCCAGAGTGGGTGCTCAGGGAACACACACTGAATTAATGTTTGTTGAGAGAGTTGGTCTTTGCAGCTGAAACCTCTGACTTTTCTCTCTGGTCTCTGGCAGACGGATACTACCACCAGGGTCTGGGAAGTAAGAGGTGGAATCTGGGGGTTACAAGACTGATAAACAATGTTTTGTTTTTGGGGACCAAAAGAAAATAGTGACCCACAGCAATATTCTTAAGAGAGTATTTGAACTATGGAAGAGGGCAGGCTGTGCGTCATTTTCAATGAGGAAGGAGGAAAGGGGAGAGTTTGCAAATTATTTTCACCGGAGGCACAAGCAAGCCGTCTGTTTCACACGTGATTTCTAAAGGAGGAATGAGGAAAGAGGACAGTTTTCCCACAAGCACATCCTTAGTGAAAAGCATGGCGGTTTATTTGTTTCAAGCCCAGGAATGTCTTGGTGGGGTTTTGATCCTAGATTGCTCAGGAACAGCAAGGCCAGCCATGAAGTGAGACTCATCCCCTTCCTGCCAGTCCCGTCTCTCAGCCTTCAGATTATTCATTCCTAACCAGGAAGCGGACAGGCCTCCTTGCTACAGTGCATGTGAATACCCAGGAGAATCATGCCCCCAGCTCCCTCCCCATCTCCAGTTCACAACGGGAGGTATTCACTTCATCCTGCTCAGCCTGCGCCCCTTCACTGTCCTAAGAGGGTGCAGGAAAGACAGACAGGAGCTCCCAGGCACACACAATAGAGGGCTCGTCCAAACCACCCCCTTATAAATTCTAGCTCAAAACCAGAGTGTTGAGTGTCCACTCAGCATTAAGCCCCATGCAAGGAAAATCTGCTCATGGACTCCGAGCTGGCAATCCCCAATCTGAGACTTGTGGCTTCCCTCCCAGAACCCACGAGAGTGACGGCTCCTTCTTCCCTCCGAGGCACTCACTGCTTCTCCCAAAACACCAAAGTACTGGCTCTCTCTCTTAATTTCAAAATCTTTGGCTTTAAAAATGTGTGCTTTCTGCTCAGAGGTACCAAGATCCCTTCATTTATTCAACAAATATTTAGCAAGTGCTTCCTGTGAGCTAGGCTGTGATCTTCACAGTGATGAGGTAGCAGTGAAGAAAACAGACAAAAATCCCTGCCTTTCAGGGCTTAAATTTTAGCAGAGGAGGCAGAAAGAAAATCTAATTAATAAATAAGTCATTTACCTAAGTGCTCTAAGATCAAGCCAGGCCCAGGCGTGGCGGGGTGGGAAGGGATCATGTTCAACCGGGTGGTCGGGAGGTTCCTTCCCAGCTCCTGCCTGTCCAGCCTTTATCTTCCTGCCGAGATGGTGTTATTATGGTTCCCAAATGTTTGAGGTTCAAGTGAAGAGTTCATCTGTAATGGGATTATTTCTCGCCCTGTTTGCTTTCATTACAGACCCACTCTCTCCAAGCATGAGAATCTAACCTTACCGAAAGCATATTTTGGTAATCTGATATAAACTAAATTTAAACTTTGACCTCCAACAATAAAAACGCTACTTTCCTTCTCTGAAGACCTGAAATTCAGATTAAGGGCCTGCCAGCTTCACTTTCCGGGTTTCTAACTGACTTCTAATTAGATTCTAAGCTTTACTCAGAAGGGGCTGGGGACGGGCCGGGGCCCATGGCGGACGGCAGCCAACTGGCCTGGTTTCTCCTCATTCCCATTAGAAGTCAGATGCTTCTAGCTTTCCCACACCCCGAATCCTGTGTTTTTGGTATTGTCACAGAGTACCAAGCTAGTGCAGAAAACTCAAAATAAAATTGCTGTCTCAAGCTACATTGCAAATTTGCTCTGATCCCGTTTTGCACGAACTGCTTTAATCCTGCTGCGGGTAAAGGTTAAGTATGAGCTTACTCAAATCTGCCCCCACGTCATGTTCTAATTCCTGTAGGTTATCTTAGTTAGAAATTAAGGCAAGCAACTGCGAGTCCACATGGGGGCTGTCTGCGGCCAGGGCTGCTCCCTTCGTCTAAGCCTTCAACAGCCTCGCCTGCCACCCCACTCGTGAACAATTTTCTGTTTTTCAGAGCTTGACATTCATATGTTGTTCAGGTTTGCTACACACAAAATTAATGCCATGCATTTCTTTTTTTTTTTTTTAAGAAAGAAATTAAATAAATGTCACAGTCTGGACCAGAATAAGCAACTGAAAATTCAAATTCAGGGATGTCCTACATTAATAACTATTCACCGAGGAAGCATTTCCTGTTTATACATTGAGCTAATGAGAATCCATCACTCCTGTCAAATACACTGAACACCAAATTCAAATGTCAAACCAAATGTAAGAGGTCACACATTTCCTTTGCTAACTAAAAGTGTAATTCATAAATATTATTGCTACCAAACTCTCCATCTACAACATTTGTTTAGAAATATGCACATGTAATATAAATTGTGATTAAGTTAAATGGGTATATTATTTCCTGTTTTAAGGGCTAACAGCAGCATGAATTATGCTTTACTGCAAAGAAGGGCTCAAGTCACAAGCGGGTCTGCTCGAGCCCAGCCCCACATTTTACACCCCCAGATTGTTTTTTGCACATTCATTCATAAATACTTTACATTACCCAGCCGCACTGATAACTTTCACTTCTGCTGCCTTATAAAATAGCTCTTACTGTTGAAAAGGTCAGCTAAATGGACGTAAACTTTGTATCTAGCTACACTTAAAAATAAAAGTGGAAAAACAAAGAAGATTTACAAAGCCAGGGTCTTCATTTACCTCCATAAGCACAGTACCAGGATTCAAATTAAACTGAAACTTCGCATCTGTGGCATGATTTAGTGAGATGAGACTTGTTAGCCTGGGAAGTGACAACACAGCATTTTAACTTCCAAAATTACCAGGGAGTACAGAAACAATTGGGAAGCGACCTTTCATTATTTTTGTCAGCAAATAAATTCAACTAATATCCTTAGTTCAAAAAACCTGTATACACATTAACATTTGTATTACTTTAGGAGGACAAAATGTATTCTAGCAAAGAAAACAAGGAAAGCAGAAAAAACAGAAATAGATTCTCACCTAACAACCTGATAGGGAAATGTCCTCATGGCATTCAAATAAAAGGGTGAAAAGAGAGACCAGAATCAAAGCTGACCCTTCCTGGTCATGCTCCGGCAGTTTAAGAAAGGCGTATAGTTTCATCCCCCCCGCCACCCCCAAAAATTATTACCAGTGACCAAAAATAAATAAATAAATAAAATTTTAAAAGCAAGCAAATAAACCCTACCCTCCCAGGCCTAGATTGAGAGGTTTTCTCCCTATAGGCAAGCAGGAGAGCTTTGCTCCAAATCCTAGCAGAGCCAAGCCAAATGAATCCCACGTCCACATCAGCGAGGCCTCTGGCCGGGTCTCCCTGGGCCAAGCCCACGCGGAGGAGAGCGGGTGGGTCAGGTGCTCCTCGGAGGAGCTCTGACTCATCACTGTGTTCCAAACCCTTTCAAAGGGGAGCCGACCTGATGCCATCGTGCCAGACAATTTTGCAATGAAACTAAGTCTTTGATGTCACAGACTGAGAGAGAGGGATAAGCTGGGCTCTTGAATAGATAACCGGGATGACTCCCAGCTTTTGAAGTCTAGTGAAGAGCATTTCATAAACTCCAGATTTAGAAGCAGATAATTAACAGATACCATTAAGGCTCGTATCCGTGGCTATGGCTGTGACCGCTGCCCCACAGCCAAGACGGACACCCTGCCCACGTGTCACGAGGCAGGCAGGGGCCCAATCCTTACCTGCCCTGACTTCCCTGAAAGCTTAGGCTGAATGGGCAGATTTTGGTTCAAGAACAGGTGCTTCTGGAGGATAGATTTCTTTAAAGCATGTAGCCTTCATTCAATATTTCGAATTAGGCTTCTAATAGTTTTATCCTAGCACTTGTCCATCATACTATGATAGTTACATCATCGGTTATATTAAGTGTAGCAACTTCAAATTTGTTAATTGTGATTTGAAGTCCAGTGAAAGAAATGACTTTTATCTCACATTTTTTATTAAAGTATAATTTATATAAAGTCCAGTGCTCAGGTCTTAAGTGTTCTGATCAAACAGTTTTGATGAATACACATAAAGCCACAGGACATTTCTCACACTTCCCAGGCAATCTCCTATCCCCAGAATCAACCACTGGTTTTATTTCTGTCATCGTAGGTTAGTTTTTCCTAGTTTGGATTTTCTTATAAATGGATCCCATCGTATGCACATTTTCATATGCAGCTTATGTCACTCATCATATGTCTGAGATTCATCCATGATGGTATTAGTTGTTCATTCTGTTACACTGCTTGGTATCCTGTTGCATGACTAAACCACAGTGTCTTTATCCATTCCTCACTCATGGACAACTGGGCCGTTTGCCAGTTTTCGATTTTTACGAATGAAACTGCTATGAACATTCTTATACAAGGATTTTTGTGGAAATATATTTTCATTTCTCTCATGTAAATACCTAGGAATAGAAATGCTGGCTATAGGTAAGTGTATTTTTAACTTTTAAAGGAAGTATTAGTTTTCCAAACTGGTTATACCATTTGACACTCTCACCAACAATGCATAAGAGTTCCAGTTCCTCCACATCCTCTCCCACTTTTAGTGTCATCAGTTTTTTTCACTTTAACCAACTTCTAGTTGATATCTAGTGGTCACTAACTATAATTTTAATTTGCATTTCCCTGATATCTAGTAGTTGGTGTTTAAAACTTTTTCCTGTGTGTATTGGCCACTTGTATATCTTCTTTAATGATATTTCTATCCAAGTTGTTTTGCAATTTTTAATTACATTGTTTGTCTTTTTATTGTTGAGTTGCAAGAATTTCTCTATGTATTCCGAATGGAAGTCTTTTGTCAGAGATGTGTTGGCAAATCTGTGGCTTGCCTATTCATTTGTTTTAACAGTGTCTTTGATAAGCAGAAAGATTTTATTTTATTGAAACCCAGTTAATCAAGTTTTGCTTTTATGGCCTGTACTTTCCATGATTTCTTTAAGAAGTCTTTGCTACCTCAAGGTTACAAAAATACTCTGTTTTTTTCTAGTAATTTTATCACTTTAGTGTTTGCATTTAGATCAATGACCCATATTGAACTGATTTTTCTATATTATTAGAGGTAAGAACAAAGTTTTTTTTCAAATTAATATCTAGTTGTTTCTGTACCATTTGTTGAAAAGATTTTCCTTCACTACTGAATTTCTTTGGCACCCTTGTCAAAAATCACTTTCCCATATATCTTGGGTCTATGCATGGACTCTATTTTGTTCCATTTGTCTTTTAACCCATCCTTTCATCCATACCACACTGTGTTGATTAGTGTAGTTATATAGTCAGTCTTGTGGTGAAGTAGGGTAAATATTCCAAATTTGCTCTACTTTTTCAATATTGCTTTGGCTATCCTAGGTCCTTTGCCTTTTCATATAAATTTTAAAATTATTTTGTCCAAGATAAAAGCTTGCTGGGATTTTATTTAGGATTGGTCAGTTTGGGAGAAGTGACATCTTAATGTTGAGTCTTCTAATTCATAAACATGTTATATCTCTTAATTTATTTAGGTCTTTAATTTCTCTCATCAACATTATATAGTTTCCAGTCTTTCATATCTTTCATTAAATTTATCCTTAAGTAGCTGAATTTTTATGCTACAATTACTATTTTGACATTTTCATTGTTAATTAATTGTTCATTGCTAACATATGGAATTATAATTTAATTATATCCTGCAACACTGCAAAAATAAATTATTAGTTCTACTTTTTTTTTAATCCCTTAGGAAACTCAAAGCAATCTACAGATTCAATGCAATCTCTATCAAAATACCAATGACATTCTTTACAGAAATAGAAAAAACAATCCTAAAACATATATGGAATCACAAAACTATCCTGAGCAAAAAGAATAAAAACTAGAGGAATCACGTTGCCTGACTTCAAATTATTCCACAGAGCTATTGTAACTAAAACAGCATGGTACTGGCATAAAACCAGACAAATAAACCAATGGAACTGAATAGAGAACCCAGAAACAAATCCACACACCCACAGAGAACTCATTTTTGACAAAGGTATCAAGAACATAAACAGGGAAGACAGTCTTTTCAATAAATGGTGCTGGGAAAATTGGATATCCATATGCAGAAAAATGAAACTAGACCCCTATCTTTTGCCATATACAAAAATAAAATCAAAATAGATTAAAGACTTAAATTTAAAACCTCAAACTATGGAACTACTACAAGAAAACATGGGGGAAGATCCTCAGGACACTGGTCAGAACAAAAATTTCTTGAGTAATACACCACAAGCACAGGTAACCAAAGTAAAAATGGACAAATGGGATCATATAAAGACAAAAATCTTCTGCACAGCAAAGGAAACAATCAACAAAGTGAGGAGACAACCCACAGAATTGGAGAAAATACTTGCAAACTACTCTCTGACAAGGAATTAATAGCCAGAATATATAGGCAGCTCAAACAACTCTATAGGAAAAATTCTAATAATCTGATTTTAAAATGGGCAAAAGATCTGAATAGACACTTCTCAAAAAAAGATATACACATGGCAAACAGTCATATGAAAAAGTGTTCAACATCATTGATCATCAGAGAAATGCAAATTGACACTACAATGAGATAGCATCTCACCCTAGTTAAAATGGCTTATATCCAAAAGACAGGCAGTAACAAATGCTGGCAAGGATGTAGAGAAAAGGAAACTCTTATACACTGTTGTTGGGAATGTAAATTAGTACAACCACTATGGAGAACAGTTTGGAGGTTCCTCAAGAAAACTAAAAATAGAACTACCATATGATCCAGCAATCCCACTGCTGGGTATATATACCCAAAAGAAAGTAAATCAGTATATCAAATAGATATTTGCATTCCCGTGTTTGTTGCAGCACTGTTCACTATAGCCAAAATTTGGAAGCAACCTATGAGTCCCTCGACAGATGAGTAGATAAAGAAAATGTGGTACAGATACACGATGAAGTACTATTCAGTCATAAAAAAAAGAATGAGATTCTGTCATTTGCAACAACATGACATGGATAGAACTGGAAATCATTACACTAACTGAAATAAGCCAGGCACAGAAAGACACACATTGAATGTTTTCACTTATTTGTGGGATCTAAAAATAAAAACAATTGAATTCATGGAGATAGAAAGTACAAAGATGGTTAACAGAGGCTGAGAAGAGTAGTGGGAGGGTAGGGGAGGGTGAAGATGGTTAATGGGTACAAAAAATAGTTAGAATGAATAAGACCTAGTATTGGATAACACAACAGGGTGACTATAGTCAATAATAATTTAATTGTACATTTTAAAAAAAACTAAAAGAGTATAATTAGATTGTTTGTAACACAAAGGATAAATGCTCAAGGGGATGGATACCCCATTTTATATGATATGATTATTATGCATTGTATGCCTGTATCAAAACATCTCATGTACCCCATAAATATATACACCTACTATGTACCCACAAAAATTAAAATAATTTTTTTTAAAGTTAAGAATTCCTTAGGAATTTCTCTGTACAAAATCATGTCACTTATAAGACAATTCTACATCTTCCTTCCCAATCTATATATCCTTTATTTCTTTTTCTTATATTATTGCTTTGTCTAAGACTCCAAGTTAAATGCTGAATAAAAGTTGTAAGAGAGACATCCTTGCCTTGTCTCCAATCTGTGGAGGAAGGCATTCAATCACCAATAAGTATGTCAGCCATAGGTTTTTTGTAGATGTTATTTGGCAGATTGAAAAAAGACTCTTCATTCCTAGTTTGCTGAGAGTTCTTATCTAGAACGGATGTTGGGATTTGTCAATTGCTTTTTCTACATCAAAATGACCTTATAATTTTTCTCCTTTAATAAGTTAATGTGGTAAATTATATTGATTTTTTAAATGTTATACAACCTTACATTCCTGAGATAAACCCTACTTTATCTTTTTCTTTATATTATGGGATTTTATTTGTTAATATTTTGTTAAGGATTTTTATCAAAGATTTAGTTATGATAATGAGAAACTTTGGTTTATAACTTTCTTTTCTATAATTTCCTTGTATGATTTTGGTATCAAGATAATTCTAGCCTCATAGAATGAGTTGGAAAGTATTCTCTAATATTCTATTTTCTAAAAGACTTGGTGTAGAATTGATATTATTTCTTCCTTAAATATTTGAAATAATTTGCCAGAGAAAACTAGCTGGGCCTAGATTTCTGTTTGTGGGAAGTTTTTTAAATTACAAACTCAATTTATTTAATGACTATAGGGTTTATATTTCCTATTTCTTCTTGGGTCCATTTTTTAAGTTATGTTTTTCAAGGAATTTGTCCCTTTCATCCAAATCATTGAATTAATTGTCATAAAGTTATTTATAATATGACTACATTATCCTTTTAAGGTCTGTAGGCTATTTAGTGATGTCCCTTCTTTTATTCTTCATAGTGGTAATTTGTATCTTCTGACCTTTTACCTTCATTAGTTTTCCTAGGTGTTTATCAATTTTATTAATCTTTTTAGCAAACCAATTTCAGTTTTTGCTGATTTTCTTGATTATTTGTCTCCTACTTTATTGCTTTCTACTCTGATTATGGTTTAGTTAACTCATCTCTTTTAGCTTTTTAAGGTGGAAGCAAAGGTCATTGATTTTATACCTTTCTTATTTTCTAATATGAGCATTTAAAGCTGTACATTTCCCTTTAAATTTTGTGTATGCCAAAGATTTTGATTTTCATCATTGTTATCAAATTTTGATTTTCATTATCAAAATATTTTCATTATCAGTAAATTTAAGATATTTTCTAAATTCCCTCATGATTTCTTCCGTGACTTGTGGTTTATTTAGTCATGTGTTGTTTAATTTCCAAACATTCGAATAATTTTTCTAGGTATCTTATTGTTATTGATTTCCACTTTACATTTCATTGTGTTCAGAGAATATACTTAGAAATTCAATCTAAGAAGTTTATGGAGACTTGTTTTATGATCCAGTTCATGATCTCTTTTGAGAAATGCTTCACATGCATTAGAGAAATATGTGTGTTTTGCTCCTGTTAGGTGGAGTAATCTAAAAATGTCAATTAGATCAGGTTATCAGCAGTGTTGTTCAACTCTTCCATATACTCAACTAGTTTTTCAGCCTATTAATTACTGAGAGAGGGTATATTAAATTCTTCAGCTATGATTGGATATGTATAATTTCCTTTAATTTTATCAATTTTTGCTTCATGTATTTTGGAACTTTGATATTAGGTACAAAAACTTTGGGGATGTTTATGTCTTCTTGATTAATTAAGCCCTTAATAGCATTCTGTTTCTTATATCTTTTTATCAACTTGAAGTCTACTTCACCTGATATTAGTTTCACCTGTTTTCTTATGCACAGTATTTGCAGGTTATCTTTTTCAAATACTTTACTTTCAACCTGTTTGTGTCTTTATATTTAAAGTGTATTTCTATAGTTGAGTCTTGCATTTTTATCCAGTCTGACAATTTCTGCCTTTTAATTGGGAAGGTCAGTCCCTTTATATTTAATGCAATTATTCATCTATTTTGATTTTAAACCAAATTTTGGTTTGGTTTTTATCTTCTATGCTCTTTGTTTTTATGTTCCTATTATTTTTAGGATGAAACGTATTTTTAGTATTTCATTTTAGCTCCTCTATTGACATTTTAGTCATGCCTCTGAATTATTTTTAGTGATTTCTCTAGTGACTGTAATCTTTATCTTTAATTCCTCACAGTTTGCTTTCAAAAAAATATTCTATTACTTCCATTTTCTTTCAGCCTACAGAACTCCTTTTAGCATCTCCTGGAGATGGCTTCTTTCTGGTTTTTTCTGCTTGAAAATATCTTCAATTCACTTTTATTTTTGAATGATATTTTTATTGGATATAGAATTATAGGTTGACAAGATCTTTTGTTTTTTCCGGTAGCATGCTGAAACTGACATACTTTATCCTTTGTTTTCAGCAATTTGACTGAATCTGCTTGGGATTCTCTAAGCTTCTTGATAAGGCATATATTTACTCTTTAGTTTTAGAAAATGTTTTATTCTTTTATCTTTGAATATTTCTTCTTTCATGTTTTCTCTCACCTTCTTCTAGGACTCTAATTATATATAAGACATTTGATATTATACCATAGAACTCAGATACTATTTTTTATTCTTTTTTCTTTGTTTCAGATTGGATCATTTCTATTGATGTGTCTTTAAGTTTTTTTCTCTTGTATCCAATCTTCTAATAATTTCATTGACAGCATTTTTCATGTCTGACATCATGTTTTCTATTTTTTAGCATTTCTATTTAGATCTTTTTTTATACTGTTTTCATACCTCTGCTGAAAATCCCCATGTTGCCTTTTTCCCACTGGATCCTTTAGCATATTTATCTTAGCTACTTTACAGTCCCTGTCTGATAATTGCAACATTTGGGCCAACTTTGATCGTTCTATTGACTATGTTGTGTCTTGACAAGTGATCATATCATTGTTCATTTGTTTGGGGGTGTGTATGTGTTTGGTAAGTTTATATTGAATGCAACACATTGTATGTAAAAAATAGTAGCAATGAGGCAAATACACCAAAAAATGGAGAATTGTCTTCCTCTATCAGTCTGTTGATGCAGGAAGCTGAATTAGTATCTAATCTGTATTTGAGCTGGGTTTGGACTGTGCTATTGTTTTAGTTACATTCAATGCACTACAATCTTCAGATTCTCTTACTGGTGGACTATTGCTGGCCCCCACTTAGCATGAAGCCTAGTGTAATAAAGAGTTTCTCTCAATTCTCCCGTACCACCTTAGACTTCAGCAGGCTCTGCACTGTAGAAGAGGTCTCTCAACATTCCTGCCCCTCTCCTACTGTTATACTACCATCTGGTGCCTAATGCAAGGCCCAGCATTCAGAAGGATTTATTTAGGCAGCCCTACATACCTGGGCCTTAGAGAGGATCACTCTTAACTCTCCTCTCTCTCCCCTACGTGACATTATCTCGCACTCAGTGCAGAACCTTGAGCTTGGGCAGGTTTCTGGCCCTCACCCAGTAGCAGATAACAGCTGCCTTATACTCGGTGCAAGATCCTGAGTAAGACCTGGTTTTCTGCCCCTTTCTCAGCAGCAGATAACCACTGACTCTTGCCCATGCATGGTCCATGAGGGTTTCTCTTGGTTTCCCTGCCCTAGCCTTAGTGTTGGGCAGGCCTTGTATACCTCTACCTCAGGCATGCACCTCCCAGAACTTCCAGTGGCAGATAACCTCTGCCTCTTACTCACAAAAGGTCATGAGCATGGGAGGGTTTTTATTAGTTCTCTTGCTACAGACTTAGGCAGGTCCTGCACCACAGAGAGTTGTCTATCCTTTTACTCTGCCCCCAATTTTTTTGTGTAAGCTCTCAGTGGAAGCCAAAGGACAAGAGTGAGACACCCTTTGTCTCTTTACAATAATTCTAAACCATTAGGCTAGCCCATACTTGGCTCTTAAAACATGATTACACTTTCAGTTGTTTTCTTCTTACTATCTCTGTTGGTTACCTCCTCCTCCTGCTGCTCTGCCCAGGGTAATATCCTCGGAGGGGCTGCTACTCTTTTGATTTTAGTTCATTAGATTACCTTGTGTCCTCAGGGCAGACCTAAAAATATGTGATTTTATAAACTGTCTGGTTTGTTTTACTGTTAGGGTGGAAGCAACATTCTCTTGCATTTTTATATTCTATGTGGAAACTCCCACTAAATATGAATATTAATAATAATCTCTCTCTTTTGGTATAAATTTATATGCCTTAAAACACACTTTTACTTTTTGTGCATTTATTCTTCTCTAATGAAATTGAAATGAAATCTCATCCTTCCCTCTTTGTCCCATAGCTCCTTGCATGTGGAGCTTAGTCACAGTAAGTAAGGTAAAAAGCTTGTGAACAATCAATCAAGGATTAGAATAACATTAGAATAATTATAATTACAAAGCAACAACAAAATTTGGTAGGGCACACAGCAGATAAAGCAGGTGTTTTATTTATGCATTATTTCATTTCTCAAAATTCAATGAGCTAGATGCTATTTTCTAGATGAGGAAATTTATGTTCAGAGAAATTAAATGACTTGCCCAAGACCACACAGCTAATAACTGGAGACACTGGGACTTGAACCCAAGCAGTCTACATTAAGGTTCACACTCTTAATCTCCATGTCATGAAGACATGAGTGAGGTGTTAAATGTTTACTTAAGCCAGATTTTCTTTCACTGATGATTTGACATCTGAGTTCTACTAATTCATATAGCTCTCCACGCATTCAGGGCCAAAGCAACACTCACATATTTTTTTTTCCCTCACACATCTTGCACAAGGAATTGCTGCTTCCAGACTTAATCTCACCAGAATACCTTTACATCATTCTGCTGTCTTCAGGAGGTCCCTCTCCCTAGGTTACCTGCTCAAAATAACAGGCAGAGGGCCAAGATTGGATGGAGGTTGCAGAGTATGGCAGCAAAGCAATGCCCTAAAGCATACAAATGACTCCTCGGGCAAATGCAGACAGGTGTGACTGTCCAGAGCCGACCTCTGAGGGGCTGGAGCCTCGACAGGTGGCCTGACTCCAGGAGAAAGTGGGGAGCCTTGGTGCACTGAGGGTCATCAGCTAATGCATCTGAATGGCGAAGTCATGATTTCAAGGGGGCAGAAGGGAAAATTCATCTAACTCCACTTACAATTCAGCAGCATAATTTCCCAGACACATTGTCTAGAAATAGTGTGAGCTCTTTTTGAAGCAGCCTCTTGACTGTTCAAAGAAAGACTTCCCCCAGTCATTTTTAAAACTAGAGACATTGTCATTAGGGGAGAAGAGATCAAAAGCACCTTAATCTCCTCTATCAGCAGGCCAGCTACTTACCAAGTCTGAGAATGTTCCCCATGTGCTGCTTCCTGAGTCTGCCCGATAGTCCTGGGATTGGTATCTTGGATCGTAAAAAACAGAAATATGGTTTTACTTATACAGGTCTCTATCTCTGGGAGATGCGTGGAATGATAACACAATGGCCCAATCGACTCTCACCCCAACGGCTGCTCAAGGGTATTTCCAAATTCATAATTGGGATAGCTGCGGTTGCTTTCTTTAAAGAGGGATCAAAACATTGAAATCCATCCAAGACCACTGCTATGTAACCTGAGAGCGGGCAGCATTCATTAATGGGACACGCACAAGGCACTTGCCCTCATGTTCTTAAATAAGATTCCTTCAACAATCCTCAGGGAAAAGAGGGCCCTATGTCTCCAAGTGCTCAAGAAGTCTCCTCTTGTATGAGAGGCTTACAATGCAGGCATACCTATCCAAGGCTGTCTCTTATACCACCAGGCTGCTGCAAATTAAGGGTGCATTAATAGAAGTATGCTTCTAAGAACACAGGAGGTAAGGCCTTTCTTGCTTCTATGGGTAAGTCGTACAAGGGTATATGGCATTCGATGTCCTTGCACTTTAAAGTGAACTTTGCCCAATTAGAAGGATCAGCACATGTGAGATTAGAGTGCAGCATAAAGAAGGTGTGAGTGTGAGTTAGAGTGTTAATCAACAGCAACTGAAATAAAAACACAACTAGGCTAAATTTGTTCAGACCTTACAACCATTCCATATGTCTTGGTCCCAGACCTCCTGTCACTCTAAGCACCCAGTGCTGCTGTTGACTAATACCCTAACTCACACTCACACTTTCTTTATTCTGCACTGTCATCTCACATGTGTTGATCCTTCTTCAACTAAACTGTGAGCTCCTTGAGGGCAAGGATGGTGGGTGATTAGTACACAGTGCCTGGCTTGCTCGAGACATATTTGTTGAATGAACAAATGAACAGACAGACAGACAAACAAAACGACTGCCTTGGGAGAATGAGACCTCAGATACTCATATCCATGGGATGAAGGGATGACCCTGGCCTGATCATGGAAGGGGTAATGAAATTCTGGCCTGCCTCCCAGAGAGATGCCAGAAGCAGAAGGATTAGGCTCTTCCAGAGTCTATAAGCAAGCTGCATGCCCACTATAGAAGCAAAGTCATATATGCCAAATGTGATGAAGCCAAAGATAGGCGTCAATGGGGTCAGGAAGCTGTGGAACCTCAGGCAAACCCAGGCCAGGCTGTGCCTCTGCTTCCTTTTGCTGTAAATGACTAAAATCACAGATAGCTCACCAGGTTGCTGGATGTATTAGTCCGCTCTTACACTGTTATAAAGACACTCCCCAAGACTGGGTAATTTATTTAAAAAAAAAAAAAAAAGAGGTTTAATTAACTCACAGTTCTGCATGACTGGGGAGGCCTCCGGAAACTTACAATCATGGTGGAAGGGGAAGCAGGCATGTCTTACATGGCGGCAAGGGAGAGAAAGCATGTGAGAGTGCAGGGAAAACTACCATTTATAAAATCATCAGATCTCATGAGAATTCACTCACTATCATGAGAATGGTATGGGGGAAACTGCCCCCATAATCCAATCACTTCTCCCCTGAACATGTGGGGATTAGAGGTCCCTCCCTTAACACATGGGGATTACAATTCGAGATGAGATTTGGGTGGGGACACAGAATCAAACCATATCACTGGAAGAAGCAAATAAAATGCTATCAGTAAAGGGCACATTAGAAACTATAAAGGGCCCTAAATGGGCAAGGAGAGAAGACAGAGACAACAGAGGTAAGTGGCATTCTAGAAGGAGAGAACAGTCTGGCCTAGGACATGAGTGGAAGGTTGCAGGGAAGAGTTCTGGGACTGGCTGGGCCCAAGAGCACCCAAGCCCTTCACTTGAGGGATGGCCACCAGGATGTCCTGGATGACATGAACCCAACCAGGAGGCTGGTGCCAAAGGGAGGCTGACAGCAAAGCAGGAAAGAAGGGAGCATCTCTGCACAGGGCCTGGCGGCACCTGTGTCATAATCTGCACACCCAGGACAGTAGGATGAAGCTACTGTCGCTGTACTGTTACCAACACAACACTGATAACATACCCAGTCCCTCATAATTGTAGTCACCTCTTGCTTTGGCCGCCAGGAGACTCACAGTCTAATCTGCAGCCTACCCTCAACAAAAGCACTGGATCCATAATGGCCTTTCTTCCTCCCTCCCCCACCCTACCCCTGCACCTTTCCTATTAGACTGTAAGCTCCAGGAGGGCAGGAACCATGGCTGTTTTTCTGTTCACTGCTGTATCTACAGAGCCAAGCACATGGTAAATCCTCAGTATCCTTGCTGAGTGACAAACCACACTCCTATTTTCTTACCCTTCCTTTCCATTTGCCCCAGGTTCTTCTTATTTAATGTTTGTCCTGCCGCAACATCAGTGTTTCTGAAAGCCACCACAGATCCTCTTTTGTACAAGGTGGGATATAAATAAATACATAAGGAAAAGAAGACATAACACATAAAGAATCCACGGATGCACAATTCCCCCAAGTAGCTTATATAACAGCATGGCTCTGCTGACCTGCCCCCACCCTTTCCAGAGGCAAGCGAGGCAGGTGCAGTTGCAGAAGACGCTGTTTCTAAAGTTCAGTTTTGTCCTTAGGAGGCCTTCCTACCGGGCTGCTCCCAGAGATTGTGTTACCGCCAGGCCCAGCTGAAAGGTTGCCTAGCAACACTCAGCAGCCTCCGCGCCTCTAAATCCCTAATTTGTGTCTTACATGTACACAGCGCAGTGCTAGCATGACCCCAAGCAGTAGACACCTCTACAAATCCCCATCTAAAATAGGCCTGATCTGCCTGCATTAGCAGAGTCTGAGGCCCAGAACCTCCTCCTCTTCCTGGCCTGTGACTTCTAGCCTGGACACATGGGTGCCCATGGAGCATAAGCACAGAGGCAGGCGCTTTGAGTCTTGATGCTACTGTGTCTGGTTTGCCAGGAAGAAGCAAGGAAAAGGAGATGAGCTTGAGCTTAAAGCCCATATAGTTTAAGCCCATGAAGATCCCATCACCCTATGAAGAGCCGCCTCATTGGAGATTTTCTGCTCTCAGGCAAACACTTTATTTTTCATCCAGAAGGGTCAAAAACATGCCAACGTGTAAATAAATGAAGTGTTGTTTAAGATCATGTCTAAACAGTGTGCAAAAATAAATATCCTCACTCTAAAGCAAGACAGTATACAATATCCATCTGTGGAAGCAGGAATACGAGGAGTAATTTGGGGGAAAATTGCTTTATGAGACCCAAATTTCACCTGTGGCTTCTCAGAAACCATGATAAAGAGCAAAGAACCCCTAACTCATAGACTTCCAAACAAGGCCCAGGGATGTGGACATGGGTTCTCATCCCTTCTTTCTGGCTCAAAGAAACCTTGCAGCAACCTCCTTGCTGCCAGTGACTGTAGATTTTACTGCAGCCTCTCCAACTGCTTCTCCCGCTTAACTACCAGGCAATTGTGAGCCACAGCACTGTCCACAGGAAAACACTCCTCTTTTCCATTTCACTGCAAGAGGAGGCCATGCTTTCTTGTACTGGGCCTAAAACCAGTCAACTCCATCTGGCCTCTGTCTCTAAGCCAAAAGTTAAAACTTTAAGCATTACGTACATAAAAAAAACAAAAGAACAATTTCAGTTCTTGTGTTAAATTACATTTTTGATAGTGAAATGAAAAACAGACGAGGAGAAGGGGTGAAATCAAGACACTGTGGAGCTGTGATGCTCAGTACAGAAGCCACTAGTCCCGTAGGCCTATCTAAGTTAAAATTAAAATTAAAATTAAATAGAAGTAAAAAATCTAGTCCTTCAGCTGCACGAGCCAGAGCGGGTATTTCAAAAGCTCAATAGACACACAGGACTAGGAGCCACTGTGTTGCACAGCTCAGATCTGAAGAACATTTCCATCACCACGGAAGGTTCTGATGGATAGCACTGCCCTGGATGAGCCCCCGAGTGGACCATGGGCACAGAGGTCCATCCCCAACATGGCGGTGCCTATCAAGAAGCCCTGATCATCACTTCAGAGCTGGGTCCTGAGTCTTCAGTCTCAGAAAAACCTCTACAGCCAAGGCCCAAACACTTCTGGGAATTTGCCCAGGATCCCCAGTGCAATGTCTCACCCAGACTTATCCTCTTATCTCAACAAAAGTTCCCTTGTGACTCATCTCCCAAGGCCACACTGTCACACTGCTCCAGGGGTGTAGCGAAAATGGTGCCCCACTGCCCCACCACCACCAAGGATACGTCCACCCAGGACCCATGAGCATGAACTTATTTGGAAAAATAAGTCTTTGCAGATATAATTAAGTTAAAGATCTCAGGATGAAGACCAGGCTGACTCAACCAGGTTGTTCCTAAACCTGATGACAAGAGCCTTTATAAGAAGAAGAGATGTCACAGAGCAGGAGGCCACATGAAGACAGAGGCAGAAACTAGAGTTACATAGTCACAAGCCACAGCATGCCAAGGACTGCCAGCAGCCTCCAGAAGCCACGAGCGAGAAGCAGGACAGATCACCCCGCACATCCTCCCGAAGGAGTCAACCCTGCCAACACCTGGGTTTTGAACTTCTGGCCTCCAGAACTCTGAGAGAATAAATTTCTGTTGTTTTAAGCCACTTGGTGTGTGGCAATTTGTTGCAGCAGGGCTAGGAAACTAATATAAGGGGTTAATGGCAAATTATGACTGAATGGGTTTGCTCTCCCAGGAGAGATGCATTCAGCATGGATGCCTGGCCTGTGACTTCCAGCCTGGACCCATGGGTCCCCACTGAGCATGAGCGCTGAGGCAGGCAAGCAGACGGAGCCTCGGGCCCCAGGGCCACCATTTGATCTGCACGTGCCAGGAGGAAGTACCTGATGGCAGTGGCAGAGTGCAGGATGTGGGAGCAGTGAGGCCTTTGCGGCACTCCTCAAAAGATGCTACAGAGATGGCTCTGGTGCCCCCCACCCAGTCTCTCCTGACCTTTCTCCCCTTGTGGCTCCCTCCTCCACACCATCCTGGGCCACTGTGCTCTGCCCTTTCTCGCTTCTCCTCTCCTGCTGATCTCATTCCTACTCTCATCCCAAGGCTCATCTCAAAACCCACCTCCTCCAGGAAGCCTCCTCGGACCACCCCATCCCAGCATGACAGCTGCATGCCACGGCAGAAGGAGCCCTGAGTTCCAGGCTTGGCCTAGCCATGCCCTCCCTATGAGACTCCCATCAATCTCTTCATTTCTTTCTAGGCCTCAGTATCCCCATCTGCAGCATGAGGGGTGAGGCTAGACCAGCTCTAGGATTTCCAGCTGTCACATAACACGCTCACCAATTTGCACCAGTATTCACCTTTTTTTTTGCCTGGCATGCAAGAGATGTCAAATAATAGCAATAAACATTATCTATTTATTTATTTTTTGAGACAAAGTCTGCTCTGTCACCCAGGCTAGAGTACACTGGCATGATCTCGGCTCACTGCAACCTCTGCCTCCCGGGTACCAGCGATTCTCGTGCCCAGCCTCTAGAGTAGCTGAGATTACAGGCGTGCACCACCACGCCTGGCTAATTTTTCTATTTTTAATAGAGATGGGGTTTTGCTATGTTGGCCAGGCTGGTCTTGAACTCCTGACCTCAGGTGATCCTCCCACCTCGGCCTCCCAAAGTGCTGGTATTACAGGTGTGAGCCACCACATCTGACCTAATAATATTAATTATGAAATAAAAACTAGCAATTATGAAGCTGATCATAATGCTAAATGCTTTATGTGTGTTATCACAATAGCATTTTTTTGGATGGATAGATGCATCGGAGGAGGGGAGAGGAGAGGAAAGTGGGAGGAGAGGCTGCACTCTAAACAGGTCTCAGACTCATGAAGGCAGAACCCTTGTTCCCCTGGCTGGTCCCAGCACTGAGCTTAACATGCCACAAGGGGCTCAACACATATGGGGAGGGACACCAAAGAACTTACAGAAAGGAGACCAGATTTAGGAAGTATCTTACTTTTGAACAGGGTCTGCCCTTTCTCAATGACCTATCCACCCCCACCTGCTCCTTTGAACTTCAGAAGCTTCTGAAAGGAATCAGAGCTTCAAAGTAAGGGACTGCCAACCATAACAGGATCGCTGCACAGATACTGACCAAGTTGGGTGCATCTCTGATTTTTTTCTCCAGCCCTCTTGCCTGAGCAATCTGACGCAGAGGCACATGAGGAATCAGCACGGAACCATCGACCCACAGGGTTAATCCCAATGTCAATACCTGCTAGATGTCAGGGATCCCCTGGGCTGCTGGCGAGCCATTTGAAATGACCCATCTCCTGCCACCTTGGCCTGCTCCTCTGGGCCACCTCTCTCCACCTGCACTTGCTTACCGTGAGTAACCTGACCCCAGTGGGCCCAACCCAGGTGTGTTAGTCCTGACAGGGCCAAGAGGCCAGGACAGCTGCTGCCTGGCCTCGTTCTCAGTACCCTGTGGAGAAGGGGCGGCTCACTGGCATTACCCCATCATTCCGGCACTAGGACACACGGCTGGCTTCCCTTGGGGCGGAACTGCTGGTTCCATGGGCACAAGGCAAACCCTGGGAGGTCCTAGCCGTTCCTAGCGCATCCGCTAAACGTAAGGCATTTGCTCTCCTTCTCCCCCACGCCCCCAGGGAAGACGGCAAGGCCACCGGTGCACTTCGCAGTGCCAGGAGAAAGGCGCCTCATGCTATTAGCTCAAATAAGGAAAATCATGCCGGGAAGATTGAATTTTCTGCAGACTTGTTTAACCTGGTGATTTCTGAGCACTTGGCGCTGGCAGCCACGGGGGAGTGGGCTGCCAGCCGGCACTTTATCAGCCACTTCTCAGGACTATTCCTAAGCTTATTAAATCAGCATGAGTCACTCCCTTGCCTTCCTCACAAGCATGAATCACGAATCATCAAAACCCAAGCAAAATGCATGACTCAATAGTTTCTTCGGGGCCTAAAGGGGCTAGCGAGCTGGCGGTAGGGTGTTGTCAACCCGAGACCTCCCCCCACCAACAAGCAGTACTTTCCAGGGAAGGCAAGGGGGCTGCCACAGGGCAAAAAGAAGAGCTCAGAGGAACTTTCAAATACCTTGCATGGGCTCAGAAACACGCAGACCTGGGCTCAACCACACACTCGCGCAGTTCTGCTGTATGCCAGGCACCTTGACAAACACACTAGAGGAGCCAGCAGAGAGCAGGACTAGCCATTCTCTGCCCCCGCGTTGCTTACAGTCTAGAGGGAAGTGTTTGAAGTAGTTGGGATCCTATTTTTATTTCCTTCCTAGCTAGGAAAAACTTGGACAAGTCATGTAACATCTCTGAGTCTCAGTTTCCCCATTCTAATGCCTGTTCACAGGGCTGTCCTAAGGATTAAAAGAGCTAATATACATCAAGTCCCTCACACAGTCCCTAGTGCATTGTACCTGCTCAACAAGCATTTGCCCTTTCACTGGAGAGAGAATGACCCGTGATGTCTTACAGAGTTCAGGGAATCCTCTGCCAATCCCCACCTACCCTCCCCTTTGCACCCAGACCTGAACTCTGGGCACCCCTGCAGCTGTGGCAGGAGAGGGCAGTTTGGTCCAGGGTTTCCTTCCTGGGACAACTGCTCCCTAGAGCCTCAGCACCAGTTTCAGGTCTTCCTTCCTGGTAACCCATGGCAACTTTTCTTTCTCTGCAGCCTTTCTCCTCTGGTCTTTTGGCCAACAGGTCCTGACCACACTTTCAGCTTCTGGTCCTCATCTTTCTCCAAAGAGCTAAAGACTGCAGTAAGCAGCTTCCTCCCTGCGGCCTGAGTCACCCTACCCTGCCCCTCCCTGCTCACTCTCCCAGAGCAAAAGAATTGAGTCTTCCACTTTAACCCCCACACCGGACTCCCCTACCTCTCCAAAAACAAACTTCTCTCCCAGACCCTCATTTTCCAGTCCCAGGACTGGAAACATCACCTTCAGGGCTGCCACATACAGGGCAAAGGCTGTGCACTGCCCAATAGGGTCAGGGAAGGTCACATACACTGACATGTGTGGGCACCCTCGGATTGAGCAATAAGGTGGCCCTGTGCCCGATGCATACATTGAACCTGCATTGTTGGCCAACATTTGCTGAAACCTTCTGCATGCCAGATCATCTCCTTTAATCCTCACAATCCTATCAGGCAGGAACTATCAACTCCCCCACACCCCTGAGAAAACTGAGATCAACACGCAGCGAATGCTGGAGCTGAGTGAGGTGCCTGAGCCAAGACCTGGAAGAGATGAAGGGTGAGACTGTCAGGTGGAGAAGCTGGGGTGTAGACAGCAGAATCGAAGAGGCTGTGGGAGCTAAGTCAGGGCAGGGACATTCCTGGGGCTTTGCCATCCTTCCTTCCCACCACTGGGGCTGGCCTCTGATGCTGGGAGCAACTTTATAAAAAGCAGACTCTCCTCACGACAGTAGGGAGGAGACTCTATCTACCCACCCCACTTAGGACAAAGAACTCTAGAAGAGGCCCTGTGTCCACAGGTGATAGCAGGGCTGCCCTAAGTGAAGGGGGACGTCCCTTTCTGGGGCCTCCACAGCCCAGTTGGAAACCCTCAGCCTAGAAACAATAGAACACAACAGACACAGTGACTGTGTTTGAGCCATTTCACTGTAACTTCATTTTCCTACTTTTATCTAGTCCCCAAACATTATATAATTTTTAAATGGAACAAAATTTTAGCAAATATCAAAGGTGGAACAAGTGGAGGCAGATGTGGAAAAGAAGAATGAAGAGGAAAAAAAGAGAGAACATATGAAGATTGAGAAGGTGAGGGCGAGAGGAAACCATCAGAGCTAAATGTGAGACTTTTTGCCATTTTCAGGCCCATCTTTCCCTCAGAGGAAACAGTGATAGCTCCCACAAGCAGAGAGTGGGAGCTGCGTGAGGCCTCACCATCATCTGCAACAGAGGTCAGAGACACAGCCCGGCCCCTCTAAACAGAAGAAGGGGGCAAGAAGAAAGGGTCTGGCCAAAACTGGGGACTCCAAGCCACCTGTTTGCCCATCAGGGTCCCAGACCACAGCTGCCACTTTGGGCTGAAACTCCAGGGGCTCCTTGACAACTCCTGCTTCTAAGGAAGCATCTGCTGGTGGCAAGTGCCCGCCACCCACTGAGCCTCCTCCAACAAGGAAATTGGGACCCAGACTCCTAAGGCTAATTCTGAGCCTGTCCCTGACCTTCTGCTCAGAGCAGCCACCTTCACAACAGAGAACCCTTTGGGGCTGACCAAACACTTGCCCTTGCGGGCCATCACGGGAGACTGAGAGGAGCTCCTACCAGCACACACACACCCATCACTGTAGGCCACTAACTTCACAGGAGAAAGAGCCTTGCCTGGGTCCCAAGCACAGACACATAGCCACAAATAGGGGTGACACAGTCAACAACTTTCCATCCCAGTCTGAATGAGGTCCAGCAAGGCCTTCTTCTAATGCCAGAACCAAGAGGGACCCGGAAGTGACAACTGTGTCATGGTAGCGGTCAATTACCCATGCTAGTAACACATCTGTGCTGGGTCTCAGGGTCACCCAGATGGTAGGGGGATTTATGGCCCAAACCTGACTTCCCAGAATTCAACGAATTCAGGAACAGAGAGAAGCAGAACCAGAAAGAGCTCTCTTCCAGGTCTCGCTGGGAGCCAGTATATTTTTGGAGGGCTTTGGCCTCGCCGGCTTGCTGTACTTTATTGCTGGCAGAAAGATGGGAAATTTATTACTTTACAAATCATACCCTTTGCAGCATAAATGAACTGTCTGGCTGCAGCACGCTCGAGCCTAGATGATTTGCGAAATGTCTAATGGTAAGCAGGGTTATGCTATCTGCTTACGGCCTCCGAGACAAAAGCAAGCCGTAAGGCAGAGCATCTGCACAGTGTAACTCTAGGCCAGCAAATTGGCTGAGACGCGTAAATGTTGGCTCAGCAGCATTACATAATTCGGTGCGCTCGGCCGGGGACTCAGAGGAGCACAGGGCAGCCCCTCAGCCCAGGGAGCCGGCTCTGACGGGGCTGTGCATGACAAGCGGGGCACCAGTGGAGTTCAGGGCCCAAGGTCAGGGTCAGGCCGAGCTCCACAGCCTGGCTAGTCCTGAGGCCTGCTAGTGATCAGAAGGCTGGGGCGGACCCCTGGGACTGCCACGGCAAGGCAGTGCTCTCTACATCCCTTCTGCTCCAAATTCCCCAAACCTGAGGTGAGGGGGATGGTCTTGAAATCATTACAGCCCCAGTGTGCAGACAGGAGCTGGTCAGCACCCACGGCCCATGGGGTGTTCCCTCTGGCCCGGCTGGCAAGAGGAGAGGACTGATCACAGGATCCATCATTACCACTGACAGGCTCATCCACCGCCTGTGATGCAGGATGTGACTAGAAGGGAAGGGAAGGCATGCCCATGTATACAGAAAACCGAGCAAGTCACTTGATCTCTCTGAGCTTCAGGGTCATGTGAGTGGTAGTGCAAGACCCGAAGTCAGGCTGTTAGGATCTTGCTCCTCATGTATCTATGCTTTACATGGCACTTAACGCTCATTATCATCATGAAGCACTCAGAACCACCCATGCAGTATGCATATCATCATCCCCATCTGACAGGTGAGCATATTGAGGCTCGGGAGAGTCATAGCACTTGACAAGGCTCATGCGGCTAGTGAGTGGCAGAGCCAGGATTCAAGCTCAGGATCTACTGGTTCTAAAGCTTCTGGGTTTTTTTTTTCACACAGCACTTCTCTGCCTCTCATAATCTAGGGTGTCATTTCACGGCCCCCCATCATCTCACACTGTGCCGTTTGCTGGACCGGGGGGTCCTCAAGTGAGGCCTTGAAGGTTGGACTACTGACCCAACATAAGCTCTGCTGGGCCCAGGCATGCAGTAGAGGTATTGACTCAGACAAACCTTCTGTTCTTCTTGGCTCAGGGACTTGGGTGAACTTCCCAGAAAGGAGAGGAGCCAGCAGAACTGGCCCACTTTCAGATGAGCCAAAGGACACTGCCTGAGTGCAGAGACAATCTTAAACTCAGGCTTAGGATGTACAACTGGGAAAAGGTCAACTGGTACTGCTTCTCAGCCTGGCAAAGTCTTTAGCTGAAGAGTAAAAACAAAAAAGCTTTCGAACCATTGATTTAAAAACAGGGAATGGTATTTTTAAACACTTTAACAAAACTGTCTTGTTACCATGGCTAACTTTGTGCCACTTGGCATTAAAAATAAAAGGCTGTTTACTGAATACCTATCCAAAAATAGCCTCACTTCTATTCACAGCCTTGTGAGACAAGCAGTTGGCCCCAATGATATCGTTCTCTCACTCACTCACCTAATACATCCATTCACCTATTCACGCCTTCAGCGAAGCTCTCTCTTCAATCCCAGCAACAGCCCAGCAGAAAGGGTCCTTGGGATTTTCAATTCTCTCCACGTCAAATGCCAAGTACAGATTAGACCCCATGATCTCTGGAGAAGCTTAAATTCAGCTAATGGACTTTTTATGGCATGTAAACTTTGCCCTCAGTAAGGAAGCCTGTTAGCCACATAAATAGTGCACACATGTCCACATGAAGCCCAGACTGCAGGAGGGTGACAGTACCCACTGTCAGCACCACAGCCACCAGCGGGATGAATGTTTTCCGGCATTCCAACCAAGGCCATTGGCGTGTCTCCGTCAGAACATTTTTGGCACATAACTAATACCTTGTATGACAGCTGCTCAGGAGAGGGTGAAGCAGGCATTCACTGCTAGGTCTGATCTCTTAAGAGAGCCCCTTAAGGCCCAGGAAGCTTGGCCTTGACCCAGGCAGGAAGCCACAAGGGGAATATTCTGGATATGAGCCTATGCCAGCTTGAGTCATTCCACACCCCCTGCTTCCAAGGGCCACGAAACTAAAGGAAGTTCTTTACCCTGCAGTCACATACTCCAGGAGGCTCTCGTGGCTCCCCTGACCCCAGGGGTACTCTTGTGGAAGCACAGGGAGAGGAAGGCAGAAACACTTCTGGGCCCAAGTTTCTGTGCTCTTCTAAGCCAAGTGCCAACACCAAAACAGGCAAAGACAAGAGACTTTTCTCTTGGCACATGCATAAAACACAGCCCCTATGCACTTGTCTTGCACACCCTTTTCTGATGGCAACCTCCCCCAGAACTTGCCTATGGCAACAGCAGCCACCAGGAAAGTGACCAGGGAGGACAAAGACTCTGAAGACACCTCTACATTCCTTTGATGAAACCAAGCAAGGCCATTTGCTCCACAGATCTCACTGTGGTTGAGGACACAAGAAACCAGTGCAACTCAAATGTTCCAGAAAGCAGTGCCTTGTCACATGCCTGGGGCCAGGGGCACCTGGAAGAAGCTAATAGAGGCATGGACCCCTCTCCCCAGAAAAGCTCACACAGCACAACACTCATCCAATGTCAAATGATTCCTAAGCCCCTGAAGCTTCACAGCGGTGCTCAGATTAAGAAACTCTGTCATGAAAATTCCTTAAAACAAGAAGATCAAGACAGCTAAGTAATCTCCAAACCTGCCATTACTCTCCTAGCACACTAAGCTCTGGGATGCACAAAGAAGGAACCATATCTATGGCCGTGAGAAGGCCCAAGAGCCCCTCTGCACCCACATAGAGTCTCTGACTTCATGCTTGAAATGGAAATGAGGACTCTAGCTCATGAATCTCCTAGTTTTCTAGCTCTGTTTCCCTGCCTGCACATGACTATCTGGCCAGCTCTCCGTGATGGAGATACTTCTGCCAGGCTTCAGCTTCTCAGAAGATTCTGCCTCAACAGACATCTGTATTGATCATGGCCACCACCTGCCGGCCCCACCCCTGGCCCACTGACAACATGCCTTGTATGTTTCCTCTCCCATCTGCTACCTGTGGCACCAATCTATGGGCTATCATGGACCTTTGAGTTGGGCCAATCAGATTCCCTGATTGAGTGAGGAAATTCCAGGAGAACCACAGTGCAGCAGCAGATAAAGCCAAAACATCATGATGCTTCCAAAAGCTGGCAGCCTCTGGTTCTTTCTAGGTTGAAGAGACAGGAGCCAAGGAATAAAGAAATCCATGCAGAGGAGATGGTGAGAGCCATCCACCATTAGATGGAGACAGGTTGGCATAGGGAGTGGCTGAGCCCCCATCTCCTGCCCCTGGGACCCAGAGGTACCATGATCCAGAACTCACCTCCCATGGCCTGAGCTGAACTGGGCCATGGGGGCACTGAAAGCCAGGGAGAGTCCATCAAATGTGTCTCCTTTGATTGAGGTCTTTGAACCCCAAAGAGCCTCTCCAGGAAAGGAGACAGGCTAAAGAGAGCCAACTCGTGCAGTAGGGAGGGCTGTCTGGAGCATGGCCCAGCATCCTAACCCTCTGGGAAACTTCTAACTGCAGATATCTACACCCCATCCAAGGGCAATTGATTGGAGTGGAGCTGTCCGTGCACAGGTTTATAAGCTCCCCGGGTGCTCAGGATGCTAGGCAGGATTAACTTGGGCCACATACCCCCTTGCCTGCCTCACCAAAATGGAATCCCCAGTGTGTAGATGGCAGAGAACAGAGTGTGGGGAGCGCTGCTGTCTTCCAGTTCCATATCAGCCTGGCAAAACCTGTTCTCTTCTCTTGTGGGCTTCCAAATGCCACCCAGCCTCCTCCAGGAAGCCTACCCTCCTTATCTGAGTCCCATCTTCCTCATGCCCTAGATAACCACTGTCCCCTGCGGTTTTAGCCTATATCACATGTGGAACCTTTTTGGGGAGCTCCTGGCCTGCGGGAGAGAGGCCTGTGTCCTCTAAGGTGTGAAGCTGTCCCTAGGCTTCCACTGAGCTCTGCTCTAGGTTAGGCCTGGCTGAGGGCTGTGTGGGCGGGGCTGGAGGTGGGAGAAGGACTGGCTTGCTGTTGCTCTTTTGCATCTCTCGCGGGCTCTGTGGAGGGTGCACCAGTGGAGTGGAGACAGGCTCAGAAGGTATTCATTGGCAGAAGCAAGACATGCAGGAGAGTGAGTGGAGCAGGGAGGGGAACCGGCATGATTCAAGCTAACCCTTCATACCCCTTCTTTCTTAGTATAAGGCACTCCGAAAGTAGGTATGGGAGAGGCAGGAGTGAGAGAAGAGGAGGGAGGAGTCGTTCTGAAGCTCCTTCCAACCCAGGCAGGAGGCCGGCTCTCTCAGGCTCCAGTGCCAGCTACCGGCCTGTTTGCCACAGTTCCAAGCAATCTGGTGCAGCTGGAAGAGTGCAGGCATGGAGAAGGCCATATCATGCAAAATGTGCATTTGATCAAGGTTGAAAACATGGTGTAACATGAGTTCTCCTGATCTACTGGATTTCTACAAAAGAGCCCTGAACTGCTCAGTCAAGTTCAACCTCAGGTCTCGGGAAAAATGAGTTTGTTAATTCAAGCAATTCCCCAGTGGTCAGTAGTTTATACCACATGCTTTGAAACAATGTGGCCTAAGTCAGGGGAGAAGTTGAATTACTTCCTAGGGGAGAGCCAAGGACTATCTGTTAACCTTGACAGGCCCTGCAGCCTCCTGCGCTGGCTGGCTGGGCTCTCTGCAAGCCCCTTCCCATGAGGCTGGGGGGAGGGCTCCAGCTCCATGGCTTGCACATTGCTGCGGAACAGCCCCCTTATTCAGAGAACGATAGCTTTCCTACCATCCCCCTCCTCGCAGGCTGGAGGGCTGGGGTCTGCCGTCACCTGCCTCTCAAGAAACCTGTGCCTCCAGCAGCCACCGGGATCCACTGGGACTGTGACCCTCCTGCCAAGAAGACCCAGGAAAAGCCTGCTGGCCACTGTCGATGAGAGGCAGGCTCCCACCTGCAGGTCAGTCTCAGGCAGGAAGTTGTGGGGAAGATCCTTTTAAGAGAAGATTAATTATTGCCAAAGGCTCTAGGGCACCTGGTAAATTGCATTCCTTCATCCAGTGAATATCTATTGGACATCCATCATGTGCCAGCTTCACCACACTAACCCATAGGGCCTCCTGGATAGCAAAGTGTGGACCTGGGAGAACACACAGAGGATGACAATAATCACCACCAACACCTACTGATGTACCCTTTAAGGCCCTTCACGTGGATTAGCTATTTAATCCTCACAACAATCCCTGAGCAAGTACAGCCGCTATCCCATTGCACAGATGAGGAAACTGAGGCACCTGCCCAAGGTCACCCAGCTGCTAAGCGGTGCTATGGCGATTTGGACTCAGGAGGCTGGCTCCAGGGCCTTTGCCCTTTATCACCTCTCCATCACCATTCTCATTATCATTACAACAAAAGCATTCAAACTCCCTGCTTCTCTGTCCCAGGCAGGAGTACCTGGCACCCAGGAAGTGGTATTCTTAGGGTAAATCCAGGGTCTGAGTCCAGAGCCCCCACCATTGGCCTCCCTGCGCTGCCTCTCAGTGGAGTTCAGACGAGTTATTTCATTTCTCAGCTTCTGTTTCCCTTACTTTCAAAAGGCAATAGTAATTACCCATAGGGTTCTTGAGGTAATTAAATGAAATAATGGATAATAAAGGGTTTGGCATGGTGTCTGCAAATAAGAACCTACTAAGTCGGCTGCTCTTTAATTTATAATTATTAATAACATTATTGCATTAATAGGTGATACATGAAATTCCAGCATATAGAATCCCTGATCAGGCCAAATCTGGGGGAAAAGAACCATATCCGTAACACTTTCATGATCATAACATTATTCTTTCCAACTTTGGGCTGATCAGGGTTTATAAGGGCTCCCATTTCACCTTTTACCAAAAGAAAATATCTTTCCTTTCCATCACGATCAACTGTCCAATGCTCTCCTTTTCTTCCATCCTTCTCCCTCCTCACATCCCCATTGTGACCCCAAGCATAAGCACCAGGGCCACCAGGTGTTAAGCAACAGAAGCTGCCACTATAAACAAGACGGGGAAAAAGAAACGCTTGCCACTTTTCAGGGATTTCAGCATCAAAACCCCCGATGAACTTGATCTTTTTTGGCAGGGTGTTCACTTTGTGGCTCCTTCCAATAAGTCAAGCAAGATGGAAACATTCGAGCGATGCAAGGCAGCGCTACTTGGGGAAAGAGACACTGGTATGCCACATCAGCGAGGACCACCAGGAAAGACGATTCCTTTCCAAATTCCAAGCCTCAACAAAAGCGACCACAGCAGTCCAGACTCCTGTCTCTAATCCCTACTTCCCCATGTGGACAAAGAGTGGGGCTCTTTTGGCCTGAGCTCATGGGGTTTCACATCAGCCCAGCAGGACAGAATGCATCCCTCCTGACAGCCAGGCACAGGCTGGGGACCAGAGAGACCCAGCTGGCTCCACAGGGCAGGGCTGACACAGAGCCAGGGGAGGGTTGTGGCGGCCCACACTGCATGTCTCTACAAGGTGAAGGAACTCCTTGTGTTGGCTGCTGAGCTGAGAGGTCACAGCTCTGCCTCACAGCACCCTGGCCAAGTTTTCCATGAAATCATCCAAAGCCAACAGGAGTTCCGGGAACCATCCATCTGGAGCTGCAGCTTCCTCCCTGGCTGTGGGGATCTTCAGATCCCTTGGGCCTGGGATAAGTCCACTCTCCACACATGTAGGGGAAACATGCCAGAGGGCCAGCCCTTGTTCCCAGACACGGCCCTGGCCCCTAGCAAGCCTGCTCAGACACAGGGGGATGGTTACAGCAGACCTACCTAGCTGGCTAATGTCTCCCTAGTAGCCAATTAATTGCAGCATTCACTGAGGGACTAGGCAGTCATGCAGAGGCCAAGCTCTAAAGGGCACCCACCCCAGCCTGTCCCCCAACAACCCAGACACACAGACCCACAGCTACATCCCTGTGCAAATGCCATAATCCCAGCTTGGCTGCACGAACATGCGCACCTCTCCCATCCATGGCAGCGGGCCCAAAGGGCAGGCAACAGGCAGAAAGCAGCTGGACACTAGGGGTAAGCTGAGGAAGACCAGCCCTCGGCCCCTTCCTCTCTACACAGAGTGGTGGGGAGACAAGGAGGAGCGAGGGATACTGACCCGGGCCTGAGGAACACCTGACCCAGCAGCACAGAACAGAGATGAGAAATGGGCCCCATTTCCATCCCCCAAATCCTTCAAGATGACCACTGAAGCTGCAAAAAATCAATTTTCTGCAGCTTCTTCGGAAGCCAGGATTTATTTTCTGTGTGTGCAGAGCTATTGGCTCAGCTGTTTCCCATCAGCTTCCTGCATGCTTCCAGGCAGAGCACAGCCCACTGCCTCCCTCTCCTTCTTCCTCCCGCAATGCTCAAACCCACACCCAAGGTAGACCCCTAGGAAAAGCAGAGGGTCTTGACTTGGGAAAATCAAGCCACGTGTCAGGAGTTCACCCCTGGATATCACCACCTCATGTTTCCAGAGTCCCCAGTCACTTGCAAAGGACCTCACACATGCCCCGGCTAGGAGACAAGGCTAAAGCCTGTGGAGTCAGAGGACGAGAGAGAGAGAGAGAGAGAGAGAGAAGGGGCAGGACAGAAGAGCCGCTGGACCCCAGATTCACAGGGCACAAATGCATTCTCTAGGTGGTAACATCAGAGCCACCACTTCTCAGTGTCAGTCCATATTTACTGAGTGCCGACTGCCCGGGACCCTGTGCCAGAGCTGCGCCCCAACCCCATCCATCCCGAGCTTCATGATAATAACATTATTCTTTCCAACTTTGGGCTGATCAGGGTTTATAAGGGCTCCCACTTCACTTTTTACCAAAAGAAAATATCTTTCCTTTGCATCACGATCAACTGTTCAATGTTCCCCTCCCACAGGGGTCCTCTTCCCTGACCTATGTAGTCAGGCCCCTGACAGTAGTGACCATGGACTGAGATGCATGGGCAACACCTGTCACACATACACGCAGTGGTGTTCAGCAAGGGACACTGCAGACCTAGTCAAACCCCTGGGGGCACCTTTAGTGAAGGCTTTGTGCCTCACTTTCTCTCCACAGTCATTCTTGGCAAATCCTGGCACGGTCTGCGTTTGCTCTCGATCAGTGCTCTCAAGGTGTGGTCCCTGGACCAGCAACATCAGCATCATCTGGGAACCTTGGTGAACTGCATTCTCATGCCCCACCCCAGGTCTCCTGAATCAGAAATCCTGGGGTGGAGCTCAGCAGTCTGTGTTTTAACAAGCCCTCTAGGTGATTCTGCTCAAGGTTGAGAACCACCGCTCTATGCGCCCATGTTGTGGGGGGAACAGGCTGCAGGTGGGGGGAGGGGTGCCCCCCGGCTCCTCCCTCTGCCCTCCCTCAGCCAAGGTGCTATGCCGACCTGTCAGCTCACAAGCCTGAGGGAAGCCTTCTGCCCCCCAGGCTTCTCCTCTGTCTGGATCTGGGGTCCTCCTAGGCCCCCACACTAGGCTAGCTACCCCACCTCTTGCTGCAGGCTCCCAAACCCCCATGTGCTGACGAATATAAAATCTTCATTCTCAGCATAATTGAAACATACAACATGCACTGATCACATGCCCGTCTCAGGGGTCTTTGCACTTCCTGCTTCCTAAGCTAAAACCCGCTTCCCCAACTGGTGTGCTCCACTCCCTTGCCTCACACAGGTCTCTGAGTAAATGTCACCTCTTCAGACAGGCCCACCCAGACCACCTCGCCTAAGGGGAATGCCTCTTTTGCTCCATCTTCTTACCCAGCTAACTTTTCCTTCATCTCCACCGAATATTTTGTTGTATATCTACTAATTTGTTTGTGGGGTTTTGGTTTGTTCAGGGTTCTTTTTGTTTTGGGGGCTATTTCCGCCTCTAGGTGGTAGACTCTACGAGGGCAGAGCTTTCTTCATCTTTACTCACTGCTGCATCCTCCCTGCCTAGAACATGCCTGTCACGGAGCAGGAGCTCAGGCAATATATCCCGGGTAAATGAATGGATATGTATATAGAAACAAAAATTAGTGCAATCCACTCCTTGTATTTATCACCCTTGAACACATAAAAGCCAAAGCAAATTTGGAAATAAAATACAAACAAAACTACCAATAAAATTAGATGATGTGTTTTGCTAAAGTTAAATTGCCAAGAATGGGTTTAATAGTAGAAAGATGTGGCCTCGGGCCAGTTCTGTTTCTGTATTTCAATTTAATTAATACCAACGCAGAGAGTGACTGCCTGCAAACAGATGTATGCAAACAGACAAAGTAGCATTAATAACTTTAAGGCTTTGTTTGTAAGTTCGGGTTAACCAGCCTTGATACAACACCAGAACCCTGCACACAACCCTGAGGCATCAGTTTTAATGAGGGATTACCTGATAACTCTATAAAGCTGTCCTGTTCACTTGAAGCCACATTAGCCCATGGTGCTACTAAAATCTGCCTTAAATAGACATTTAGTTCATTTCTTCCTAATTCTAATCCCAGCAATCTCTTCCTCACATAGTTCCCAGCACATTTACTGCCAATGAACTCCAGCAAGTTGCCACATGGCAAGCCAGAATCTGTTTGCCATATGAACGTGACCCTGGTCACCAGCTAATGGGTGCCTGGCCTCCGTCCTGCCCACTGGCATGAGCTTTGTTCCACCTTCACTTTACCTAAACAAATGCAAGCAAACTGAACTTCCTTTGTACCGTGGACCTCAGCAGTGTTCGGCCTTCCCTCGGTGCAAACGCGAGCAATCGAACAAACACCGTTACGAAGACATGTAAAGGGTCTCTTCAGTGGTGCCGTAAATCCAAGTTACGAGGTGAGTACTCAGATAATCTTGATGAGATTGTATGAATTTTAACAGATTTTTATCAAAATGAAAACACAGACTTTTGAGAATTGAAAAACAGGGCTCCAAGCCACTGATGTCTTCACCTATTCCAGGGCCTGGACACTTGTCACCAGGTCCCTCTGAGCAGTGCAGCAAAGCACTGACGTGCCAAATTCCAGCACACAGACCAGGCACAATCTTACTATCCGAAAATGCAATTGGTAAGCCACCACAAACTGTTCAAGTTCCGACCACAGCTGTGCCCCACAGAGCTGTGAATCGTCTCACTGGATTCACACATGTTGAAAATGGTTCTACAATTCTGGCATCTGCCAGAGCTTTCCAGGGATGAAGGCATAATGGGTGCCAAAGGTTTAATTAAAAATTTATGGAAGAAAAACTTACGCTTGAGAACATTACATCCACTCTCTTCAGTTTGAGTTTTATTTCCCCTGCCAGTGTGGACAAGAGTGCCATGATTCTGTTTCATGACAACTTCTAAGTCCCGAGCCTCGCACCTGGAGGGATGCCGGCAGAGGTCATGCTCTGAAATGGGGCCAGCCTCGGCATCCTGCCCAAATGTTTATCCGGAAGTGGCACCTGTCCTGGTGGGGGGGGGGATGGTGCCAAGATCAGCTGCCCTGGAGGCAGATGCCAGGTTCAGTTGACCAAAGGGTCATCTTGTCCAATCTCCTGCCAGCCAGCAGGTCCTCAGCAAAACCATGGGATTTGGTGGATTCTCCTAAGACTCAGCTCCCCAGTCTTAAGCAAAACCAACTCTCCTTCTCCCATCTTCCATCTCCCCAGCTTCTGAGGACAGTGCAGGAACTATCCAGGGAGGAGACAACTCTCCCCAGCCTTTTCTTTCTCAGTAGGAGAGAGTTTTTCACTCAGCAGGAAGAGTTCTTACAGAATCTAGAAAAAAACAGCTCATGCTGCTCTCCATGTGGCCTGAGGACTAGCCCTTACCCTCCTGTGGCTCACTCTCTCCCACATGCCAGGCACAGCCTCTGTCCTGGCACACACCCTCCGTTCTCCAAGAGGAGGAGGGAGTGCCCTGTGTGTCCAGAAAGCATTGCTCTGTGTCAGTCATCTGTATCCACCACCCAAATCAGGGGCGAAGCCAGGAACTCACGAAGACAAAGGCCTGGCAGCCCAAGCAAGCTGTGGGCAGGCGGCAGGCCAGCCGGGACCCAGCAGCAACAGAGAACGGACCCTGGGCTGGCACAGCAGCCAGCAGCAGCAGCCCTCACCTCCCAGGGACGGAGCCGCCCTGCCAAGGGCCCCAAGGCCTGGCTCCATGCCCACCTGCCCCTCACCTGCCCTCAGGGAAGCTTCCGTGCTCTTCCATGTTGCCAGTGGCCCTCAGGATGCCTCCCAGCAGGACCCTAGTTTCAGCTCAAGAACCCCAGAAAGGAGTCTGGGGTCTCAAGAAGAGGGGTTTAGCCGAGCTCCCCTACAACCTAGTCCAGCCTTTTTTTTTTTTTTTTTTTTTTTTTTTTTTTTTTTTTTTTGAGACAGGGTCTTGCTGTTATGCAGGCTGGAGTGCAGCGGCACAATCACAGCTTACTGCAGCCTCAGCCTCCTGGGATAAAGTGATCCTCCCACCTCAGCCTCCTGAGTAGCTGGGACGACAGCTGCATGCTACCATGTCCAGCTAATTTTTTGTAGAGAAGGGGGTCTCTCTGTGTTGCCCAGGCTGGTCTTGAACTCCTGGGCTCAAGCCACCTGCCCACCTCAGCCTCCAGAAGTGCTGGGATTACTGGCGTGAGCCACTGTGCCTGGCCCTAGCCCCGCCTTTTTTTTCTTGAGGCAGAGTCTCGCTCTGTTGTCCAGGCTGGAGTGCAGTGGCACAATCTTGGCTCACTGCAACTTCTGCCTCCCGGGTTCAAGCTATTCTCATGCCTCAGCCTCCTGAGTGGCTGGGACTGCAGGCACGTGCCACCATGCCTGGCTAATTTTTGTATTTTTAGTAGAGACAGGGTTTCACCATGTTGGCCAGGCTGGTCTCAAACTCCTCCTAGCCCCTCTCTTGATGGAAGAGAACCCAGGGCTCCTCCCAGAAACACATTTTGGTTAACTGCTACCTTCTTTTCGTATCTCCTCACTAAAAAGCCTTTCTCTGAGAACCCTTCCTGACAATCATTAAAGGAGGGGGGACATAGAAGTGGCAAGTGCATGCAGTCTGGTCAGGTTGCCCACCTCACAGCAAATCTCCCCCTCTGTCTCCCCAAGCCAGGAGACTGGGCGGGATGGGTGGGGCAAATCTGACTTGGACCCCTCGGTAACCAGTGGGTAAAAAGGGCAGGCTGGTTCCTGCTCACTGAAGTCATGGCACAGTAAGGTGAAGGTGCCCCGAGGGTGGGGAAGGGCCCTGGCAGTCACCCACCTTGACCCAATGGGGCCACAGAAAAGTTGTGAAGAGGCCTTGGAAAAGACTGTGTGGAGGAAGACTTGAAAGGCTGGGTATTGGCTTGGACCCTTGAGAGGAATCATCAGCTAGTCTGTGAATCAGGGGCCTGCTCTGCCTGCAGTTCCTAAGTACCTGCTGGAACTGGGAGCTGTGTTAAGGCTTCTACAGACATTCAACCTTCCCAATGGTCCTAGGAAGTATATGATATTATTCCCAATTAGCAGATGAGATGACTGAGACCCAGCCTGAGGGGCCCATGGTGCCATTCCACAGGTGTTCTTCACTGCCACTCCACGCTCCTGAGCCACACCCTCCTGCAGTGGGGAAGCAGCTCCTCCCTCTGACCCTGGAGGCCCAGGGAGAGAGACTGACCAACCCTGACTCTGCCCTCTGTGGCCAGTCCTCAGCCAGCCCTCTTCCATGCTGTGTTAGTAACTGCATGGCCCCACCCTGCCTGGCCTACGCTGGCCTCTAGCTCCACTCACATGCCCTGTGCACTCCCTCTCCACCTTCCTGGAGCACATCTCTGGCACCAGCACTCACCTACTCCAAAACCTTCAATGGCCCCTGATTTTCAGACTCAAGTGTGGGCAAGCCAGTCGCTGAAGGCCTTGCGTGATTAGGTAATGACTTGTCCTTTCTAGAGGTCTTTTATGGGACTTTCTCCTGTGGGGATACCATCTCCCACTCCAATGGGACTACCCATTGGCACACTATCCTGGATCCTTGCTTTGCCTGAGATTTACCTTCTGCCTGAAACACCCCTCCATGCCCCAAAGACTTCAAATGTGTGCAAACCCAAGGCTGCTGCTTGGAGCTGGTGAGCATGCAGAACTGTGAAGAGAGCTTATCAGCTGGGGCAGGGGCAACATGATGTGGGAGAAGACTCAATGCGTACACGAGCAGGCCACTGGCCTGAAGAGGGAATTGTGGGCACTCTCTGCTCCACACTGGGGTGCTCCCAGAGGGCTCTGCACACGCTGCCCCTGCCCTGGCCCCTTGGCTCGCCATCTTGGCCTCCCTTAGCAACAGCAATGCTGAGTCATCCCTCTCCCATGGGCACGCAGCCCTCTCAGTTCTGTACAAAGCACAGCCGCAGCCACACAGCTCTTATGCAACTTGGCCCTTCTCTGTAAGGGTGTTGGAGGGTGCTGCTGGAGTGGGCTCAGGGCTTTCTCTCAAGCCCCATCTAGGGCACGTCTCCACACTCATGCCCTGCACTTGGAGGCTGGATGCTAGGCGCACCTGGGCATTGGATGGGTCTCTGCCAACCCTGAAGCAGGCATCTGGATGCAGGGATTCCTGAGGAGGGCGGTCCGAGGCAGCACTAGTTCAGTTGAGGCCTCTGCTGACAGCAAGCGGGCCTGTCAGCAGGGCTGGGTGCCTTCTCCTGACCACATACCTTTATCTGCCCCATGCCCCTGTGCTTCCCAAAGCTACCGAGAATCCAGAGGCTGAGCCTCAAGGCGCTGGGCTAGGGGACTGGAGCCTGAGTTCCTGCTCTGCCAGTCTGCTCGGAGCCAGTGTGACTTTGGGAAAGTCCCTGTTCCTCTCTGGCCTCAGTTTCTACATGCATAAAATAGAAGCTGAGACTAGACTGGTGGTTTCCCAGCTTTGTTCCTGGAAGCCCTGGAGTTCTGAGGAAGGATCTCAGGGACCCCTTCACAGGCATGTTGCTAAACCCAAACCCTTCTGCAGCCACACCTGGGGCCTGGAGGCCTATCAAAGCTGAGACCTCTGGTGCCTGGTGCATAACCCTGGGCAAGTGTTTCCCTTCACAAGACTGAACTCTGGCCTCACCCTTTCTTTCCACTAACATACAGGCTTCCACGAAGCCACAGAATGGGGACCTGGCCTAGAGGTCAGCGGGCCTCCATCCTGGGCAAGGCAGAGCAGGGCAGGATGAGGGAGGAAGGGCCAGGCAAGAATGATAGCAGGATCTCGGCAGGAAAACAAGTCCAGAGTCCATGCCCCATAAATCAACGAAGTGAACTAGTTACAAAGTTGCAAGAGCTACAAAGACAAGCAGGGAGCAGTGAGGCAAACAGAGATGAGCAACACCAGAGCCCTCTGGAGGAACAGCAGCAGGAAGAGGTGCTTCCAGAGCCCAGAAACCAGGGCCACCCAGGAGGAACTAAGGTCACCTAAGGGCCTCCTCAATCTGGGAGAGCTGAGGCCACAGAAAGAGGCTGATGAATGATGGCTAGAGACACAGAGAAGACACAACTGCTGCAGAGACACCACCAAAGCCAGAGCTTGGAGGAGACATACCCTTTCCTCTCTCTTCCGCCTGCCCTCCCATCTGTCAGTGCCTCTCATTGGCCAAACTTGGCCAGAGTCAGTTTTCAAGGAAGCCTGGGACCTGTGGTTTGCAAGGCCAGCCCTTGGGATACAGAGCCAAGCAGGGGAAGGGCAAGAATGGATCTGAGAGCGAAGAGGCAAATGGCAGCCATGAAGCCACTCTCAGACCCCCAGAGATCCCTGCCCTTCCAGGTCCTGCCCATACGCCAACATCCAGCTAAAACCATCTTCCCCCAGGAAGCCTGGGTTGCTGGTTCTGGGCCAGCCTGGATCTCTGCCTGGCCACACTCTGGCCTTGGTGCCCCCTTATCCATACAGGATCAGGGCAGGAGGCTCCCACTGCATGCTCTCCAGTCCCATAGATGTCCCTGAAGCTCAGCAGGCCTCTGTCACAGCTGAGCACAAAGGCTGATGAGCCTTTTATCCTCAATTCCCCAGCTGGGTTTCTTTCCAAGAAAATTTATTTTTTCCCAAATGAATATTCCCAGGTCATTTCTTGGGAAATGTATGTCATTGTCATTGGTTTTAAATAACTGGACTGGATGGATGCACAAAAGGAAGCCAAGCACTCCCCTGTAAAATTGCTCTAGGGCCAACCTGACCTTAGAGGGGAAAGGAGGAGGGAGTGCTGCACTGCCTCTGAGAAGACTCACTGAGAAATGCATGTTTAGAGCAAGAGATTCCTGAGGTCCTGGACAGAGGGAAAGATTTTCACTTCACTGAATATGATGGGATCTGGCCCGTCTCTTCCAAGGACCCTTCCCACCCCTGCCTGGCCCCAAGCCCTACTGCTCCCAAGAGTCAGCAGTGGCCTTCTAATTGGCCATGTTCTCCATCCCCTTTTCCCAAGACTCGATAACCCTGAGAGTTGCATTTTCAAACAAAGGCTTGACAATGTCAACTCTCCTCCTATTACCTCTCTGCTGTTTCCCAAATAAACTGCAAGCACCAGAATCTGAGAGATGAGGCCAGTGGAGTGCCAAAGCCAGCTCCTGCTAGCTCACAAGAACCTAGTATTCAGTGACATCAAACTGATAACTTGAAATCAGCCATGGTGGGAATATTTACACCATGGAAATTGGCAAATGCCTCACATCAGAGACTTTTCTACTTTTTTTCCTGAAGAGCAGCTGGTTGTTAAATGCTTACCAACACACCACTAAATGAGGTCTTTGATGTTCTGGGCACATATCACCCTAGCCCCCTCCACCACCACCAATCCCAGTCTCAAGTCCCGTTATCCTCTCTCCCACCCTCTCCCTCCCAGCTGTTCAGCCAACACACCAGGTCTTCCCAAGCCTCCTTGGGAAGCTCATGCTTCCCCCCTGCTGCCAGAGGGGAGAGAACATGAGGGTGCTTCCATCCTGGGTTCAGATCTATCTGTGGAACATTGGGCAAGTTGCTTGCTCTGTTCTCTCACCTATAACAGGCAGACAGCAACACAGGCCTTCATGAACATGAAATAGAAGCATAGCTGTTGCAAGTTCAGCACAGTGCTTTCCAAGGATGGGATCAGACAATGACAGCCCCTTCTCTACTAGCAAAAATTCTTTCATGCCTCAAGGTTCAGCCTGAATTCCACCTCCTTTGTGAAGCCAGATCTGTGAACCCAGCAGAAATGTCCTATTCCCTCCTGGCAGCCTATCCCTGGTGACTGTAGCTCTGTGACATGAGACCAGAGTCCCTTGTGAGAGCAGAGCAGACAGCTGGCAGGTGAGGGGCAGGGGTGAAGAGAGGGGGACAGGATTTACATGCAGCTTCATGAGAAGCAGGATTACAGGGCTGACAAAGCTACCAGGACCACTCATGCCCTTACCCATGGACTAGACAGACAAGAAAATAACAGAAAAAACTCCTTCCTAGGATAGAGACGCTCCCTCCTTCTGGCCTCACGCACCTGCAGGCACCTTCCTGACAGTGGCAGGAGGGAGATACAGCATGTGGGACATGTGGCCTTATGTGAACTCGGCATGAATCAGCCTCACAAAGCTCACCTCCAACCACCAGCCCACTTGCAAAGGTAAGGGAAACGTCCAGAATGTGAACCCCCATCAGCCCAGCCCAGATGCCACTGGCTGGCCAGGCCGCAGGAGCTCTGCTGTCTTTGGGATGAGAAATGCCACTCTCACTGCTTGGCTCCTGCCAGCCCTGGGCAGCTGAAGAGGGACAAGGCTGGGAGGGACTAATGTCATTTCTACCTCTTAGGAGGGCTGGACTGCAGCAGAACCCAGCGTGGTCAAGGGGGCACCTCCACCTTCCTGTGAAGAGCTCAGCAGATCCCCAGCAACTGGCAGATGTTATTATTCACAACTTACTTGCTGTGTAGCCTTCAGCAAGTTGGCTGACCTCCTTGGGCCTCAGTTTCCTCCTCTGTAAAATGGGGGAAAAAACAGTACCTTTTCCTAAGAAGTTATGAAATAAGTGATTAAGTACTTCAAGCTGTGTCTGACACACAAGTGCCTAATAGGTATTAGCTGTTATTATTTATTGCCCCCTTTTTACACAGGAAGAAAGTGGACTTTAAAAGGGAACTTGGGTAGACATAATTTGGAGTTTTTGTCCCAAGTCTCTGCAGGATCAAATCTCTAAAGGAAATGCTGTGGGTGAGCCTAAGCCTGGAGCCTCCCAAAGAGAAAAGCCTGTGTCTCTTCTGTCTCCAGCAAGGACAGTAGAACAGGGGTTCCTGAAGGTCTGCTTGGAGCCCAGCACTGCGTCTTCTATCACAGGGATCCTTGTTGCTATCAAGGGCCAGCATGGCCCTGCTCAGATTCCACTTGTAAAGTGTAAACTACAGAATCTCAGGTTTACAAGAAACTCTAATGACCATCCAGGTCCACAGCTGCTCACAGAGGCCCTTAAAACCTCCACCAGGACATTGCTTGAATACCTCCAGGGATGGGGAACTCAGTACCTACAGAGGCCTCACATTCCACTCCAGATGCACCTGAAGAGAGGGGAAGGGGAAATAAGTGAAGGGGTCAGGGAGGCTGGTACAAAGGCCGATTTTGCCAGTTTCTCAGTTGAGCCTAAGACAGGGCCAGACTCCAGCCACCCAGCTGCCACTACTGCTCCTGCCCAAGAACTCCGGTTCTCTAGAAAACTGAGAGCCCCTCTGGGAGGCCAGGCTTGGCAGGAAGATGTGGAAGCAGGCTGAGCCACAAACGAACTGGTTCCATACCATTAGGCAACAGGAAAGAAAAAGGGTGGCCCGCCCCGGGCCGGGCGCAGCAGCAGCGGCAGTCATGGAGATCAAAACACCCAGATAATGAGCCGAATTCTTCTCCCAGAGACACCAGCTAACGAAGGGAGCACAGGAAGCCCCATGTCACGGGCCCAAAGTGTTTATACAAGTGTTAAAAATACATTTCAAAAGAAAGCAGGGAAGCCCAAGGAAAACCCTCTGCCGCCCTTGGAAAACGGTTTTTGCAAACCACGTTAATTTGTTTTCCAAAAGGTGTTTGAAGTCTCCCTGTGTACCCCCTGGGCAACTTTAATTCCACCTCCTAATCCCCTATTAAACCTGATGCTCACTAACACAGCCCACTTAGGGGATTATGCTTTTTATTCTTCATTATACAGATACATATTTGGGCCCATGTGTGTTCCTATGTTGTCTTGTAAATTAAAAAGCCACTGTCAGCCACACTTCTCCCAGGGGCCCGAAATAGCCTGAGCGTCATTAAGGCACTGAGGGGATTTGAAATGAAGTTTAAAGGGTCAGAGAGTGTGATTTTTAAAATTAATTTCCAAAGCCTTGTAACCTTACAGCCAGAGATGAATGGGTCCGTGGGAAACTGCGAGAAGTAAATGTGCGAAGAGGCTAACCAGAGAGGACAGGGAGGTCACCTTTGCCACACAGAGCAGAGGTGGCTCCACAGTTCCAGGGGTTCGGCGTTCTGTGGGGGAAACAGGAATGTAAGCAGTAACTAGTATTTTCATCATTGTCAGCAGCAGGCTGTTTCTTAAATACCTACTACGTGCTGTTTCCACACCTCAACTCATTAAATTCAGCAGCCCTCTAAGGAGAGTATTATTGTCCCTATATTTCACATGAGGACACTGAGGCATGGAAAACTCACGTGACTCCCTAAGATCCCATTGAAGAAATGGAAGGGACAGAATAACATTGGATAACGTTGAGACCCATGAGATGTACTGAGCTAGTAGCACTCAATAGCTAATGTGTCCAATCCAATGGATATGCATGATCTCATTAAACCTCCACCAAAAGCCAGAGAGATAAATCCTGTCCTACTTTACAGATGAGGAAGCTGAGGCTCAGAGAAGTTTTTGTTTTTTTAAGCTGTCAAAGGTCACACAATTAGTAAGGACCTCGGACTTGAACCAAGGTCAGTGAGACTCCAGAGCCTAAGCCCCCAACTTCTCTCTGACTCCACAAACTCACAGCATGCTCCCCAGCTGCAGAGAGCTTCATAATGGTAGCATAAAAGATGTGACAAGGCAGCCTCCCTCCCACAGGCTCCAGCACCTCAGCTAGAAAGAAAGCCCTGTGGGTTGAAGTAACCTAGGAAGGCCCCTTGGAGGAAGGGTACAAGAGGCAGGCTGGGGAAGAATGGGCTGAATCAGTGAAGACAGTAGAAGTGGGTCAAATGACCTGCACAGGTGGAAAAGGACATGTGTGCTCACAGGCACCTGGCCAGAGATGTCAGGAGACAGATGGGCAGGAGGATCAGGAGAGAGGTCTGGTCTGGGGACAGATATTTAGGCAGAGACCCTAAGAGCCTTAGGGTCCTTCCACCAAATCCTCTCCTCTCTGCCTTCCCTCCAGGGACCAGGCCTGAAGATGGCATCCCTGTTCCTAATCAAGCTGGCCCCTGACTCTGCACACCCTAACCCACCTCCCACACCCTCTCAGTCATCTCTCCTGTCCGTGTCCCCACTCTCTTTGGATCATTACATTTCCCCTGTCCCCTGGATCAGCCTACAGTTTTGCTGTGATTTCTCCCTAATCTTAAAAAACCTTGCCTTGACCCCCACATCCCTCTCAAGCTGCCACCCTATTTCCATGCTTCCTGTTTTGGCAAAAACCCCTTGAGAACTGTGTAGATCTGACATCTCTTCTCCACCCTCCCGAATCAGGCCTCATCTCCACCACTCCACCAAACTGGCTCTCACTGAGGTCCAAGCCAACTCTCAACAGTCTTTCCCATGAACACGTCCTTTCTCCTGCCTCCCGAAACACTGCACAGCTCCCTGGCTGTACCTTCGCAGGCTCCCCTACTGGTTCCTCCACATCCAAGTTCTGCATTGCCTGAGGGCTTACTCCTCTGAGACCTCTTCACTTGTCTCCTCTCTCCATCCATTTCATCTAGTCCTGTGGCTTTAGGTGTCACCTAGTCCTGTGCCACTGCCATGCCATGTTGCAACAGGTCTGTCTCTAACCCCTGCCTCTCCTCTCAGACTCAGCACAACCAACTTGACATCAGCATTTGCATGTCTAATAGGCCTCTCAAATCAGACTGATCTTCACTGCCCACTGCCCCAAACCTGCACTTCCTCTTCTCCTCCATCTCAGCAAACAGCTGTTGGGGTGAAAGAAAGGGGGAAGTCAGGAATAGCTCTTGGCTTGAGCAATTGGATGGATAGAGTGGCGATCCATCAAAGTCCTACTGACTTTACCTCCAAAACACACCTGGATCCATCCCTTCTCTCCCTCCCCACTGTCCCACGTGAGCCTACACCATCATCATTTTCACCTAGACTCCACAATAGCCTCCTATGACCTCTCTGTCTTCACCTTTGCTCCCTACAATTCATTGTTCATTCAACAAAGGGGTCTTTTTAAACACAAATCTAATCATGTCACTGCCATCGCCATCCCATTGTACTTGGATGACATCCAAACTTCCAGACATTGGCCAGGACAGCCCTGGAGGATCTGAACCCTGCCTGTCTCATCAATGTCACCATGTGCCACTCCCTTCTGGATTCCACGCCCAGCTGGATTTCATGGTCCATTCTCTCCTTGAACACACCAAGCTTGTTCCACCCCCAGGGCTCTTGCAGTTGCTTCTTTGTCTCCTTGTAATGCTCTGTCCTGATCTTCTCACAGCTGACTCCTTGCCATGCAGATCTCCACTGAGATGTCACCTCCTTGGGGAAGCCAGCCTGACCACCCATCACATCACCCAGGTTTAATGCTCTACAGGATGCTTCTCACCCCTGACAATCTTCGTGTTTGTTTATATGTGTGTGTGCTGTCTGCATCTCACCAGAATAGAAGCCCCAGGAGGGCACAAGACCTTGTCTGTCATGCTCACGGCTATGGCCCCAGCATCTAGCACAGTGCTTGGCTTAGATCTGACATTCAGTCACCATGGCATGAATGTCTGCTTCCTCCCATCTCTGCATCCCTCCTCCCCGACCCACCTACCTCCCATAAGACCCTGGTCTTTCCCACGAGGCTCAACATGGTGAAGATTGAGTGTTCCGAATAATGTGAGGGCCTGGGGTTGGGGGTGAAGAGAGTGGAAATCTTAGTGGCCATCTTTGATCTCCCAGCCTCAGCTGCCACTTCTACCTTCCCACGACCAGGCAAAACCCCTTCAGACCTGTGTGTGGCCCTGGGTCACACCTCCCCTCAGCCAGGGGACTGCCAGGCAGGCAGCCTTGAGCTTGGGATTACCCACTCTGCAGTCAGACAGGCAGGGCCCACATTCTGGCTCCCCCATTTATGGCCAGGGGACTATGTAGAAGTCTCTTCAATTCTCTGATCCTCAGTTTACTCATCTGGAAAATGGAGCTAGGAACAGCACCTTCCTCTTGGGTTATTGTGATGATTTGAAGGAAATAATCATGTAAGGAGGGCCTGGCACACAGCACTTGCTCAATGAAATCGAGATGTTGTGGATACTATGGAGCCATCATAGGGTCTGGGAGCAGGCCTCGGGGAGAACAAGGGTTCCACGCATGTTCCTCCTGAACCAGGGCCAAGTGGAGCCAACAGATCTCAAGACTAAGAACTCAACACTGTCTCTGCTAATCCCACCAACAGGTTCAAACAGCCACACCTCCTCTGCCCTGCATTCCTTCTCAGTCAAATGACAGGGCCTTGAGTCAGTTCATGATAAGGTGACATTACAAATCATGGAACCTACTTATGCTGAACCCAAGCTCCTCCCATGTAGGGTGGCAGGCAGGGAACTGATTCACCCCTTGACACACAAGGCACTGAGAAGACAGATGGCCCACACACCCTGAGTGCCAGCACCAGATCTGGGCACCACCCCCAGGCCCAGCCCATGGAACGTGATCTGGACAATGGGATGGAAGGCCTGCACAGGGCCCCTTCCGGAGGGACAATGCCAGCTAAAACTCAGCACACCAAGCCTGGCCCCAGGGTTCCTTCTGATATGTATTTAGTAAAATGTGACTGTGCATCTTTATGTCCTCAGCCTACCAAGTAGCTAGACACAGCCCTACATGCTGGGTCAATTGTACCATAGTTATTACATTAAGCTACACTTAATATCCAAAAAGTAAGAGCTGTAATTACAGCCACATTGACAAACCTTTCGTCCACCCAGCCCTTGACTGCCAGCCAAAGAATTAGAGACTGAACCCTACAGCCTCGTTGCCTGGCAGGTTATACCTGGGCCACAGGAAAATATCCAGCTTGGAACAGTCTGCAAGGTATGCATGGCCCCTGGAGTCAATCTGGCACCAAGGCCTGAACACCCTTCCCAGCAACCAAAACCATCACTGCCAGCCCAACACCATCAATGCCACTCCCAAGTGCTTCCCAGCCTGTAAAAGAGCTTGCTCACACCACCCACTGGCATGTGAGTAGCCCAGGGGAGAAAGAGGGGTGGGAGTTGCTGGTCCCTCTTGATAGGCAGGGACACAAAGAACCAAAGACAGGCAGAACTTGCCCATGGCCACACAACAGTTAGGAAGGAAAAACTAGAAATCCAACAGCCTGACCCCTAACTCCATGTTCTTTCAACTCCTCTGTCCTAAATGAGTGAAAAAAGCAACAGAAATGGACTGGCTGTTATCATTACTACCCCTTTTATATCTCCATTGGTAAAAACAAAATTAAAACTTCTTCACAATGTGCTGTCTTTATCATTGTTTTCAAATCCATGTTATTATCTGGGCTTCACCACAAGCCTCTCAGGTTGGTATTCATCTCCACATCTTACAGATTGTGAACTGAGGCCCAGCGAGGCTTCTGGCTCACCCAAGGTCACGTGGAACTTCAGAGGCAGGGGCCATGTCTCCTGACTGCCAGCTCAGTGCTCCATGATCTCCACCCACCACCTCCCAGGCCTGAATGAAACTCCACCCTAGCTTCCCGTAGAACCACAGAACCACAGTTCCTCACCAACTACCAGTTGTTGGATGTACCACTCTGCCCTCTCCTGTACCTCTCTCCTTGCTAACCTCAGCCCATTGACCATGAGAAAACAGAGTCCATGGCCCTTGACCACGAGGCCTCTGGGATCCTCTGGAAGCCCCCATGAATGTACTGAAACATACCTGCCAAATATCACAGCAATCAGATGATCCTTCAACCCTTCCTAGAGCACAGCCAATGATGCCCCCCAGCTGGGTGGGGCATCAAGAAGGGGCCAGATGGCACAGGCAAGGGGCTAACAAAATACACAGACCCCAGCCCAGAGTTCTAGGTGGGCCTGGGTACCCCTCAGCATTTTCCACCCCTCTATTCATGCAGCCAGCCACTCAGCCCGCTCATTTCTGCAGAGGTCGGCCCAGGCTGGAGACCCTGCCAAGACCCAGCTTTACCCAGGCATAGCCTGGGCATCACAAGTGTATCATCCCCATCTCCAGGCTTATCTGTGGTCACTAGTCAAGGGCAAGCACTTAGGACACCTTTTTCCACTTCTGGGACATCTGGCGAACAAGCCCAAGTCTCGAGTGAAATGTGCAGACATTCTCCATGGGACAGTGGTTCAGGAAGCTGACTCTGGGACGACTGAGCCTGACCAAACAGCACTGAATGGGGGTGGGGCACCTCAACACAGAAGGGGCTGGTTCTCGGGGAAAGGCTTCAGCCAATACTGGAGGGATGGGACAGGGCAGGATAAGAGTCTGCAAACATTTGGAAGGCTCAAATACCCTGGAGGGATGGAATTACCTTGCCTAGTAGCCAAGTGTTTTAAGGCATCAGGCAAGGCCTTGCCCATAATTCACTTTCTATCTGTACATGAAAGTCCCACCAAGGATGAAGGATATGGCTGAACACTGGACCTGGTCTGGAGTGGAGTGGACTCTGAGAATGTCTGTCTGCTGACACTACCCTTGTTGCACTTCCTGGGGTAGGGACAATAAAGGAGACCCATGTGACCAGAGTCTCCACATCATCCCAGATGCTGGGCTTCCAGGGAGTATGGGAGGAACTGCTTAATGCACATCCCAGTAGCAGTGCCTCAGCACCACATCAGAATCTTCCTGGAGAGAGGCCAACCCCTGCCAGCCTCTCAGGATCCCTGAGTGCCTGAGCTCTTCATACAGATTGGGCAAGCGAGGCCCATAGAGGGTCACACAGGCATAGAGGGTCACACAGGGTCACACTGGCCCACTGCCAGGTCACACAGGCACGATAAGAGTTGGGAATACTGCTTTCTCCTGATGTCCATTGGTAGCGCCATGCCCCATTGGCAAGGCCTTGGCACTTTTTTTTTTTTTTATCTTCCCAGGACTTTTCCCACAGTTGCTTGGGTCACTATGAAACAGGTGATAGGTGGCCCTCGAGTGTTGTGACAGGAGACCTTTGCTTTATCAAAGGAGCTTTCCCATAAAGCGTCCTCAGTTCCCTGAACGTGGTCTCTCCAGGGCTGATGGCACAGAGCAGAACGCATGCCCAGAGAAACGACGGGAAAATGGGTATAAAATTACATAATAATGTCTGAGGCACACACCGAGAAAATCAATGTTCTCTCAACCATGGAGACCCACTGGGAAAAGACAAGGCGAGATGACCAAAGATTTGATGGGTCTTTTAAAGCTTTGTTTGGTCGAAATAGTTGTTCTTATTTTAAAAACTTCTTTGTCGCAGATAAAATTGTTCTCTAATTTGGTCATACATTTGGATTTCATTATTTTCCGAATGTATTCCAGACATCTAAAATTAAACAGATGTCATCAACCCCGTTTAGACCTAAAAGACTTGTAACCAAACAGTGACTTCAACCCCAATACAATACCGACTGGGAACACTGTGTTTTAGTCATTAAAAGTTTTAAAACTCTGCTCCATTTTTCTCATTTCCTATAATGAGATCTTTTCCCCCTCCTTGAAATACGCCAATTCTTCAAGGGTCAGTGGAAAGTCAAACTGGAGAGTAAAGCAAATTTAAATACGAAAAATGGAAGAGTGAAATATGAAATCCTTATCCACTGAAACCCTCACTGAGAAACCGAAGCTCAGTTTCATTGCAAAGGAGAAAAACGGTAAGGCAGAGATATAGAAATAGTATGAGTGCAGGAAGGGGATTTGGCTTCTAAAGCCTGAATTGTTTTATCGTTCCTTTTCTGACAGGGATTAGATTAGTGAGAATCCTCCAAGCTTGCTCAGGGCGTCCTGGGGACAGTTAAGAAGAAAAGACAATTCTTTCTCCTCTCCAATCCTCATCTCTGAGCTCACCCCCAAATGAATTTGTTAAACAGCGTAACCAGGTCAGAGGAAAGTGCCTATTGGAGATGCCCAGAATTCACAAACAGGGGCCTGTGGCCGCCAGGGAAACACCTGGGGAGGGGCTGGGGAATACATATGTTTGATGTTTGGAGGTCACATTGGGAATTTGGCTGTATAATGTCTTCATGAAATGTCCTAAGCAAAATGTAAATAAAATAGAGAATGGGATGAGAGAGGGACAGAGACCAAAAGAAGACCTTTGCCTCTCTCGTGGGAACTCGAGCCATTGAGTCCTGAACTGGGAGGCAGGCCCCTGCCTCCAAGCCCAGCCCCACTGTACACAGCTGGGGGCTTCAGGTGGGCCTGCTGCCCTCAGAAGCCCAAGCCCAGCACATCGCCCTGCCCTCCCAGCTCCTCAGGCCCCATCCTTCCCCACTCAACCCCCAGCCACCCCTCGCAGCAGAGGCTATCCAACACAGGAAGGAGGACAGGAGAGCTCCAGCCCATTCACCTGCACTTCCTAATGCTCACAAAGCAGCGCGTTTGCCCCATAACTCATCCCCCCCAACACCCAAATAACCCTCTGCCTAGGGTACTCTGGGAGGAAGAGCACCTCGAAATATGAGAAACCAGCTTACTTCAAAAAGACAGCACTTCCTAGGGCACCCAGCCCCAAATACCTGTTCCAGGAAAGAGGTTCAGGTTCCCGACCCCAGAAAGGGATATGGCCACTAATCTGCTCCTGCAGGGACTGGCAAGATTCTTGTTGGGGTCTGCCTTGTTTACCCTAGAAGAGGAGGCAGGAGGTCAAAAGACACAAACCCAGCTACCTCAGTTAGAGGACAAAGTCAAAAGCCACCTTTGAGGTGGGCAGGAGGAAAGGTGATGCCCCTGAAACACACATAGGAACGGGCCCACATTGGCCCTGAGTTGGGCCCCTCTCATGTGTCCCAAACTTGCCCATCACTTGAGATGGGCAACACCTCTTGCCTCCCCCAACAGCATCCAGAGAGGTGCTCACTCCTCAATGGCAGGCGAGTCACTTAGTGTCACTGGGCCTCGATTCTCAACTGTACCTCCCGATGATTTGTGAAGATTCACTCCCCACAACTGGCGAACAGCTTGGCCCCAGGTGCAACCCTGGCTGGCCCTCCAGGGGGCTCTGTTGAGGAGTACTGCATCCCTGGAGTTCACTAGCGATGGCTGCCTTAATTGTGGGAGAAGAGAAAAATGACAGCATCTAGTTCTCCTACTCACCAATCCAGAATCAGCCCATCTTATTTCACAGGTGTAGAAACTGAGGCCCAGGGACATAAGGTGAACCTATGCAAGGTGGTCACATTGGAACAGAAGACCAAGTGCTGAAAAGTTGTAACACTGGAAAGTTAGCAATGTGCCAACTGGTAGATTTCAATCTTCAGGGTTCCCTGGATTTGAATTATGTTGGACTTTTCAAAGCACTTTAATCCACTATCTTAGGGTAAGCCCTACACATTTGGAAGAGATGCATCAGGTAGGGGAAACTGAGGTCAGCTAGGTGAAGCGACACTCCAGCTCACATAGCAAGCCAGTGACAAAGCTGGGAGGAAAACTCAGGCCACTCTTCCCATAGACCACCTGCCAGTCAAATTGCCACTGTCACCCAACAATACTGACAAGTTAGGGCTGCCAGAGGGTATTATTTAGCTGGAACAGGGAGGAAGGGGAATGTGGAAAAAGAACTGGCTGTCCAATAGCCTGGCAGGGTGGAGGGGGGGTGGTAGTAAACAGTGACAATTTATTAATGGCCTTTACATCACTTCAGAGACTTGGAAGGGAGAGCCAGCTGACCAATAAGACATCATTACCACCAGACCCCTTGAGCTTACTCACACAAAGACTTTTTAGCCAGCAAATGTCACTCATTTCTCTAATAGGTGGCTGGCAAAGCTCTTTTAGTACCTATAATAAACTGAAGTCACAAAAGGGACAAATTAGCTGGCAATTGTTTGCTGGTAATTATTTGTTTTACCAAAGGATTGTTTTCTCTTTATCCCAGAGTTCTTATAAATAGCAAAAGCCCTTCTAGCATTTGAGTATAATCCCATTCACAAAGGCTCTGAGTACACCCAGCCATTCAGAAGCTCAGAGCTACTCATTAAGTTGGGACTTGACAACTGCCCTGCATAAAGCACCAGATCCTTGGCTCATGGCTGTTCCAAACTCCAAACCCAACCCCAAAGATCATGGGGGGTGGGGGGCATGTTTGACCACAGAAAGGATGCCAGGGAAAGTGGGCATGGGCTCCATGATAATCCCCAAAGTGGGGGCTGGAAAAGCTCTGGTCCTTGTTGAACCTCAGAGAGCAATGTTCATTGCACAGGTGCAGATGGAGCATCTGCTGTGTGCCAGGCATTATGCTAGGCATGGGTGAAATGGACAGCAAATCCAACACAATTCCTGCTTTCCCAGAGCATGGGGGGGGGGGGATGGGGGGGAGGCAAAGATCAAGACAAATATCAATCAGATAGCCACACTAATGAATATCTAACTGCAAAGGCACCTAAGGATCCTGAAGGAAAGGAACTCAGTTCCAGAAGAGCTCCCGATAAAGACACCTGACCTAGCCTGAGGGGAGGCTTTGCAGGAGTTGAGATCTAAAGGATCAGCGACAGTTAACCAGACAACAAGGGGTAGAGCAGAAAGAGGTCCAGGAAGAGGCCAGGGCATGTGTCAAGGCCCTGGGATGGGAGAGAACATGGCATGTTTGAGGAACTGAGAAAGGAAAGCAAAAAGTGCCTGGGCAGCAGAGAGCAAGGGGCAGAGTGATAACAGACGAGGGCTCATAGGTCATGCTAAGCAGTCTGGTCTTCATTCAAAGAAAAGTGGGAAGCCATTAGAAGGTTTAAGAAAGTGAGAGCCATGATCAGTCTTGGGTTTTGAACAGATGGTTCTGGGTGTTGAGTGGAGAAAGGACTGCAGAAGAGCAAGGTAAGATCAAGGTGACAGCAGGTGGCCAGCTAGGATGTGCTGTCCAGATGAGAGGTAAAGGTGACTGGACCGAGGTGGCAGCAGCGATGATGGACAGAGGTGGAGGGACTAAGGAGCTGTCGGACATAAAACTGACAAGGCTTCAGGATGGATTGGACATGGGGGCTAGAGAGAGGGCATGTCAGGGATGCCTCCCAGGTGGCCCCTGAGACGGAGACACTGGAAGAGAGGCAAGGTGACTGTGCTATGCTGGGTGGAAGGGTCAGGAGTGCAGCCATGACCATGGCTGTCTCAGATCCCTTTGAGACAGCCATGCAGAGGGAGACATGGAGGGGCCAGCTAAGTACCGGAGTCCCACAGGAAGATGCAGGCATATCCAGCCCTATGGTCCTTCAGGATGTTATAGGGCACATGTCTCTCTCCACAGCCTCCTTTAGTTCCTCCTTTTAACTCTTCTTATGAGGCGATTTCACAGGGAGATTGCAACATAGAGCTGCTTGCCACAGAGTCAGACGTCTTCCTGCATGAGGGAAATCTGTCTTCTCTCCCTGAGGAAACAGAGGAAGGAAGCCTCAAATCTGGCAATGGGGTTTAAGTGTAGACACTCAGGAGAAGTCCCTGGCTCTGAGGGTGGCAGGCTGAAAGGCTTGGGTAAGCAGGAGTCTGGGCTTCCCTTCCCCTGGGGGTTTCTGAGACAGGGTAAGATAGATGGCTATCTCTGGGGATGCCTAGAATCCAGTGCTGCCAAGAGGTAGGGGACTGGACCTGAGGAACCGAACCGAGAGGCTCCCTGCACCCAGGTGACTAAGTCATAGTCACAGGAACTCTATACACCCAGTAACAATAGCTCCATTCACCAAGTATTCCCAGGCACAGCGCTCAGGGGCTTCATCCACACTCCTTCCTTTGATTATCGCAACAATAGCCCTTGGTGAACACTAGTCCCAGGTGAAAGATACAACACTAAGGCTCAGAGAGGTTAGGTAACTTACCCAAAACCACACAGGAAGAAAGGTACACTGCTAGGATTCAAACCCTTACCTAATACCAAAGCCCACACTTCTTCCTCCCCCTTCTCCTCCAACCCCCTCCCCACTCTAGCATTTAATTCTATTTGAGAAGAGCCTGGTACTAACGTGCTGTTAGAAATGTTAATAACGTGGGCTATGGGCAGGGTAGAAAAAATCTGTAGCAGCATTTCAATACAAATTATAAATATAGTAAAACTTATAACACACAACTGCATCCCACAGAAGGAAAATTCAACTGCTCATTAGCAAAAAGAAAAAAACCTGGGAGAAGAGTCTGTAAGAAGCATACCTTTGTAGAAACAGAGAAAAGATAAAGCTTTGTGTATAGTTTAAATATATCTAATACATTTTGCCAAAGCACCTTTCAGAGATGCCGTGGCCATTTTCACCTGCATTACATGAGGGTTCCTACCCCCACATCGTCACAAACAAGAAAGTTCTACCGATTTGTAAGAACTCTTGTATATTCTTCATCTATCATATGGTACAAATGTAATTTCTCTGTCGGTTCTTGTCTTCATCATTTATTCTTTAGGTTCTTTTTCTAGATTTTAACTTTAATAATCTAGCTTACAAATTAGCATAAATTTATACTTTAAAGCAAAAATCAAGGAATCTGTCACCTATAAAGACAACTTTCTGCAGGATTTTAATTCTACTCTCCATGGTTGACAAAGCCACCGTGTCTGGGGAGTGACAGGTGAGGACCCTCCAAAGGGAAGCGGGTCTGTCCTGGGGCTCACCTAGAGTGGCTGTGGTGGCCAGTGGGTAAGTGCTCCCAGGAGAGACAGCCGACACCTGCTGTCCTGCTGGCAGGGTCCTGGAGCCAGCTGCTGCTGCTTGACCTTCGCATCAGGAGGCCCCACAGCTGCAGCCAGTAGCACAGCACCCAAACAAGAGAGCCACGCAGGAACCTAGGTAGCTAGCTGCATCCTCCCAGGGATCACACCCCGTTGAGAGGCAGCTCCATGCTCACTCCAGGCCTTCACCCAACCCAGTTCTTTGTCACACAGACACACACATGTGCCCAGCACATCTCCAAAACAGCAATGATCCAAATGAGCCTGTGCAACTCAAAGTTGCTCACAGGTCTCAGGATGGAGAGCAGGGAAACTGAGCTCCCCGGCCTTCCCTACACCCCACGAGAAAAGAGCCAGGAGCCAACAGCAGGCCTTCCAAACACGCTTTTCTTCCCCCTCACCCATGTTGTAGGACAGGGGTACCAGAGACACACTGAGCAGCACACGCCCATCTGTCCCCAAATTGCTGCAGAGGGGCCACGTCGGAGGGCTCCCTCCACAGCACCCACCCTTCCCTCTGCGTCACCCATAAGACTGCAGGGGGCTGCTGCAGGGGGATGAGACCTTCGAACACAGGAGCAGGCACTGGGGTGAGACCCCCACAAGTTTTGCGGAAGCAGCTGCCTCTGCCTGGGACCTCAGAGGTTACAGGCAGAGAGGGCTCGGCGGGTGACAGGTTCTGATGCCCCCCAGAATGTGACCTACCCAAGGACCCATTGCTTCCTGGAAACAGGGCCTCTGAAGCTCCCCTTTGACTCTATAGCTTTTTGTCTCTCCCCTTCCCCATGCTGCCCGGCTATGCAAACAAAGGCATGTTTGGGGGAAGAAGGGCGCTCATATTTAATAACCCTCAAATCGGGCTCCACATGTGGCTATTGTTAGGCAGATTTAAACAGCAATTACAGAGGTACCTCCTTCCTCCTCAGCAACAACCTAGGCCCTTAATCCAGCTAAGACCCAGAGAGTTTAGGGCTGAGCTCACTGAGATGAAGGTACCAGCTTAAGCGAGGCCTGCTCAGGACTGGGGGAGCTGGAACACAGACAACGGCCCTCCCTAAATTTACTCCTTCTTGCCAGCCAAAAAAAAAAAAAAAGTGGGGGTGGCAGTGGGGGCTGAAGATGGGGTTGCCTGGCTGAAGTATCTGTGGTAAACTGGCTTCCAGAGAACTCACATGGAAAGCTGCAGAAACGTTTGGACCAAGAATTCAGAAAGGAAGGCAACATGCCCCCACAGGAACCTCGAGCTCAGGCTGAGGCTGGGGGATGGGGGCTCCTCCTTCTAGAACACTTCGTATTCAAGGCTGCCAAAAGTCTGACCAGAGTAGAAAATAAGTTTCCACAGGGGAAACGTGGTCAGGGAGTGAGGAGAGGGTTTACAGAAAGAGGCCAAACAATGCACTGTGAGCATGCCAGCTGCGTTTCTGTCCCCTGCCCTCCTCTCTGCTCCTTCCAGTTCCCCAGCCAGAGGTGCCCTCCCCACCCTGCACTTGTCTCAGTCCCCCACTTCCCATCAGGCCCAGCTGGAAGGTTCTTGCTGCTGCCCTGGAGCTCAGGCCTCCTGAGATGGTACGCACACCGACTGTGCAGGGTTGTGGAGCTCACAGTGCTGATGGTTGGACCTTTGAGCCACCAGGTTCCTCACCCACTTGGGTAAAGAGGCACTGCAAGACAGAAGGCTGTGACTTCTGTCAGCGGGCCTGCGCTGGCTCCATCAAACCAACCTCCACTTTAAGAAGCAAGTCCTTCCTCCTTGTCCCAGCGTCAGAGTGGGGAGTGAGCTACCCACCACTGGAAGCCTTCCAGCCGGAAGACCCCTCGCACTGTGGACATCGCAGGACACTGCGTGGAGGCTGGAGGAAGCCACCACCTCTAGCTTTGAGGGCCTATGACTAGTGAATCGGCATCTCTCCAATTACCATCCTTTCAACCCTGGATTTTCTCATCTAAGTTTTCTGAGTATTATTTGGTCTGCCTTATCACAAAACAATAATGAAAACCATTTGGTGTCAACTGTAATCTTGGATCAAGGCCCAAGCCTGTTGTTGGTCTAGAGAGGCAAAGGAACTGCAGCCAGCCTTCACTGAGCACCTCATCCCGCCAGGTAGCACCATGGTAGAGCTAGAGGTGAAGGCAATGGCTTTGGACAGCACAGACCTGGACTGGGATTCCAGCTTCACCACCTAGCAGCTGTGCGACCCTGGGCAAGTTACCTAATTCTCTAAGCTTTCATTTCCTCCTCCACAAAGGGAAAATAACAATACAACACTAAGGGGCTGCAGAGATGAATTCAGTGAGTGTGTGCAGCCCTGCACAAAGTTGTAGTTCAGGACCAGCAGCATCAGCATCACCTGGGAACTTGGTAAAAATGCAAACTTTTCACCTTAGACCTACTCAATCAGAACCTCTCGGGGCGGGTCTCAGCAATCCCTGCTTCACAAGCCCTCTGGGTGATTCTCACGTACACTGTAGGTTGGAGAACCACTAAGCTGTGTGTGGAAGGTGATTAAGAACTGGCATCTGCCACGCAAGCTACAGTCACAACTGCAAGAATCGCCATCTGCCCCTCCTGTCTCCCTGGAGACAGGAGGCTCAGAAAAGTCAAGTCACTTCTCCAAATTCAAACAGCTAGAACCCAGGCAATGTGACTGCTGGGGCCACAGCCTTCCCACCACACCCTGCTGTCTTCCATTTAAAGCTCAAATCCTAATGCGGAGTAAGTGCTGAGGATGTTCTTTACAGGGCTAAACAGAGGCGAGTGTGGGTAATAGTTGTAAACACTCTATCACTCTGCAGGGAAAGCGAGAAGACTAAGAATAGAAATCATCCTTCCTAAAATATAAGGATGCAGAGCCTCTCAGGCCAGAGATGACTTCATTTCTTAGGAATAAAGGGCACTGGATACACAGAGGGTTCTCCAGGACACAGCTGCTGGGTACTCTTAGGAATGCCCAGGCATCTTAACAGCACTAACAGTAGCTATTTGAGCTATCGATTTCTTTAGTACTTTTCTAACACAAAATGGAAAACACAATTATCAGCTAGTCATGAACTTTGTGACTTTCTCTCCAGGTCTCAGTTTCTCCATGTGCAGACAGGGGAAGCAGTAAGCACCCAAATGCTCTATAGCTTGAGGAAGTGCTGTTTTCCCCTTCCCCATCTGCAATTTGGGCTGAGGCCTCCTCCCAAGGACAGGGTCTCCTTAGCTCGCACTGCACGGAGTCCCAGTGCACTGTGCACCTACTGTGTGCAGACCACTGGTCACATCCGCAGCAAGCACTCATATAAGCCGGAGCCCCAGGCTGACAGGGAGAGAGAAGAGTGTGTCGGTATCTGGGAAACCATTTTGCAGAGAACTCACAGAAACCAGGACCACTGCTGCTCTGCCTCCATGCCTCATCATGTCATCCCAAATTAAAGACCTCTGTGGGCTCTTTGCTTTCAAGAGGAAATTCAAGCTAAATTTAATCTGCCTCAACACCCTGTCTGGCAAGCACTAGGCCCCCAAAAAATGCTTTTATACCAATGCACATAAAGCGATTCACTCACGGTACACCCACCCCCAAACTCCATAAAACCCTGCTGGCCTTATCGGCCCCTGCAAAGCTCCTACAACCACAAGACTGGCACACGGCCTGCAATTCCACCAGGAGCTGCTCTTAGCTGGCCCTCACTCACCACACTCTAGCCACACTGATGGTTTTTAATTCCACAAGGAAACCAAGCTCTGCCCCTACCCCAGAGCCTCTGCAGCATGCTAGTCCCTCATCTGCACTGCTCCTCACTTACTGGGTTCCATCCCAGTCTTTACGCCTCAGCTCAAGAGTTACCTCCCAAGAGAAGCCACTGTATCCAGACTAGGTCCCTCTATCCCATTTGTTTAATAGCACTCTTCACAACTTGCCATTGTCTTTTAGTCTCTTTGTGCTTTATCTGACTATCCTTCCCACTCTAATGAAACAGCTCCAGTAAAATGGGCACCATGTCTGTCCTGCTCACCCATGTATTCCTAGTACCTGGTACGCTACAGGTACAAAATAAATGTTTGTAGAATGGGTGGGTGAATGACTGAGTTCCCAGGGAGAGATATTAAAAATAATTACCATCATCCACAATGAATAGAGGGAGTGATGGGGTTCCCTGGTTGGGGAGGTGTGGATGGGGCAGGCAGGGCAGGCTCCTGCCTCCCTCTCAGAGACTGGTGGGACAGACAGAGAATGGCACCAGAAAACTCACCATAGGACCGATGGTGACATTCTGCCCTATCACTAGCTACCCCTGAAGAGGGCATCTCAAACAGCCTGTGGTCCATGACCACAACATGCAGGCCAGGGTCTGAGCCCTAAGGGAGGAGACCTTTCCCTTCCCAGCCTACCTGTACCTTCTCAAGGTCTGCTGTGGGCCAGGGTCACTGGTGGGAGATAGGGAAGGGCACCCTGGAGAGTACAGCAGCCATCGGCACCATGTTGACAGGCCCCAATGGGAGCCTGATCTCATCACGTCTTCCCTGCTGACAAAAATGCAGCTCCCTGGGTGGGGACACTTACAGAGAACATCAGACCCCATGCCCAACCCCCCATATAGATCCCAGCCAACATTTCCAGTTTGCGAGTTTCTCTAAGCAGATGTGTGCCAGACTGGGCTGGATTACCATTGTAACATTTGCCTTTCATGGGAGTCTAAGCTTCTCCCTCCCAGACTTAGATTTGAAACAAGCTGTGATGGATGTTCATGCTAATAGGAAGACTAACAGCTGGTCACCATTTATTTATGCAAAGAACTTCACGTGGGGAGAAACGTCTACATACCACATCATCAACTAGACACCATTCTGTTACCACGCACAGGCCTGCCGTGTGGGGCTTCCTGCTAAATTAGAGTCCTCCTGTCCCCATGGCTTCTCCTGCCCAGGGATCCCTCACTGAGGAGGAGATGAGGCTGAGGAGGGGGTTTCTCCTCGCATTCATGTCCTCACTCACTCCATGGCCCCAGGCTGGAGTATTTATATAGCCACATTGACTGCTTGCAGCCAGCGAGGTCCATTAGTAGGATGTAAACAGCTCTCAGCTCTTCAAAGGCCAGGGCCAGCCATTCTGTGGGGTCTGAGTCAGCCTGCCAGGGGCTCGCGTTTCAAGCCTTATTCATCTTCCTGATAACTTCCATAAAGGGCCAATGCTGCCTTCCTGGTGTGCTGGGCCTGCCAACAGCACCCCCAGTGGGATTTTCACAAGAAATTGGCATTCACTAAGCTCCTGCTATATACATAACTCTTTCCCAGTCACTCTGGGGAGGGAGAAAAGAGCAGAAAATACATTCACTATCTTTTAGGGCATAAGGCACATGTGGGTAAGAAATATTATGAGTCATCACACAGAAAACCCAACCAAGGGCAGAGTGACATCGGGAAGGGCAGGGTGAGCCAGGAGGGCATAGAACTTAGTGTCCAAGGACATGGGCCACCTCTAGAGAGCCTGGGGTTTGAATGCTAATTGCCTTTAACTGTGTGACCTCAGTCAAGTGGCTTAAACCCTCTGGGCCTAGGTTTTCTCACCTACAAAACGGAGATGACAGCAATAAGATTATGGTGAGGACTAAACAAAATGGTACATGGAGAACACTTAGCATGATGCCTGGAAGAGAGTAAGTGCTCAAGAAACATCAGCTGTGGTTCATTACAAGAGGAAGCTTTCTGGAGAAGGTGAGTTCTGAGCATTCAGAACAAGTGAGGAACACAGACAGACCCCTTCCCTAGCTGGTCATCTTGTCTGTGGGGTGGTGACATTGGCACACACTGCCTCTCTGATTCAGAGTACAGAAGAGGGAAAGACCATTTGCTGGTCTTCTAAGTGTGGACAAAAAAATCCACTCCTAAGAGCCACTCGGTCTTCCAGGAAAAACGAGCAATCCTATAGCAAATTAGCCCATGGAAAAGATTGCCCAAAAGTTCAGAGTCAGATTGTCCTTAGTCTGGGGTAGCCCTGTCGCTCGAGGAAGCTGAGCCTGGCCACAGCTGGGGGTCAGGGCACAGGGGTGGTGGGGCAGAGAGACAGTATGCTTCCTGGCAACACTCCCATTGTCATCACTGCAGAGAGGGGCTTGGAGGAGAGGAGCACCAGCCTTGCACTTTGAAACTGTTACTGGCTTCTGACTCAGACCAAAAAAACCAAACCAAACAAACAACTTCTTTGATTATGCTGGGAGCATGCAAAAAGAAAAACAACAACAACAAAAAGCCTTCGTCTCCTGGCCAGACTTCAAGTCAGAGCGTAGAAGGAATATCTGCATCTGTGCAGATTTTCACAAAGCACTTTCTCATCCTTTGTCTCAGGGTACCCTTACAAGGATCCAGGAAGGCAAGCAGAGAAAGCATGAGTATCATCTTCAGTTTGCAGGTGAAAAATTGGGGTTCAGAGAGGCGAAGGGACTTGCCCAAGGTCACAAGTGACAATGTGGCAAAGCTCAAACTCAAACCCAAGTCTTCCAGTGCCTGATCTAGTCCTCATTGTCTTCCCCACCTGACTCTCTTCCTACCAGTCCCAGCTGCCAAAAATCAGGGCTGTTTGGACAGATAAAGAATATATACAATAAAAAAAAAAAGCTTTCAGCCATGCATGAGACTCCATGGGAGCAAACGATATATTGCATATGGCAACTTCCTTCCCAGATGTTCCCAAGATGGCAAGAGAGCTCCCAGAGGGAAGACAACAAGTTCTCAAGAAGGAAGCAACTTAAGTTCTGCCAAGAGGGAATGGCAAAATGAACTACATCATGTTCACACTGTGGAACAGCAACAGCCACAAGAACAGAACAAGGCTGATCTTGATGTACTGGCACAGGAAGAACACTGGGGCACTGACGAGTAAGAGCCACAGTTGTGAATGAAGCATGCTGTATGATCCCATGGATATCAAACAAGCAATGAAAACAAAACCACATACTGTCTCTGGATTCATAGACACATACGTAAATGCACGGAAAAACATCTGACAAGACCCACCCTCTATCAGATATCTTCCACTTGCCCCTGCAGGGCCACGATCCACCCTCTGGGCCCCAGGAGGTGGCTCTATATGAACTGCATCAGTGGGCTGCCTTGCAGCACCAGCAGGAGACCAAAGGAAGGGGAGAGAATGAGGTTGGAATACTTACTAGGTTGGTGCAAAAGTAGTTATTTTCCCAGTCCTCCCACCAGGAGGTCTCCAAAAACTGGCCACTTCCCTCAGCCAAAGATTATGGCTCCTTTCAAGGTGCCCACACTCTCCTCTTCCAGGTTCTTGTTCTTTGGGCCTAAGGTGAGAAAGGCTTTCTGCTGTAGCAAGCCCTGGAGTGCCGCACTATGCTTTGTGGATTCCCCTGCCCACAACTTTACAATCTTGTCCTTATAGTAAAATTATCCTAGTTAGAATGTGCCATCTGTTTCCTCCCAAGACAACACTCAAGTTATCCACTGAGGGGGCAGTGGAGGAAGAGAGCAGCAGGCACTGGTAGCTGAGGCTTGGCGATCTATAGTGGCATTAGCCTTTGCAGTAATTATATGCTCGTGTGTTTACTTTGTATCATGGAAAATTTCAAGCACAGGCAAAAACAGAATAGCGTAACAAGGTCCCAGGTATCCATTTCCCAGCTTCAACAATCATCAATTCATGGTCAATCTTGTTTCAACCATGGGCCTACCCACTTCCCAGCCCTATATTATTTTAAGGCAAACCCAAGACATCGTATGTTTTAAATTTACAAGAAACTATATTTCTATATGGCCTGGGTAATTAAAATTTAATTAAAAACAAAAAGAAATTCTCAAAACTAGAACTTCTGATGGTGAAGAGACCCTGTCTTTGTTTTTAGATTTTATCCAGGCCAAGGCTTTCCCCCTCCTGTTTGCCCCAGAACCACGGCTCAGAGGCTGGCCAGGTGGCCCTGTTGGCCCCTTCAGTGGGCTGGGGGCCCAACTAAGACTGGAAGTCCTTGCCAACCTGTTTTGAATGTGGAGGATCTTGTTACAAACACAAAGCCACAGGAATACCTCCCATCTGAGCATCAGCTTCTAGTTTTCACCCAGCTACTTTTGTCCCTTGGTTTCCTTGTTTTGTTTCTACTTTTTATTGAAGGACAACTTTATACTTGTGAGATTCATTCCATATTGTTACATATAATTGTGGACTGTTTAGTTCCACTACGGTATAGTATTCCATAGTATGAATTTAAACCACAATTCACTTACCCATGCACTCTTGATGGGAACTTGGGTGGTTTCCAATTTGGAGCTATTACAAATGGTATTACTATGGACATTATACCATATGTCTTTTGAGGTTCATATGTATGCATTTCTGTTTGTTGTACACATAGAATGGAATGTCTGGGTCATAAGAAGACATATGTTTAACTTATCCAAAGCGTATGAGATTTCTGGTGTTCAACATCCTTGCCAACACCTGGGTATCTTCTGGGTTGCTTTGCTTCACTTTAGTCATTCTTGTTGATGTGTTGTGTCTCTCATTGTGCTTTTAATGCGCATTTCCCCAATGACTAATTAAGCCAAACAGTTTTTCTTATTTTTTGGCCATCTGCATATCCTTTTATGGAGTACCTTTTCAAGTCTTTTGCACATATTTCTAGTGGGCTGTCCTCTTTGTCTTATCAGTTTGTAAAAGTTGTTATATACATACACAAGTCACTTATCAGTTGTAGGTTTTGCAAGTATCTTCTATGCTGTAGCTTGCTTCTTCATTTTCCTAATGCTGTCTTTTCATAAGGAAAAGTTTGTAGGTTTAATGTTGTCTAATGTATAAGCTTATTTTCTTGTACGATTAATAGTTTTAGCAACTTGTTCAAGAAATCTTTGCCTATACTACTTTCAGTTGTTTTGAAGATTCCTTTAGGGAAAAAAAAAAGGCAATTATTGGAAATTGAGTAATAAAAGCCTTAAGAAACCCCTGATGGAGACACCAAATCAGCCACTCCAAGAAGGAATCAATATGTGGTTACTTCACTGGAAAGACAATCTCCTGATTTTGTGATTCCCTAGTTAGCAGCCACCAAAGCTCTTCTTAACTGTAAAGGTGAAGAGAAGGCGGCTCGGACAAGTAATCTCTACCAAGATACAAAATGTAAAAACTTTGACTATTTTTAATGCTTAAAAGAAAAGTACTAAATACTTAACAATATGCCAATGACCAGCTTCTCATAGATGAGAGCAGGAGTTCTTGAACCCTAAGGAATGGTAGAAAATGCTAGCATTAAAATTGAAATGACTTCCACAGGACAAGTGTTTTTACACAAAGGCGGAAACGACAGACACTGGGGTCTACTTGAGGGTGGAGGGTGGGAGGAGGGAGAGGAGCAGAAAAGATAACTATTGGGTACTACTGGGGCTTAGTACCTGGGCGATGAAATAATCTGTACAACAAACCTCCACGGCATGAGTTTACCTATGTAACAAACCTGCACATGTACACTCGAACCTAAAAAAATAAAATTTTAAAATAAAAATTAAAAATTAAAATTAAAATTATTTTTTAAAAGAGAAACAATTCTCTTTCCATAAGGGCCTCCTCTCTCCCAAGAGAGGTTTGCATCCTCTCCTGTAGGAAAAGATTTCTAAAATCTTCCACCAGGGGGCATTTCTCCCACTGAAAATAAGTGAAAACATGATCAACACATTCGGTGGTCTTACCAACACCAACTATATTAATCCAAGTAATTTTTAAAGCATTTGTTGAAATGACAAAGATTCCTTTGAAAACCAATGTTTTCACTGTTTAAAGAGCAATAAGTCTGAAAGGTAATGGTGGCTTCCTAAATCCAAACCACTTCAAACAGCTTAAAAAAAAAAATTAACATCAACAAAGGGGAAAAAACAACAAGCAAAAATAAAATCTATGTATGACTCATGTCTTTGTCATTACTAGGAGTCACATAATACTATGAATTCCAAATTACATTTCAGTAGAGAAGTACCAAATTCTAACAAAGCACCTACCATTACTGGAAATCTGTAGGTGTAGAAGGCAGGAAACGGGAGTCTTAAGAAATTCCATGGAAACAAAAGGAGGAGAGAGAACAAACAAGACAAACAGAATCACCCCAGAGAGGTACAGTACAGCACTAAATGCAAAATAATGAACATAAGTCTGGAACTTCGTAGTTTACAGTAATGGCCGTCAGGAAGGTACTTGAAAGTGAGTAGGGTCAGAAGTGACAATGTCAGAGAAGCACTGCTTTTGGGAAGAGAAGAAAATAAATAGAAAATAGGTGTCTCTTAGAGATATGGCAGTAAAGAAAAAGAAGAAATTAAGCATACTGCAGGGGAAAAAAAAGACAGAAAACAAGACAAGCCCTCCTACTCCCTCTATTCATTCAATAAACTGCACTTCATCATATTGACAGAAGAGGGCACTCTTGAAATAGGCACTCACCACAAAATGCCTAGGAATAAAGGGAAAACTCGTACTAACTCCACATTGTTATTAGTATTCCTCGGCTAATCAGTGGAGCTGATTTTTTTTTTTAAAGATAAAATATGCACCAAAACATTTCAACTAATTAAAATTCTCCCCCACAAAGAAAATCAACCATGAAGCAGAAGTAAACTGTCATGTAACATTCCAAACTGAGTTAAATATTATAAAATAAGTATTTGAATATTGTTTAAAAAAACTAGAATCAGAGATTTAAAACTTAGAAGAGAACCTTTTAAAATCAGGAAGAAATGCAATGGGAGTTGATCAATTTCAGGAAATAAATTTAAGAAAAAGACCAAAACTATTTCAGAAATGAAGAACAAATTACAATGTGCCCAAGAGAGAATAAGTTCAAATGAAAATTTAATAGGGAGCATTTACAAAGGTAGTAAAACAAAAACCAAATGAAAATGAATTGAGAACGAGGTTAAAAAAAATCAGCGAAAGTGGTTGAAATGGAAGGCAGGCAAAGATGAGCTAACCTATGTATAATTGGAGTCCATGAAGAAGAAAAATAAAACAATAAAATAGAAATATTTTGAAATATAACCCAAGAAAACTTTCCAGAAATAAGATAAATCCTAAATCAACATAATGAAAAGGTCCACTGTGTGGCTTGGAGAAATGATCTAGAATGAACAACTCTGAAACATATCCTAGTAAAACTACTAGATTTTTATGACAAATAAAAAATCTTCATGACTTTCAGGCAAAAAGGTCAAATTTTATTCTGATAAAAAATGTAGGCTGACCTCAGGCTTTCTAAGAACAACACACGGAATTGGGTAAGAGTGGAACAGCATTTTCAAGAAACTCTGAATCACCCCAGAGAGGTAAAAAGTATAGCACTAAATGCAAAATAATGAACATGAGTCTGAAACTTAGTTCACAGTACTGGCTGCCAGGAAGGTACTTCCTGGCAGTGAGTAGGGATTTTATAGTGAGTAGGGATTTTATATCCATCCTTCATCCAACCAAGTGATAACTGGGGGAGCTTCTGCAAAAGAACCGATAATCATTTAATACATTTAATTACAGAGCTAAGATTAAAACTAGGGTGGGGTCATGGTATCAGAAGATTCTGTAAATATGACATGTTCTGACAAAGTAGAAAGAATGTAATCTTAAAATAGTACCAAAGGAGAAAGCAAAATATGACCATTGATTGTCGTTTAGGTAACAGGTGAGAGTCAAAGGATATCATGTAAAACTGACAGACTAGATAGTAAAAGTTTAAGAAAGGGGAGAATTAAGGGCACTATAAAAGGTATAAATATGATGGCAACCACTAGATCAAAAACATAAGCCTTTCTAAATGCCAAAAGAATTTTTAGACAACAATGAAAATACATCAAATAGAGAAAGAAACTCAGTAAATAAAACAATACAATCAGCACCTCAGCATCCTACTTAATATGGAAACACTAGAGGTATTCCCACAAAAGGAAAGAACAAGGCACTTTTCCGCTATTAACATTGTGCTGGAAGTATTAGCTAACATAGACAAGAGAAAACAAAAGGAGGCTTGAGGATTAGAAAAGAAGACAAAAAACTAACTCTATTGCAGAGGACACAGTAATTTATCAAGAAATCCTAAAGAATAAATGATAAAACTCACAAGTTCTCAAAACATTTATTCTCAAAATTCCTTTACACTCTTAAAAATCAAGGACCTCAAAGAGCTTTTGTTTATGTGGGTTATATCTATTGATATTTACAGATTAGAAACTAAAGCTGAGAAAATGTTAAATATTAATTTTAAAGTAAGAATATAAATGCATATTTTTGAAAAATAACCATAAACAAAAACTTTCAGTGAGAAGAATGACAACATTTTACATTTTTAAATATTTCTTTATTGTTGAGCTTAATAGAAAACGGCTGGATTTTCATGTTTCTGTAGTCAATCTATTATGATAGCACACATTACATAGCCTCCAGAAAACTCCACTGTACACTTGAGAATGAAAGTTAAAAGGGAAAATTATGTCTTAGTATCATAAATATGAGAGTCTTAGTAACATGAAAATGGTTTTGACCTTGTGAATTCACTAGTAAAATCTCAGGAACCCCCAAGGGTACCCAAACCATATACTGAGAGCCACTGAACTAACTCAAACAGTAAAATATTCAGCAAGTCAGTAGGACATAAAATAAACACTAAAAGTCAGTGGCCTTTATAGGCACAAATAATAACTAATTATAAGATGTAAACAGAAAAGAAACTTCCATTTATAATAGCAATGAAAATAATAAAATACTCAGAAATAAATCTAACAAGAAATGTTGAAAACCTATACAAAGAAAACCATAACACCCTCCTAAAAACCATAAAAGTTGACTTGAATAAATGCAAAAGATACCCCTTGTTCATAGTCAGGATGTCTCATCATTAAATTAATGATATAAATTTAATTTATAAACAGTTATAAAATTACTCAGTTAATTTATAAACTTAATATGATGCCTTAAAAATTCTAAATGGCTTTTTTCTGTAGCCAGACAAGTTGATAGTAAGGTTCATATGGAAAAATTAATTTGCAAGAATTGGTAGGCGGGAAAACACTGAAAATGCAAAGCTCTAAGGAAGGAACCAGCCCTACCAGGTATTTTTAAATATTACAAAGCCTCTATAATTAAAGGTATGGTAATAGCACACAAAGAGACAGACCAGTGGAATCGAATCCAAAGACCAGAAATAAGCCCAACTACATGTGGAAATCTAGCATATGATAACAATGATATCTCAAATCACTCAAGCAAAGATGATCTTATAATAAGTGGTGTTGGTATGGATAGACATTTGAGAAAATACAACTAGATCCATTCCTCACATCTATGCAAAAATAAATTCCAAATAGACTAGAGATCTAAGCGTAGAAAATTAAACTACAGTAGTACTAAGAGAAAAACATGAGTGAATTCTTCTATAACCTTGGTATAGAAAAGCTTTCTAATTATGAATCAAATTCCAAATGAAATCAAATTTTAAAACTGATAACTATAATTTTAAAAATTTTCAGAGCCAAAAAAAACCACCACAAGCAAAATCAAAAGACAAACATCAAACTTGGAGAAAATATTTGCAACTTGAAGAATATTACATGTATCACTGGTAAGGAGCCAATACACCTTTAAAAAAAAAAAAGACCTCAAAAAATCCTATAGAAAGACAATCAACGATATAAATAGACAATTCACCAAGAAGACATTAAAATGCCTCTGAAACCTATGAAAAAAAATGTTCAACTTTACACACAGAGAAGTGTAAATTAAGACTTCCCTACGATACTATGTCCCATCCATCAGATTGGCAAAAATTCAAAATCCCAACAATACATTCTGTTGGCAAAGCAGGAAGGAAATAGGTATGTTCATACATCATGAGTGGGAATGCATATTATATAACCCCTAGGAAGAGGAATTCAGCAATACTAACAACACTACATATTCACTTAGTTGATCCAGCAATCTTACTTTTCTAAAAAAATTACCCTAAAGATACACCTCCCACAAGAATATACATACATACAAGTTTATTCATTACATCATAATATTGAAAACTACCTAAATTCTCAAACACAGGAAATTGGTTGAAAAAAAAAAACTATGTTACATATATACAATGGAGTAATTTCCTGCTGTAAAGAAGGATGGAACAATCGAACAATCTCTATGAACTGATATGGAGTGATTTCTAGAATATATTGTCAGGTGGAAAAAGCAAGGCTCAAAAGAATACATAATATATACTAGCACTATGTAAGAAAGAAGAGGAAACTAGGAAACATACATGCATTTGTTTATTTTTGCCAAAAAAAAACATAGGAAGGAAAAATCAGAAAAATATAAAATTGTTTACCTTCTGGGGAATGGCGGAGGAGATAGAGTGAAAGGGATACAGAAGTGACACTTTTCTCGGTATTTTTTTTGTATAACATTTAATTTTGGAAGCATATTCATAAACTACAGAATCAAAAAACAAGGATGAGGGGAACAAAAACCAAATTGAAAGCAAACGAGCCAAACTGTATTGCAAATAAATCCTAAGAAAACTGCTGATGAACCCAAATTCAGAACCACACTGATGTGGGAAAGCACTAATCCTAGTAATTGTTGAACAAAGTATATTGACTATATGTCCTCAGCATAGAAGAAAAAGAACTGCAAACTAATTGTGAACTCTTTCACTTAGACTTGTTTCTCACAGCAGTATGGGTGTACCAATTTTGAAACAATCTTCTATATACAGTATAGGATTGAGACTGAGTAAATGTGAAATAATGCTGGAAGTCAGAGTTCTAAACATAGGGGAGATCCAAATATGGGAGTAGGGACACTCATGACACATATATACATACACAAAGAGACACAGACACACATACATTTTCAAATATGTATGTGTAACTCTGAATGTGTATGTGTATGCATACATACTTGTATATTTCACAGCTGGGATGGATAGGGGATATATGTGTATGTGTGTACATATCTATCCTAGATTTGAAGGAGCCTGGAGACAATGACACTCCAGTAGTGTTAGGCATAGTCAGTGCCTAGATCTTGGTTTTTAAATACCATTCCCCACTTAAAGGAACCAGAGTTCCTTAGCAAAACAGCTGATGCCAGGACTAGGTCAGGGAAGGTAAAAGGTAAGCCTGGAACATCTTGTTTATGCCAGAAAATAAAGAAGTATTGAAAGTAATGATGGTGGCACATGAAAAGCAGACAGGAGACAAGCCTGAAGGAGATCTCACTGGCTAAACCTAGGACAATTTGAGCACAAAACAAATAATGACAATAATATATTTGAGCCCATTAAATAAAACAGGAATCAATGAGGCTATAGTGATAAAGCAGCAGCAGCAGCAGAAGAGGAGGAGAAAAGAAGAAAGGAGAGAGGGAAAGCGGGAAAACTCAAAATCAGAGAAGAACGCTAAGCGGGAAATATGCAGAAAGTAGCAGCACTGGAAAATCACCATGTTCTGACCATGCAGTAAAGACTGGCTGAGGCAGGACTCATCAACAGACACTAAATTCAGCAGGAGGGGTGGGGTGTAGATTTTGAGGAGAAGCAGAATATTTGCACTTCAAAGTGTCTTCCCACAGATCGATTATTAGTTATAAGGGAAAATGGTAACTATACAGTGCAGTAACCAGACAAGATTTTGGCCAGGAAATCAAAGTTAACATCACCAATGAGAAGCAGACAGTCATCTGACAAACCTAAACTGAATTGGAATATTCTACATCCTGACCTGGTCTTCAAGAAAACATCAATGTCATAAAAGACATAGGCTGAATAACCACTCCAGATGAAAGGTTAAAGAGACCTGACAATGTGTGACCATAAACGCAATATGTTCTCAACAAAGTACTGGCAAACCAAATTCCACAGCACATCAAAAAGTTAATTCACCATGATCAAACAGGCTTCACTCCTGAGATGCAAGGTTGGTTCAACATATGCAAATCAGTCAATGTGATTCACCACATAAACAGAATTAAAAACAAAAACCATATGATCATCTTAACAGACATGGAAAAAGCTTTCCATAAAATCCACATTCCTTCATGATAAAAACCCTCAAGAAACTAGGCATTGAAGGAACATACCTCAAAATAGTAACAGCCATTTATGACCAATCCACAGCCAAAATCATGCGGAATGGGCAAAAACCGGAAGCATTCCCCTTGAGGACTAGAACAAGACAAGGATGCCTACTCTCACCACCCCTATTCCACATAGTACTGGAAGTGCCAGCAAGAGCAATCAGGCAAGAGAAAGAAATAAAAGGCATCCAAATAGGAAAAGAAGTCAAACTAACTCTTCACAACGATTCTATACCTAGAAAACCCTAAAGACTCCACCAAAAGGCTCCTGGAATTGATAACTTCAGTAAAGTTTCAGTATACAAAATCAATGTACAAAAATCAGTAGCATTTCTATATATCAATAATATTCAAGCTGAGAAACAAATCAAGAACACAATCCCATTTGCAGTAGCCATCAAAAAATAAAAATACCTAAGAATACATCTAACCAAGGAGGTGAAAGATCTCTACAAGGAAAACTACAAAACACTGCTAAATGAAATCATAGATGACACAAATGGAAAAACATTCCACGCTCAGATTGGAAGAATCGATATTGTTAAAATGACCATACTGCCCAAAGCAATCTATAGATTCAATGTGATTACTATCGAACTACCAACATTATTCACAGAATTGGAATAAAACTATTCTAAAATTCATATGGAACCAAAAGATTGTGAATAGCCAAAGCAATCCTAAGCAAAAAGAACAAAGCCAGAGGCATCACATTACCCAACTTCAAACTACACTGAAAGGCTACAGTAACCAAAACAGCATGGTTTGGTATAAAAACAAACACATAGCAAACAGAACAGAACAGAAAACTCAAAATTAAAGCCACAGACATACAGCTATCTAATCTTCAACAAAGTTGACAAAAATAAGCAATGCGGAAAGGACTCCCTATTCAATGAAGGATGCTGGTATAGCTGGCTAGCCACATACAGAAGAATAAAACTGGATCCCTATCTTTCAATGTATACAAAAATAACTCAAGATGGATTAAATATTTAAATGTAAGACCTCAGATATAAAAATCCTAGAAGAAAACCTACAAAATACCCTAGGTTTTTGGCAAGGCCCTACCCATTGGCCTTGGCAAATAATTTTTGGCTAAGTTCCCAAAAGTAATTGCAATGAAAACAAAAATTAAACTAGTGGAACCTAATTATACTAAAGAGTTTCTTCATAGCAAAAGAAACGATCAACAGAGTAAACAGACAACCTACAAAATGGGAGAAAATATTCAAAAACTATGTATCTGACAACAGATCTACAAGGAACTAAGATCTACAAGGAACTGAAACATTGAACAAGCAAAAAACAGACAATCTCATTTTTTAAAATGGGCAAAAGATGTGAACAGGTATTTCTCAAAAGAAGACATACAGGTGACCAACAAACATGAAAAAATGCTCCACATCATTATCAGAGAAATGCAAATCAAAACCACAATGAGGTACCATCTCACACCAGTGAGAATGGCTATTACTAAAAAGTCAAAAAACAACAGATGTTGGCACTGCTGCAGAGAAAGGGGAACACTTACACACTGTTGATCAGAATGTCAATTACTTCAGCCACTGTGGAAAGTAGTTTGGTGATTTCTCAAAGAACTTAAAACAGAGCTACCATTCCATCCAGCAATCCCGTTACTGGGTGTATATCCAAAAGAAAACAAATTGTTCTACTAAAAAGACACATGCACTCATAGGTTCATCACAGCACTATTCACAATAACAAAGACATGGAATCAACCTACATGCCCATCAATGGTAGACTAAAGAAAACATGGTACATATACACCATGAAATACTATGCAGTCATAAAAAAGAATGAAATCATGTCCTTTGCAGCAACATGAATGCAGCTGGAGGCCATTCTCTTAAGCAAACTTACACAGCGACAGAAAACCAAATACCACATGTTCTCACTTATAAGAGGGAGCTAAACATTGGGTATTCATGGACATAAAGATGGCAACAATAGACACTGGGCACTGATGGGGCAGGAGGCAAGGATTAAAAAACTAAAGGCCAGGCGCGGTGGCTCATGCCTGTAATCCCAGCACTCTGGGAGGCCGAGGCAGGCGGATCACAAGGTCAGGAATTCGAGACCAGCCTGACCAACATGGTGAAACCCCATCTCTTCTAAAAATACCAAAATTAGCCAGGCACGGTGGCGCATGCCTGTAATCCCAGCTACTCAGGAGGCTGAGGCAGGAGAATCGCTTGAACCTGGGAGATGGAGGTTGCAGTGAGCCAAGATCGCACCACTGCACTCCAGCCTGGGCAGCAGAGCAAGACTGTCTCAAACAAAACAAAACAGAAACTAACTATGTGGTACTATGCTGGGTGATGGGATCATTCGTTCTCCAAACCTCAGCATCACGCAATATGCCCAAGTAACAAACCTATACATGCACCCTCTGAATCTAAAAGTTGAAAAAAAAAAAAAAAAGAAACAATATGTGATCATTGCCCGGATCTTATGCTGAAAGGAAAAATTTGGAATGTAGACAGTAGACTAGGGTAAATAATAGAGTTAAGACTAACCATTCAAGGCAAAAGTCTTCCAATTCTGAAAGGGCCTTTTGAAATCTAGACTTGGCAAATGCCCCAGCATATTCTTCCCCCACAGCTATGTCACACTGCCCTTCCCCAGTGAATATGCAGGCGTTCCAAGAAGGGCAACCAGCCGGGCCCTGAAGAGGGCAGCCCCAGAATCATCAAGTTTAATCTGCCCAAAGAGCATATATGACTTAAGTGTTTCCAGCCTTCTACAGTGGATATACTTGGCAAGAACATACCTGTAGGATCCCCTGGAGAAGACAAGGCCATTATGGAAGCCTAGAATCCAGGGGTGTGGTCTTCTTCTGACCCTCTGCCAGGATGGACATGGCCCAGAGGGCCAAAACCCAAAACTCTCCCCAGCTGGAGCTCAATGACCTGTGTAGATCTGGCAGCAACCCCAGGCCTTAGCAAGCCCCTGTAATCTTCCTCCCAATTCTGGCCGGCCCACAGGAGCTGTCGGCAGCCACCCCAGTGACTCACCCAATATAAAAATGGTGGGGAGGATGGGAAATGAGTGATCATTCACTTTGAAATGCATTTTTTTCTTCTTGGAGATTTATTCTGGATTATTGCATCTGACACCATTCATATACTGAGAATAGCTTTTGTGCAGGAAACAAAAGGAAACTGTGAGATAGCTTTTATTTTATGTTCTTAGAGATTTATTTGGTTGGATTATATCTGGCATCAGGACGCCCACAGCTCCATCAGATTGCAATGGCAGAAGACAGGACAGACCAAGTAAGGAGTCCACATTACCAAAGTTGCTGTGGCAATTCTGGAATTTCACAATGTTCTCCCTCATAGCCAGGTGAATACTACAAGATTCCAGTAGGACATCCAGAGGAGAGGGAGAGAGAAACAGGGACATGGAAATCCAGGGAGAAAGGCCTGACATATGCGATGACAGTTTTATCATCTCCTTTAGTTCTTCTAAAAGTATTTGTTCCTATGCTCTTGAATCTCATTTGAGGTCAAGATGCAATTTCAATTCAAGCTAATAACAAGGGCTCTGAGAGTGGTGTTCTGCTTGCTGGAGTCAAAGCAATGCTCAGCTGTCTATGCTGAGATCAGGTAGAGAAGAAAAGCAGGGCTGAACTTTATCTCTAAAATGAGGGTGACCTAGAGCATGGCCTCTTGTGGGGATTAAGTGGCTAATAGCAATGACACTCAATGGTCAGAGCACATGCTAAGTGATTGCTTGACAACGAGTGACCCAGTTGACTGTTGTGAAGTCCATTTTGCCTTCTTTCCTCTCCAGATAAATACCATGATGAATTCCCCAACTGATAATCACAGAGAATTCCAGTGTTTTACAAAAAACAGTCTTATCACCCCCAAATCCAAAGTGCCACTATAGCCTCATCACCTCTCGGCTTTGTGAACCAGGAAAGCATCAAGGTCTTCCTGAACAGCTCAGCCTCACAACCAAGAATGTTCCCACTTAAAAGACCTTCCAACACCACATTTTCTTTTCACTGGCCCCCGGAATATGTTATCTTGGGAGAGGGAAAGTTAAAACAAATGAACTCGCAGCAGCTGGGGAGGAAGACTGAGAATGACTCAGGAGTCATTCTCCCTCCAGACAGGGTAATTTCCTACCCAGTCATAGGCAAGGTTGAGAGCTGAGCTGCATCTTAAAGCTGCCTGGGGTGAGAGACAGGAGTTTAGTGATGTAAAGAATAACTGCTAATAAAGTACTTTCTCTCTTTATTTGCTACAATTCTGTGAAAGTCTCTCAGTTCCAGATGCATAAAACTGGAGAAGCGGTCCACAGCTCAATCACCCACCTTCTCTTCCAAAGAATCCACAAGTACTAGAGGGACAGCATCAGCAACACGCCGGGCGGAATCACTCGGGGGCCTTGGAAGACCTGTTCTATTTGCTTCTGAAGGTGAGAGAGTGGAGGACCCCAGAGAGTCTTTCCTCCCATGGAAAATTCTCATGACTGAGCAGCTTTAAGCTCTTTGGAGCCCTACGGGGCTGAGAGGGCTACTTACAAGAGAGGTTGCCCAGACTCTCCCAAGGCAGTTGCATAGCCTGATTTTAGAATAATATGTGGCCACAAAAAGAAGTCAGTCTGCTGGGATTCCTCTGGAGAGCCTGAGAAGGGGGACAGGGCAGCCAGCTGGCTGGCAGCCACTCCAAGCACAAAGGTGGGAGCCAGCTGTGCCAGGTGTGTTTAAAGTTCATCTTACCTTTGGTCCCCCAATACCTGTGTGATGGATGGCATTGTGGGAAGGTGTATTCAGCCAGTAATGCATTTCTGTCAGAGTGGCTGGAAATAAAAGGGAGATGATGGGAGGGGGGCTGCTTTTGTGCTCGGGGTAAATAACCAGTCGGCTAGGGTTTTTCTTCTTCTTCTATTCATGTTCATGGGGCCAGGAGGGACTAAAAGTTTACTGACTTTCCTAACATTCCTTCTTCTCCATAAAAATGTAAGTCCAGGGTAGGTAGGATTCCTCTCCCTCCTTGGCTGGCCAGCCTCAGAGATTTCAGTGAGCCACTCGCAGTCCCTGAATGCGCAGACCTGGCATAACAAGAAGATTTCTGACTACGGGGCATTTCTCCGTACAGAACGGCTGGCTCTAAAGGCAGTCGGCACCCAGGAGAAAACATGCCAAATAATTTTTTCTACATTAAATTATGAGGTGAGCTGAAAAAACACAACTAAATCACCCCTAGTCCAGGGCTTGCATGAGCCCCTTGACTAAGAAAATAACTTTTCAGGACTAGGTTCTGAGCAGCCATTTGGCCAAATACCAGAGTCTCTTTCTATGATCTCAGAGACCAGGAGGTAAGAACATTTTGGCCTCAGATAAGCCAGGAGACAATCACCTAAAAACAGACATCCTTGGGCTTTGACAGCCAACTCCCTCTATAGGGGAGAGAGAAGGTGTCTGGGTTAGATACCCATGGGTCCTGCTGCTACCAGCTGAAGGCCCCATGGGAACTGCTTGACCTGTGCTGGTAAAATGAGGGTGCAAGGGCAGTCCAGCCATGCTGGACGCGCAGCATGGAGCACGGATGCCCTGCTGCACCCAGACGCCAAGTATCATGCTTGCACATGCTGCAGGCAGGCGTGGCCAAGCAGGACACAGCCTTTGTGTATAAAACCACCACAGAACGAGAAAACATTGCGTCTGAAATGGGGCCAAGGCTCCTCCATTGACAAACATCTACTGTGATTCCCAGCCCCTTCTGAAAAGGCCTAGGGGAAAGTCATGGCTCCAGGCCCCCTTCCCCAAGACAGGAATGAGAGTATCACCACACACAGCCTCTCCCCTCAGTGCTACTGAGCCCCATGTGACATCCTCACAGGCCAAATCCATTCACAAAACTCAGTCCCCTCAGGACATAGATATCTAGTTTTGCCCCCATGGTTTAGAAATATAGCTGCTATACTACCTTCTACCCAAAACCCAAAACAGCCACCAAGAGCCCCACTTTGCTGGAGACTTCCTGATAGGGTTGTTTGTGTGGGTAGATTCAAGCCTGTTTGTGGTGGATACCTAGGAACCCAGCCCCTGGGAACAGAATGGCTAATCCATGATATTTGAGGGTGGTCCATGACTTCCAATGAAAAGGCATGGCACCGTCCTTGGATCTGAAGCTCCTCAAACCTTCTTCCTGACTTCCGGCGGAAGCCCCTGTGCTGCTCTTGGGAAGTAGAGCCTGCTCCCAAGCTGAACAAGCGGGTTTATACCCCGCTTGCCCCACTGTACCCCGCCAAGCAGGGCACGCCAGCAGAACTGTCCAGAGGAAGCCATGGCGCAGCCTGGCTCCCGCTAAGGCTCTCCCACCGCACTGTCGCAGGAGAGCCCGGGACGGCCTGGCTCCTGCTCTCAGAGATACCCTCAGCAGGTCGGCCAGCCCAGGACGTGGAGCGCACAAGTCATGAATTCCAGGCAAGCCACTGAAGCGTGGCTTCTCCCCGTAGCGTCAGCACCACCGGCGGCCAACAGGTGGCAGGAGAGCTTCGGGGAGCGCGCACCTGAGGCCCGCGGCTGGGTCTCAGGCTGCAGCGGCAGAGGCCGAGGTCTCCCTCTCGCTGCGACCCACGGGGGAAGACAGAGCCTGCCGGGGCTAGGAAGAGAAGGCGCAGAACGGCGTGCGGGAGCGAGCTAGCGGGGCCTCTACTTTGCGCCGCAAGCCGCGAAGCAGCTCCTGGCCGCCAGCCCCGCAGCTGCCCCCTCAGGCCTCCCTGGCTGCGTGCAGACCCGTCGCGGGACCTGGCCGGGAGCCGACCTCGACTCCACCCCCGGGGCTGGCACCCCCACCCCCGCAGACCCCAGGCCAGGGCCAGACCATCTGGGCTGTTCTGGGTCCCGCGACGGGGTTTTGAATTACTTCTAAATCATGTCCTTTGCTCCTAAAGAGCAAGCAGGCAGTGGCCGATGGAGGTGAGAGAGACAGCCCAGAGATACGGGGTCGTGGCCGTCATCGGCACCCCTTGTTGGCTTCCTGCTACAAGCCGTGATGATAAAATTACGGTTTTTGTGAAAACCAGAATGGTAACAGAGGAATTTTTCCTTTTTATAAATAACTAACATTTCCTACCACCAAATTCCAAAACTGCCAGAGGGAACCCCTTCCGCAACGCCACAGCACTTTGTTCTGCATTGCCCCACACTACACAGGCAGCGAAAGGAATCCATCAGGTTTAATTTGTTCTGCTCTGGTCAGAACTGAGGTCTCTAGAAGCCTCGCATATACTTTACCATTTTAAGTTTGAGAACCCTAAACTAATGATGTGAAACTAATGTAGTGTAACACCAAGTGCCCTCTCTGCCAGTAGGAAATAATTTCTGCAGCGCTTCTAAAAACCAAACCAAACCAAACAAATAAATCAAATGATTTTACAATGTGGAAAAGCCATGAGCGAGCCGGCTGGGCCGTGGCTCTGTTTGGGGGAAGCAGGCGGTTTGAGAGGCTCAGCGACTCAGCCGCGAGCAGTTTTCCTGGGCTGGGGTGTCTGCAGCTGGGAGCGGCATTCGAGCTCTGGCCCAGCAGGCCTCGGGAAAACAATCTGGGCCACAAATTCAACATGACAGTTTTAACAAATACGATTTCAACTTTTATATTTGGATTTAGGAAGGAGATGATGGCCTTACCCCGGAATCACTATTAAATAATAAGCTTATAACATATTTGCTGACGGCAATATAGACCCTGCTTCAAATTAACTTTAAAATGTGCTGCCGATACATACGGCTTATACTTAGAAAGAAAACAAAGCTGGTGACCGGGCAGATTGAGTCAAGAGGCAAATGTACAGAAATGTACACAGAGTTGATCAGAGTTTTTGCTACCTGAACAGCCAAAGGAGGCTTTAAAATTCAAGTTAGTTCTTTAAAGACTTATAATAATAATTTTCCCCCAACTGATTAGAATATCAGTCTTTAAACATTTAAAGCAAGCTCAAGTTCTGACCATTTCAGCTTCTCAGAAGTGTAGACATTTTTTAATGCATTTACTTTATTGTGAAATTGCAATATTTGTTAATGAAAGAGAATTGGTTGCATCTGTCTATTTTACAGGTTTTTAATATCCACTAGTCATTTGACCAATGTAGAAAGCAAATAAATATTTTCCCCTCATGTCATTTTTTTAATTTCCCAGAAACAAGTGTTCCTTTATTATCTGTGACCTACTCAAATGAGAATTATTTTTAAAGAGTTGCAGGTTTCTATACCTGCTGGAGTGTTTAGAGCCCAAAGCACTGTATTTCTCTAGAACATTTTTGTTGAGCTTTAACACAGTCTTACCTGCATATCTTATATTACTTGGAATTGGGTAACATACATCACTTTGGAAAAGATAAACAGGCTACTATAAAAGACAGGAAATAAATAACTCATAAGGTCACCTTTGGTTGAAGCAATCTTATTCTAGTACTAGAAAATATTCGTTTATTTTTTTAAAAAATACAAATAAAGGAGCAAACCTGAAAGAATTAACTAAAGATTCAAATAATACAACTGTCTGTTGCCTTGTGTCCATGTGGGGTTTCACACAAAATTGGGTTTGAGTTTATTGGAGAAATTAAGGTTATTTGAATCAACACTGAGACGTAGGTCTACAAATCATTTATCACTCACTCATTCACTAGCAGAAAAGCATCTATGGGACCCTTTTGTATGGGAAGGCTTGCGTTTCTGAGAGCAGAGGCACAAAAGAGAAGCCTTCGTTGTTGGTTAAAAATGATTACAGCTAATACCTGACCGTGGCCGATTTTCCTGTCGTTCACCACTTTAACATCGGAAACATGTGATCGGCCCTCCAGATGCCCATTATTAATTGCATGCCCTTTGATGTCTGAACATCGATGGAATCTACAAAAGCATTAACGTAAGAAAATATGCCTCCTGAAAAATTCCCAAGTCACTGACTGGTGATCGGCGCATGTTCCCATTCGTTTGCTCACCTTCAGTGGCACTGTGAAAATAGCCCCAAACCCCAGACATTTTGCCACGAGTTTGGGCAAAAAAAAATTTCAAGACTTGTTTACAGTTTCTACTTCAAGTGGGGGAAAAAATGGCACATTTGCACATTCAAGAAGTATCTGTGTAATTTAAGATAACACATTTCTAAAATGCTTAAGGTTCAGGAATTTGCATGAACATAATTATAAAGAAAGAAAGAGAGGAGAGATAAAACAACAGTTAAACAGTTCCACTGGACAAGTGAATAAAGGCACCTCATTATAAATATCTCCACTTCGCTATGTTTATTTTCTCCCAAGAGACAACTTTATTTTTTAAAGCCTTATCATGAAGGAAATCGCTGACTATAGGTAAATTTCTTTTCTCAGGCGGAACTCAAAGATATTGTTATAACATGTTTTCTTGTGTGCAATTTCAAAACAAATAGACTTTTGTTTTTACAAACCATTTATTTGGGGAGGTTTATTTGAAGAAAAATTTTCCTCTGCAAAGAAAAATTTATAAAAAGCTACATGTGCAGATTACTTGACCCACTGCCTATCATAACATCTTTACACATCTCAAGGATTTAACATAGTGAAAGGAAAAGAGTAAAGAGGGTTTGAAGGGTAGCCCAGCACGGCTTGCATGGATGGCTGCTTTCCTATGCAGAGCTCAGAAACACATCCATCCCAGAAATATTTGTTTATCATGAAAAAATATTTGAGCCACTCATACTGAATTCTTTCACATTTTTGGGCAAGGTCTTTTTGCCATCTGGAATTAGGTATGTTAGTGAAGCTTATATTTTCAAATATTAGATTTTCTATCATTGTCTGAAATTCTCTCAAAGTATTGAATTGAACAGTCTTACCTTACCAAAAATAGAGGTAGAGTGCAGCAACTAAAAATAATAATGTTTAAAGAAAAAAAAAATCTCTTCCAAAGAGTGAAGCTGAAAAAAGTATCACAGTGTACATCTTTCTAAGAGTTAAATAACCTCCGACAGAGCTACAATAAAACTGATCGGCATTCGCTATCTGAAATGATGTGCAATTAAAAGCTAAGTAAATATTTAAAACAATCTTCCTTGCTCAAAAGAAGAATTGGAAAATTAAACATTTACAGCCAGAAATCTTGGAATCTCAATTTTTATACTTTGCAAGGGTACAAAATAAATGTGGAGATGCAGTTACCAATTCTTGAAAGATTCCCTCTGCAAACAATATCATGGCTTCTACGTGTGTGCAAGCCCCGCAAACATAATGATGCATTAGCTAAACATAAACCCTCTCCGAATTCCTGGTAAATCTAAATATGTACGAAATTAAAATGGAAACAAGGAACAAGTCTAGTGTTAGTCCTTTCAAAATACTAATTTAATAACTCTCCAAGAAATAGAGTGTTTTAGGAAAGGCAACCCAGATGTCAGCATATAAAATCAAGCTATAAAGCACCCTTCAAGTATATTTCAATCATTTTTAAATATTTACATTTAATAAGGACAAGTTTTTATGGCAAGAAGAGGTAATTACACTTATCATTCATGGAAAAATGTACTTTTAATGGCTTGTATATTGATTTGCAAAGGTGAAATAGTAACCTAAAATATGTAATTGTCTTTTTTTCCCTTCTGTTCAGCAATTTGCTGCTCTGGCAAAGCAAAATATGAAATGCTAGATGTGCCGCTGTTAGCGGCGGTGAGGCCGGTGTTGAAAATATTCACTTACACACATTGTTCCCTCTTTTCTCCACGTCTCCTATTATGCTAAACTGAAACCCCAAGTATCTGTGCTTTGGGGGATAATTAGAAGAATCTTATCGGGCTTTTATAGCCCTTCCTAATGAGGCTATTTATTTGGCAAACATTAGCCAGCCGAAGGATTAGTATCACCTTGATATGGACCTTATTGAAGCTGCTACCCTCTTGCCTGCTCTGCACAAAAGCCTATCTTATCAGCAGAATAGGCTCAGTGCAGGCAAGTCATGGCTTCTGAAAATTCACCAGGGGTCAGCCTTCATTAGTCAGAAGTTCTGACCAGAAGCTGAGGCAAATTCAGGTTTGGCCACTTTGAGGCCAGTAAACCCAATCAATTCAGTGTGGTGGGTTGCTGGGAAGATGGGGAGGGGCAGGAGCCCAGCAATCATCTGGGTGAGTCTTGGGAGAAATATCACCAACATTCGGCACACAGAGTTCACCCCTGGGAGGGATCCAGGCCTCCAATTCCCAGGGACCTTCCTCCTTACAAGGAAATAAATACACTTCAGGGATCTCAGAGAGCAAAATGACATAGGCTTTCTCTACCTGTCCATGTCAGCCAGGAAAGCAAGTCAATGGGAACTGGTTACCTGTCCTAAAATACCTTGCTCCAAGCCAATGCCCTCTTATTCTGATGCTTTGACAGAATCCCAGAGGGAGCGTCTTAATTTGATTAAAAGTGATTTTGAAAGTAATTTAAAATGAATTCATAAATAAAATACTCTCACCTCTGGCAGGGAGGGCAAAGGGCTTTGCATGCCTGGACTGGGAAGTCCTGACACATTCTGGAACTCTAAGAAGAACAGACTAGAGAAATAAACCGTTCAGGCAAGCTTTTCAAAATCAGCCAACGTGGAATTCTTAGTCCAAGGCTTCTGACTTCATTTTGGGCAACTAGGCTGGAGGGGACAACCTTGGGGTGGGATGACAGGGGTTAGGTTTGCAAATGACCTAAGGTGAATAAATATTTGTAAAACACTTTGAGAGTTAACGAGCTACACAAGCACCTCGGCTATAGAAAAGGCCTCCATTCCGTCACTTAGGAAATGTTTCAGGGGATCTGATATTTGAGGCCTAAGTCAAAATGTGGCCTGAAGGAGCAGACCCCTAAGGGCAGGTGACCAGACTCTGGGTGGCAGAAGGCTCCATAAAGAACACTGTATTGTGAGTTTGCCTCGAGAAAGAAATTTTCAACTCCAAAATCTGCCATCACTGACTAGCCCTTTCTCTGTTGGTAAGCCTACTTGTGGGTTCTCTCTTGGAATGCCTGGCGACCACTCCCTTCTGGGACCCTAGACCCCTAGAATAACTGCTAGGGCAAGATGGGCATTCTGAAAGGCTGTCACCCCTCCTCCTGAGCTAGGGCTTGACAACGTTCAATCCTTAGAAGGGAGTGAGGACTGAAGCTGCTGGGTTGGCCTCCCTGCCTTTGTCTAAGACAGGCACTCTAACCACAAAAACAACTCTTGCAATTGGCACCGCTTCCATCACCATAGCAACTGGTGCTTCTAGAAAGGCTAAAGAATTGGTTTAAGATTCACAGCCAAATTTAAATTTCCTCAGCTCACTTTGCTTCTCCCTCATCCCCTACCCATCCTCTGGGACTTTCAAGAGCCTGGGGCTTTAGGCAGCTGGCAGGCTGCATAGCAACACCAGCCCACAGCTGCTGGGCTCTGCCTGGGAGAAGCGGCTGTGCACCCATGCCCAAATGCTGACTGATCACCCTGCTGAGACAGGTGAGGCCACTCAGCCTTCCGCTGGGTTTCTATAGCAACGGAATATTTGTTGGACCACTCATGGGGGAAGGGGAAGCAGGAAAGGTAGATTTTCATTCCTGTTATGGAAGCAGCTTGGGTCACAGTGAGCATTTAGGCCTCACTTGGCCAGAGAAGGCCAAGCTGGGCTCTGCTCACCGGGCAGCAGCCTTGAGATACGAGTCACTGACACCAGCAGGCTGGTGAGGAGAAAGGCATTTGGGGTCCTTATCCCCCACAACCACCACCCTCATTAGATGGTACTTAAACTAATATAATCTAAAGCCATGGATTCTGCCCCTCACATAACATGATACCCCATAGCCCCTCAAATACCTACTTTGCTTGAATGAAAAGGCACACTAGCCTCCAAACTGCCCCCAAAAGGAATAAGGATGTATTGGGGACACTCAGGCCTTGCCCCTGGACTGTAGAGGTGGGGGTTGGCAAGGACATAAAGCAGAGTTTAGTCTAAACCTTGGCCTCTTGCATACGTCTTTGGCTGCGTCAGTCTCCCCGGCTGGGTGAGATATCTCTTCCTGACTGTCTGGGTCAGTAATAATTTGCAATGAGGGCCTATTCCACAAACTAAGAGAGACTGGAGATGGGCTATTAGCTTCAGCTCCTTTCATGTGGAATTACGTCTACTGGCACTAATATGCCATCATTTGAAAGCCTTAACCCAAATGGACGGGCGTCTGCCCCAAGCCAGGGCCGCCTGGACCAAGGCAGCGGGCTCCATGTGCTAGCTATTACAGGGTTGTTTTGTCCCGTCCCCAGTCGGCATTTGTTGCTGCACACTGAGAAACTGCTGTCAGGAAATGTTCTTTTCTAAATTACATAATTAGGGTATTGGGGAGTGTAGTGAAGGCAGATTAGGGGCATCACTTGTTCTTACTGCAAGCAATGATTCAAAGCACATAAGTAAACACTTAAACTACGTGAATGGTTTAATATTGATTAAACAATGATCTCCAAGACTAAACTCTAAGCATGGTAGGTAGAAGGCTCTGGAAGGAGAAAAAACAAAGAGTGGGCTTAATGGTGTGCATTGATTTACAGAGAAGTGTGGACTTTGACCTGCCAGATCAAAATCAGGATTTGCAATGATTACCCAAAATACAGTCCTAGGGTCCCACCCCTGCAAGCTGATGGTGAGGCTGGGGGCTGAATGGTCAGGGTCAAGGATCAAGTTCTTCCCTCAGAAAGGCCAGCTTCTCATCCACACCCACTTCCAGAAATGGAAACTCAGGCAAAGTGTGGGCTCAAATTGCATTTCATTTATTGTTTCTAACTACGGGCCACAGACTTCAACTTGATTAGAAAATTGTGCTGACGCTTCCTGTGAAGCATATCCTGAGACTTCCAGAGGAACTTCAGAAGGGAATTTTTTGCACGTACCCACTTCTTCCAAATGGCATTCCCCCTGCTTGGCAGAGCCTGTGGCCACACATCTGCCCAGACGCCTGGGCAGGAGACTCTGCCAAGGAAGCACTGTTGACCAGCTTCTTGGGCTCCTGTTGGGAGAGGGAAGGTAGGTTCCCTCTAGGATGTGGCTGGAGGACACAGAACTGGTCCCCACTCATTCCTGAGACCACCACCTGTCTGGGGACAGGGTCCTTGCCAGGGGGAAGCCCAAAAGCCACCTCTGGCCTCCTGTGAATGCAGACTCGGCAGTCTCGACTCGCCTCCCTAACTCCTGGCTCGTGCTTTGCATTTTCTCTCTCCCTCATCTGAACTCAAGGCAAGACACTGCCAATTGAACCGGGAGACAGCTGCCAATTAATAATAATATCAATGATACAAATCATTGACAGTTTTGTAAAGCTTACCTTGTGCTAAGCATCGTAAGCTCATTCTTCATCATACTGAGTCATAGCCACCCTTTGTGGTAGGTATCAATATCCACCCCATTGTTTAGATGAATAACCTGAGGCTAAGGGCAACTTACCCCAGATCACACGGCAACTTCATACATTTTCTTTACTTTACAAGCACTCACATAGCTCTTATTTTGTGCCAGGACTGTTCTAAATGGTTTTAAACTATTAACTGGTTAAATCCTCAATGCAACCCTGAGTAATAGGTATTCTTCTTCTTCTTCTTTTTTTTTTTTTTTTTGAGACAGAGTCTTGCTCTGTCACCCAGACTGGAGTGCAATGGCGCGATCTTGGCTCACTGCAACCTCCGCCTCCCCAGTTCAAGCAATTTTCCTGCCCCAGCCTCCAGAGTAGCTGGGATTACCGGCACCCACCATCATGCCCAGCTAATTTCTGTATTTTTGTAGAGACGGGGTTTCACTATGTTGGCCAGGCTGGTCTCAAACTCCTGACCTCAGGTGATCCACCCACCTCAGCCTCCCAAACTGCTGGGATTACAGTTGTGAGCCACTGCGCCCAGCCTTCTTATTTTAAAACGAGCAAACAGACACAGAGAAGTTACTTGTCCTGGGTCGAACAGCCAGTAAGCGACTAAGCCAAGATTCCAACATGCGCAGTCTGACTCCAAAACCCAAGTTCTTAGCCTCTCCATGGGGCTAACAGCAGTCTCTAACAAAAGAAGGAAAAGGAAGTGCCGCTGTGAGAGGGAACAGCCGTGGCACTGTGCTGATGTGAAAAGCGCACAGGTCCACAGCCCAGAGGCCCGGGCCCCAGCACCAGCTCTGCTGTGTGGTGACTGGGAGGCCTCACCACCTGGATGCTAAGGTGACTGGTGGGGACCAGGGACCCTCCAAGGTCTCAAAGTCAGCCTCTAGAAGATTCATGGGGGGTAGGTAATTCTGCCAAGAGCCCTAGAAGACTGGGGGTGCCCTGCTCTGCTCCTCCCCAGCCCTACTCCCACCCTTCCTCACCTTCCCCCTTGAGCCAGGCCTGGGGGGATTCTCTACTGGGGAATTCATATACATCCCCTTCCTCTGCATGAATGCTCAGGCTCCTAACTCCACACACAACCAATTCAAATGACGTTCCCATTTCTGCCAGTCCCCTGCAAAACCAATGGGGGCAGAATACAGAAGGGCACGCAAAATGAAAATCCTGCAACGGTATATTCCTTCTCATGTATATGTTTAAAATATGTCCAAAAAATAAAAATATCCCCCAACCCACCCACATAAACACACTGCCATAAACAGCTGAAGTGCTCCGTGTGGAAAATCCATCAGGGTAACTATGGACAAAGCCATTCAGGCTCAGCCCTAGTCTAGCCTAGGGCCTCAGAGTCCTCAGCCTCCCTTTGCTCAGGGCTGGGCCAGCAGCTGGCTGTGGGACCACGTGGAGGCTTCCTTGCTCTCCATGTTTCCTATGGCTCAATGGCTCTGTCCACTGTCTCCCAGCCTTGAACAACCTCCAAACATCTGGGCTAGGCCATGCTCACTAAATTCTATTCGTAACCTCCAAAATCAACACTTATGATTGCTTTCATGGTCATTTGCAGACATGCATAGAGTACTGAAACACCTGAGTCACCTGATGTACAAGTGTCCAGCTGAAGTTAAACCCTCTGCCTTCTTGTCTCAGCTCATACTGTAAACAAGTGTCCTTTCTTTCTTTTTTTTTTCTTTTTTTTTTTTTTAAGATGGAGTTTGCTTTTGTTGCCCAGGCTGGAGTGCAGTGGTACAATCTCGGCTCACTGCAACCCCCGCCTCCCAGGTTCAAGGGATTCTGTTGCCTCAGCCCCTGAGAAGCTGAGATTACAGGTGTTCACCACCAGGGCCAGCTAATTTTTACTATTTTTAGTAGAGATGGTTTTTCACCATGTTTGGTCAGGCTGATCTCAAACTCCTGATCTCAAATGATCCTCCTGCCTTGGCCTCCCAAAGTGCTGGGATTACAGGCATGAGCCGCCACACCCAGACAACAAGTATCCTTTCTGCTGTGTGTAGGGTTATGTGTTTTTTCTTTTTTCTTATATTATTGTTCTTTTTGTTGGTGGTTTTGCTGTTTAAAATAGCCCCCAAGAATACTTCTGTGAAATGTTCCTAAGAGCAAGAAGGCCATGATGTACTTTATAGAGAAAATAGTTGTGTTAGAGCAGGGGCTTCCAATCTTTTGGCCTCCCTGGGCCACATTGGAAGAAGAATTGTCTTGGGCCACACGTAAAGTACACTAACACTAACGATAGCTAATGAGCTAAAAAAAAATCGTCAAAAAAAATCTCATAATGTTTTTAAAAAGTTTATGAATTTGTGTTGGGCCACATTCAAAGCTGTCCTGGGCCTCATGCAGCCTGCAGGCCACGGGTTGGACAAGCTGTGTTAGATGATAAGCATGAGTTACAACGCTACTGGCCATGAAGTCGATGTTTCTGAATCATCAACATATATTAAATAAGGTGCTTTAAACAGTAACACACATAAAACAAGGTTATGTATTGATCAGTTGACAAAAATGTGACCAGAAGCTCACAGGAACCTAACTTTGTATTGTCCCTAGGAGCAGTGGTTTAGTATTTGCTAATTCGGTGTTGGTGGGGACTTTATAGAACATAACTAGTGCAAGTAATGAGAATCGACCGGAGTTTCGGTCCTTGGGAAGATGGGGATGCAGGAGACAAAGTGCCAATAGCTAATGACAACTACTATTCGTGGAGCACTCTCTTCCTGGGCCAGGCCCCTGTTACCTCACAGAACACTGTCTTTTTCTTTAGTCCATTTATGCCTAGTGTTCCATTATTGGAACACTGAGCATGTGGGAGTTATTTATATCCTACTGCTCAAGGTCACCACCAAGTTCTGATTGCAAAAATTCAAAAAATTGCAACCTCAGGCATAAATGGGTTAATAATCATGTCTAACATAATAATAATGGCTGCTAACACCAAGTGAACACTCACTGTGAGCCAGGCACATACCAAACGCTTCATATTGATCACACAGATCTCATCGAATCCTCCCGTACCTGTGAAACCTGGGGGGTTTTAGGCCTCATGCCTGCTGTTCACAGCAAGTGTTCAGCACACTCACCTGTCCCGGGTTTTGGGTTTCTCATGTGGCAGGCTGTGCCTGGCTGGGAAAAGCCATTGCTTCAAGGATTTTTAGAACATTTTCCAGCTCTGGAGTGCACAGTGGAGGATGAAGGAACCAGGGACTCAGCCTGCTTGACAGTGGCTAAGAGAGCAGGCAGCCAGCTCATCCCCAGGATGTGCCACAAGCCTAGTACCACTGAGTCCCAGCCAACCGCAGGGCTGAGCTGCCCCTCTGCTGACCGCAGCAGGTGCCATACTGACATCCCTCCTTGTGACTTAGCTACCAGCAACTTGCTCTCACCCACCTTGGTGTGGAGGGAGAGCCCAGTTCCCAGCCTCAGCTTCACCCCAGCTAAGCTGCAAAAGCCTGAGCATGGTAGCACTTGGCACATCAGTGGCCCTAGGCCACAGTCACCTTCCCCAGGTGACGCTAAGCAAGCAACTCACTTCTCCTACCTGTGGTTTTTCCTGCCTACAAAGTGGGAATAATTACACTCCCGCTTCCAAGTTTTCACATCTACTATCTCACAATTTAGAAGAGAAACAGGCAGGGCCAGTTAAAAAAAAGAAAACACAAAGACAGTGATTGTTATTATTGCTGATAACATTAGATGAATAAAGTAATATTCCCTGGACACTAAAGAGAAACAAAGTGGCAGCATTAATTATCTCATTTTTGACATTTTTCATTATGGCAGGATAGGTGGGGCTCCTCAAAAGCCAAATGCTCAGAATATTCCTGCCATTGAGCTGTCCATGGGAAGAGGTGTATAAGGCGTCTACTGACCACCAGGGGAACTAATCCCCTCTAGGTTGCTGCCAGTCCTACCCACAGCCAGGAAGAGTGAGAAAGGCTCAGAAACAGCCCCCAACAGGTGAGGAGAGGGAGCAAAAGCCCTTCTCAAAAGCAGGGCCCCAGAGAAGATATAAACAGGGCTGAGCGGCAGGATGGGCTGGGACAATTCCCTCCTCCTGCTGCGAGGTAGAAGCTGTGACCCTGCAGTCCCAACAGCCCCACCTGCTTCTTGGCTGCCCCTGCCGGAAACACGCAGGGCCCAAGCCTGGACAGCAGGAGCCCAGGTAAGCGGCCCCAGGTGCAGAAGTGGCCTTGGCCACAGGAAGTCCTGTCTCCCGCCTACGGCTAATTGCCACCACTGCAGAGGAGCCGAGCTAATTATACAAAAGTATGTGGCTCCCACATTCCCGGGCCACCACACACTTGCACACACCTCACAGGAGACCAGCCTGACTCCGGCATCCACCCCAGCCCCCTCCTGGCTCCTCTGAGCCTCCAGAGATGTCCCCTCTCCTGCAGCCTTCTCTATAAGCTCTTCAGGTAAGCCCCAGCAGCAGTTCCCTCCACTCTCCCTTTGCCTGCCTCTGAGGCACTTAACCCTCATCTTTACCTAATGTAAATATTTAATCCTGTACATTTAGGATCTGCCTGTCACCTGCCTCCAGTCTGTTCTCTCATCATCCAAATGGTCTTCCTGCCAGACCCGGGGCAGACCCAGGACTCCAAAGGGCTCTCTCTCCCCAGAGAGCTCCCCGACACAGCCCGGCACCTAGCTGACAGTAACCATGCATGGGGGGTGACAAATGTTCGAACCAGTTGTGCAACCTCAGTCAACGTGTGCGCTCTGAGCTTTAATTTTCTTATTTGTAAAATGAAGCTACCACCACCTGCCTCACAGAGTTTCTGGGGAATTGAAACCTAGCACGGTGCCTGACATATAGTAGGTAGCTCATAAATGCTTACTGAATTCCCAGCAAGCATTCGTGATGGGCTGGGGCCTTGCGCATCTAAAACAGAACTCATCCACCCATGTGCAAGTATCCTTCCCTCCCCGCACCCACTCTAACGAGAACTCGATGCCAGCCCATCCCTGCCTCCGTGATGCACTCAAGAGCCTGGTAGGCAGGACAGGGGAGGATGGAGCTGCAGAAGGGCTGAGTTGAGAGACAGGGTCCACCCACATAATCAAGTCCTGGAAAGGGGGCAGGAGAAGAGAAAAGGAAAAGCTGGATGTGGGGAGAGACCCTAAGGGCCGTGGGTGGCCAAGACCTGCACTGGCCAGGGCTCAAGAGTGCTGCTGGGGCACAGGACAGGGATGCCCAACCTTCAGCCTTCTTTCAGAAGACAATAAAGGGTCAGCTTTCTAATTACTTCTGGCTGCCTGAGTGTGCAGAGACTGGGCCATGAGGGGCCCTGGGGCTAGGAGGATGACACACCCTTGTCTTTGTCCATGCTCTCAACACTCCTGTAAGGCAGATTTTTGTCTCCATTAAACAGATGAGAAAACTGAGGTTCAGAAAGATTAAATGACTTGCCTGAGGTTACACAGACAGTCAGAGCCAGAGCCAGGCCTCCCTCCAGATCTGCTGTCTTCTGAGCCTGTGCTGCTAACCATGTCATGCTCAGAAAGTGGCATCACCGCGCGGCATCACTGCTTTACTCTAGAACATGGGGGTGAAGACGTGCCCACTGAGTGACTCCTGCCACTTCTTGAGGAAATGTGGTCTCACCTCAGCAAATGGGGTCCTGAGCCCCTACAGAGTGTCGGGGTGCCAGGCCCCATGGGGACACACACAGGAAGGATAGGCCGGCTGAAGGAGCCCCTCATCCTGCAGTCCTTTGCCAGCAGAACCAGCACCAACACAAGGGAGTGTGTGGGGTAGTGACAACCACCAGCACCAAGGGTGGTGCCCTGAGCCAGGAGAGCTGCACTCGGCCTAAGAGAGCTAGGAAAGCTAGGGAGGCTTCTCAGAGGTGGTGATCTATGGCCACCTGGGAGGATGAGCAGGACTTAAATAAAAGAGACAGGGACCTGGGTAGAGGAAGTGAGATAAGCACAGGTGTGGAGGTGTGGGGGCACCAGTGTCCCCTGGGGAGGAGGGCAGACAGCGGGACCCGTGGATGTAGTGGGTGTGCAGGCTGAGATGTGGGACATGAGGCTGACTCCACAGGGCCTGTGTGCCTGGGTGAGAAGTCGGGACATCTTTCCAGAGGCACCAGAGAGGGATCTGGTGGTGGTGAGAGAAGCAGCACTGGGCAGGGACCTGCCTTCCTCCCCCAAGATGAAGTCTCCCCAGATAGCAAGGGTGCCTTGGGCTCTCTCTCACCTGAGGCTCTCAGGCCCTACTGGAGGAGGAAGGTGCAGAACATGGAGCTTCTGAACCAAGAGAAATGGTCTTCCTAGCCTTCTGAGGGATGCATTCCAAAGCGAATCGAGATTGTATGTTTCAGAGTAAAGAGAAGGGTGGTTAGGCTCCCCTGACCACCACCTCACCACCTCCCATGGACCCTGCCCTACCTGCCATGCCTGGCCCATGGAGAGAAGCTCCATGATGCCACTGGCAGCACCCACAGGTGGGCCAACACTGCAGCTTCCTCAACGCTGCCCTGCCTGGTGCCCTGGGGGGCTCCCTCCTAGGCGGTCCACCTCCTGTGCACCCTCACAGAGCTGGCTTTCCCTGAGAAGTGTACCAGGTCTGCCAGAGGCCACTCGTCAGCCTGCTGCTGACATCCAGGCCTTTCCCTATGCTCTCCGCTCTGCCGTGACCACATGCCCTTTCCCCCATACCCTCCATTCCCTGCTTCTTCAGGTCTCAAGCCAGATGTGCCTTCCTCCCAGAAGCCTTCCCCAAGCGGCCCTCCTCCGCATGCCCACAGCCTCAGTGCAGTCATCAGTCACCAATGCCTGTCCCAGTCAGTCATCCCCATGGGACTGTGACCACCTGAGGGCAGAGGCTGGTGTGTCCTCTTCACCTAGGCTATATCCCCAGTTCCTGGGCCAGGCTCTGGCCCATAGTTACTGCTTGATAAGGACCACCCGAAAGAAGGATTCCCACAGCCCAAACTTTCTCAGACACCATTCCCTAACCTCTGGACTGAAGGACTCCATCCCATCGCCCAACTAGACTGTTGTCCCTCTAGGTACCAGTCCCACCATCCCCTCGGCTTGGCACTTGCTCAAGCCTCTGAGAAGAACCCATTGTGTGCCAGCCCATCCCTGCCTCCATGATGCACTCCAGAGCCCGGTAGGCAGGACAGGGGAAGGATGGAGCTGGAGAAGGGCTGGGTTGAGAGGCTGGCACTCACTGGAACCTCTAAATGGACTTCCCCGCTCTAGCATGCACCCCACCCAGACAGCACTGGCTCCCTGTCCCTGAGGAAGAAGCCAGCAGGGACTGGAGGTCCAGAGCTCTCCCACCCTGCTGCCTGGCTCTTCTCACCACCAGCCCAAGGCCTTTCCTTTGCCTCCCAGGTCACTGGGCCCAGCGCAGGCAGCTGGCTCCCTCACGCCCTATGATGCCTTTGGCTCAGCCAGGCCATGGCTCCCAGGCCCTCCTCAGGCAGATACACTTGGTCCCTGTACCTCCCTGGGCCTCAATCCCTCATATGTAAAATGGATTCAGCACCTGAGAGATCTGGCAGGAACCTGAGGGGCTTTTTGACACATTGGTCCCCTCCCCTGTTCCTTTAGAAACTTAGGGCAGGCCCAGGGAACATATGCAGAAGGGGAAAGGAATTGTTTTCCTCTGACTTAGCTCAGTACTAACTTTCTAGAAGGCTATTTAGCTAAAAGTATCAGAAGCTTAAAAAACACAGACACCTGGGCCAGTCATGGTGGCTCACGCCTGTAATCCCAGCACTTTGGGAGGCCGAGGTGGGAGGATCACAAGGTCAGGAGTTTGAGACCAGCCTGGACAATATGGTGAAACCCTGTCTCTACTAAAAATACAAAAAAATTAGCTGGGCATGGCAACGCACACCTGTAATCCCAGCTACTCGGGAGGTTGAGGCATGAGAATCATTTGAACCCAGGAGGCAGAGGTTGCAGTGAGCCAAGATCGCGCCACTGCACTCCAGCCTGGACGATAGAGCAAGACTCTGTCTCAAAAAAGAAAAAAAAAAAAAACAAAACATAAAATAAAACAAAACAAAAAACACAGACACCCTTTAACCCCAAAATTCAACTTCCAAACTTTTCTCTTAGAGAAAAGTACACCAAAATGCTGGAACAAAGATGTTAGTTACAATGTAGTTGTGAGGGCTAACACTCAGAAATAACCTATATATCCAAATACAGGAGTGTGGTTTTGAAAACTATAGTATATTCATACCACAGGCCAACATTCCTACCATGCAACCATCACAAATGATGGTGTCAGGGTAAAAGGCCACCATGATATATTATTAAGCAAAGAGAACAAGTTTAAAAAAATGGATCATACTATTTTGTAAGAAAAAGTAACACATATATTTATAGGGGAAAAAACTTCAAAATGTTGACAGTGGTTACCTCTACTTTTCCCGGTTTTTCTAATATTAATATATATTACTTGTGCAGAATAACACTTTTAAAACAATTGTTCATTGATAAAGCCACTGGTTAGATGTCAAAATAGGAAAACCCTAATAATAATCCCAGCCCCACCCCGCCCCCACCTCGCAACATACATACACAGGAGTTGGCACTGAGGCATATACCTAGGTGTATGCATACACTTCCTCTCACCCACCCAGCCAAGCCAACTCACCAGCCATCGGCCCAAGGCTTATTTTAATCCTCAACTGAAATTATTACAACTAAGCAATACAATCCACTGCACTCCAGAACAGATTCCAAGTAGCCACCAGCCTATGTCCTCTACAGGCAGTACCCAGCAACTCCCTGCAGGAGGTGGTAGTAAGACAGCTGCGCTCTGGAGAATGACCACCGACCTCAAGCTCCCAGGGAGCACCAGAGACACGCAATGGTAGGAATTAGCCATGGCTGTGAACCAGCCAGCCAGCAACATCATCGACCTATCAATTGCAGTGATAATTCTCTTAGGAGCTGATGCCTTCATCCATCACACTGAGGTCCCATAAGCACCCCTTTGGGTCTTCCTCATTCTCAGGGTATGGGGATGGGGCATAGGTGGGTGTTGGCCCAGACTGCTGGTCCAGCCAAGCCCATAAACAAGGCAGGAAAAGGACGGTGTGACATAATGCCAACTCCATGCCAGGCATGATGTTTGGCACCAGACACACTAACAGGCCTCAGAGCAGTTTGGCAAGGAAGATGTGGGACTCCAGGATCCTCATCTGTAAACTGGGCATGACTTTCCCAAGGTCACACAACTAAAAGGAGGCAGAGCTAAGATTTGAACTCTGATCCTCCTGCCTCTTCCATGAGCCCATACTTCCAACATGACAGGGCTGACTCAGTTCCCTGGTCTCATGACCCACACCCCCAGGACCTTCAGGAAGTCCACGGCACCGGAATCAAAGCTGGGCGAAGCACATAAACACGGGGCCGATTCCTCTCCCCAACCCCTCCCTTGCTCTTAACACAGAAGAGGCTGGGGCTGCCCCTCTGCCATCGTGTGCTGAAGAATATAACATGAACCAGAAGAAAATATCAAGAAAGCACTCACCTGGCCCGGAGGCTGCGGGTCACCTGGTTCCATCACAGCACAGAGGCCTTGTCTGAACTATCCAGAGGCAGCTTGGGGGCTGCTGTAGAGGCCTTGGCTGATGTTATTAGGGTGGACCTGAGCAGGTGGTGCTGGGGGAGACAGGAGAGAGAAAAGAGGGACTCACTGTACAGGTCTCCACTGCCGAAAGAACAAAGCAAAATATTTTCATTCATGAGTTCATCCAGCCTAAACACGCACCTAATCCCTAGGAACTGACAGTGCAAAACAGCTCCCAGGAAGAAGAGACACAATGCTCAGTTCAAAGGAGGAAGGGCTGGGCAATCACTTATCACCTGGTGACCATCTGTGGAGTCAAGGAGCTGCCTGGGCTTAACAAATCCAGGCCAGCCAGAGAGGCCAGCTGCTTAAATGACAAGGGCCCAGAGTGTCACCTCTTGGTCTGACCACCATCCTGCCCCTGTGACTGGACCCCAGGGCAGAGGGAAGGGGCGCTTTCTGCTTGGTTGCTGGGTGCAGCTTCACTGGAAAGCACAAAACGAACTGTGAATTTTCTCTGGGTACAAATGATATGCTCAGTTTGGGTGCTTTAGCTTCATAAAATTTGGCACCACTAGGAAGAGAAGTATGCTAGGAAGAGAAGGGCAGGGCTGCAAAAATCTAAAGGATTCAGACATTGTTCCTGCTGAGTTCGAGGGGAGAGGCCCCCCTCCCCCAACCAGGAAAATGCCTGCCTGGTACCACCTTGATGCACAATTAGTTTCTCAAGGGGCTGCCTTGCTAGACCAGATATTTTTCTTGAAAATATCCATCCAAATATGAGCCATGGGGATTTCTTTTTTTTCTTTCTTTTCTTTTGGTCTACTAGAAGTCCCTAAGGGCAGTCATGTCTCCCAGAAGAGATTACAAATTTTGGATTGTGTAAACACTCTCTGCCCAGAAAGCACCTATGGAGATCTTCGTTATTCCAGCCAACCTGCCTTCAAAAGGTAGAGAACCTGGCCAGCTCTGCCAGAAAAGCCTCCAGAACCAGCCTTTGAGGCTAGGAGTGCCCCAAGCCTGCTTCCTTGAACCCTCAGCCAGCCTTGCATGGGGAGGCAGGGATGTTTGATCATTGTCTCTGCCAGGCTGGTGCTGAACACAGCTTTGCAGAGCCCCTGCCTCCCTCTTTTCCCCCTTCTCCATGGTCTCCAAGGGCATCCAAAGACCCTTTCTGGCAGAGCCCAGGAGTGTGCTTGAGCAGAATGTACATCTTTGCCCATGTGTGTGGCCCCCTCACAGCTGCTGCTCTGCACTTTCTCCTCGGCCAACAGCTTCCCACGGAAAGACAAGGAGGATCCCAAAGAACTCTCAGGTGTCTACATGCAACTGAGCCCCAATGTTCACTGCACCACCAGCTGCCAGGCTGGATGCCATACCTTTCACATGCTCTGTGCTAATAATCCTCACTCAGCAAGGTAAAGTCCCACTTTACAGATGCGAAAACTGAAGTTCAGAAAGGTAAAACAACTGCCTTTCATAGGTAGTAAATGGGAGTGTCAGGACACAGCCCAGGGCTCCAAAAGACACTTGAACAGAGAGACAAGACCCAGGCAAGCCCAGAATCTGCTTTCTCCAAGGACGTCCTACTTGGCAGCCATCTGTTCTGAGACTTCAGGAGAAGATCAGCAGCCCTTAGGAAAGAGATTTTCAGTGTCAGTGATGGTAGAGTGAAAGCTAAACATGGATCTGAACCACAAAAGATCCTGAATAACCAAAGCAATCCTGAGGTGGGGGCAGTGGGCAGGGAGCTGTAGGCATCACACTACTGACTTTAAAATGTACAACAAAGCTATAGCCACCAAAACAGCATAATATTGGCATAAAAACACACAGACCAATGGAACACAATAGAGAGCCCAGAAATCCTTGCATCTATAGCCAAATGATTTTTGACAAAGGTGCAAAAACACACATTGGGGAAAGGACAGTCTCTTCAATTAATGGTGCTGGGACAACTGGTCGTCCACAAGCAGAAGAATGAAATTAGGTCCTTATCTCATATACAAAAATCATCCCAAAATGGATTAAAGACTTAAATGTAAGACCCAAAACCATGAAACTACTGGAAGAAAACATTAGGAGAAATGCTTCCTGATGTTGGACTGGGCAAGGATTTTTTTTTTCGATAAAACCTCAAGAGCACAGGCAACAAAAGCAAAAATAGACAAATGGGATTACATCAAACTAAAAAACTTCTACAAAGCGAAAACAGACAACAGAGCAAAGAGACAGTCTACACAGTGGAAGAAAATATTTGCAAACTATTCATCTAACAAGGGTTAATAACCAGACTATATAAGGAACTCGACTCAATAAAGCAAAACAATCCAATTTTAAAATGGGCAAAGGAAATGCGTTAATAGACATTTCTCAAAAGAAGACATACAAAATGGCTAACAGGTATGTGACAAAATGCTCAACATCATTGATCATCAGAGAATCATTAATTCATCAAATCAAAGCAATGATGAGATACCACCTCACTCAAATTAGAATGGCTACTATCAAAAAGACAAAAGACAACAAGTGTCAGCCAAGATATGGAGCAAAGGGAACCCTAACACACTGTTGGTCAACATATAAATTAGTACAGTCACTATGGACAACAGTATGGAAGTTCCTCAAAAATAAAAAACAGAACTACCATATGATCCAGCAATCCCACTGCTGGTTACATATCTAAAGGAAAAGAAATCAGTTTGTCAAAGAGGTATCTGCACTCCCATGTTGATTGCAGCACTATTCTCAGTAACCGATGTAAAGAATCAACCTAAGTATCCAATGATAAATAAATGGATAAAGAAAATGTGGTATATACACACAATGGAATACGAGCCAGCCATTCAAAAGATTGAAATCCTATCATCTGTGACAACATGGATGAACCTGAAAGACTCAATGTTAAGTGAAATAAACCAGACACAGAAAGGCAAATACTACATGATCTCTCTCATATGCAGAATCTGAAAGAGTTAATCTCACAGAGAAGAGAGTAGAACAGTGGTTACCACAGCCTGGGGAGTGAAGCTGGAGAAAGGATGTGGAAAGGATGGTCAATGGGTACAAAGTTACAATTAGAAAGGAAGAAGTTCTGGCATCCTATTGCACAGTAGAGTGGCTATAGTCAACAACAAGGCACTACAATATCTCAAATAGCTAGAAGAGAGGATTGTGTACATTTCCAGCACAAAGAAATGATAAATGATTGAGGTGATAGATATGCTAATTATCCTGATTTGATCATTATACAATATATACGTGTATCAAAATATCCCATTGTACGCCATAAATATGTAGAAAACATGTGTCATTGAAAGTAATTTTTTTAAACCCTGGATCTGAAAGTGGCCCACTCCACCACTGTATCCTTTCCCATCTGAGCAGCCCTGCCTCACCCACTTGTCACCCTGCCAGGGGCCCACCTGACTACATTGCCATTTCCCTTCACCCAGTCAGAAGACCTCAGAAACCCTCTCACTCAAAGGTCAACTTACCCAGAAGGAAGTATGTCTTTATGGAAGCATTTCTGGCACCATGAAAGTGACATTCTGGGACTTTCCTCCAAAGCACACAAGCCCTGTTATACCTTTCATCTGACCTCTGGAGCCCAGTTTAATTGGTAGGAAGAACTCTGAATTTGGAACCAGACCCTAGGTTCTAGTTCTAGTTCTGGTTGCAAGTTCAAGGATCTCATTTTGTCTGAGGTTCAGCTTGCTCATCTGTGAAGTGGAGATGACAATTCTGTTGGCACTGCCAGCTCATGATGTTGGTGAAAACACTTTGCCACAAAATGGGACAAGGCTGCAGCTGGAAATAGACACTGTGCCCCCAGATGCCCTCTCACCCATCAAAGCAGGGTGGCAATGCTCCCCAGGTATCCCCAGGGCTCACCTCCTCTCAAAGTGACCCCCTCGAAGGAGAACTGCAGGCGCATGCACAGCAAACCCAACGGCATGGTCCCCCATGGATGCTCATGGTCCTCATGGTCACCTGTTAACCACATCCCTGCTCTGGGATTTGGAGCCCCAAGATGGGCATTTAACTCATGGGACTGCAGTGAGGCAATGTGGTATCATGGTTGGGAGGAAGGCTTTAACCTAGACCTGTCTAATTCTAGGGTCCCAGCTCTGCTATTAGCTGTGTGACCTTGAGCAAGTTACTTCACCTCTCTGAGGTTCAGCAACCTTATATTTAAAATGGGGGTCACAGTACCTAGCTCGTAGGGCTCTTGGGAGGATTAAAAACATGTTAAGGTCTTAGCACAGAGTCTGGCACGTGTAAGTGTCCAATAAATAGCAAGCTCAACCACATAAAATTATGTAACAACCTCAAACCTGAACAAGAGTCAGAGAAGGCTCTAGATGTTCACTGTCCAATAGAAATATAATGCGAGTCACAAATGCGATTTTAAGTTTTCTAGAAGCCACGTTTTAAAAAGCAAACGAAAGAGGTGATGTTAACTTTAATATTTTATGTAATCCAGTATCTCCAAATGTTATTTCAGTATGTAATAAATATTTTTAAATTATTGAGATACTTCACATTTTCCCATATCATGTCTTCAAACTCTGGTGTGTACTTTACACTTACAGCACATCTCAATGCAGATGCTACATTTTCCTGAAATACTTCATCAGTATCTAGAACTCATAAAATTTACAGTTGTAAAGGTAAATTGACATACCCAAGTTGTTCCGAACATACTTAAAAGTTTCCCAATACCTTGAATCCTTGGGTCTGCCTTTTTATAGTTTTCACTCCTCCCTGTTGGCAGGCTGTAACTGTTTTTCAAATTAAATTTAAATTTTTAAAATTTAGTTTCTCAGTACCATCAGTCATATTTTAAGTACTCAAAAGCCTCATGTGACTAGCAGGACTGTCCTGGACAGGGCAGGACGTAGACCAAGATGCTGAAGGGTCGCTTTGCAGCAGAAACATGCCCTTTCTACGCGACTGGGTCCATTGCTCCACCCGTTCAACTCCACAGCATCTCATGTTCCCCCAGCTCTGTTCCAGAAGTGTCCCCTGGAAAAGCCACCCGTTGCGCCATTTCCACAGCTGCTGTGACCAGGGGAAGGTCCCTCAGCACTGTACACGGATGTGCCTCTGTCCACAGTCTAAGACTGCTCATAAACTAGGCGTGGAACACGAAGGCAAAAATGATGAAGATGTTTTTCAATTTGCTAACTAGCTTTCTCTTTGAAGACACCAGTCAATGTTTGACTGTTTCCCTGTGCATGCTGGAAGTATCTGGACATGAAGAAAGGATGAGAGAGCTCAAGTTGGGAGGGACAGCCTGCCAACAGGGAGGACAGAGGAAACTATAAAAAGCAGACCCAAGGACAACAGAAGAATAGCCCCCGGGACCATTTAGTGCAGGACAAACTGTACACCTCACCCTCAGAGGGTAGCCGTGGACCACAGCCCAGAACAGGCATGGGGACCTGGACGTGCCACAAAAGCACATTACAATCTTTCTTGCCTTCTGAAATGCAGAATATGGAACACAACAAAACATTATGCAAAGATTTCCATGCAGAACAGTAAAAGGAAGCTGGTGGGCTCTCCAGAGCCAGGACTGCCCATTCTCCAGAAAACCAAGATATGACCATTGTGACACACAGACATGTGTCTGTGTGTGGATTTAAACCAAACAAAAAAAATTTAATCCAAAAAAATACAGAAATCACTTAGATTTGGTAGACAAAACTACTCTTAAGTGCAGCCTGATCTCTGGACACATTATTTGTTTATTTGTCTGTTTTTCTTTGTTTTGGGGTTTTGAGACAGGGTCTCACTCTGCCACATGGGCTGGAATGCAGTGGCACAATCACAGCTCACCGCAGCCTCAAACCCCTGGGTTCAAGCGATCCTCCCATATTATCTGTTATTTGCCTCCCCCCGCCCCCCTACCCCTAGGATATAAGCTCCATGAAGGCAGGGATTTTTCTTTCACTCCCTGCTGTATCCCCAGTGCCTGGCAATGGTGCCTGGCACTCAGCATGCTAGATGAGTGGATGTGCTCTAAGCTGCCCCCTAAATTCAACACCCTTTTGTCATTCAAGAGATATATGTTTTCCCATGGATCACCTGCCCCAAATTTTGTACAGATTGAATTTTTCATACAGAGAAAGTTCTAGATGCTCAGCTCAAAAAAACTGTATATTGCCCACTTACCTGCATCAGGTTCCAAACTGCCCCCAGACAGTGTGGCAACTTTCTCCAAGCTGCAAGAAGAAGGGGTCAACACATCCCGAGCCCTGGGTGTAGAGTTCAGCGGCAGGATCCTTCCTCCCCCATACCTGGGCTGTCAGCCTGCTCCCACTGGAAGAGCCAAGCTGCCCCAACTTTCCCCTGGGTGCCCCCTGTCACAATGAGCTGTGAAGACCTCGTGGCCACAGAACAGCCTCTTCTATCTCAGGGGAGCCACATCAAGGCTTGGCAGTTCCACGTGATCTGCATGTGGTGGGTCCAGAAAATAGAGCTGCATTTTCAGCAGCATTTATACCTGTGTTTAATTTCTGCTTAATAAGACAGGGAAAATGTTCTACCTAAAGTCCAGCTGACTGCAGGACGCACATTTCCGGATTAACAGCTCTGTTAGAGATGTTTCCAACAAGCAAATGACCCCTCTGTGGTGTCTATAATTATATCCATATAACATATAAATCTCAATACACTTTTAATAAGCAGTTAATACTCTGATATAAAATATTTACATCTCAACCAAATTCATCCTGCATGGAGTAGCCCTGGTTTACTGAGTTATTAAAACCACTGCCATCAATCAGTCGTCCCAGCTAAACAGAGAACTGAGAAGCTAAAGAAAGCTTCCTTTTCACTTTCAGCCTAGGCTGAAGCCTGGAGTTTAAATATCACCAAATGTCTCTGCCCATTGTTCTTCACTGAATAGCAGGAACTCTGTCACTGCAAAGTCATCCATCCTAGCACCCAAGCTAGAAACCCAAGAACGCCATGGAGCCTCCACCTTCTGTCCGGCATTGGACTGATATGTTATGAGGACCGATGGTGGGTCCTAGGCAAGCTGCCAGGGTGGGAAGATGAGGCACATACCCTGCAGAACTCACAGCACAGCCAGCCAATCACCACCTAAGTCCAGCTCAAATGTCAAATCCTCTGGGAAACCTTCTTGAGCAGGGCTCCAACTTTTGGGGCAGCCAGACCACTGCAGCCAGTCATTCTCAATGCCCCTCACACCCCACATGCAACCTAGCAACAATTCCTATGGCTCTCTTTTCAAAATCATCCAGCACTCATGTCCTCCTCACACCCTCCACTGCTGCTGCCCTAGCCTGAGCCACCCCCATCTCTGACCTGGCTCATTGTAACAGCCTCCTCCCCAGTCCCCACCTGTCTTGGTGCAACAGAACAGCCAGAGCCATGCTTTAAAAACCTAAGTCAGAGGCCAGGCACGGTGGCTCACACCTGTAATCCCAGTACTTTGGGAGGCCGAGGTAGGCAGATCACAAGGTCAAGAGATCAAGACCATCCTGGCCAACATGGTGAAACCCCATCTCTACTAAAAATACAAAAAAATTAGCTGGGCGTGGTGGTGCATGCCTGCAGTCCCAGCTACTCGGGAGGCTGAGGCAGGTGAATCACTTGAACCCGGGAGGCGGAGGTTGCAGTGAGCTGAGATCACGTCACTGCACCCCAGCCTGGTGACAGAGCAAGACTCTGTCTAAAAAAATTTAAAAAGCCTAAGTCAGACCTCATTCCTATGCTCAAAATCCCGCAACAGCTCCTCATTTCCCTCAAAGCCCAAGTTCTTAAGGTGGGTTAGCAGATTCGGCATCACAGGTTCTTCACTATCTTTGAGCCAGGGACACCCCTAGCAGTCTGGGGAAGCCTATGGACCTTGTCTCAGAGAAATGTTTTAGATGCATAAAGCTTACATAGCATTAAAATGAAACCAGTTACACTGAAATAATGTTTTTTTGTGATATTGTTATGCACATGCATTAAATAGTAAGATCTCATGGGCATTGTAATTTCAAAGTAGTGATAAGCAGAAATATTTCAAGATATCTGAAATAGTTAGCAAACTGTTTATTGCATAGGTTTTCTTCTAGAAAAATTTTGCAGTCTATCCATCTGACAAAGGGCTAATATCCAGAATCTACAAGGAACTTAAATTTACATGAAAAAAAAAACAACCCCATCAAAAAGTGAGTGAAAGATATGAACCAAAACTTCTCAAAAGAAGACATTAATGCAGCCAACAAACATATGAAAAAAGCTCATCATCACTGGTCATTAGAGAAATGCAAATCAAAACCACAATGAGATATCATCCCACGCCAGTTAAAATGGGGATCATTAAAAAGTCAGGAAACAACAGATGCTGCAGAGGATGTGGAGAAATAGGAATGCTTTTACACTGTTGGTGGGAGTGTAAATTAGTTCAACCATTGTGGAAGACAGTGTGGCGATTCCTCAAGGATCTAGAACCAGAAATACCATTTGACCCAGCAATCCCATTACTTGGGTATATACCCAAAGGATTATAAATCATGCTACTATAAAGACACATGCACAGTATATTTATTGCAGCACTATTCACAATAGCAAAGACTTGGAACCAACCCAAATGCCCATCAATGATAGACTGGACAAAGAAAATGTGGCACATATACATCGTGGAATACTATGCAGCCATAAAAAAGGATGAGTTCATGTCCTTTGCAGGGACATGGATGAAGCTGGAAACCATCATTCTCAGCAGACTAACACAGGAACAGAAAACCAAACACCGAATGTTCTCACTCATTAAGTGGGAGTTGAACAATGAGAACACATGGACACAGGGAGAGGAACATCACACACCGGGGCCTGTCAGGGGGTGGGGGGCTAGGGAAAGGATAGCATTATTAGAAATACCTAGTGTAGATGATGGGTGGATGGGTGCAGCAAACCACCATGGCATGTGTATACCTATGTAAGAAACCTGCACACTCTGCACATGTATCCCAGAACTTAAAGTATACTTTAAAAAAAAAAAAAGAAGAAAAGAAAAGAAAAGAAAGCAAAAGGGAAAGGGAAAGGGAAAGAAAAAGAAAAGAAGAAAAGAAAAGAAAAAAAGAGAAAAGAAAAGGCTTTCCATTTGGGGTGGTAACAAGTTCCTGGAACTAGATAATGGTGATGGTGACGTAACATTGTGAACATACTTACAGCCACTGAATTGTGCACTTTAAAATAGTTAAAATGGTAATCTTATGTTATGTGTATTCTACCACAATAAACAAAACCAAAATTAAAAAAAAAATCTATAGTTTCTATTGTTGACAAAGTCACAAGTAACTCTATACTTCTGTGGGAGTTTTTTTGTGTTTTGCTTTCTGTTAGGGTTTTTTTTCTTATTGCCTACATTCTCAATCAAAAGGTGTACTAAATTTCACTTAAAGTCTAACGAAAATTAAAAATAAAGATGTGATTTTTTTTTCCATCCAAGTGGGAATCTGAATCCCATTCAGAGATCCTCTGAACACTATCCACAAAGCCCCTGGGAGTTCTGTGATCTGCACCCCTCACCTCTCTGCCCTGTCTGTGCCTCTCCTCCATGACGGCGTCACTCTAAGCATACTGGCCTCCCCTGCTGTTCCTGAAACACACTGGACACATTCTTGCCTTATGGTTTCTGCTTTTGCCCTTCTCATGATCTGGAAATACCCTGCTCCTGCCCCTCTCTACACAAATAACATCTACCTCTAAGTCTATGCTCAAATCTCACCGTCTCATGGGACAGAACATACCCTGTGTACCCCCAGCATTTCCTAAACCTCTAGGCCTGCTGTTTTCTGTAGCCTTTCTTACATTCTAGCATACTACATCATCCACTTATTTATTACAGTTGTGCATTCTCATTCTCTCTTCTCCTTTTCCTCCCTCTCCTCCTCTCTTCCCTCCCCAACCCCAATCTCTCCGTCTCTCCCTTCAACCCTTCTTTCTCCTAGAATGTAAGTTCCCTGAGGACAGGGATGGTTGTCTATATGTTTGGTGATATAGCATTAGCTCTTAGAATAGGGCCTGGCAGATAACAGAAACTCAAATATTGGCTGAATGAGAAATTAACAAATGAATGAACAGCCCACCTCCTCAGTGGTCTCACCCTGACACTAGTCTGCACCCTCAACTCGACATCTGATCACATTGCTCCTCAAATGTGCCAGGGACTCCATCACCTCTGGAATGGCCTTAGTGGGACCCTTGGGGCCTCCACACTTTCTGGTCCCTGTCCACCTCTCCAGCCCCATCTCAGCCTCTGGTCCTGAGTGTCCCATCTCTCTGTACCTACCTCTCTTTTACCATTTTTCCGTCTTCCACTTGTCTCTGTCTGCCTTTCTAAACTGTGAAGTCCACGAGACTCTATCTGGTGTAGTTCACCTTTGGGTCTCAAGCACCCAGCTCCAGGCCTGGTGCCCAGCTAGCACCAGGAACTGTTTGATGGATGAATGAATGAGTGGAACAACTAGTGGCTGAAGCAGGAGCAGAAGCCTGCCTGGGTGCCACTCAGGCGGCAGGCTCACTGACACCGAGCACATGCCCTGGGTGGGGCGTGTCACTCTGGCTCCTGACTGAGCGTTTCACCTGGGACCCACAGGAGCTGGTTCTCAGTTTGAAGAGATAATCCAGCTAATAACAGGATTAGTTCAGGCACATCCCCTAAACCATAGGCTTGAAACCTCTACCTGGGCAAATGTTTGGGGGGACTCTGCCAGGATCCCTACGCTCACCAACCACAGGTCCTTCCCCATCACACATGGCTCCTCAGCTCTGACAAGCCACCCATGGAGCACAGGCAGGGGCTCGGAGATGAGCAGCCTGGAGGCTCTGATGTCTCTAGTGCCACAAGTCCGCACGGCACTGCACTGCCAGCCTCCACCCTATGACACCACCTACTCTTCCCTGTGCCAAGGAAGGTGATTATGTGGGCACCGTGGAAAAGGAGACCCCAAGAGGACAAACACCAGTGACTCTGAACTGACAAGTGACATGTGGTAGCGCCTGGGAAAGCAGGCTCTAGGACTGTGCCACAGCTCACGTAGAGCAAAAGTGTCGCCATGTGTCTCAGTACTGGCATCCAGAGCCTGTGTCTAGCCTGGGCACTTCTGCCACCCTACACACCCTCATCTCCTGCCAGCTCCCTGACTGGAACAGACCCCAACTCCAGAGGGATGGCTGCAGGAGGGTTACACAGAAGGCTTACAGGGGTTGTGCTAGCCCATGGTCGAACAGCAGAGGGAGTGGAAATGTTCAAGGTTGGGGCTGAAGTCAGAGGGAAGCGGCCACATGGCCAGAACTGCCCAACTCCAAACCCCTCTCTCATTATGGCCCTAATTCTGTCACATGCTAAGTTAAGACCCTGGGCAATGTAACCTGTAAGAGCTGTGCCGTCTCATATGGTAGCATCTAGTCACCTTAGCCATTTAAATTTAAATGAATACTAATTGAAACTAAATAAGATTGACCATTTAGTTCTTCAGTCACACCACTCCCACTGCAAGGGCTCAATAGCCACATATATGCTGTTGGCTACCATATTGTACAGCACAGAATAGAGCATTTCACTCATCACAGATGAAGTTAAATAATATAACTGTTGTGAAAAAAGCTCAGCACAGTGCCCAACATGTAGTAGATGTTCAATATCCTCCACCCTTCCCATAAGCTCCAGACACTCCAGGGACTCCTCACTGCCCTTGCCATGCCACCTCCTTGAGGCACTCTTGGCTAGCAGCTGCTCAGTCCCCACAGCATGCCTGCCTTGGGTTTGGGAGATAAATCAGTATCCTCTGTGCTCTCCACTGCTACTTAGGGACTACGTCATCATCACCCCATTTTACAGATAGAGAAATGGCAGCCTGTAGAGGGTAAAAAACGTACCCATGGTCAGGAGACTGGATGCTTACAAAATCATTGAAAGGGCTAGAAAATGGGCTCTAGGTGGGCCCCTGGGAATGACTTCCAGAATCCCACTGAGCTGACTTGCCAATTTGGAAGTCAGGTGTTGTAGACAGAATAATGGCTCCCCAAAGATGTCCATGTCCTAATTCCTAGAACCTGTGAATATTCATTTTTGTGACAAAGGGAATTTAGGATAGCAGATGAAATTACAGTGGTAAAATGGCTTCCTTCGAGGTAAGGAAATTATCCTGGATTGTCTGGGTGTATCCAGTGACTACAGTATCCCAGTGTAGACACGAGGGTTCTGAAATGTGGAAGATGAAGAAGAGTCAGTGTCAGAGTGATGTAATGTGAGAAAGACACAACCAGTGGCTTTGAAGACAGAAGGGTCTTCTCTAGACCCTCCAGAAAGAAATGCAGCCCTACTGACATCTTTATTTTACCCCAGTGGAGCCCATTTTGGGCTCCTGACCTTCAAAACCACAAGATAATACATTTTTGTTGTGGGAATTTATTATAGCAGCCACAAGAAGTAAATACAGTTTTTGGTACCAGAAGCGGGGCTGCTGTAACAAATACCTAAAAGTGTGAAAGTGACTTTGAAACAGCAGTTGCACAGTCTAGAAGAATTGTAAGGAGCATGATAGAAAAGCCTAGGTTTCTTTGAACAGACTATTAGAAATATGGATGTTAACAACTTTACTAAGACTCAGAAGGAATGAGGAACATGGTAAAGAAAACCAAAATCACTTTAAAAAACACTTCAATTGTTGTGAAAGAACTGTTTGTAGAAATACGGATGTTGAAGGTGCTGCTGGTAAGGGCTCAGAAGAAAATGAAAAAATGTTATTCAAAACTAGAAGAAAGAGGATCCTTGTTATATAGTGGCAGAAAGTCAGTGGAATTGTGCCCTGCAGTTATGTAAAAGGCAGAAATTGCAAGTGATGAACTTGTGTATTTAGTTGAGTAGCAGTTCAAGAAAAGTGTTAAAGGTGTGGCCAGGTTTATTTTTGCTCCTTATAGTAAAATGCAAAAGAGAAGAGATAAACTGGGCAGGTGCGGTGGCTCATGCCTGTAATCACAGCACTTTGGGAGGCCAAGGCAGGCAGATCACGAGGTCAGGAGTTCGAGACCAGCCTGACCAACATAGTGAAACCCTGTCTCTTCTAAAAATACAAAAATTAGCCAGGCATGGTGGCACACGCCTGTAGTTCCAGCTACTCGGACGGCTGAGGCAGGAGAATAGCTTGAACCCGGGAGGTGGAGGTTGCAGTGAGCCGAGATTGTGCCACTTCACTCCAGCCTGGGCAACAGAGCAGACTCCATCTCAAAAAAAAAAAAAAAAGAGAGAGAAAGAGAGAGAAGAGGTAAACTGAAGGAAAAATTGTTTTTAGTTGTTGTTGTTTTTTGTTTTTGTGTATGTGTGTATTTTTTTTTTAAGGAAACATGACTTGATTTAGGGAAAGTCTCAGCCTATCTAGATTGTAAAAACACTAAAATTAAGAGTTACGTTCAAGAAAGTATGACAAGAGGCAAAAAATAAGAGTGTGGCTTGACAACCCATTGCTGGTACCTCAGAAAGATCAAAAGATTAGTCACACAAAAGCCTCTTTGAAAAGAGTGTGACTTATCTATCCTCTTGAATATCTCAGCAGAAGCCAAAATAGAGATGAGATTATCTAGGAATGACTGGTGGAGGAGGAGAAGACCTACAAGATTCTTAAGAATGTTATGCCAGCAGAAACACTGCAGTTTTTACTGAAGAGGGCTGAGAGGAGATGAAAAAGAAAAAAAGATTGTAGAACCTCTGAAAATCTCCAGGCAATAAACAGGCTGATAAAACTCCTCAGCTGCAAACAGATGCTACCTTTAATGAAAAAGAAAAGTTGACTCAGAAGGTGGGGTCTTGAACCCAGATGGTGAGCCAAGAATCACGGAGAAGCTTTAAAGCCAAATGAAGTTTGCCCAGCTGGATTTCAAAATTGCTTGGGACCAGTGATTCTTTTTTTCTTTACATTTTCTCCCCTTTTGGACAGAAATGTCTAGAACTATTACCCTATGCCTGTACCCCCACTATATTCTTAGAGTGGAAAACTTACTGAGTTTCACAGGTTCACAAATAAAGTGGAATTATGCTTCAGGATGGATTATACCTAGACAATGACCCATACCTGATTTAGTAAGGAATCAAAAAGCTGCCGCTGCAACTACTTGACATCAAGAACACACTGCCACAACTACAATCCAGGGGTATAAAAGTGCTGTCACTACCATGACTGCCTCTTAATACCCACACAACTAGAGACCAGACACTAGAACTCCAACATGGAAAATTCAACAGCTGTATGACCATGTTTACTGTTGCTATGTTTGTTGCCAAGACAGAAGACAGTCTCTACTTCATATCTGCCTTCCAAATCTCACACACATACATCTAACTGATAGAACCCATCTGCATTCATACTTTTGGCATAGGGAATCTGAGACATATACTTTTTAACATTTGTATGCAAGGTTTACTAGAAGGAGGGTGGTATGGATCTGAGTGCCAATTCATTTCACCCACCAAAGTCACCCATTATGCTAAGCATCATTTTATTTGATCTTAAAACCAACTTAATAAAATAGACATGATTATTTTCCTGATTTATAGATGAGGAAATTGAAGCTCAGAGAGTTTAAGAGACTCAAATAATACCACATAGCTAAGAAGAAGCAAGGATCAAACTCAGAACTCTCTGAATGTAAAGCTCATGTTGTTAACTACCACGTGCATTTTAGGGTCATCTTGATTTCTGAGGGATCAAAAATATAAGGTAGAAGTAGAGGATAACTGAGTTGCATATTTAAAGTAATGGCAAAAAAGAGGGTACACAAGAAACAAACTTGCTGGACCAAGTAAAGGAAGTAGAAGTCATTCCAATCATAAGTAATCCTTGAGTACATAACACATCAAGGTCTGCTTTAGGTGCTCGGGATACAATGGTTACCAAAACAGGCATAGGCATCTGCCCCGCCCCTGCCTGCATGGACTTACAGTCTGGAGGTAGAGATAGAGGTGTTAACCAAATAACCATACAGACGAACTGATTAGTACAACCATTGTGAGAACTCGTAAGGAGATAGCCTCATTTTATCAGTAGAAGACATAACTAGGAAGCCAGATCCATGTGGGAAGTCAGAGAATGCTTCCTTAGAGAAGTTACAATTATACCAAGAGACTTCTGCTCCCTTAGGAGGAGCTAGTGAACTTGAACCAACCTCCTACAGAGGATACCTGAAAAAGTCTGAATAAATTCAATTTTCTCAAAAGAATCAAAAAGCTATAACATGGCTAAGAATTACCACACCAAAATTTATAAAAACGTGAGGACATAAAAAAATAAGCCAAACCTTCAAAGCCACATTAGCCCTGAGGACATTTTCTGATCTGGAAGAAGTTGGTGGTGACCTTCTAAAATGAGGGGTACAAAAGTCAAAGTGTCAATTCCACCTATGTAAAATGAGCCCATAAAGGGGTTTACTCCCAGCATGAGGGTGAACTACAAATAAACTAGCCCTCTTGTGAGCCTGTAGCTCCTGTTCAAATAACCCGAGAGTTAAATGAATCTCATGTTTAAATTAACAGACAGCACTCCACAGCCCAGAGGAAGCAAATAAAATCCTCTCTGAATGAATTATTTCTAAAATAATTTAGCATTAATGACCAGCACATAGTCAAAAATAACCAGGCACACAAGGAAATAAGACATCATGAATCAAAATACTGAAACAGATTTACATTTCAGATAACAGAATTTTCTCAGAGTCTATTAAAAAAATTATGTTTATGATGTATAAAAAAATAAAAAACAAGGTAGAAAATATCTACAGGGACAACTGCTCTAAGAACCAAGAGATGAACAGGAGTTAACCAGATGGAAAGGAAAAAGAGAGGGATGTAGGAAGAAAGGCATTCCCAGCAAAGAAGCCAATAGTCTCCGCGTTCTATCCCACCATGAGGCCTCTGTATGTCAGATATTAAGAAAGAGGCCAGCATGGATGGAATGTAGAAAACAAGGGGACAGGGAAATAGTGTGGCATTGAAGAACTGAGATAAGCAGAGGGTGGATTCTGATAAGCATTTTGGCCTCTCTCCTGAAAATAATCATTGAATGTTACCATTGAAGGAGCCTTGAAAGGTTTCAAATAGGAGTTGGGCTAGACAAACTTGGATTTTTGGAGAATTCTAGTCTTCTGCTCAGCTCTGAAAGGACCTTCTCCCCTTTTTCTCTGGAAACTCACACAATCCCAAGATCCATACTGAGCCAACACTATTGCCCCATTGAGCAGGTGGTAACACTGAGACCCTGAGAGAGGCAATGACCTGTTTTAAGGGCCCTGTTGAGTAACCTAGGTCTGTTGGGCTTGCTTCATCTGGGGATACAGCATAGAAAAAAAAGTAGGTGGAGAAGTCTTTGTTAGCAGAGTCAACTAGAGGGTCCCATGACCTGAGGCCTGCTTAGACTAAATATCCGTACCCAGATATGGAGTCTCCCAGCACCATGGCCTTGAGTAGTCTGAGCTCCCCAGCAACATGAATCATACAACCTCAGCTGGCAAGGTAGAGCGTGTGTGTGCGCACACACATGCATGTATACATGGAGAAGGAGGGACAGGGTCTAAGAAGAAGGGCCAAGGTTTTCATCCCCAGTGCTGAACTGAGCCCAGACGTGCAGTATGGGTAAGGTTTCTAGGGAACATTTGCAACCCCTATAAATTGGGCCACATTTTATGGGAGGACAAACATACCTGCCTCCCCAGCAGCTCATGAAGCTCCTCCCTCCTCATGCCAGGTGGGAGGCACCGTAGACACATCACCCACCCAGGGCCCAGCCACTCCCACTCATACACCACTCATTTCTCCCAGGCCTTTGTTCCTGCATGTCCAGGAGCTGCCAGCCTTCTCCTTACTCCACAGCAGGCTCCTAGAGGATCCTGGACAAGTCTTGACCCCATCAGGAGCCAATACCCACCCCCATTCCCTGCTCTGAGGCTGCCAGCGGATCGCTACAGGGGAAGCAGGCAGACCACCATTGGCCCAGGCTCCCCAGGCAGTGGTGGGGCCTTTGAGGGGAAAGTTCATTGCATCAATCAGCTCATTGTTGGCCTGCCAAGTGCAGGCTCGTCCTCCCCCGGTGTGTCACTGGGCGCTGTTGACACAGATGTCAACTGTCAAGGGTGCCCTCCACCCTCCACCTTCTTCCTGGGGCGTCCTGCAGGTCCAGCACAAGGGCCTCTGTCGCAATGCTCCCCACTGGCCCCTTGCAACCAAGATTGCCACACCTTTGGAATTGCCAAAACTTGACTGGATACTTCATCATGCGGATTGGCCATGAAGGCTGCAGCTGACTCGGCCAGGTATGGCAGATACTTGACTGTTTGCCAGATGACAAATCCCAACCGAGTGAAACCTGCAGACTTCACAGTATCTATGGTGCAAGCTTCTTCCCGCCCGCCCAACAGAAGTGGCAGGTGGTAGCTTTCTGGGGCCCATTTCCAGCATGGGAAGGAGGAGTCCACATCCCCACAATCTGTGCATATATGGGCCCAGCCAGCCGGTTAAATCCATGGCAATGACTTAGCTGTCCTTGTTCCCTCCAGACCCATCCCACGCCTGCCTCCAGGAAGGGCTGGGGAGCAGTGAGCACATGGGAATCTGTGCAGTGGGACCCAAGGGGCCCTGTCCCGATTCCTGTCCTTCACTAGTCCCTGGGCACCTCAGGATAGAGGGCAGCTACACTGTGGCAACCCTCAGGCGGAAAAGACCACACAATTGCAGGCATGATGAGGAACCACCAAAATCACTTCATGCTAGGCCCCAAGGAAAGCTGTTAGAACCCAAGGAAAAATATATGATGCACAGGATACTTCACTCCCTAGATCACCATGATTCTGAGTTATTTGTCATGTTTGTGGATTCCAAGTATGTCCACATGCCATGGAGGAGGGAAGTACTTGGGCTCCCAATCTTGATGGAGAAAACATACTTACAAAGAGAGAGAAGAGAGACAGAGAGAGAGAGATTACAGCACAAGGTAGGAAGTGTGTCCAGTGAATGGGTCAATGGAAATCACAAGGAAGGAAAATCACTGTGTGCTGGAGTAGACAAGGAAAGCAGGCTTCCCAGTGGGGCTGGATTTGTTCCAGCATAGCCAGGTGCAATCTAGGAAGCGTGATGGCTTAAGCTAGAAAATGGGGACGAGCATACCACTGTGTGAGGATACTGAGCCTGGAACCACAGACTGGCTGAGACTTTCTGGTGCAACCCACCATCGCCACTGTTGTCCAGGTAGGAAGACCAACGCCTGCAGGTGAAGGGACTTCCCCAAGACCACTCAGTCAAGTGGGAACTGGTGCCCAAGCCTGGATCTGAGGTCAGTGCCCCAGCCACCAACAGAGATTGCTGTACATGGCAGAAGATGATGCCCTGGGCCCTTTCTCAGGACATGCTGTTATGCACATGGCTTATGATCCCTTCCCAAGATCAGGCAGGATTTAGTACCTGGAGCCCAATCCTACAGAGCTGTAGCAAGAGGTTGGGGAGAAAAGACAGGAGTTAGGAGCCAGACAGCACCCTGGCCTAGCTCAGGCCAGGATAGGCTGACAGGATAGGGCTTTAGGTCTTCCCATTTTGAAACCTCTGTGAAATAACTATTTTGAAATCTTGCTCAATTTTGAAATTTCTGCAAGATAAAACCAAATCTGGTTGTGATGAGTTGATACCTTGATCATTGGCCTGGTATGTGGTAAACTGTCTCCCCTGTCCTCATGACCTTGGGGGCTGGCTCTATGAGCCCTACACTGTAGCCTGTCAGCAGGACAGGACCTGGCACAGTGTGGGTCTCTGCCCTGGGAAAATGCTGCCAGTGGGAGTCAGCTGCCTGGCATAACAGAGGAGACACACCTGGACTCCCTCCTCAATGCTCGAGCTCCAGGCCCTGTGTCTATCATGAGGCTGTGGCACATATTAGTATACGATGGACACGTGTTGCCCTTGTGGTCCCAATACCAATTCTAAAAATCATCCAAGCACCTACGGTTTACCTGCCAAATGCCGTCAAGTCCACGGTTTCCTCCTTCCAAAAAGCTCCACCAGTTGAACCAAGGCATTGCTTGGGAAGAACTCTGAGCTGCGCAGACCACAGCCTTGGCCCATGACCCAGGACAATCTTAAAAGAGGCCCAGGGCCCAAAGAAGCTAATTGGCTTGCTTTTCCACTGAAGGGAACAGGTACCCTGGACGCTCCCACAGCCAACCACATAGAGACCATGTGGGAAGCTCCTGGTTTGATGGAAGCCACTGACTTTTCTTTCTAGAAAGTCCTTCAGAGAGCACATCTTCTCACCCCCACCTCATCATACCTTGAATATGGGGCTGCTGCAGTGAAGAATATCCCAGAAGGCCAGCCTATTTTTTAAGTCAACATTTCTTCCCTGGGACAGAACAACCAATGAGGCCAAGATGAGGATCTACACAGGTGAAGTGGTCAAGAGTACCCAGGGCTGGTATAGATGACGTGGAAGTAGCAGTGGTAGGTCCACCATAAGATGCCTCAGTTGACAGAGCTTTATCTTTCTTTCCCACCCGGATAGAAATTCAGTCCTTTTCCACTGCAGCAGAACATACAACCCTGCTGGTTATGCAACTCAGGTCATGATTCAAGTTCTGTGTGCATTGGGCAGTTTAGTCATGTTTGAGAAATACCTCCAAACACTGTTCACTCATTCAACTGACTTCTCCTGAGCACTTACTAAGCCACAGGCTAGGAACCAGAGCAGCGCCCAGTCCAGCGGGAGCAGATGAGGGCCTTTCCGCTGGGAAGGGAGCAAATGGAACACTCTCTCTCTTGAGCTGTGCCCACCTTCCACGACTCCCTCCGAGGCCAATCAGGCACATCTGCCAATCGCCAAGACCGCAGAGCACAGTCAGGAGATCATGAGTTCTGACCTAGAATCAGCCACACAAACAGCTTCAACCCTCTAGGCCTCGACTATCCCATCTGTATCATGGGGATAAAAGGAGCTGCCCTGGGTAGCACCAAGAGCCAACAGGAGGAGGCTTAAACAACAAAGGTGATGCCCCTCATCATCACTGTTGGATGACTCCTGCAGAGGAAGGGAGAGGGAGCCAGGGACAAGGGTCCCCTCCTTAGGAAGGGCTCTCAAATCTGTCCTCACGTCCTGTCAGTGCACACCTACCCTAAACAAGTCTCCTGGCTAGGCCACCTCCCCCTCTTCTCACCAGAGCTGTGCCACAACCTAGACTAGAGCTAGTCACCCTTCCCGCCCCAGGCAGAGGCAGGAGAATGACACAACTCAACACCCTGTTTAATCCTGCTCAACTTCAACACTAGGACGGAGTTGGGGAAGGAGATAGGTCCTCACTGTGACTCACTTGCAAACAAGGTCACTACCCACAAGACCAGGACTGGTCTGACCTGGAGGTAACCCCAAGAGTGTGAAGGAAGGTCCTCTCTCCACCTTAAAATCTCTCTCCCAATATCTGCATGACTTCAGTTCATACCACTAGGTTGAATTTCTTTGGATGCTAGAGAGTTTTGGAGGCTTGAGAGTTCCCTGTTAATAATCACTAACATTTTTGGCAAGTGAGCAAGTCATTGTACCAAACACTAATTTAAACCTCATAACAAACCTACAAGGCAGGTATTCTTCTTATGCCCATTTCACAGATAAGCAAAAGGAGACAAGTTCAGAAACACGCCCAAGGTCACACAGCTAGTGAGTGGCAGACCCAGGAATTGAACACAAGCTGTTCGATCGTAGAGCCCATGATCTTAATCTTCACACCTTAACCCACCGGGGACTTAGCTTAGGAAGATGATTTATAAGCCATTTTCCAAAAAGCCCTAGAGTTGCATGGTGGCACCTCAGGAGCCACCAAAGGCAGCAGAAGGAGCAGAGGGTGAGGCTCCAGTCCCCTCCCCCATTTTAACCAAAGCAGCTTTCTTAAGCAGAATCTTAATTTTTAAAAAGAAACAATTTCTAATTAGTTTCTAATTTCAATCTAATTGTAAAAATAGATCTCACCAATTGCTTGAACCCAGGAGGCGGAAAGTGCAGTGAGCCAAGATGGTGCCACTGCACTCCAGCCTAGCGACAGAGTGAGACTCCACCTCAAAAAAATAAAATAAAATAAAAAGATCTCACCAGCAAAAACAGTTCTGAAATTTTCCTCTTTAGGAAAACCCCAGCTCATACTTTATAGAATTTCATTCCCAAGGGATCTTCTTCTGATATGGGGGATAAGACACAAGGGAGGTTTTCAGGAAAAACTTAGAAGTCTTCAGAATCTAGCCAAGAGTCATCAAACTCAGGGCCTTGGAAACCAAGGGTCTCCTCCTTTCTTCCCTAAGCCTCTTGGGTCCAGAAAAGAAAATGTGATCACAAGGTCCAGAAATGTGGCTGGCACCAGTAAATAGAGTAGGGAACCCAACTCCTTCCACCAACACACATAGCCACACACTCTCTATTTCAACCTGTCCTCCGCAATGGACTCAGATGGGGTGACCCATGAGTGATCTTTGACCCCTGATCAGCCACAGCCACTTATGGGGCACCCGGGACATCCACGTGGGAGCCATGAGCCCAGGATCCTCAACTGAAAGTGAGTCTAGGATGGACAGAGGGATCATGGCTGTGATGGGGCCCTGATCTCGTCTCCCTTTGCATGGCGACAGAGATGACCTTAGAGGACAGGCCAGGACGGAGAACAGTTTTTGGAGAAAGGAGTCAAGACACCCTCTGGCTTCCCAGCCCATTGCCAGGGCACAGAGAATCCTGGAGCATCATGGACAAAATCCTGGGAAATTATACATGGCTCATAACTGGGCTTCATCTCCTCATTCCCTCTCCTGGCCCTCCTTCTCCCCTGAAAGCTGCCACAAACCTCTCAGCCTGGACCTCTGAGGAACAGCCATGTTCCTTCCTGCTTTCCCACTTTTTTTTTTTTTATACTTTAAGTTCTAGGCTACATGTGCACAATGTGCAGGTTAGTTACATATGTATACATGTGCCATGTTGGTGTGCTGCACCCATCAACTCGTCATTTAACATTAGGTATATCTCCTAATGCTCTCCCTCCCCCCTCCCCCCACCCCATGACAGGCCCTGGTGTGTGATGTTCCCCTTCCTGTGTCCATGTGTTCTCATTGTTCAATTCCCACTTATGAGTGAGAACATGCGGTGTTTGGTTTTTTGTCCTTGCAATAGTTTGCTGAGAATGATGGTTTCCAGCTTCATCCATGTCCCTACAAAGGACATGAACTCATCATTTTTTATGGCTGCATAGTATTCCATGGTGTATATGTGCCACATTTGCTTAATCTAGTCTATCATTGTTGGACATTTGGCTTGGTTCCGAGTCTTTGCTATTGTGAATAGTGCCAATGCCTGCTTTCCCACTTTAAACTCCCCACCCCGGGAAAGAGGCATCAAAACCTGGAGAGAGCAGGGGACAGTGTGGCTAAATGAGAACCACACAGGAGAAAGACACAGGAGTGGGTGCTCGATGGCCACAACAACACCCAGCCAGAGCAGGCTACTCCAAAACACCTTCACTTCCACGCGGCTCAATCACTTCTCAGAAAGCCGAGTGTCTCCCTCCCCAACCAAGGGCCCCCATTGATAGGCATGGCTCTGGCCCTATGAGGCATTTGCACAGCTGTGGCAAGGCTGCTGTATTGCACAAGATCCAAGTGAAGTTCAATTTGGAATCAAAAAATGCTATGTTGGAAGAGCTACACCCCCTGGAACGTGAGCCCTCCCACCCCAACCTATGGTTCCAATTTCCCCAAGAGATAACCTGGATATCATCTGATTGGTGATATTGCAGGGGTCAGCTCAGAGAGACTGAGGGTCTTCTGTAAGATACAACAGGTCCCTGCATTGCTCCTGTCCCCAGAATGAAGAGGCAGCAGCCAGGAAGAGGCACAGGCCTTGCTGTACACAGAGACAGCTTTGCTCTCATCTCCCCCACACACCTGCAGCACCCCCAAAGCAGCCCTATGTTCCCCTCAAAGGACACCCAGGTAAGATGCTGAGGTCTGAGAGGGGTGAGTACATCAGTCTGTCCATTCAACCCACTTGCTCAGCTTAATCTGCCCTCCCCATTTAACAAGGGCTCAAAAGAGGTTTCACCAGCCCCCACCACCCAATCGGGCGCCTTTCTCAAACCCCACACTGGCAATTACTTCCAATTACACAATGTGACAAGGCTCTGGGGCCTGGGCTCCTAACTCAGGCCCTGCATTATGAAATGTTTTTAATCCTCTTACTTAAGGTGGAAAACCGATATGGTGCTCTGAGTTCACGTGAATGACTGGAAAAATAATTCTAAGAAATAAAAACATTGCCATCAATATCACCTTACAGCCTCCCTGAAAGGATTAAAAGGATGCATACTTTGAATTTTCAAATGCCCCTGCTGAACTCTTTTCGAGGCTTTTTGATGCAGACATTCCTCAGAGGGAGAGGGACTGAGTGGGGATTCCCTGGTGAAAAGAGTAGTCCCTCCATGGCTGTGGGGTGAGGTCCATTAGCAGGAACCCTAGAGCCCGCCAGCCTGTGCCCATGGCCACAGCCAGGGCTGCGTGGGCCTCGCACTCTCCCAGAGCAGCCGGGGTGCACAGACTGGGGCTCCCCTATCCACGCAACGCTGCCCAGAGCCAAAGCCTACACGTCCCTTATCCCTAAGGCAGGTCCCACCTCACTTGGCTGGGAAAGATCCCTACTGCCCTGCCCCCAGAATGCCCAGGCCTCTGGACATTCCCACAGGCCACAGAGATAACCCTCTCAATAAGGATGGAGATTTCTTGAGTAGCTCAGGCCCTGACAAGGCAGGAAGGCCCCTGCATTCCCATTAGCACGTCCTTAGCACACAATGGGCTCCCTGATTTCTTCACCATGAGCTCTGCTATCAGTCCTTGCCAGGCTGCCATGCCATGCTGAAGTCATGCATTGGCCACCCAGCAATAGGTGGGCAGGTGGACAAGCGCCAGGACATGCCCTTCAACGCCCAAACCCAGCCCACGGCCTGGCCTTTGGATGGAAGGGAACAGCCCAAGACCAGCAGGTACAATTACAGTGGCTGGGCCCATTAAACCCTGGGAAGAAAGAGCTGCCTGGTAATTACCCCTAATCCCCTTCGAGTCTTTGTCTGCTAGCAGCACTGCTATAAGCCTAATGGTGTGAGATAAGTGGCCAGACTCCCCAGCCTTCCCCAGAGCTGCCTCAGGCAGGGCTAAGGTGGGGGCACCCATCAGCACAAGCCCACCAGGATGCCATTCCTAAAAGTCTCCTGTGACAGGACCCTCCACAAAGAGGCAGTCCCCACAAGACAACGAGGTCCCTGGGGCTACAAGATGGCACCAGAGGAGGAGGAGGGTCCCAGACCCTGGAAGGGCCAAGTGTCTGAGCAAACAAGACTCATGTCACCTGGACCCCACAGCCATTTCCAAAACCATATTCTGATCATGCTGGGACCTAAATCCTGCACTCCAGGAGCCATGCACAGGATGCAGCTCGTGGTACAGGGCAATTCACCAGAACATCGTGCGGCCCTCAGAGCTCTGATGAGTGAATGACCTGCCTGCCGCAAGTCATTCAGAGGCTTCCACAGGTGGGAGGTGGCCCTTCTGCTCTTCATAACAACCCAGAATGGAGGGGGCACTTATGGACACATAACATGCCCTTCATCCTCTGGCCCCCATGGCCCCATTCAACACTTGCATCCTGAATTGCAGGGGTCCCAAACTCAGAAGCTCCTGGGCTCAGCTGTGACACAAAGAAGTGAGGCCAGCCCAGGATGCATCTCAACACTGGCACAGGAAAATGTGGCTCTACATGCACTGGCTCATTTCCCTGAAACACAGTTATCCCAGCCTCCCCCTTCTTCTCTCTCTTAATAGAGACTTTGGTCCATGCCCATTTAAAGACGGTTGCTCTTGGTGACTGTTACCAAATCTTATTTCTCTAGAGAAGTCAGAAATCTAAATTTCTAGCCAAATATCTCCTAGTTTTTTTTTAAACAGATTCCAATAATGTAGAACACTGGATGAATCAATCAAATGTGTCTGCAGGACCCCAGTTTACAAGCTCTGCTGTCCTGGATTTGCCTGTTTGGGGGTCCCTCTACTCCTACCTCAAACCAAGCTCCTTGAGAACAGAAACCACATCATGTTCATCCCTATAATCCCAGCACCTAGCCTAGGGCCTGGCACACATCAGATACTCATTAAATGTTGGGTAACTGGTTGAATGAAAGGTGAAGAAACTAAGGGCAGAACAGTTAACTCACCTGTGCAAGGTGACCCAGCTGGTGAGCACAAAACAGACATAAGCAGCCAAGCCCAGGCCCCTGGCCCAGTGCACCTGCCACAGTACCTTGTTGCTTCCCCCGCCCTAGTCATTCACATTCCTAAAAACAGCCCTTCTTTCATTCCATAGTTCTTATCCACAATAGTTTAAATTCTGGTGTTTCAAATGATGTTTTACACAGCATCCCTCAACCCACCCCACCCATGACATCTGGGCTGCAGACCCCTTGCAAGCATGACAATTGGGGGTACATGCATAGTCTATGCATTGGGCACAAAGGTTTTCTGACCTCAGCAACCCTATGATGCAGGAAGAATGACCCCTCATGAGGGAGAGTACCCCCCTGAACCTAGGAGGCCCCTCTTTTCCAGTATTCTGAATTCTGTAAGAAGAAATGTAAATGAAGCCTTGGGACAACAGAATCCTGAGAAGCTCCTGAAGACCATTCCACTGGGGCTGGACATTCCACTACACATGGTTACCAGGCCCAAGAAACCAAAGCATGAGGGCTAAACTTCCAGTTCAACACAGCAGCTCATATCCTGCCTGTATTCATTATCTATTGGTGCACAATAATATCCTCACAAACATGGCAGCTTAAAACAATACACATTCATTATCTCCGTTTCTAAGGGTCAGGAGTCTGCTCTTTACTGGGTCCTCTGCATCAGGGTCTCATCTGAAAGCTACAAAAAATATGTCAATGAGGCTGCAATCTCATCTCAAGGCAGAATATGGGGAAGGATTGAGATTGGCACCCCCAATCTCATGTGGGGTTGCCATAATTCAGTTCCCTATAGCCCATGGGACTGAAAGTTTCTTGCTTGCTTTCAGCTAGAGGCCACCCTCAGCTCCTCGCTGGGTGGTAGCTGGAGACTGCCCTCAGGTCCTTGCCATGTGGGCCTCCCACATTGCTGTTTGCTTCATCAAAGCCAGCAAGGGAGGGAGTCTCTGAGCGAGGCTGATGTTACGATCTGATGTAACGTATCATGGAAGTGACAGGATGTTCTACTGGTTAGAAAGAAGTCACAGGTTGTGACCACACTCAAGGGAATTACACAAGGGCATAAGTACTAGCAGGAGGAGATATTGGAACCATCTTAGAGTGTCCAACACACTGCTGATATGGTTTGGCTGTGTCCCCATCCAAATTTCATCTTCAATTATAGCTCCCATAATCCCCACGTGTTGTGAGAGGGACCCAGTGGGAGGTAATCGAATCGTGGAGGTGGGTCTTTCCCATGCTGTTCTCATGATAGTGAATAAGTCTCATGAGATCTGATGGTTTTATAAAGGGCAGTTCCCCTGCACACGCTCTCTTGCCTGCCGCCATGTAAGATGTGCCTTTGCTCCTCCTTCGTGTTCCACCATGATTGTGAGGCCTTCCCAGCCATGTGGAACTGTGAGTCCATTAAACCTCTTTCCTTTATAATCTACCCAGTGTCATGTATGTCTTTATTAGCAGCATGAGAATAGACTAATACAACTGCTAACACAAAGTAAAGGAGATTTTTTTTGTTGCATAAGTCCTAGAGGATGAAGAGAAAGGAAAGGAAAACAAGAGCAGGTAAGTGATGTCAACGCTATTTTGGAAGCCAGCAAGTAAATGAATCAGTGATACTGACTTACATTCCAGCCTGCTACACCTCCAGTGGGTCAACCTTCAAGACGCAAGTGGCTGTGTGTGAAGAATCTCACAAAAGCAAGAGAATTGGAGCCAATAGGTGCTTGGAAGGCAGAGGTGCAACTGCAACAGAAAACAGACTGGTTTACAGTCTTTAGAGGAATCATTAGATCCCCCAGGTGCCTTCCCTCAGCCCTGACAACCAAGTAACAATTTCTTCTTCAAACTTGCAAGAGAGATCCCTCTGGATCCAGGGATTTAAAAAAACAAAAAACAAAAAACTGAAGACTATGGTGAGATGCTGTAACTGGGGATTCTATGAAAATGAACATACTGAACAACAAAATCCCCCAAATTCCTTTTCTCTTTTTGGTTCTAAAAGTTATACACGTCAGGCAGAAGACTGGATGATCCCTCTTCAGAAACTAACCAGTCCCTGAAAAACTCCTAAAGATGCCATTATTTGAGTGTTCCTCATCAAAAGAGGTGGCTTCCTATCCAATACCATTTTGGAGAAGCCCATTAGCCAACAGGCCCCACCCATGCCCAGAGAGCTTCCAACCAGCATTTTGGTGCCTTGTCTCAAATACAAAACAAGAATCCCCAGACATTGAGAAGAGTCTCCAACACAAAAGACAAGACTAAAACCAAGAGGAAATAAAAAGAACCCAGAGGAAAGATACAATATAGGGAGCAAAGGAAAACTTCAGAAAAAAACCACAATATCTTCAGAGAAATAAGAAAACATAAAGCATATATGAGAATTGAAAGCTACACAGAACAAACAAAAAGCTCTAAGAATTTAAAACTATCAAAGCAGGAGAAAAAAAACCAATAGAAGATTGTAAGATAAAGTCAAAGACTTAGTCTAGAACAACAGTGCTCAAAATGTGGTCCTCAGACCCCAAAGGGCCCTGAAGCCCTTTCAGGAGGTCCGCAAAGTCAAAATTATGTTCATAATAATCCTAAGCCATTATTTGCCTTTTTCACTGCATTGATATTTGCACTGATGGCGCAATAGCAATAGTGGGTAGAGTTGCTGTAGTCTTAACAGAAATCAAGGCAGTGGCAGCAACTGCACTCACAGTCACTACCTTCTTCACTACCACACACTCACAGTAAAAACAAATCAGTCCCACTTAATTATGTACTTGTTGAAGAAGCAAAAGTTATTAATTCTATTAAATCTCAAACTTTAAGTACACATATTTTTTACTATTTTATGTAACAAAATTGAGGACATAGAAAGCACTTCCACAGCACACCATGTAGGATCAATGGCTATCTCAAAGCAAAGCACTTTAGCGACAGATCAAGTTGTGAGATAAACTAGCCACTTTTATCACAGAGTCCTATTTTTACGGAAAAAACAACTAACAGTCAAATGACAGTTATTCAGACTTGGGTATCTGGCATATATTTTTCTAGAAAATGAACAGCATACACCTGTCAATTTCAAGGAATGTACTATTTGTTACTAATATTTGTTACTAATGTAACTGTAATAATTATTACTAATGATAAAATTTGAGCTTTCATGCAAAATTAAAGCTCTGAAAAACTTATCTGCCACAATGAGCTTGAGAACTTTCAAATATGTGCTTTTCAGCTGAGATCAGGGGCAATATTTACAAATCTGATTGTTTGATATTATATCAAGAAATGTGTCAACATTTGAAAGATCTGTATAACTCAGTGAATCAATATTTTCCAAATGACCAATGAATGTTACAAACACAGCCACAGTTAAAATTCTACACCACAACTAACCTTTAAGAATGCACTAATGTTGAGTTCTGGTGTGGTATCAAAGGGTATCTACAATTAACTTAAAAGCTTATTAAAATACTCTTTCCCTCTTCCAACTACACATCTGAACAAAACCAGACTTTCTTCAATACTTTAAATCAAAACATATCACAACAGACTAAAAACAGAAACAGTTGAGAAGACAGCTGTCCTCTATTAAGCTACACATTAGGAAGAATTGCAAAAATATAAAATTATTTTTTCACTAAATGCTTTGTTTTGGGATGTAGTTCTACCTTTTTTTTTTTTTTTTTTTGAGTCTTGCTCTATTGCAAAGGCTGGAGCACAGTGGCAAGATCTTGGCTCACTGCAATCTTCGCCTCCCAGGTTCGAGTGATTCTCATGCCTCAACTTCTCAAGTAGCTGGGATTACTGGCGTGTGCCACCAGGCCCAGCTAATTTTTTGTGTATTTTTAGTAGAGATGGGGTTTCACCATGTTGGCCAGGCTGGTCTTGAACTCCTGGCCTCAAGTGATCCGCCTGCTTCGGCCTCCCAAAGTGCTGGGATTACAGGAATGAACCACTGTACCCAGCCTATATCGACATTTTCATAAAATTATATACTTAACATATAATTATTTTAAATTAATATTCTAAGATTTTCTCAGTATTAATCTCTCTATAGTAAATATCAATAGATAGAATCCACATAAGTTCTTTGGGATTCTCAATGATTTTTAAGAGTGTAAAGATGTCCTGAGGCAAAAGAAGACCTGAAACCAAAATATATTAGAACTGCTGGCATCAAAATAAAATGACAAAAAGATGAAAAAGAGAAAAAGTTAGTGAAGCAATCAATTCAGGAGGTTTAATGTTAAAAAAGAACAACTCCGGAAAAAGAGAAAACAGAGTGCATGAAGAGGGCAACTTTTATCAAATAAATAACACAAATCCCTGGTATTGAAGTCTGGAGATTTAAAAGGAGCTGCACCAAGTGCCCAAAACATTGAATTTAAAAATTCATCTTGAATGATGAAAATGCTATATTTCAATACCCTGGTTATAAAGGATCTATCCTCAAAGTTTCTGGGTGGGGGTGGTGTAGAAATTATCATGTTCCAAACATATGAGAAAAGCTCATCATCACTGGTCATTAGAGAAATGTAAATCAAACCACAATGAGATACCATCTCATGCCAGTTAGAATGGTGATTATTAAAAAGTTAGGAAACAACAGTGCCGGTGAGGCTGTGGAAAAAAATAGGAACGCTTTTACACTGTTGGTGGGAGTGTAAATTGGATCGATTATCATGGAAAACAGTGTGGTGATTCCTCAAGGATCTAGAACCAGAAATGCCATTTGACCCAGCAATCCCATTACTGGGTATATACCCAAAGGATTATAAATCATTCTACTATAAAGACACATGCACATGTATGTTTATTGCAGCACAAGTCACAATAGCAAAGACTTGGAACCAACCCAAATGCCCATCAATGATAGACTGGATAAAGAAAATGTGGCACATATATACCATGAAATACTACGCAGCCATAAAAAAGGATGAGTTCGTGTCCTTTGCAGGGATGAAGCTGGAAGCCATCGTTATCAGCAAACTAACACAGGAACAGAAAACAAAACACTGCACGTTCTCATTCATAAGTGGGAGTTGAACAATGGAACACATGGACACAGGGAGGGGAACATCACACACCAGGGCCTATCAGGGGTGGGGGGCAAGGGGTGGCAGAGCATCAGGAGAAATACCTAATGCATGTGGGGCTTAAAACCTAGATGACAGGTTGATAGGTGCAGCAAACCACCATGGCACATGTATGCCGTGCTTCCTACATAACAAACCTGCACATTCTGCACATGTATCCCAGAACCTAAAGTAAAAATTAAAAAAAAGAAATTATTGCGTTCCAAAGACTGGGACACAGAGAAGCATGCAACTTCTCAACAGTCATGCAGGAGGCTGGAAGACCAGTTTCTAAGTGAAAGTAATTTCAACACAGGACTTTACATTCAGCCAAACTATTAATCAAGTATAAAAGTATAACAGGCTGGGCATGGTGCCTCATGTTGGAATCCCAGCGCTTTGGAAGGCCAAAGCAGGAGGATAACTTAAGGCCAGGAGTTTGAGATCAGCCTGGGCAACCTAGCAAGACCCCATCTCAATGAAAAAAAACTTTAATTAGCTGGATGTGGTGGTGTAAGCCTACAGTCCCAGCTACTTAGGAAGCTGAGGTAGGAGGATGGCTTGAGCTCAGGAGATCGAGGCTGCAGTGAGCTATGATCACACTAATGCACTCCAGCCTGGATGACAGAGCGAGGTCCCATCTCATTAAAAAAGAAAAAAAAAAGTAAAACAGATTTTCAAACATGCAAGATCTCAAAGATTTTGCCTTCCATGGACCCTTTCTTTGGAAGACACTGGAGGATGCACGTCTTGAAAGTGAGGGAGTAAATGGAGAGAGAAAGCCACAGATTTCAGGAAATGGGCGATTCAACAGGGTTCCCCAGATGATGGCGAAGGGAGGACTCAGATGAGTAGCGGGGCCCAGAGAACAACTCCCAACTAGGGAAAAAGGAGACAACTACCTGATGTGTTTGAACATCTTCAGAAAACATCTCCAGTTTAGCCAGAATGGGAGGATAAATAAATAACAGAAAACTAAGCAAATGACAAAATCAGATACTATGCACCTAATTCCAAGGAAAACAAAACATCTTTGAGGAAAATGAAAATGTGATTCCAGTACACTACACAGCTCCACCGTGGGTATTTGCACAGTGAGGCCTGGAGGCAGCTGTGCTTTGGGGAAGGGGGAGTGTGTGGGTATCTATTTGGTCAGAAGAGAACTGGTATGAAAAACTTACTCCCTGTCCTCTATAATTGAAAGTCAATAGATAATAACTAAAATTTAAAAATCAAGAAAAAGGTGAGATAAGTAATCTTTTTAAGAAATATGGTAATCATCAAAAACACTAAAAGGATTTTAAAAAAAACTTAATTTAAAAAAGGATTAAAAAGTTACCGATAGAAAGCAGAAACCAGGCAGGGAGGGCCATGGGCCCAGCGGGGCTGCTGCTTCTCATGAGAAACTTATTGCTGCTGGGCTATGAATATGTACTCCTTTGACAAAAATCAAAAACTACTAGGGCACCAGAGGAGCCTAACTTTCCTCCTCACAGTCTTAGCCTAATAAACATTCAGTGGGTTTTTACTGACTTCTACCCACTAGCCACGGGGCCAGCCAGGACTGAGTAGGAAGCATGGCATGATTGGGAGTGCCGAAGTTCAGGTCTCTCATCTAAAGGCACCACCTGCCTCCTGCAGCTGATACCTGAAGCCACCCAATAAGCCCTGTCGTCATCCTCACCCCTAACTGAACTCCAAATACAGGGCCTGGCTCATAGCGAGTGCCCGGTAAACATGACGTCACCCCAAGACCTAGGCACTATTGTTTATCTTTTTCCGGGCGAGGCTGATGCTCAGAGAGGTCAAGAAATGTGGCCTGCCGTCTAGGCTTACTGAGTTTGCAGGTTTCAACCTAGGTGCTCAGTGTATCTCTCAGAGCCATGTTAAACTTCAGAGCTAGTCCCTGCCTCTCCCTGAGGCTTCCACACCCTCACCCCCAAACCTCAGAGCCACCTGCTCGCCTGACACCCTCAGCATCCCAGGTGCCCTCAACAATTCACGCACATTTGGGAGAAATTGAGGGCATGTCCCACTGGAGCCTCCCCATCGTGACAGGAAAGGGGCAGGACAGGCATCATCACACCTCATGTGACAGAGGAGGAAACTGAGGCCAGAGAGAAGGAGGGGCCTGCCTGAATCATGTAACAGGAACCCAGGTGGCCTGACTCACCTTCTGGCACCCCTTCAGTGATCCTCCAAGTAGGCCCCTCCTTGTCCTATTCTAAGCTCTGGGCTTGGCCTATTTTCAAGGAAGAACCGCCCACAAGTCCCCAAAGTCCAGCTCTGTGTTTACTCTTCAGTGAAAATGGTGGCAAATGTATGCAAAACAGATGCTGTGACACATGGTTTGTTGTCAAGAGCAGAGGTCAGAGGGCAGGAGGACTTGTTTGTAGGGGACAGATTGAGGTCTGATAGCCAAGACATTCAGGGTGGGGAGTCTGCTGGGACCCACAAGCTTTAAGGGAAACATCTGACTTCCCAGAGGGGTACAGAGCTGTTCCTGGAGACCAAGGTGGAGCCAGGGATCAGCAGGTGGGGAGGGCACAGAGGACAGCCAGCATCCCCACGCCAAGTACTGTGTCATGTCTCTGCCCCATACCCCCACAGCAGGCAGCCCAGCTGGGCACAAGGAAGTACCCTACCCCCACCCTTGTTAGAGTCACTGATGCTGGAACCATTCCGCCTGAGCGTCTTCCCCAATGCTGAAGACACGTCATACCCAGGGCTGGACCCAGAGTGGATGCTGGCAGATGCCTGCTGAATGAATCTGCAAATCCACAAAGCCAGGCACTGCTTCATGTGGCAGCAAGCCGGCTCTGCCCATATTATAGGAGGCACCAGCTTCCTTCTCAAAACAAGGAAGTGGTTCCGTGGATATCGTGAATCCTCTTTCATCCTCTGAAAGGCATGAATCACAAGTTCTCAGACCCAGCAAAGTTGTGTAAAGGATTCCCACCAAAGCCCATGCACTTCTCTCTTTCTTGATCAGTTGTCCTCCAAGTGCGATCCCTGGAACACAGAGTCACCTGGGACTTGTTAGAAATGCAAATTTTCAGGACCCACCCGAGACCTAATGAAGCAGAAACTCCAAGGGTGGGTGGGGGCCAGTGATCTTCTTTAACAGGCCCTGCAGGTGGTTCTAAGGCATGCTAGTTTGAAAACCACTGCTCTGAATAAAATCAACCAAAATAATACCCCTTGTGCAAAGCAGGGTTCTTGCTCCAAACAAGTGAAAAATAGCTGATATCCCAGATCACTCATCATTAGCATCAAATCAAATTCCTCCAAAATCAGTTATTCAGCATCTGTTCTACATATATCTGTGTAAACCTACAGAAAAATGTGAGTGCATATAAGATACGACAAAGGGAGGGAAAATAAATGAGTTCACAACTTGTTACAGTTAGGCATGTATGTTTATGTTTGTGTATTTTTCCTACCTATTCACTGAGATCTCAAACTTCCTGAGCGTAGGACTCAGCTTTCCTTGGAACATCGGCCCAGTCCTAGGGACTTTGCAGAGAGGGTGGCTCAGTCCACTCTAGGGGACCCAGCAGAGTTCAAATCCAGCCCCTGACCCCAGGGGCTCACACCAAGTCTTGTCTGAAAACTCCTCCAGAGGATGTACGACTCTTCCCTCCTCAACATTTCTTGCTACACTCCTTTGCCCTCTTCCCACTCAATGAGTCATATCACATACCCTGTTATTGTGAAATCCCAGAGCATATTTCTCCTGTTCCACTTTCCATCCACAGCCTCTGATTGGGCCTGTGCACCTGGCTCCTCCCACCTCTCTTCCCTGACCGACCTCTCCCCATCAGCTTCAAGAAGCTCGTCATTCAGGGTGCTTCACTGTCCTAGGGTCCCGCATTGTATGTCCTTGTTCCCATTTCACACTCTAATCCATTACAAGCCCATGGGAAGTTGAGGAAGAGTTGGCCCCCTGCCTGTGTTTTCCAAGTGGGTCCCCCCAGGAGCATGCCACAGGCAATCCCAGCTGGAGACCTGCGCCTGCACCATGGACCCCTCTGAAAGCCTCATGAAAGCATTCCAGGATGTAATAAACCCGTCAGGCCCTGGCTAATTTATATCGAAGCAGATGATTTCCCATTTTTTAGAATGTAAATGTTTAGATTGCAGCATTCCCCTGCCTCGGCATCTGAGGTCCTGGCACGTAAGTGATGAAATCGGCCACTTTTCCAGATGGATCCTTAGATGGAAGAGCCACCATGCCAGCATCCACCCACGGGAAGGATCCAGCTCTCAACAGGCACATGTACAAACCCCACACCAAAGTCAGTATACCAGCATTTGCTTAATGTCAAGAAGTCTCATCTGGCTTTCGCAGAGGATGGGAGGAGAAATAGAGCTTTCAAAGGCAGGGCTTCAGAGCAGAGACAGCAACTGAGATTAGCTAGGTATTCCAAGATCTCTTTCCTTTTATGCTTCTTTGCAAAAAGTTCCTCATTTACTCTGGCCTCAGATACATGTTATTAGATCTCTGTGTTGTATAAACAGGCAAGAGGAGTAGATTAGTGGAAATAAATATAACACAACCCAAGAAAACAGTTCAGCTTGGCCAGTCGAGCCCTGCACATCCCACTGTTCACTCTGTCCTGGGCTGTGTGCATTGACCCATGAGACCCTGCCACCAAACACCATGGGTGGCCCATCCATGAGGCAGCCTCCACCAAGGGAGCTCCTAGCCCAGGGAACCACAGATGTCTTCTTGGGTTCCAGGCACAGGAAAACCAGTTTCCCAAGACCAAGGGAACTCAGAAATGGCCCCTGTAATGAACCACTAGCATCCAAGGGCTCCAACTACTTCAACCAAAATACACCCATTGTCCTGGCACCATTTTCTATAGACAAGTGCCAATTCATGCACAATGTGAGCCCTACAAGCCACTCAGCCTTTTAGTTTCTTCACTGGCCAAATGAAGCTATCCTCTCCATCTCCTGACAATGATGGGAGAAGTCCAGATATGCTGCAAGGAAAGCTTGAGGGTCCTAAAAGGAACTCTAGGCTCAGATGGCTGCTTCACCCATCAAGAAGGCAACAGAATGCGGTACTTGGGCTTGGAAGTGAGTCACACTGCTGAGTTACAGTACACTGCCTCTAGGCTATATGTCTTTGGGCAAGTCACCTCACCTCTCTGAGCCTGACTTTCTTTATCAATAAGATAGAGATAATATAGTATCCATCTCTTAGGTTGTTATCAATAATTAACATGTATTGAGTATTTACTATCCTAATCCAGGTCAGATCATCTGAGAGCAGACTTCCTGCCTGGCCAAATGATCCACTCTCTTGAGCTCTGGATGGTGCCAGATGGTGCCAGGCAGCATTTGAGCAATATTTTCCAACATGAGACCTGCAGTGCATGGCTGAGCTGGGAGGAGGGCAGACACGAACCAGACCTGCTCCTTCATTTAAGCAACAGGCTCTGATTCACCTAGAGGGCCAGGATTCAGCCCGCGGCTCTCAGCTCCAGGCCTGTGCCACCCTTATCAGGAGTAGTAATGCTAGAAGGTTGGTAAAACAATCACTATGATCTGCACAACCAAGGTACCCCACCTGTCCTCAGGACCTATGGAAAAAACAGGAATCAAGGCAAGTTTGGGCTGCCCATTTACAGACACAGCACCTGAGCTTCTCTGAATCACCTGAGGGCAAGATTTTCAGGCAAATGCTCAAAAGCCCCTCAAGTTCCATCTCAGCTTTTCCCCAGGTCTGAAGCTCACTGGCAGCCTCAAGGAACTGAAAGGCTCACATCCACCTCTGCAGGATGACAAATCCAATGTCCCCTCCAGCCCTGAGGCTGGCGAGGACACCAGAGCAGCCATCTCCTGACTCAAGTCTCTGCAAACCAAGCCTTGTCCAGCTTCCCACTCAGGCTCATTCCCTCCTAATTCTGAGTCAAGGGGGAAATGCTGTGAGAATTAGCAAGGACCCCTTCTGGAGCCCCAGCCCCTCATTTGCAAACAGTTAGGGGCTTTCTCCCTTCCTTCCAGTATGACTGCCCCAAACATCTCCCGGCCACGGAAAATCCCTGCCTACTCCACCACTGGGCAGCCTGGCTAGAGATTTTATTCCATTAATTTTCATCCTGATAATTAGAAGCAGCTCTCCTCCCTGCTTCTGTAGGGTTTAATGAGCTACATAACGTCACATTTCCCACTGAGGCTGCTTAAACCTGCATTTCACTCCAGGGACGCTGCCACCCCATCCTGCCCTATCCCAAGCTACCCCAGGCCCTGACGGCAGCCAGTTCTTCTTCCTCTCTGGGGTCAAGCCTCCTCAGAGCAGGGCCCGGAGCTCCAGCCTCCACAGGGGCCTCTGACAAACCCCTTGGTAGAAAGCAGAATTGAATCATCTTTGGACCCATGTCCACATTATGGGTAATAAAGGCCTTTGTGTGCCTATAAAGCAAAATTCCTGCAAAGCCTTTCCATCTCAACATGCCACGTGCAACAAAATGAGTGCTGCTCGCACACGGCCCTTACACGTGCCAGGGTCTACCCACACGCGCTGCGACCAGGTGATACCTGCACCCACCTGACCTATGTATGCATGGGGTGCCAATCCCAGCCCTGGGACCTACCAGCTAACATGAGCCCATCACTTCATCTCACTGAGCCCTATTTTCCTGCTCTGGAACATGGGATAACAGAAGCACTTAATTCACCAGACTGTTACAAAAGTCCAACTTGCATTTTATTCATTCATTCAATTATTGAACAAACACCTGGTGAGTTCCTACCCTGTGCCATGCATGTTCTGCACACAGGAGATACCACACTGATTGTCAAGATCCATGCCACCACAGTGCTTCCATCCTAGAGGGAGGAAACACACACAAAACATGGAAAGAATGAATGAACTTAAATCTGAGATAATGAAGACAATGAGACCAGGGCCAAAGTAGTGTTGTGGGCGGGGGAGGGGGGAGGGGTGCTACTCCAGAGTGAGGATTAGGGTCATATGAGTTTATGCATGTGAGCACAGTATGGCTAGAACAGATATCTACTATAATAGTGTACTATTATGGTGTAGATGAGGTGCTATCCTGCATCACAGCACAACTAGGCTTACTGAATTGTGAGGTGCCTGCAAGACCCAAAAACTCGGGATGCCTCATGGGAGCTGATGGCATGCCTAGAGCTTTGCTGCTGCCACTTCATTATCTGGAATGATTTCTGGGGGGCTTATCCCAGAGGTAGATTATACTCCTCCCACCTCTACCACTGCCACCAAGTCCTCCTGCCTCCGCTCAGGGCGAGTCTGTAGGATCCCCAGTCCCTTCCCTGGTGATCTGTAAGGGCCAGGCCCATGCCTGTCCTGCTCAATGACCAGCACACAGCAGGTGCTCTGCACAAGTGAAGGAGCTGAGCTTGAATCAGGTGGTGCTGCAAGTGTGACCCAGCTCAGCCCCCAAAACAGACCTACCCCAGATGCAGGGTCCGAGGAAGGAAGCCACATTTTGTCCAGAACAACTGTAATATCCAGATAGGGCAAGAGACTCATGCCACGTCATATGCTGGTCGCAGTGCCAAGTCCCTTCTGGCTCCCCTTTCAATAATCTCGATTACTTCTGGCCCATCTTTCTTGTTGAGTCGAGCGCCACCCCCCTCCCACCCATTTCCCGCTCTGCCAAGACCGTGTCATCCACCTCAATAGCCAGCTCTGACGTTCCTCCAGCTCACCACACCCCGGCAATCAGGGCAGTGAGCCAGACCCACTAACCCCATGCAGCAGCTGATGCAACAGAGGTAGAGCAAGGTCACCAAGGAGCCACACCAGTGTGCAGTGTGTCCCAAGAGAGATGCTTCGGCCCATCTGTACCTCATCTCCTGCAGCATCAGGCAGGTCCATCTGACCCTGAGTGGACAGACTGGCCCTCCACTCCATGTCTGGCCATGGGCTGAGCAGCATGACGGGCCTGGGGACAAAGCAGCACTGCTCCTGCTGTCAGTGGAGGGAAGATGGCGATTGTGCCTTCATTTGGCAGACATCCTAGATCAACATCACAGGGTCGCTCTGCCAGAGGAAGTCATGCACAGCAAGAGTTACCTGTGAACAGGCCAGGAGAGAGCGTAAAAGGTGCACAGGTGGAAAGAAAGGAGCATATTTAGGAGGCAGGGGTGTCTAGGCTGGTGGGAGGGGGTTAAAGGTGGGATTGGCACCCCATGCATACACAGGTCAGGCAGGTGCAGGCATCACCTGGTCGCAGTGCGTGTGGGTAGACCCTGGCACGTGTAAGGGCCATGTGCAAGCAGCATTCCATTGCACATGGCATGTTGAGATGGAAAGGCTTTGCAGGAATTTGGGGGCCACCAACAATGCTGGCCCCAGCCTGACAATGCTGACAAGGGCTGAGCTGGGTGTAGCAGGTCAGGATGCAGCCACCCAACAGTTAACCCAGAGTGAATCAGGCAGGGGACAACAGTACAGCAGCACAGCAAGATGGGAGAAGCCTGTCCTGAAGCCACAGCAGAACTGAGTCCCAAGAGTCAAGCGCAGCAGCCTTCACAGAGCCTGGGGCATGGGACGTGTGGTGGCACTGAGCCACAGGGATACTATCCTGTGCCAGCCGCCTGCTGTGTTGGGACACTCTTCCTCTCCTGCCCTAGTGACCACTCAGAAACCCAGAGCCGGGGCAGGACTGCAGCTGGTCATCCATTTGCCAGGGGGACCCCCAGCTCAGTGGGGAGAATAGGGTGGCCACTTCCCTGAGGAAACCCCACCAGGGCACGGGAGAGTGGATCTTCTAAAGGGTGCAGGGCCACGACATGGCATGGCATGGCCCTGCCCAGGTTGCCCAACCTGCTGCAGAGGACAGAGAACAAGCACTGTCACACCCTGTGTGGGTTGGGCACCCTTCCTCTCCAATCTCCAGTGCTCTGGGCAGTTTGACAAAGCTGCCTAGCCCCAATTTTCAATGAGGTGAGGCCTCGTGTGTCAGGGCACAGGCACCCATCAGGGCTGGACCCTCAGACCACACCCCTATCATCTGGCAAACACCTGGAGCCCTTTGGCAGCCACCTCAGGTCACAGCTGCTCTAGACGCCAGTCTGCAGGGTCCCAAAAAAACTCTAACAACTAACTGGAAAAACCTACACCTGCCCTTTGTTTCTGGAATGGAACGGCTGGGGTCAAGCCACCCCTGCTAACACACCCCCAGAGATGGGAGGTGTGTTAGCTGGAACGAGGGACCAGAGAGCTGACAGAGGAGAGATGGGAGGTGGCCCCAAGGTGGCCAGGCCTATGGATGGACACTCTGATAGGCAGAGGTTCCTCCTCCCCGTGAGCTGGCATCGGTCTGCATAGAGCTTCCGTGAGGCAGCCTGCGTCCTGCCCCTGAGGCCACACAGTCTGCAGTTTCCTCTTCCAGCCGAGAGCCCTTCAGCTCCCTGAAGATGCCGTGTCCCTTATCGCTCCATAATCATTGACAGGGTAGGGGCCACGTGTCGGGCGGTGAGTGAGGAGACAGAGGGAAGACAGATAAGGGCCCTGCCCCAACTGTCTGGCGGGGAGGACATGAGTGAGGAGGTAACACAGGTTGGCGAGATAAGCACTCCCACATACAGTGACCAACCCCTGCGGGAGCAGAGGAGGGAGCCACCGACTCCCAGGGGTCAAAGGTGGCTTCACAGAGGCAGCCACATTGGGGGTGGACCTGAGTGAGAGGAACAAGTCACCACGTGGCAAAGGGAAGAGCAGGTATGCAGCCAGGCCCAGGGCTGTGGGGGGACTCTGAGAACCAAGATCGGGGCTGGGCAGGGACAGGCCTGGGATCCCCTGTCCCTCCTCCTGCTCACCACACCTCTGCACCACTGAGTCACCGCTCCGGGCCCCTAACCCTTCTCCAAGGCTCCTGATCAGCCAGGGGTCCTCCAGGGGTGAAGCTTACTAGCTGTGGTGGTGGCCAGCATTCATTCATTCACTTGCTCCTTCATTCATTCACTCACACACACACACACACACACTCAATCTCTCTCACCCACCAGAACTGTCACAGGGCCCTGCTTCACAGCCTGGGAGGCTTGTCCAGCCTGTCATACCTCCTCTGTCAGCTCTCTGGTCCCTCGTGCCAGCTAAATTGAGATGGGGTGGAGGGGATAGTCCCAGTCACCACCCTAGTCACGGTAGCTTTTCTGGTCCTTGCACTTACAGAGCTAGCTGGTGGCAGAGAGAAAGCAGGGGCACCGCAGCTCCTGCCTATGGGCAGCATGTGATCTTCTCCCACGTTCTAAATTGGCATCACCCCCTCCCTGCCAGAGCTCATTCACTCAACAAGTATTTATTAAGTTCCTACTCCATTGTCAGCACCGAACAAGTATGTTTTAAAGTTTCCACCCTTACGTCACTGCGATAAAATCTCTCTGCATCCTCACACCTTCCAATCCAAGTAATCATCAAGTGCTTACGGGTCTCCCATCACTGGGCAGCGCTGCTGGACACACTACCTGTGCGGCTTTGAACCTGGTGACTGGGGTCCTGGCTGTCACAGAGCTGAGTGTCTAGAGGGGAGACAGACAGTAAACAAGCGCACACACCAGTGCTATGAAGGCAAAATATGGGAACGCGACCACGTGACATGAGAGTGGGAGCGCTTTATACTGGGTGGTCAGGACCAGGCTCTCTGAGAGGTGATGCTGAGCTCAGACCTGAGTGGAAGTGACACGTATCTGTTCATGCTGTGTTGGCCCACACCAGTCACATGGCCACACTTAACATCAAGGTGACAGAGAAGGAGAATCCTACCACATGGCCAGGAGGAAACCAAGACATTTGGTAGGCAGAACATTTGTTGGTTGAATGGGCTCTTGGAGTCAATGGGGAGGCAGGCCTATGATCTGAAAGAACACCCTGATCATGACAGGTGCTGATGCCTCTGATGGAAGCCAAGACTCAGTTTGGAAATGGGAGTGTAAGTGGAGCCGCACACCAAGCGTATCTCCCCGTTCTTCCCCACTGTGAGCATGGCCTTTGACCAGGTCTTTTGCTGTGATGCATACCCAATCATGAATGCCCTACCTTGGAAGTTCTACACATATTAGATTCGTGTCCTCCAGCCTCTCCCCCTTGCCTGGATTGGCCTCCAAACACACCATCTCAATTCTTTCATGAGGCACAAGGTGCCACAAAGCAGCAGCCTGGGATTAGAAAGCTGTCCCATTTCCCCATCCTTCCTCAAAGGCGCTGACTTGCTCTCTTTGCTCTTCTCTCCCTCTGGGGCCATGAGGAAAGGACCTCAAATTCTGATGCAACCATGGCTTCTCTGGGTGAGGCCAAGAAACTTCCAAAACCATAAAGATGTCCAAACATTGGCCCAGCTTCCTCCAAACAGACATAAAATGCCTCGCTCACATCCGGGCCCACCACACCCCTCCTCCGGGCTCCAGGCACCATCTGGCACCTCCATCCTCATAGCTGCATGGGTGGTGGGAAGTGGGGCCCAGAGAAAAGGGGCTCAGCCACTCCCAACCCCAGCTCCCCCCATGGCTCCAGGGGTGGGAGGCCTTTGATGCCTATATTCACCCTTTGGCTGAGCAGTGACAGCCTGCACGCTAGATTTGGTGCCAAGCCACCCCAAATCCAGTTATTTTTAGTCTGTTTGTTTATCCCATTTCAAGCTAACTCTGTGTCACCACTGGTTATCATAACAGAGAGCACCTGGACGTGGCTCGGAAAAGCAACAAATAAGCTTTGGAGAGTGCCGGGGATTGCCAGGAACACCAACTGTGTTTCTAGCCTGGTGCCCAGTTGTGACAAGGCAGATTCCTTTCTTCCCTCCACACGAAGGGCCTAATCCAGATAAGCCAGGCAACAATGGCTGCCTGGCTTCTCAAGACCTTCCTTCCCGCTCATCACCCCATGCCTAGTGTCAGGACTCACACTCGATGACATCAGCCCCATGGGCCTGAGTGCGAGTCCTGGCCAAACACCAGGTCCCAAGAATGTCTTAACACTCAAGGCACCAGCTTAGGCCAAGAGCAATCTTCCCTTCCACATGCCAGCCTCAGGCCGGCCTGTCCACCAATAGCCAGAGCAGCTGGGGACTGGGTCAATGTCTGGAGGGGCAGGTAAGTCAGTGACATGGTTGCCCATTTGGATAGGCCAGGAGGGCACAAGAAGAATCATCTGACCATGTCCTGCCAACCCTGTCCACGGAGAGGTCACAGAGAGCTGCAGCACAGCAGGCCTTTTGCTAATGTGGCTGGGTGCTGGAGGTCACACAGCAACCCCAAAGGGGCTGGGCAGAGCAGGTGCTCTGGGGGCTGATCCAGAGCCTTGTCCTCACTCTGATTTGTCCTTTGTCAGCATGACTTCTACCATCACCATCACAAAGCTTCTATTAGCTAAGCACTCCCCACACCCAGACTGCAGGCTAGGCTCTGTACACACAGTACCTTCAGTGATGCTCATGGTAATCGGCATCATCATCATATTAGACAGACTAAACAACTTTCCATGTCCACCATATGGGAGGAGCTTCCAAACCACAGAGCCACCATCTCTGTCTTTCTCTATCTGGCTCTCACCTGTGATTGAAGAGAGGGAAGGATGACAGAGTGCCCACTGGGAATGCCTTTCCACCCAGTTCTCAACAGGAGTCACGGCCCAGGTCAGCTCTGGGCCAGCATCCCCTGAGCACCTGCTGTCTGCTAGCCTGTGTGAGCTGCTTTACAGAAGGACACACCAATGGGAAGCAGCAGCCCTGCCTTCAGGAAGGCCCAGCCTGGGACAGAACTGTGCCTGGCACTTGGACAGAGAGGCCCGGGAGGCATCAGGTGGAGTGGGCCCCTCCTTCCTACCCCCACTGTCCTCCCTGACCCAGGCCCTCCTCCCCTCAGACTCTCTCACTGCCTTTGAAATGGATTCCTCATTTCTAGTTCCTCCTCACCCAGGACCAGTGACTCTCTCTGATCTGTCACTCTCCTGCTCAGAACCTTCGATGCTCTCATCATCCCCTTGTCCATTCACTCACCAGTTACTGAGTGCACACATGTGCTGGGTATATGCCAAGAGCTGTGGCCGCAACAGCAGGCAAGACATACAAAGCTGATGAGTGAGGTAGGGAGGCAACCCTTGCTCCAGAGGGAGGTTGGATCTCCAGCATCCAAAAGCACCAGTGCTCAGGCAGACCCATTACTGAGTCTCACCGCTGCCACTCACCACACACATTGGCCATTATTGCTGCAACAACCACCACCTCTACTAGTTCCAGGAACTGTGGACACTGATCCCAGAGCAATCCCTGGGCAGAGAGCAAATCTGTCACTGGAGAATGGCTCCGTCACAGAGCCCGTGACCTCAGTCTCCAGTGGAGAGGAAAATGAGAGAGGAGAAAGATCCCAGTCTAGGTGAGTAGCTTGAACAAAGGCCACAGAGGCCAAAAGGCACAGAGTCTGTCTGGGGGAGGGTGAGTAGGTAGATATGGAGGGAGACTGGATTTGGAGACCAGAGCAGGAGGCAGGGGCCACTCACAGAAGTGACCATTACTGGCCTTTGTTCTCCTGCTAGGCAGGAGGGGCAATACCCAGAACTGCCATGAAGGGGCAAGGAATTAGCCAAGGCAGCTGTAGTGGTTAAGAAGGATGAGCTGGGGGGAGACTGCAGCCAGGGAGGTCAGAGAGGAGCCTCGGGTGATGTGCTGAGGGGCTGCCCTTGCACTGGGGCATGGGGAACAAAGGGAAGGAGGCAGAGCATAGAGAACAGACAGCTCTTAATGAGATGGCTCACTAGGCCAGGAACAGGGAGAGCAGGTCCATACATCGGGCTGACACCAAGGAGGTGTACCACCCTGTAGGCACTGCAGCACAGAACGCTGTGGGCTGCGAGGATGCCCAGGCCTGGAGCCCAACAACTCAGAAAGGAGTCGTGTTCCACAAGCAGCTGCCCTAGCTGGAGTCCCAAGGGTGAGAACGCTCTGAGACACAATGCAGCATCTATCCCCCTGGCTGCAGGTGGGACTCCCCTCCAGGCACGGCAGGGAGAAGGCTGCCTCACTTTCTTCCCTTGGTCTGGGGGCTACTCTGTTTCTCTGTCACCATGGACAAGTGAAATCACAGCCACGTCCTCCCCAGCACTCCAGGCAGTAGCTTCTCCTCACCCAGCCTTTGGTCTCCTTGCCCCTTCCTGTCGCTCAGCACATGTCACTGAGTGCATGTGTACTGGTGAGAGCCCTCTGGAGAGTGCCGACCTGCCTTGCAAGCCAGTCACACAGCACTCCTTCTGAACCCGCCTCGGGGACGGCACATGTGTTCACCACGCAAGCTGCACCGAGCCACGCACAACCAAATCAATGCAAAACAAAACCACAATGAGATACCATTTGTCATCTATCAGATTGGCAAAGATCCACGAGTCTGATAGCACTTTGTGTAGGTGAAGATATGAGGAAACAAGCCACTCGTACCTCGTTGGTGAGGGAGGAAATCACCTCAGTCTCCTGGCAGGGCAATAGGATAGAATCAAACCAATTTAAATGTGCATATACACTTTGACCAGCATTTCCACCTCTAGGAATCTCTCCCAGGTGCATATGGTTACTGAGACATTTGCTGCAGCAAGCAGCATTATTTATTATAGCAAAAGACAGAAAGCAGCCAAAAAGCCCATCAATAGGGCACTGGTCAAAAACTCATATGGAGGCCAGGGTGGGAGGATCATGAGGTCAGGAGATCGAGACCACCCTAGCTAATATGGTAAAAACCCCCTATCTACTAAAAATACAAAAACTTAGCCGGGCGTGGTGGCATGCACCTGTAGTCCCAACTACTTGGGAGGCTGAGGCAGGAGAATCACTTGAACCTGGGAGGTGGAGGTTGCAGTGAGCCAAGATTGGGCCACTACACTCTAGCCTGGGGGACAAAGCGAGACTCCATCTCAAAAAAAAAAAAAAAAAAAACAACCTTGTATGGTCCATCTATACAATGGACTAATATATAGCTGTTAACAGGAACGTGGTGGCTCTGTATAAGATGATATGAAATGAATGCCAAGATATACCAAATGTTGAAAGGAAATAACAGGACAGCTCAGCATGTACACAAAAGCAAAAGTCTGGGTGCATGGAATATACGCTTAAGCACTGACCCCTAAGTGCTTGAATGAGCACGTCTCTGGGAGGGCACAGCTGATGTACCAGTGACAGTGGTTGCCTCTGGGAAGGGACACTGATGGCTGGAAACAGGTGGGGGGTGCACTCATCACCACATACCCTTTTGTAATATCTACTCTGTGACAGTTTCACCATATGTCTGTATTACTTTAAGGAAATCAACACACAGATCTGCTTATGGGACAGTGCTTCTCCTGCCTACATCAATTTATGTTAGATTATTCCCACCCCTACCCCAAGATCGCTGACAACTTACCCATGTGCTATTTTCCCCGAATCCTCAGTTCCCCACACTGTGCTTGGCAATGAGGTACTTGGAAAGGGGCTGAGTGAGGAGGGGCCAGCACTTCCAGTCCAAGGGTCTCCACTTCTCCCTGGCATGCTGGAAGAGACCAGAGCTCACTGTCCCACCCAGGTTCTATGAGACTAGGCATGGGGCAATGGGCTAGGCCATCAGCCTCCAACTATGTGGCTCTGCAATGAGCAGAAATCCCAGCCCTGGAAGCGCACCCACGAAGCCCATGCTCTGTGTCCGAAAAGACACTCCCAGCAGGCACGGCGCCTGCGCAATGCCTGCAGCCAGCTGCCTGTGGTCCCGGGAATGGCCTCTGTTGACTAATTTCTGTACATAATTCCACCCAGGATGAGTCAACAGTCAGGGCAGGCAGGACTCCTCACAGGCTGGCCCGAAAAGCCATTCAGAAAGATGAAAAGCAGAGCACAAGGTGCCCAAGCCACTGAGATAGAGGATGGGCACCCCCTCTTTGGATCAGACAAGCTCCCTCTGCAGGGGTTTTTGAAAGACTCCCCAGGCCCCACCACGGCATCAACCACGCAGGGTGGGGACAGGCGTACCACAGCCCCTCATTCTGTCCAGGGCCTCTGCCCCATCTACTGGGTTGGGTCAGCACCACCCCACCTGGTTCTTATTAACCACCCTCTAGAGGCAGCCATCAATTACACAATGCTGCCATTTATCTAGCCCCTCATCCCCACACAAGTCACCATGACCTGACCAGGGGCCCAGGGGCTGACCCTTCCCATCCCTGCTAGGCACCTGCCTGAACAGGCAGGCTTTTCCAGTCTCTCAGATCCCACCCCACCACTGACTGGGTCACCTGGGGCCAGTCCTGTCATTTCTAGTGCCCTTGCCTATAAAATGGGCCTATGACACATCTCCCTCAGGGTTGCTGTAAGGATCGAATGGGATGACCCCAGCACACTCCGTACAAGATAAGGGCTCAGTAACTGGCAGCTGCCATCAGAATTGTCATCGTAAGAGGCCACAGGAAACCCATTCCATTCCATCCCCCAGGCCCTTCCCTGCAGGCAGCACTCGGGTCTGGGCAGGGAAGGGTGAGAGAAGGTTCAAGGAAAGAAGAACCACTCCCGCCTGGGCTTGGCACCCTTGCAAAGACCAGTAGCAGCACCTCCTCCCCTACCTTTGTTTGCTCTCTCATCTCCTCAATCCTGTGCAGGCCTTCCCATCCCCAGCCCCTGCAGCCGCGGCAAATCTTTGTCAGCAAACAGCACATTAATTGCTTCTTGGCCACATTTCAAATGATATCACAGAATCAGGCTGCTCAATTTGAGCAAATGGAAAGGAAGAAAGAGGGGCACCCAGCAACTCACACAAGAGCCAGGGATGATGGGTAGCTCCAGTTACTAATTAATCGACTGCTCAGATGGAACAAATCTGAAACCCCAACAGGTCGGACTGGTGAGCCCTGGGCTCCCCGCCAGCCCCCTTCATCAGAGGGAAACAGAGCACTGGTCCTGAACACCTTCAGGAGGGGAGCCCTGGAGTCCCGCCGCCCACTGCCCAGGAAAGCTAACAGAGGCTCCGCCTCAGTGACCATGTCCTGACCAGGCGGCCTCCTGGACCACTTACAGAACCACTCACTCACTCAGCAAGCACACTTGAGCTCCCAGGATACCACTAGACTAAACTCCAAAAGAGTGGGGATGTGAATGCAGGGCTCACCACTGCACCCCATTCCCAACACAGCACCCAGCATGAAACAAAAACAAAACAAGCGGCACTCAGTATATGAACATCAAGAGAATGAAAGAATAAATTAAACAAGGAGTACCAAGCATGGTGTTAGGTTCTAAGGGTATAGTACTGAATGCAAGCCCTGGCCTCACGGCACTCACATTCTAGTGTGGGAACTACTGTTAACCAAACAGCCAGACAACGACAGCAATATTGCAACCATAATAGGTACCATGAAGCGGAGGCTGCCAAAATAGAGAGAGTGGTAACAGTGGGACTTGTCCCCATGTGGTGGCCAAGAGGAGCCACTAAGCGGGAAAGGAGCTTGCCACCACCCCAGTGTGCTCATCCAAGGCGGCTTCTCCACATCCCAACTCCCTGAATTCCCCCAACACCCCTGCACCCCATCACCACAAAAGACCACCAGCGTCTCATCCACCTAAGGTGGGGCAGGGTGGCAGCCCAGGGAATGTGGGAATGAGATTGGCTGGAAAAGGTCTCCTAGAGCAATTGTGCCTCCTCTCGAGTACTGCCTGCTGCAGTAGGGACCACAGGCACTAACAGACACACAGGGCCCTGCAATGCCCAGGCCATGTGGGACCCCAAACTGCCAGGCACTTTTCTTCATCTTCTAAGAACGCCCAGGTCACCACGCCCAACTGAGATCTCTTAGCCTCTCGATGCCTGAATGTTAACATGTGGACACCCCTCCATCCACCTGGCATTCCTGGACATGGCATGTTTCTGAAAGAGTGTATTTGGAGAGGGCGGGGCACAGGCCTGAATTTGAGCCTCAGCTCTGTTTCTTCCTAGCCGTGAAACCTGGAATAAACGATTTAGCCATCTCTTTTCTGTAAAATGGGGGTAGAACTGTCAGCTGAGGGGCAGCAACCATGTCAAGAATACAAAAATGGCAAAGGCTCATACAAACCCAAGGATGGCCCTCAATGATTTTCCTCCCCTTGGCTGCCTTTTCTAATTATTATTGGGGTAGGGTATGGGAAACCATTCTGGGCCCCAATTTCTGCTTTTCCCTATGGTCTTTCAGCCTGTGCCATCTTTTACTACTCAGGTATATGTAACCAGCTACCAATCTGCCTTCTTCTCCTGAACCAAGAAGCATGCACCATAGATCCAGGGTCCTTTTCCACCCAGATCTGCCAGACAGTTAAAAAGTGGCAAATTATTTTGAAATGTTATTGTCTGCGCCAACATTAATCCATGATGGCACCAGAATTTCCATAAACAGAGGCTTGAAGGTGGCCATCTGCTTAGAAGTAGGGCTAGGAACTTGTCTGGAGGCTGCATTTGCATAGAGAACACAGTTTTGCACGGATTGTGTTTCTTTGGGATCTCTTTGGTATAATAATATCAGTAACCCCCACTTCCACTAATTGTATCAAGCACTGTGCCAAGAGCTTTACATACATAGTCTCATTTAATCTTCTTCACAACCAATGAGGTATTATTGTCTCCATTTTACAGATAAGTAAACAGATCTGGAGAGGCTAAGTCACTTGCCTAAGATCTTGCAGTTGGCTCAGGCCAGAGCCAAGACTTGAACCTAGGTCTGTCAAATGCCAACTCCACTGTTGCTATGAAATAAACTGCTACTCTCCTAGTCACACTCCCTAGCTGTCCCACGCGACACTCTCCTTCCACTCGAGGACACCCACCCCACCCCGCCCGACCACCCAAGCTGCCCGTCTGCAGCTGGAGGGCTTCAAACTTCAAACTCCCCACAAATGGATTTCTGAGCATGATTTTTTTTTCCTGGCAGGAGTCTGAAAAGGCTGTTCCTCTCAGTTACTGCTGTCTAGGGCTTTTGAAAACATTAGGGAGGCTTACACCAACTCAGGAAGCCAGTATGTGCCCGCTAAGGTCTGAGCCCCTTGCTCGGGTACCTCCCCCAAGTGGAAGTAGTACAGGGGGCTGTTCCAAATTCCACCCTAAGGAGTGTGCTCCCTTCCTCGACACAACTGACAGATTTTCTTCCACAGATGCCGGCCCAGCCCGAGGCTGCACCTCACAATAAGCCCCCACCTGCAAAGAATGTCTGTAAATCCTGGGGCTCTGCACAGAGCAGCCGGATTGCAGGGAACGGCAGCAAATCCCAGGATAAAAGCAGAAGCCATCCTGTTGACAATTCATTCGTGTTTCTCCCCCAAATCCATCCACAACAGAACTGTTAAGCTCATGTTTCCTCTCCTGTTGCAAACAATTGTAAAAATGATTGGTATCTGCCCTCAGTGTAGAACCCGTCTGCTTCATCCCCAGGCTAAATCTTTCTGGAAGGGCTGCATGTGTGAAAAACATGCATTCCCAAGATGTGCAGATAATGGTTGCTCTTAGAGACCCTAATCACTCAGTTCACAGAAGAGAAATGCAAAGGCTGGTCAAAATAACTGATGACTTTCTAGAAACCAGAGGTCTGCTGCAGAGGCTGAGCTGGGCACCTGAGGGCAGGAAGGCTCAGGGTCGCCCTTGGAGACAGAATGGTCCCACAGGGTTTCATTCTGCTACTGGAGCTCCCATCATGAGTCCTCTATCCTCCTGCATATACCTCCTGTCTTTGTTTATGGCTCTAACATCTCTTCTCAAAGTAGAAATGGTATCAGGGAGTCGGGGAAGGTATAAGGAAGAGAGCTCAGGCAGTGGCCAGGACACCTGGTTCTGATCCTGGCTCTGACACCAACTGGCTGTGCCTTCACCTCTCTGGGCCTTGGTTTTCTCATCTGGACATCTGGAACAAATGACCCCGAAATTGACAACCCATGAATCTCACATGCAGATTCAGAGCTGTTTAAGCCAGACAGCACTGCAGAGCCCAGTGCCAACAGCCAGTCCCAGTCAAGCCAGGAAGCTGGCATCTGTGGGGCAATATGGCTGCAGCTAGATACATACTACGAGACTACACATATGGGTCCGTGGGAGCTCAGGTAGACAAGCAAAGAGGAAAATATCCTTTCAGCCTGAAGGAACCTAGAATTGATGCACTAATGCGCAGATTTTCTAAAATATACATTGCTATCTATGATGAATATACTTATATTTCTCCCCATATCCATCTTCCCTTCTAGCAAAAGCTCTAATTTTGTTGGAGAATCCATCTCTCCCACATCTCAATACACTTGAAGCACAAGTCCCACATCTAGGCCAATCAGTACATGGCATTCCCCTGGCCAAGTAATTAGTTCAGAGGAGGGCACATGACCATGCCAATCCAATCAGAGTGAGCCACAGTCCTCTACTAGGAATGCTAGGATAGAGATTCTCAACCTATCCCACTGGATCGAGTAAGATAGGATGTAGGGATAGAGCTGCGGCAGCCATCTTTTAACCATATGGGGACTGAGAACAGAACTAACTCTACTTAAGGGAACCAAGGAATGGGGAGAATTAAACTCTGTCACGGAGAAAGTTTGGGTGCTGGATCAAGTCACACCTGATCTATCTATGGACTATTCAGATAGAGCTACTAAGGAAACATCACATCCAATTCCTCAACATTCCCAATCCTCTATTTGAAAGAATCTTTTGCTGATTGAAAGATAGGATAAGACCTAAGAAGCACATCCAGCAAATTCTCTGGGTTGGAAATGGATTCATCCAATCATCTGCTGATTCAACAAATATTTACTGAGTAATTATCAGCTTTATGCCATTAATGGTGATCAAGGCACAGACTCTGCCCCAAGAGCTCTCTGATTGTGGGGCCACAATCTCACATGTTGGTGGTTTTACTGCAGTGTGATGATGACTGTAATAGAGTAAGTATAAGTGAACTGTGGATACACTGCCTCTAAGCCACGAGGAGGGAGATCAGGGAAGCCTTCTCAGGTGGTGTCTAAAGGCAACCATGATGCCCTTTTAGATTTAGCACTGACAAACCTCAGCAGTCCTCAAAGCAACACTGTGTCACAGATTTGGCAGGAATTTCCATCCCTATGCAATAGAGAAAGCAACAGAGACCTAAGGTTCAGGCTCGCACAGCAAAATGAGGCTAAGCAGAGAGGAAGGAGAACGAAAATCTCCTTGTCACCCTGTGACAGCACAACCGCCTTCTGACTTGATGGCTGCATGGCACCCCAAAGTTGGCATCAAAAGGACAGACACACAGGATGTCTGGGGTGCAGGGGAGGTGCTGCAGGGAGTCAGAGACAGGCCACACACCTGCTGGGCCAGGGACAGGGCTCTGTGTGCCCATGGCCACAGCAGCAGCCCTTCTGGACAGACCCAAGCCAAGCTCCTGGGTAGAGCATCATCATCACTGGGGTCATCCTGGGAAAGGGAAAGTTTTCCAGAATCACAAATGCTTCTCACACAAACCTCAGCAGAGCCCCGAGCAGTTGGACACACTTTGCATTGTCTATAAGGACAGCAAAGGGCCCATGGCCGCTGACCAGGATGGAGGAGTCAGTGCCTCATCTCAACGCACCATCCTCACTCTACAGGCCATGAGGTCCAGGAGAGGCAGGCAATGAAATCCTCTCTTACCTTTTTGTACCACGGTATGATGAAAAACAAGAGAAAATAAAGGCTACTAGAAGAGATTAAGAGCATGGACTTCAGAGGCCGGAAGTCCTGAGTTTTAGTCCATTTACTAATTTGTGTAACATTTTCCTTTAAACAATCACAGCAAGTAGTAATAATAGTCACTGAGGGTTTCTGAAACTCAATTTCCTTATATGTAAAATGGAGATAACACCTACCTCCTGGGGCTTATAGGCAAATACATGCAAAGCACAGAGACATGCACAGTAAATGGCATGAATATATATATATATATATATATTTTTTTTTTTTTTTTTTTTTTGAGACAGAGCTTTGCTCTTGTTGCCCAGGCTGGGGTGCAATGGCATGATCTCGTCTCACTGCAACCTCCATCTCCCAGGTTCAAGCAATTCTTCTGCCTCAGCCTCCCAAGTAGCTGGGATTACAGGCATGTGCCACCATACCCGGCTAATTTTGTACTTTTAGTAGAGACAGGGTTTCACCATGTTGATCAGGCTGGTCTCGAACTCCTGACCTCAAGTGATCAGCTCACCTCGGCCTCCCAAAGTGTTGGGATTACAGGCGTGAGCCACTGTGCCCAGCCGCAAGAATATCTTTCGATTACTATTATTCCCCTGTAGAAATGGCCACTCTCTGCCTATCCCCACACATAGCTATAGAATAAAACTGAGGACACACCAACTGAAGACAACAGAGAAAGAGCCTGGGGTCTAAAATGAAGCTCTTCCACAAAAGCAAAATACAAGGGCAAAAATACCAGAAAAGCAGCCATGGCCTCAACAGACCTCCAGAGCCCACAACTACAAAACCATGGCCTCACTCCCCATTCTAATCCTCTGCACGCAGCCAAATGAAGACCTCTTCCATCAAGGGACATGAGGCCAGAGCTCAGAACCCTCACTTTCTTCGCCCGCAAGGGGGCTCCAGGATGCTTGAAAGAGCCCTCCTAATCCTCTCAGGACATTAGAGCCCCATGCCCACCGGCCCTAGGACACGGTAGTGCTGCTGCCCCTGCAAGCATCCCCAACAACCCTGCGCCCCCGCCGCCCCAACTCCATCAGGGTAGGGTAAGACCTGGTAGGTTTTCCCACATGAGGCTTCCAGAAGCCTCTCCTTTCTCCTTTCAGTTGTCTTCTCCAAAAGCAGGCCTGGCTAGCCATGCTGCCAGCCTCACAGAGGATTCTACCTGTGGGTGTCAGCCCAGTTCCCACTGGGAACAAAGAGCTCAGCTGTGGGGCCCAGGGCATGGTGGCAAGGGCACCCTTCAGGCCCTGCAGACATTAACCTCAATTCACAAATCACATCACTAGGCCCTGGGAGGGCAGGCTGGAGCCTTTGTGGCCCACTAGGGTTAAGCAGGGTAACGCAGACTCAAATAACCACTTTGCCCCTCTCTTCTCACACGTTCCTCAGAACAGGGGTTCCAGGCTCCAGGCAGCCTGAAGTCCCAACACCATCTTTCTCCTGGCCCCACCTCAGGTGTCTCTCCCTAAAGCAACCTGACCTCCCTAGGCAGGATCCCCCATCTGCCTTGTACCTTCTTGGAAGGCACCAATTCCCTTGCAAAGGTGGGCCTCTCGGCTCCAAACAGATCCGTTCTGGGCCTGTTTAGCACCAAGGATGACTACACGTGGTCCCATCCCTCAGGAGCTCACAGGGTGGTTGTGGCAGTACCAACAATGCCAATAACATCACAATAGCTACCACTGAGTGCCTCCTATGTGCCAGTTACTATCCCAGCTGGGCCTCAGTTAACCTTGCAACTCCACAAGTGAAGTATTACAATTCCCCATTAGAGACAAAACTGAGGAGCCAGCTAAGATTATCTTTCCCAAGGATACATAGACAGCAAGTGGCAGGGGTTACACTGGGGTCATATGTACACCCGGATTGTCTACGCAGAAAGAACATTGACTGTGGGCTTGGCCACGTGCACTATGCTTTTTTTTCTTTTTGAGACAGAGTCTCACCCTGTCGCCGAGGCTGGAGTGCAGTGGTGCAATCTCAGCTTGCTGCAACCTCCGCCTTCTGGATTCAGATGATTCTCTTGCCTCAGCCTCCCAAGTAGCTGGGATAACAGGTGTCCACCACCACACCTGACTAATTTTTGTATTTTTAGTAGAGATGGGCTTTCACCATGTTGGCCAGGCTGGTCTTGAACTCCTGGCCTCAAGTTATCTGGCTGCCTCACCCTCCCAAACTGCTGGGATTACAGGCATGAGCCACCACGCCCAGCCTGCGCTATGATTTGTTCAATGTTTTTCTTTAAATACTTTTAATGACAGTAATAACAACAGCTAACACCAACTGAGTCCTGATTATATGCCAAGCACTTTGTAAATGCCTCACATGCATTAACTCAATTCTCACAAGAGCCCTAGGAGGTAGGAGCTATTATTATCCCCAAGTTAGACAAGAAGAGGAAGTAAGCCCAAGGCCTCACAATCCATAAGTGGCAGAGCCAGGATTTGAAGCAGGCAGTCTGGCCCCGGAGCCCTGCTCTTGCCAGCGTCCTCTGCTGCCTCTACAGACCTGGGGTCTCATCCTTGGTTCCAATACCTGAGAAAACACGGTCTCACGTGTTGGTTAACATTTTCTAATAGGCATCAAACACAACCATAACTATTAACTTCAAAAAAGTTCCCCATAGGACCTCCCAGAGTCATTGGGGGTACTATTGGTAGTACACAAACCACAGTCCAGAAAACCCTGCCTTGGTGAGGAGAAGGCCAGGTGACAGAGGGTGGCCCTGAAAAGCCTGGAGCCATCACAGGTCCCATCATCACTCTGGCCCTGGGAGGACCAGTCCAGAAGGAGAAAAGAGCCAGGAAGCAGAGACAACGGGCGCTTGGCCCAGCAGCTCAGAGACAAAGTGAGAAATCAAGGTGCTAATGCAACACAGCCCGGTATGCTCTGCCCTTTGCTGGGGCCTTGAAGGGGATTGGCAGTACAGAGGCTGAGTGCAGGACAGAGACAAAGGAGACAGAGGAGACACAGGGGATAGAGGGGACAGGGCTACCCCTCAGCCCTGCCCTAACACCTCCCCGAGAGGAGGTCTCGCCACCACATGCCCTGCCCTCTGGCTGTTTCCATGGCATCAGGAAATGATTCTATGGATAAGCCAAGCATAGTTTTTATTTCTCTTGAAGGACACCTAAAATGAGCTGCCTCTGCCTGTCCTCTGTCCGGGTGATTTTTCAAGCCTTGAAGGCCAGTCACCACATCACCCAAGCTGACCTTTCCACCTCCACAGCTGAGACACGGGTGTCACATCACACACAAGGGCACCCACTACATCCGTCATCAGCACCAACTGGCAACCGACGGAAACAAATAATGGGAGCTTTTGCCAGATACTCCTTTTTCCTTCTCTATTGCCTCCTGGCTCAGAAATCACACAGGGGTCCCCTCAAGTCATTCCCTGGGTACCAGATGGCTACCAGACATGTGACACGTCCCTGTGCTATTCCTAGAGAAGACCAAAACCCTGTTGAGAAGAGGAAGAATATAATTAAGTTGTAAGAAAAAAAGGCAAATGATGTTACATATACAGCTCTACATTTATCACATTTCCAGACACACTGATGTCCTTGTGTGTTGCTTTATTCTTCAGATTCAACAACTGCCTTCTCCCAGCAAGCCTCGTTTCCCAGGCTCTCCAGGCGGCAGTTCTCGCCAGGACTCCATCTCCCTGCCCCACTAGAACTCTCCCAACAGCCACACCCCAACATGTACGTTCCCCAACGAGGAGGAATCAATCTGCTTTAACCAAATGTCCCCAAACCACACTCTTCCTATGATCTGGAGGTTTTCTGGGTGATGCCTCAAATTAGAAAATGCTCAAAACTGGTGTCTCATTCCATCACCACCACGTCTTCCTCCATCACACACCCCTGTAGCCTCTCTCCTCCTTCCTGTCCCAGGCCGGGTCCATCTACTCCTCACTGGGGTAATACACCACACACTGGGGTCACAATCCCAGCACGGCCAACTGCTTCTCGGACACAAGTCAGCCAGATTGTCTGCCAGCATTTAAGATAGGAATACAAAATGGTCGCAGCAGGGGTGCAAAATCAGAACCCGACTCTGAAAGCTTGCTGAAGGAGAGCAGAATTAGCAGAATTAGCTTGGGAGAAGGGTTCAATGGCACCTACTTCCTGCAGAGTGGCTCCTGCAAAAGACAGGAGGAGGGCACAGAGTGGCCTCAGTTCAGTCACTTAACTCTTGCCCCAGCTCTGCCTCCCACCTTAGGATGAGGCTTTTGGCCTTGGCTGGGAAGAGCGGGTGCCACACTTTCCTTAGACAGCAGGCAGCAGCTGTGCGGCCCACGGCTCTGTATCCCAGACCCTGCCTGAGAGGAAAGCCTGCTCAGCCCCGGGTTTGGAGAGTGGCAGATCATATCCCAACCCGCTCTCTTCTCTCAGCCCCAAACACTATCATGCTCATCCCTGGGCACAGAAGGAAAACATCCAGTTCAGAGTCTTCAGCACAACACCAAGTTCCCAGGGAAAAGGCTGCAGAAGGAATAGGTTCAGTACTGGGGCCTTCTTTACACTAACACAGTGGTTAAAGGCCCATACCCCTCGAGTCGGACTGCCTGGGGTCAGAACCCAGCTCCACTGGCCTAACTGTGTGACCCTGAACAAGAGGTTACCCCCGACATCAGTAAAATGTGTCTAATACTATTGACCTCACAGGTTTTTTGTGAGGGTTAAGTGAGTTAATGCCACAAAGCACCTGGAACCCTTTCTGGCATGTTTCTAAGCACTGTGTTAGCTTTATATTTTTTTCATTTTTCAGCTTAATTATTATTACCACTAGCCCCCAGAGTAGAGCCCCTACAACAAATGGCCTCTGCATTTTCAAAGTAAGATCCTAACTTCTGTCCTCCTCATGTGACATCTTAGAAACCACAGCTGACCTAACTTCTCCTCTTTCTATGCTGGGCCCACCACTGCCCCTGCCCCTGCCCCCACCCCAGCACATCACACAGCTCTGGGCACACAGCTGGTGCCTGGTCAGTGTTTCCTGAATTGAACCAGTGAGATTTCAGGCCCCTCCCACCCCATGAACTTCCTCTCAGTGAGTATTGCTTTATCTCTGTCCCCTGGAAAAGGAGACATCAAGGCTTATGTGGTTCCTTTATCTCTGGAAGCCCTTGAAAATACTAAACAGAGCCGGCCAGGCGCGGTGGCTCACGCCTGTAATCCCAACACTTTGGGAGGCTGAGGCGGGCAGATCACGAGGTCAGGAGATTGAGACCATCCTGGCTAACACGGTGAAACCCCATCTCTACTAAAAAAAATACAAAAAATTAGCCGGGCATGGTGGCGGGCGCCTGTAGTCCCAGCTACTCAGGAGGCTGAGGTAGGAGAATGGCGTGAACCCGGGAGGCGGAGCTTGCAGTGAGCCGAGATCACGCCACTGCACTCCTGCCTGGGCGAGAGAGCGAGACTCCATCTCAAACAAAACAAAACAAAACAAAAAACTGAACAGAGCCAATGAGGAAATGAAAGTTTGGGAAACAAGATGGTGATCATGAACAGAGCCATGGGGACAAACCTAAAGTGTCATTTTTCCACTTGGAGAAGTCACAAGGGCCATCTCCTTACAAGAAAGACACATTTAGGAACTGAAACTGAAGTCCCAGGAATCAGCCTGCAGCATCACAGAGACCCCATCTCCACCCACCATAGGCTCATCACCCAACAAATCATGCCAGGGGAATGGGGCTGTGGGCGGTGCAAGTAACACTCCCAGAACCACTTCCCCAATGGGAGATACACAGGCTGGAGGACGCCAGAAAGAACTGCGAGTGCCCACATGTCCACACCCTGAAGTAGTAACAGAAACAGAGCCTGCCGGTGTCGAGGCCCCACATTTGTACAGACAGGCACCTGAGTGTTTACATAAGGCCTGCAGGCCCTCCTCGCATGAGGCAAGATGCCACCAGCAGTGGAGGTTTCCACTGCATATGAATTCCTAGGGCTAGACCACGGGGGCCCAAACCTCCCTTTTCCAAGGGGGGGATCCCTCAGGGAGTCACATAGACTTTGGGTTGGGTGAGCCTCTTATAAAGCAGCTGGAAGGCAACTGCCCTTAACAAGGGGCCTCTTTTCCCTTCCCATGTGCCTTTATAGGGGCTTCTGCCACTAATGAGCATTTGAGTAGAAGAAAATATGAAAAAAGAGAGAGAGAGAAAGGAACCACACTGAATTTCCCAGAGCCACAGACTAGCTTCTAGACCAGCCGGTGCCCAGCACGTCAGGGACGGGAAATCAAGGACTTGGGCTCAGAGAGGCATCTTGATAATAAGAACTTAACCTTAACCCTCGCTGAACCCTCAGACCACGTGATAACTCCTAAGCAGTGCCAGTTAGATATGTTCAACTGAGAAACTGCAACTAGTAGAACCAAGTCTTTGCCATTTTATTCAAAAATGTTTACTTCATCTTTCCCTACTAAATATAAGCAATTTCCCGTTGTTTATATTTGCACCACATTCACACAATGTGTTCCCCATCAACATTTGAATTATGGGTACAGGCCCTGAAATGTTAGTTTTGTGCTAAGATAAATATTGGAATAATATTCCCTCTGCTTTTTTGAAGTAGTCAACATTACAGTTTGTGATTGAAGAGCAGAGGCCCCATTTGCTTTGTTAAATAACAAAAGGATAACCAAGCAATCCCCCTTGGGGGAGACAGATCAAAATGACCCCCCGGAACACTTTCGCTGCCTTTGTCATTGCTTTATCTGCTAACAATAGACTAGACCCAGCTTCTCTGATGGCGTTGGGCAAACACCCTGAGCTTCCAAGCCCAGCCCTGTGAGGATGATGGTGTCCACTGTGTGCCCAGCACCTGCCACCACAAGCCCTGACACCGTCACCAGCACCCCACATGGAAGCCCCAGCACCATCACCAAACCTAGCATGGATTTCCTGGCAATTTTGCTTGGAGCTCCAGAAAGAAAAAGGAAGAGAGAAAGAAAAAAGAAAAGAGAGAGAGGGTGAGCTTACATAAGGCCCCGGGAATGAATTCCTATTTGGGGCACATTGGCTGGAAAAGTTCTTGTCCTCCCTTCACACAGCCCAATGCCTCTCACAGGTGACTCACCTGAAGGTTTGCCTCCACAAGCTGGGGAGAACAAGAACCACTGGGGAACAGCTCAGAAACACAATATGCTCAGCTCTGCCACACAAGATCCACACAATGGTCATATCTGGGGAAAGCCCCAGAGCTCAAATCTAGGCTACCCCGAGTCAGAAGCCCCAGTTCTGGTGATCCTGATCATGCTGGCCATTTTGAGAAGCTCAAAATGATGCTGGGGTTGAGGCCAGCAGCTTCCCCTCACAGGTGAGTGTCCCCTGGGCTGATGATCCTGACACCCTGGCAGCAATCTGCGGGGGGCCCTCTCCCCTGCATTAATTCTCTCTCTGGTGTCACAAACCAACTCTGTGTGTGGGGGGGGGAACAGGGGAGCAGAATCCCAGTTTTACACATGTGAAAACTGAGCCTCAGAGAAGCTTACCTAAGATCAGCTGGCTGATGGCAGAGGTCTCCCAGTCCCCTCCAGAGTCTGTCTGTGAATGGCAACCCTGGAGCCTTCCCTCTGTTGTCTGAGAAGGCTAAAAATCTGGATCCAGGGCCTGTCAAAAGCCATCTTACAGCCTCTGAGAAGCTCAACTGTAAATTAAGGGGGCTGCCCTAATGATCATTATGACTGTTACTGCTATCAAAAGTATTAGCACTTGGTGGCCATTTCCAGCTCTAGCTTTCACTCTTGCCCTGAGTGTCCTTTTACAATCCAGACAGCCATGCCCAGCTGAGAGCTATGGATCACAGCTAGGGAGCACCTGCTGTCTGGCCCCCTTCTCACAGCCCCTCAAGGTCCCCAGCCTCGTGGCTGCACCCACTAAAACTCAGTCAACAGGACATTGCAGTGCATGACCCTGGCGGCTTCTCTCTGCCCTGCCAAATATACTCTCTTCCCCATAGGAAAAATGTGACACAGTTGGATCTGACTTGGAGAGCATTAGGTTATGATAATTTGAGCTCTGTTCAATTATTGCTATTAAATGCATGAACAGAATACTGTAGCTGGTGGGCTGGATTCTTAAGAAAAATAAGTGGGTTTATATTTCAAGCTGGAAGACATCTCTAACCAAAGGATCCAAATGAATGAAGTAACTTTAGACCTTTTCCTCTTGCCATGCTTTGCTCTGAAGAGAAATATGCCTTTCAAACCAGAATTCCAGGCCCATTCTGGTGATCTGCTCGGCTTCAATCCAGCTAATTAAATTAAGCCACAGCCACCTCACTCCTAGCCAGGCAAGAGGGGACCCATAAATTACACTGCCTTGAGCTCCCCAACAAATTGCCTCTCCCCAAAGAGGGTTTCGCCATTTGAGAAAATGCATCCAAAGGCAGTGCGTGGCGGTGAGGCCCCGATAATTGGTCTTCCCACTCCCCCGCCAGTGGAGAAATAATGAGCGGCCCAAGCTTGAGGGGGCCCAGCCAACAGGGCGAGCAAGGTCTTGGGCTCCAGAACTCAGGCCAGCTGGCTGGCCAGACTTATTCCAGCTAGCCCAAAGCACCATGGGGCAGGGGCAGGGGCAGAGGCGGGCAGGGGGCTGGACTAGGGTGGAGGGACAGGAACCTGCTCCTGGGTGTGGCCTCCCTGCTCTATCTTAGACATACTTCTTGGAGCCCATGAGCCATACCAGCAGGTGGTGACCTGGACAGTGGGCAGACAGCAGATCCTATAGATGTCTCCTCCAACCCCAACCAGCTCCTCAGACTGCACACACCCAGGGGTGCCACATGCAAAGTGTCCCCAGAGTTATGCAATAGGAGGGCCCTGATACTCTGAGCCCCAGAGTGGCAGCTCCAACTCTGCCCATCAACTCTCACAAATTCCTAAAGAATTGGGAGGCTAAGGCAGGCAGATCACGAGGTCAGGAGATCGAGACCATCCTGGCTAGCACGGTGAAACCCCATCTCTACTAAAAATACAAAAAATTAGCTGGGCATGGTGGCGGGCGCCTGTAGTCCCAGCTACTCAGGAGGCTGAGGCAGGAGAATGGCGTGAACCCGAGAGGCGGAGCTTGCAGTGAGCCAAGATCGCGCCGCTGCACTCCAGCCTGGGCAACAGAGCGAGACTCCATCTCAAAAAAAAAAAAAAAAAAATGCTACAGAGTAAGTAAAGCAGGTAGCACTTCCTGGAGGATGAGGAAGAACAAAAATGACCCTTGGGAGTCCTACACAGTTACCTAGAGGGACCTGACCCTCCCCACCAAGGCACCCTCACTCAGCTCTTTGCAGTCCTTCCCAAAACACCCAGGGAACAAAGCAGGGGGAGTTGTTGCAGCTAATGTCTCTGCCTCTCTGTATTTCCAGCAGAAGTTACTCTTTTCCTGCCAGAGCAAAGAAAAAACTCTCCATCATTTTAGCAATGGGAGTGGCCCCCATTATGTGTGGGGAAATCCCCTGGGTGTGTAAGGAAGAAGATCAGCAAGAACCGTGCAGCAGGGAAAGTAAAAATGCAGGCAGGCCTGGGATGGGAAGTTTGCAGAGCGCTAATCCCCTCCGCACCAAGGGACTGATTTTAACAAGGCAGGCTGTTTGTGAGGGGATTCGGGCTGACTCACATGTGCTGTTGTGGCAGGCTCTTCTGCTTTGTTCTGCATTCAGAAATTTCTCATTTTAGGCTTTCTTATCCAAAAATGACTGTGCTGTGGAAACCAGCTCCATTTTGGACAACTCCTCAATTTAAGGAACATTTTTTTAAATGTCACTTCTCTGTAGCACACTGCCACTCAAAAAGGCAGGGTGGAGAGGGTGATTTCAGTCTCACTCCCCAGCCACATCTGTCTCTGCTCCCTGATGAGCTGGGGCAAGGACCCTGAGGAGGAGGCTGAGCTCCTCAGCTGAGGGGCACACCAGGTAATTGGGCTCTGAAGTTACGAAACCCCGAAGGCCACAGGGGAGCTGGGTAGGTCCCTGCCCACACTGTTTCTCGGACTGCTCTCCCAGGATTTGGACGATAGCTATAATAGCGAACATTACTGAGCACCATGCGCCAGGCACTGTGCCAGGCCCTTTACATGCACCGTTTCCTTTAATCCTCACAGCAACTCAGTGAGGTGGGCACCATTATCCCCTCTTACAGACAAAGAAACTGAGGCTTAGAGAGGCGAAGGGAGTTGGCCAAGGGCCCAGAGCTGACTAGAGAGAGAGCTGGGTTTCCAACACAGCGTGGGCTCCCAAGCTCATCCCCTTCTTGGGCCAAGCAGGCATCTGCTCTGCCCTGTGCTTAGGTTTTGGAAGGCAGAGAGTACAGGATGCTGGACTGGGAAGAACTGGTGAACACAGAGAAAGAAACCTAAGGCTGCTGGGTCTCCCTGCTTTCCTAGTAAGTCAATCCCAGCACATTGCCAGGAGGGTGGATTCCCACATGTACCTTAGACAAAACTGCCACAGTGCGTCAGTAGAACCAAGACCCAAGTCAGGGGGCATTGTGAGACCTTGTACAAAGCCCAAGGGGAGGCATCTGATGAAGTGCCAGAAGAAACTGGGGCATCAGAAAGCTCTCCCCCTGCACCACCCAACAGGTCTACCAGAGTGCTGGAGGCAGCCGGCTGGGCCACTTTCTGAGTCACAGAGGGGTGTGGGTGATGCCAGGAAGCCGAGCTGAAAATTGACCTTCTCCCTGAGGTCACTGCCAACACAGCGCTCATCACATGGCAAGCATTCGCCAATGGCTTAACCCGCTGCAAAGGAGAAGAGGGCAACTCGATGGGCATGTGATATGAAACTAGCATTGGAAAATCCACCAGTCCCTCTCCCTAGCAAGAAGGACCAGCAGACAACATCCCCAGCAAAGCCAACACCACATGACAGAGTCCAAACCCAAGTGCGGGCACCCATTCCGACTGCTCTCAGTAGCTGGCATGCCAAGATGAGGCAGCCACACCTTCCCCAGCCAGCATCACTTCTCAACTCCCCTAGATAAACACATGCTGATTGGCACTTGCTTTGAAATCTGAATCTCCGAGATGGAAACCCAGGGTTGTAAGCCATCAGACTTTGTTAATTTTGCCAGGCATCACCCACAGGACTGAGCACAGTTCTCAGGGTGTGGCCACCATCCGCCAAACGAGCCACATCTGCTTGCATTTCATCACCAACATGGTAAAGCTTGACTTTCAGCTGACCTTGAAATTCACAAATTCCAGCAGGGGAGGGGGTGAAAATGGGGGGATAGGAGCCAAGTGAAAGCCACTAAAAGGAAGCAGAAATAAAATAAGCTGGTGCTGCCCTGTGTCCCCCCAAATTAAAACCAAATGAACATATCAAAGGGCACTTTTCCCAGCTATTTCAGCTCTAACACTCCTCAGCTCTAATCAAGTCGCTGGGAGAGAAAGCCTCAAGTGGCTGTAATTTCCTACCTGCCTTCACCTGCATAGCTCAGGACTGAATCTGGGAGTTATTTGGGGCTGGTTTTCCCTAAATGCACAAGCCCTTCCGAGATGCCGTCTGCCCAAGCCAAGCCTGGTTCCCTAGGCTCTGACAGGGCATCTGCTGGCCCAGGCTTTCTCAGCCCTAAAGAAAGCAGCAGGATGAGGGAGAGGTTTGCTTTTGCCTCTAGGGTGTCTGGAAGGACCTCGATGTAGGCCCTGGCTCAAAGACTAGGTCGTTCAGACAAAGAGGACGCAGTCGCCACTGGCAAGGGCCAGACATCAGACCCTGGGGATGCTAATAGCTGTGGATATACCTTTGTCTTCTACCTCCTGGTGCTTGCAGAAAGTAGAGGCAGGGAGAGCACGTGGGAAGAAAAGGCTGCCTCACAATCCAAGCCCCACGTCTCTCTCGCTCCTTTCTTGTGGGACCACAGGCCAGCCCCATCCCTTTCAGGGTCCCAGATGCCCCCTCAGCAAAATAAGAAGACTGGAAAAGATCATAAATGATGCAGCTTTTCCCAATACGGTTGCACATATGTTAACAAATATACTCACAGCTTTTCACTTGACAAAGACTCACTTCAACTTTACAAGAGCCCCAAGGAGCAGGAACTGTTGAGCCTGCTCAGAGAGGGGAGGTGGGCACCCCAAGGCCACAAAGCTGGCAGCTGACAGAGCCGAGATGAGACTTGGGTCTGTCTGGCTCCTCAGTCTATGCCCATTCCATGCTGCCTCTGCGGGCCTCTCCAGCACTGGCATTCTCACGTCTATTTAAAGACGTCCCTAAGTTTTGCTCTAGGGAATCTCCTCCAGAGAAATTACAGTCTGTATTCTAGAGTGAGCCGCAGAGGCCCAGGTGATAGAGAGGAAGCTAGAACAAGCAAGACACATTGTGAAAGGGGAAAGGGGACTACAGCCCCATCTACAGAAAGAAGGGCCACCTGCACTTACTGAGCACTTACTGCATACCAGGTGCTTTCCATCCTTCATCTCATTCAATTCCCCCCAAGCCTCTGACATAGGAACTACCATAACTCTCACTTTACAGATTTGTTCTTTACTCAATAAGCATTGGCAGTTGCTTACATGTCAGTCACCAGATGAGAAAACTGGGGCTCAGAGAGAAGCAGTGACGTACTTACCCCAGGTCCATTTCAAGTTGTGGTATAACCCCAAGCACACTGATGGCATCTGGGTGTGGGGCCCCACCAGTCCATCTTTCCTTCCTGGGCTGGTTTTCCCTCACCCTAGAAGCTGCCTTTCTGATGGTGCGTTCCAGGGAGTATGCACTGCCCATGGAAGGAACTCTGGGTAGATGCACGTGGCCTTGCGAACCTCAGCTGGACTCCGAGGCCTCTGGCCTCCCCATCGACTGCCTCTGGGCTGGTGGTCGGACAGCTACCCTGCCATGGAGTGCAGATGGACCATGTCAGGTTGGCCTACTTATGGCTGGCCAGCCCGATGCAGAGCCCCTGCCTGGCCTCCTGCATTGGAGCACCATCAATGGGCAGCCCCAGCACAGCAGCCCTATGGGGCTGGGCCAGAGCAGCAAAGCCAGCCTCAGAGAATGGGGGCCCCCTTACTCCTGCTTGGCAGGCCTTCCTTCTCCAGCCTATCCTCTCCCTGCCAGGCACTCTGAGCTGTGGGTTACAGGGGAGCATCCTGGACTCTCTTCACAGAGGAGTTGACACCCAGAACAGCCAAATGATGAAGACTGTCAAGGTTGGCAGGACCTTCAGGCTGACAGAGTCCTCACCCCTAAGCCCAAACCTCTGTCACCCCCAACATGTAGCCCTACCAGAAAGAGAAATACTCCTGTTTGAGGTCAGACTGCCTGAGCTTAAATCCTGCTCTGATCTTAACCTTTCTGAGGATTGGTTTTCTCATCTGTAAAATGGGGATGTTAACAGGGGAGGTGGGTTGGGCTGGCTAAGCCATCAGCGTCGGGGAGAGGAGCTGGGACAGAAGAGGCTGCAACAGGTGAGCAAGAAAATTAGAACACCTGTGACGGAAGTGGAGGCTAGGCATGTGCAGTGCTGGACCTGCCATCAGTGTTGGTAGGTGGCTCAAAGAGGCCCCAAGCAGGTGAGAACACCACCAGGGAAGAGGAAGGAGTAAGGCAGTCTAGCAATAAGAATTCATTGAGCATCTGCCAAAAACAAGGTGCAGTAAGAGGACTGGAGAGAAATCAAACCTTCAAAAGCAACAGCCAACCCTGTGGTGCTCCTGGCTCAGAGGGGCCTCCCTGACAAAGACAGATGCTCAGCCTGCCCCACAGGGCCTTGAACCCCACTCTGAGGCTCATTTTAAAGAGTCCAAAGCATTGTCTGGCTCCCAATCAAGGAAGACCCTGAGCTAAGCTAGTCTCCCACATGGCTCTGCCCTCCTTGGCCCAGCCCTGGCCCCCCAGCTGCAGCATGAGCCCCAGCAGGTGTCTCCAAGCTCTGAGGTCACCTCTGCCCAGCTCCAGGACAAACCCCTGCCACATTCATGGAACACCTCTGGGCACTCGCTGCCCTGCCTGGGGACCTCAGTCTTGAGGCAGCATCAGGAGTGGAGTGGAGGACATGGTGGGGAGCAGGGAACCTGTGGGTCATGAGAGCTCTTAGGGACCCAGAAGGTCCCACGTGCATACCCAACCAAGACCACCTTCCTACGGTCAGGAGACCCCGCAGGACCCTCAAGGGTGGCCAGAGAGGCCTTGATCTTCTGCAGGAAATGAAACAGTCCTGTCCTGGGTTCAAGTTGTGAGCCTGGCCCTTAACCAGCTTCCAGTAGGCCCCTGGTTCGCAACTTCCTTTTCTGAAATTAGTGGGGTCAGGCTGCACAGGGTTTCTGTGAGGAGCAGAGGAGATAAAGCGATCGTCTGGTGGGTATGCCAGACCCTTCTCTCTGTGCCTGAGTCCTCTCGCTGCCCAGCCATCCTGGAGGCAGGTCACCGGCCCCAGAGCCAGGGCAGTGCTCTTTTGTAAGGTGAATAAGAGTCAAACCAAAGTCTGTCGTGGGAAGATTCCTGGCAGGAAGGAGGCCCTCGCATCCCCCTATGATGAGGGCCAGGAGGAACATCTTTCCCAGGTGCCACCAGGACAGAATTCCCTCTTTGATTAACTCTCTCTAGGGGAGGAGGAAACAACCCCTCTCCCCTCGGCCCCCAGCAAACAAGGTTGCGCCAGCCAGGACATACTTCCACAGACTGTAAACCAGGGCCCAACCCACTGCAGAGCAGGGCGTGCTGCGGTGCGGGCAAGGCGACCTCGGCAGCTGGATGGCTTCTTGACAGTTATTGGCAGGGCCTTGCTACTGAGGACGAGCGGGGGAAGGGGAAAAGGAAGAAAGCCAATTTTGTTTCGATTGCTGCTGACAGCTGTCCATAGGAAAGCGGAGGCGTGTGCCCACGTAATCTAAACTCGAGCAGCCCAGGTCTCCCCTCAACCCAGAAATGAGCTTGTTAGAAGAGCCTGGATCCCGGCCGTTTCCCTTGACAGCTTCCTTCCCCTAATACACGCAGCAAATTGGCAACCTGTCCTCGGGCATTTGCATCCTGCGTCCCTGGAGGGAGATATCTCTATTATTCTGTTTTGGATAAAGGAGGCTGTTTGAGATGACAGGTAGCAAAGGCCTCTTTAATAAACCACACAAGCAGCCAGAGAGAGCCAGGCTGTGGAGAGGGACTTGACAAATAGGTAAATTTGCAACCCGGGAGCATAAGCAGGGCCAGTCAGAGCCATGAGCAAGGGAATGTTGGGGCTGAGATAAATCACCCCCTTGTTATTCTGGTTTAACCCTCTCACTGCTGGAGCCTCTGTCCACTCCCACCTCCATGAGGCAGCCTCAGGAAATGGACTTACACATCACTTTCTGGCCACAGACCTGCAAGCTGCAACTTGATTCTCTGAGCTCATCTCCTAGCCATGGTGTGGCAAAACTTCCATGGCAGTCTGCAGATCTTTAACAAATGGCCCCTGCCTTTTCCTCATCTCTATCCCAGTCTCTACTGCGGCTAAATCTGCTGTTTTTTCAATAATCCCAATTTTAAGACAAATAAACATTTACTGAGCACTAATCATGCTCCTCTTGTCTTGCCCCAAGTCACAGAAGCTCATTCCCCTCTCTTGTTTCATTTCCCTTGATGCAACTATTTACTCCATTGTACAAACAGCTTCTTGTTCAATTTTCTCTTTCTGGGCCCAATCTTCTCCCCCTTTCCTTAATCCAAAGGAGCTGGGCCTAGGATTTGGGTTCCCTCCAGTGGCGTGCTGGTAAATGTTTAACAGCCAACTTTCTGAGAAAATAAATAAACACCTGATTTGTAGTGTTTGCCAATTTCTGTGGTGTAAATACTCCCACTTGGCTGGTTTCAAGCTTCCAACGAGATGTCACTGAACTCAGAGATGGGAAGAAATATGCATAATCTGCATGTGAGAGCTGGCTCCAATACCCGACTGATTCTGTTTCTCCTTAGTCCCATCTCCTTCCCCTCAGCCCACAGAAAAACACTTCCAACCCTGAAATTCAGTGAACACACACACACACACAGAAACCTCTTCTGCTGACCCCAGCCATATCCTCCCACAAATGACTCCGCCCAAATGAACAACAAGCCCTTCACCAGTACCACACGGAGAGCTCTTCACCTCTGACATCCCGGATTCAATTCACTGCTCTATCACTTAAGAATATCGCTGTGACTTTGGGTACATTCCATAACCTCTCTGTGCCTTAGTTTCGACACCTCTAATGGAAATCTTAGCTCGTGAGGGAATGTGAGAGTTAAATGAGGCCATGTGTGGCACAGTGCCTGGCACACAGTAGATGCTCAAGAATGTTGGCAATCCTCCTCATCTCTGATCTGAACACAGCAGGATGCTCCCACTTCCTTACCCAAGGGGTTTGCCACAACCCTGCCAAGGGTTGCCCAAGCAGGACCATGGGTTTGTTTGCTTCTCAAGGGCAAATAGATGCAGTTGTGCTTGGGCCCAGGGTAGAGCCATGAATTCCTGCTCACCTCCACTTCCTACAACACCTACTCTCCCAACGTGGCTCTGGTGCATCTGCTCACCATGGCTGTGCATTACAATCACCTGGGAAGCTTGACAAACTACTCATGCCTGAGCTTCCCATCCCCACCCCATTCTGATTGAATACGTCTGGGGTGCTGTCTGAGCATCGGGATTTTTTTATCTCTCCAGCTGATTCTCATGTGCAGTCAGTCAATGTTGAGAACCTGGTGAAGACTGATGTGCAGGACTACTCAAAGTAGCAGCTCAACATGACTGGGAGAGCTCGGCTTTTGCTCCCAGCAGGCTCTGGCCTGAGGCCGCCTTCAGATGCCTTCTTCCTAGTGCCATAACTTCAGGCCAGTGGACCCCTGTGGCATGGACCCACAGATACTATGTTGCAGAGGGGATTCCAACAACCAATGAAGCCCAGGACCAGGGTCTGTAAGAACTCCCTGACCAGGAATTCTGGGGCTTCATGCAACCATCCATGTGTGTCTAGTTCAAATGCCTTGTCCCTTTCCTGTTCCAAGAACCAAGACTGGGCTGTAGTGGTGTGAAAAGCGCTGTGGGGAATTGTGCCTGCCCATCCTACCTGACTCTATGCTATGGCCTCACTTAAGGGCAGCAAACACAAATACAGGAGACTGGGGCTAATTTTCCAACTCAACCAAGAACAAGTCTTCCAGAGTCCTCCCAGGCACTGTTTGGGCAGGTGGCCAAAACACAAAGTGTCCCCTGTGAAAAAGGAAGTGGCATTGTTGGTGTCCCAACATGTTTTCTACAGATTGCTATAGTTCTGTAGATGGTCATCAGGCATACAGGAGGGGCATGCTTAGATTCAAATATATTTGAAGGAAGCTAGATGAGAGAAAGTTAAATCAGTTTCTTTACTGAAGGACTTCTCACAGCCTTTGATATAATAATGTGCATGAGGATTCTCCAAGACAGTAGATAAGATACAGTATTTTCCAAACATATTAGACTATGGAACCCTTTTCCCACGTAGTATCTCCCAGGACCAGCGAGCCACAAAACATATCTGTGAAAGGCTCAAGAATAGCTAAGGTGGGCCGGGCACGGTGGCTCATGCCTGTAATCCCAGCACTTTGGGAGTCCGAGGCAGGCGGATCGTGAGGTCAGGAGATCGAGACCATCCTGGCTAACACGGTGAAACTTCGTCTCTACTAAAAATACAAAAAAATTAGCCAGGCCTAGTGGCATGTGCCTGTAGTCCCAGCTACTCGGGAAGCTGAGGCAGGAGAATCTCTTGAACCCGGAAAGTGGAGGTTGCAGTGAGCCGAGATTGCGCCACTGCACTCTAGCCTGGGTGACAGTGAGACTCTGTCTCCGAAAAAAAAAAAAATAGCTAAGGTGGCTAACACAGGCACTGCCATAGCATCAGCCAGAAGATGAGCCTGCCTGTCCTCCTCCCTACCAAAGGACAGTCACCAAGAGGAGAAGCTGCTCTGGAAGCACAAGGGGAAGACTCTAAGCCCAGGACCCACTCCAGATCCCACAAATAGGTTTTCACAGGCTTGGGCAAAGTGTGGATTATGCAAATATGTATTTAGGGACTTTTTAAACACAGATTATTCACCCAATTAACTCTAATGGCCCCTCGGAGCTGAGAGAGACTATTGTGTAAACATGTGGGGCTGAATGTGGCCTCAGCCCCAAGATTTCCTCAAAAGACGGGGTTTATGAGTCCCCCATAAGGGTTCCCTCTGGGCCCCAACTTGGCAGATAAGTTCATTGCCCGGAAGGGAATTCTTGCCTAAAATTTGAAGAGGGTAAGAATAAAAGAAGAATCCAGTCCCCTTTAAGTGAGCAGGGAGCTCTCTGGGTACAGATTTTATATATATTTTCATTTGCCATAAAACATACATTATAAGACACAGAACATCTGGTAGCCTCTGGTAGTCTAGCTCTTTCCCGATAATGGGAGAAATTGTAGATTTCTCTCGTGCGGCCACTTACACTCACATATTCCAAATGTTTCCTGCTGGATACAACACAGCCGGTAGGAAGGCCGACCCACGTCTGCCTCGGTGAGGCAGTGAGAGCCCCACACACAGGCAGCTCTGCCTGAGACCAAGAAGGCCAGCACACCAGCCCCCGCATGGACCCCTGGAGGGAAGCTGGGCCTCCTCCAGATAGGCCAGAGGCCAGCCCCCCAACACGACCTCGAGGTCAAGTCTGACCCACAGTCAAGTCTGCAGACCGACAGGGGACCCAGGGTTAGTCTTCCAACATCAACCAGGAATACATCTTCCAGAATCCTCCTGGGCACTCAAGGGAAGGACGAGAGTCTGAGGGCCCACCCCTCACAGATCTGCAGGGAGATGAGCTGAGGGCTGATCTTCCCACAGCTCTCCACCCACCCATCCAGTCACATCAGCTGGAAACCTGGGAGTCGTTGTTTTCCTCCCTCTCCCTGACTGCCACATCCCACCCATCACCATGCCTTGTCACCTTGGCCTCCTGAACCCCCAAAGTTCTCTCCATGGCCTCCATCCCAACCTGCCAAGTCCCTCCCTGGGACAAGTGCCCCTCCTCACTGGTCTTCCAGCTTCCTCTCTGGCCCTTGTCCATCCATTGTCCACTTTTTCAAATGCACATGTGATCTTGTCCTGCTTTGGCACTGAATGCCTCCTGGCCCTCTCAGGTCAAGACTTTGCCATGGCTCATGCTGACTGGGTGCCACTCACCCTGCTGCTGCCTCTGCATGAAGTGCTCTTCCCTCCCACTTTCTCCAAATTACCTCCCACAGATCCTCCAGAGCTCAGCTCAAATGCCACTTTCTCCAGGGAGCCTTCCCTGATCCCTGACAAGCTGAGATCTCTCCACCCACTAGGGCTCTCACAGCACCGTGTTCCTCCACAACTCCTTGCTAGCAGACACCCAAACAAAAATTATTCCCAGTGTCCAGTACCTGGCACACTGTCGTTGTTCAATAAACATTTGTGGGGTGAAAGGGCTCCACTGAGAAAAATAAGCAGAGGAATAAGGCGTCTCTGGGCCTAGCACTAAGAATGGTGGTAGAAGCTAAGAAAGGAGAGAAGAAGCTGCAGGCACACCCTGAGCAGGCGACATCCACAGTCTCCCTCGGTTTAGCCCTCCCAACAGCTCTGTAAGGTCAATGCTCTTAAGTGCATTGTAAACAAGTGGTCAAGTCAGGATTTGAACCCACATCTAGCTGACTCCAAAGCCCATGCTCTTTCTCCTACAGGAGTCTACTCAGGAGTCTAATAGGATAACTGGGGCATAGTCCCATGATGACAGGTGAAGAAGACAGGGTGGGTCCAATCAGAGGACTCAGCATCAGCAAAAGCATAGCAGTGTGAGACAGGCAGTGAGTCTGGAAAATGCAAGAGGTTCAGCAGGGCCATAAGAAGTTCTACAAAACAGAGAACCTAGAGCAGCCTGGGGAGCCTGGGGAAGGAGGTCACGGCATGCTAGCCTTAGGATCCCGGGTGTTATCCTGGATGGCAGAAACCACAACGTTAGACCTCTCCTCCATGCCAGAGACAGTCACCAACTGCTCCAGCCTTGTAAGAAGGTAAGCCCCATTAGAGCTTTTTAGCAGATCAGATCGCATCACCAGCCTCAACACAGAGTGAACAAGCAAGCAATGAACAGCAGGCACAATATGCTTCTCTCTCAAAAACAGACCCTGGGTCAGCATTAGCAATTAGCGTCCGTCTAGGATCCAGGTTAAGTATCCCCTACACCTGGTACAATCTTCTGAGGGCTCACAGGACCGGAAAAGAGGAAGATTTGAGCCCAAAGAGAGTCCTTGAGAATAAACTACATGCCATTGCCTAGCTCGAAACCCTCACTGCTCCTTCTCCAGGAGGGCTTCCAGGTGAAGGGAGCAGCCAAGTTATCCTAACCTTGCTCTGCCTGGGAGTGCCCCTCTCCCTCTTCACTGCCTGTGCACCTTTTTCCCACTACACAGGAGAACAAAAACCTGCACTGCCAGGTTTTTAACACCAGCTCTGTGTTACCCTGTTAATCCCTAGTCCTCAGTGATCCCCTCTCTCCCATCATCGCTGCGGCTCTCTCTTCACCCCTTTGAAAGGGGGCCAGCATGTGCAGGCAGGAACCTAAAGCCCACTTGGACCTGAAAGCATTTCAGTTCATGTTTATGTGTTGGCTAACTCCAAATCAACCAGGCCACCAACATTTCATGAGGGCCTACTATGTAACACACACTGCTGAGAACACACAAATATGGGAAATCTGAATTCACCGCCTCATTGCATCAACAAATTCCATCTCATGGAACATTATAACAATATAAGGTGTAAGGGAAAGTTCAGGAGAAGGGCGTTCAAAGGCATCCTGTGCTTAAGGACCATGTGAACGACACATAAGAAAGAGATCAGCATTCAGAAGAGGGAGGGCACCTGAGCTTCGGACGAGGCCAGGTAGAGAAGACTTCGAAAAAGAGCCAGATGAAGATTTGAGCTGAGCCTTCAAGATCAGCCAGAATTTCCATCTGTGGAAAAAAGGGAGATGTCAGTGCCGCTGTGCAGAAGGACCAAGGGAAAAGCACCAAAGCGAGGCCTACAGCGAAGACAGGCTAATGATGGAAATCTGCACCCACAGACCCGGCCAAGTGATTTTACAATTTGGCCCAGAGAGTAGGCTGGGGTCCCAAAGACCAACAGCTCTATGCACATGTATATAGGTGTGCATGTACATGCGCACACACACACACACATACATACATACACACACACACAGCATCACTGGCCAAGGTGAATTATGCAAATAATGGGACGCTGGGCTGCTTCTCTCATGGGAACCAGCCTGTGGGCAGTACTTGGGGCACTGAAAGTGCAGTCAGGAGGTGCCAATCTCGACAGTGATCCTTATCATGCTCTTGGAAAACACCCATGGTGTCAACCATGAAGACCATAGAACAGGAAAGGCCCAGAGAAGGAGCCAGAGTATACCACCCCCCCAACACCTTCCCACAGCAGTTTAGCAAGGCCTATCCTCAGGGCCACCCCAGAGTTCCAGGAGATTAGGCTTTGGCGTTACCTAACACCTCCGTACCACTGTCCGTGGCAGCCAAGAGCTGTCCTGGCTGCAGTGCTTACTCAACAGGCTTCATTGCAGGGTATGGATCTTAGAGTGCGCCCAAGCTCATTACAGCATGTAGGAAAGTTGAAATTGCTGTCCACGTGGCAGGGGACTTTGGGAAAGTTCTCTCCCATCTTGGAGCATCAGCTTCTTCAACTAAATGTGGCAGCATTGGACTTTGTGATCTTTAAGGACCAGTGTATTCTACAACTCTAAGACCCAAAGGAATCACACAATTCCCATCTGCTCAGCAGTGGGGCAAGAGCTCACCTGGGCACCTGCCTGACCTGCTTATTTCTACAAGGGAGACCGCCAGTCAGCCGTGTCTGCAGTGGAATCTTGTGTAACAGCTCTGAGACTGAGCACACATAATCCTATCACCATGCCAAGAGGTCAGCTCTGCGTTGACCCTGGTTTGAGGATGTGAGGTCAGTGGGCTAAGAGTCACAGACCTGGCTCTCCTCTAACCATACCTGTGGTTTGGGGCAAGCCTCTGTTCCTCCTGGGCTCAGAGTTCAGTGATCTGAAGTGAGGGCCAATTACCTTCCAGCTAGTATTCCTTTTTTTTCTTCCTTTTTTTTTTTTTTTTTTTTTTGGAGAGATGAAGTGTCACTATGTTGCCCAGGCTGGTCTTGAACTCCTGGACTCAGTCTCCCAAAGTGCTGGGATTACAGGAGTGAGCTGCCATGCCTGGCCCCAACTGGTATTCTTTAAGGCTCCTCTCCCACATGCCCTGGAAGGTGGGGAGAGGGATCACTCAGGGGGAGTGGGAAGAGCCCGGCTCAGGGCCTGACAACAGACATGAACAAGTAATTCATAAAATAAGAAATACCAATGGTTACCAACCATCAGATAAACGGAAACAGACACAAGATATCATTTTCTACTACCACACTGGCAAAGAATAGAAAGATTAACAAAGCCCAGATTGGTCAGAAACAGGCATTCTTTGTAGTCGGTACCCTGTGTAGGAGCCAAGTTGGTACTATGTAGCAGAATGATAAACATGCAACCCTCTGCCCCTGCAAAGAGATATTGTGACAAAGATATTCACTGAAGTGTGTTTATAATAAAGAAAATTGGAAACAACAACCTAAACAGACATGAAGGGAAGGCTAGCCGAGTAAGTTATGATATTTGTGGAACACTGTAACTCTGCAAATGAGCCATTCTACTTCTGAGGCTGAGATGATAGAGATGGTCACTGTTCCCGTTCTACACGTCTACGGTTGCCCCTCCTTATCAGCAGTTTTACTTTCTGCGGTTTCCATTATCCACAGTCAGCCATACTCTGGAAACATTAAATGGAAAATTCCAGAAATAAACAATTCGTGATTGTAATCCCAGCACTTTGGGAGTGTGAGGCAGGCAGATCACTTGAGGCCAGGTGTTTGAGACTAGCCTGGGAAACACGGCGAAACCCCATCTCTACTAAAAATACAAAAATTAGCCAGGCACGGTGGCGCATGTCTGTAATCCCAGCTACTCAGGAGGCCAAAGCACAAGAATCCCTTGAACCCAGGTGGTGGAGGTGGCAGGGGCCGAGATCACAGTGCCACTGCGCTCCAGCCTGGGCAACAGAGCGAGACCCTGTCTCAAAAAAAAGAAAACAACAATTCGTAAGTTTTAAATTGCACACTACTCTGAGTAGCATGATAAAACCTTGAGACATCCTGCTCCTTCCCACCCAGGAAGTGAACTGTTCCTTTGTCCAGCAAATCCATGCTGTAGATGCTACCTGCCTGCTAGTCACTTAGGAGTCACATAGATCAACTGCTGTGGTGGCGCAGTGCTTGTGTTCAAGCAACCTCTGTTTTACTTCACAAGGTCTCCAATACACAAGAGTAGTGATGTTGGCTTATTGTTATAATTGTTTTATTTTATTATTAGTTATTGGTGTTAATCTCTTACTGTGCCTCATTTATAAACTGAACTATCATAGATATGTATATATAGGAAAAAACACAATGTATATAGGGTTTGGTACCATCCACAGTATCAGGCATCCACTGGGGGCCTTGGAACGTGTTATCCTTGGAGAAGGGGAAAGATACTGTATATCTGAACATTTTACAATGGCTGTGCACTACCTTCCTAATCAGAAAAATATGTTCAAGGTATAAAATACCTATAAAAATATGATCTTAATGAATATGGACCATCTACCATATAGGTTGTGTAGGGAAAAAAATTGCAAACAGCATAATACACTATATACAGGTGCATGTTCATGGGGGAAAAAAATGACAAACAGCATAATACACTATATACAAGTGCATGTTCATCGGAGTTTCAGCAAAATGTCAACATTTCTGGTAGTGGAATTTCCATTTTGTTTAAATTCCTTATTTTTTTCCTTCCTTTGTACTTTTATGTATAGTCTGAGAAATTTTAAGTAAGCAGATATCATTTTTTAAAAATAATATTAACTCTCACTTTACTTCCCTAACCCAGGAAAAATCTACAGCAAGGAATAGTTTCCCTTTGGTTGTGTCTTTTTAGTTTACCATTATAAATTCAGAGTTAGTAAGTGTCTGGTACAGAGTAGGTCCAAAAAGCAGAGGAGTTTTTTTTTTTATTAGCAAGAACATGGAAAGTCATTTCATATTATTATTATCTTATTTCAACAGCTTTAGGAGTACACGTGGTTTTTGGTTATATAGTGAATTATATAGTGGTAAAGTCTGAGATTTTAGTGCATTTGCCACCCAGGTAGTGTACACTGTACCCAGCACGTAGTTTTTTATCCCTCACTCCCCCAACCTTCTCCCCTTCTGAAGCTTCAGTGTCTATTATACCACTCTATATGACTTTGTGTACCCATAGATTAGCTCCTACTTATAAGTAAGAACATACAGTATTTGATTTTTCATTCTGAGTTACTTCATTTACAATAATGGCCTCCAGTTCCATCCAAGTTCCTGCAAAAGACATTATTTTCTTCTTTTTCATGGCTGAGTAGTATTCCATGGTGTACATATATCGCATTTTCTTTATCCACTCATTGGTTGATGGGTACTTAGGTTAATTCCGTATCTTTGCAATTGTGAATTGTGCTGCAATAAACATATATACACAGGTGTTTTTTCAATATAATGACTTATTTTCCTTTGGGTAGATACCTAGTAGTAGGATTGCTGGATTGAATGGTAGATCTACTTTTAGTTCTTTGAGAAACCTCCATACTGTTTTCCACAGAGGCTGTACTAATTTAATTCCCGCCGGCAGTGCGTAAGCATTCCCTTTTCACCGCATCCACGCTAGCATCTATTGCCTTTTGACTTTTTAATAATAGCCATTCTGGCTGGGGTAAGGTGGTATCTCACTGTGACTTTAATTTGCATTTCCCTGATGGTTAGTGATGTGGAGCATATTTTCATGTTTTTTGGCCATTTGTACATCTTCTTTTGAGAAATGTGCATTCATACCATTTGCCCACATTTTAATGGGATTATTTGTTTTGTTCTTGCTGATTTGAAAAACACTGGTTTTTGAATGGCTAAAAAATAAAAGTCAACTCTGGTTCTCATATATCTGGGGAGGTCCCCACCCACCTCAGTAGTTCTGCCCACTGGTACGAGAAACACCTGAGCTGCCCATAGGCGCCTGGACACCTGATTCTAAATCACCCCAGGCTCCTCCTAATAGATTCCTCTGATCCCTCCTGGACCCCATTACCACCTTACACTGATTTTACATTCTGAACTTGGCTCCCAAAAGGAGCTCCCTCTCACCAGATGCTCTGAACACATAAAAGGCAACCTGGGTGGCAGGCCCCAAAGGGGAGATGGGTAGGGCAAGGGAACCACCATCCCCATCATTATCCCAGATGCCTGTTACTGAGCACCCGCTCTGTGTCAAGCACAGTACTCTTCATGCACAATTTGTTAGTCAGTATCCCTACTTAACAGATGAGGAAACTTGGGCTTTAAGAAGTCAAGTTGCGTACCCAAGGTCACACAACTGGAAATTGGGATTCAAATCCAGACTCCATAACTCCAAACCCTGTGCTCTCAACCACTACTGTCTAAGGATGGGGCAGAGAGCTGGGAGGACCACAGCCCCATCAGCAAATGCCACGAGAGCAGCAGCAAGATGGAATCCTGAGTAGGAAGGGCCCGGGAGAGCAAGTCTGAGCACAATGCTTGGAAAACAATGGAAAGGCTCAACATTGCCCACACTGTGACAGGTGGGGGACACAGAGTGGCCTCCACTGAGCCCTGGGGACCCAATCCAGAAAAGAGGCTGCACACGCCACAGGGGATGACCTCCACGCTCTAGGATGGAGGGAGGGAGGCTTGGGAATCCCACCCTGGTTGCCGGTCCTCTCCAGAGTGAGGAGGCAAGGGTGGGTACTATGGCTGTGCCCCAACATCTCAGGAAGACCCCCCTACCCTCAGGTGAACAGGTAAGCACTGAGGGCTCAGCAACTGGGTGAAGATGCAGTGACTTAGGAGCCAAGCCAACCCCCAGGCAGCCCCTCAGGCCACGATCCACACTCTGGCCGAGACACACACAGGACACACCTGCTGCACTGGCCATGCCTGACATCTTCAGGTCACCTGAATCCAGGCTTTGGCTTGGGATCCACCACTGACAAAGGACAGGGGTCACCTGGCCTGTGGCACTAAGGGACTACAGTGGAGGTCAGGGAGAAATCAAGAAGGAACCCAGGACATAGAAGAATCTGGCAAGGGAGTTTAGGAGGTCAGACTCACTAGCCAGGGATTCTCAGGCCTTCTCTAATCAGGCCTAAGCAACAGAAATCTGTGTTCAAACAAAAGTTACAATGAAAGCCCAGGAGGCAGTCACACGGGGAAGAAGGCTCGGGGGCCAACAACCTGTTGTGTGCCAGCTCTGAGCTTGTTTATCCCTGAGAAGAGAAAGAAGGGAAGAGCCCTGCCCTCCAGAAGTAGTGTAAAGCAAGGACTCCCAATGAGGGAGGGGAGGGGCCAGCGCTCACTTTGGCCTTCAGCTGGCTGGGGTCAGAGTGGTTTCCTGGGCCAGGGAGATGGAGACAGTTTCAGGAAGGTCTGAAGGTCCAATCTGGGGAACAGGCACATTCCATTTAGGAATGCGGGGAAGAAACAACCATAGGACAAGTCCGAGAAGAGGTCCCTGCCAAGAAGCGGCTGAGCCTGTTCTGGCCAGAGCAGAGGCAAAGACAAGACAGAGCATGGGAGAGGTAGCAGACCTGGGGAACGGCCAGAAGCTTGAAGGGATCATTATTTACCAATTCTGCTTTAACTGAGGAATTCCAGGACTGGACCACAGTGTGTCACTCAGCCCCACACTCTTGTGGCAACCTGTGCACCTGCCAGGCCTGCCCCCAGCTAAGCAGCACACAGTTACCCCAGCACTCCATGGGGCTGGGCTCTCAGCAAACATGAGGGAGGCGATGTCAACAGTCACAGGTCTGGTGTTTAGGGCCATCCCCAGGCAGTGACATGGGGCAACCAGAGGACAACCACCCACAGCAGGTCTCAACACCTCATCTCCCAGGAGAGCAGGGCCCCTTCCAAACCTGCCAGGGATCCAGAGCACACACCAGCCCCAGGCAGAGGAGGGTGAGGCTACAGGGAAGACCCTCACTTAACCCTGGAGGCATGTGCTAGAAAGCTCCGAAGAGCTTTACAAAGGCTGGCCTGACTTTGGCCGGATAAAGGCAGGGCATGAGTGAGAGGAAGAGAAGAGGCTTGGCAGGGAGACCACATGGGTGGGTGAGCAGCAGGAGGCCAGACCCAGGCAGGGGCCATGGACAAACAATCAAGAAATACTTCAGAAGCAGAAGGGGTGGCAGCATCCTCTGCCTGGGCTGGAAACCCAGGACTTTCTTTTTCTTCCCCATGCCCTTAGCCTAATTGGCCCCAAAAGGGAGCTTTCCATGGGAGGGGCAGCGGACCTGGGGAAAGGTGTGTGGACAAAGACTGCAGCATGAGCATGGGCCTTGGGAGCATCCACTACTGGGCAGGACACACCCTGTCCTGCTGGGTCACGTGTCCTCAGACATCTTATCCCCTGGAATGTGTCTCCCTCAACGTCCTATCCCTGAGCTGAATGCCATGCCCATGAGAGTACACAGTAGGCACTCAGCCTGAACTGACTGAGTAAAGAGGATGCCCAGGAGGTAGCTGGTAGTCTGTCTCTGGAGCTCAGGAGAGAGCTCTGGTCTAGCAAGCGAACAGGGAATGATCAGCAAAGAGCAACAGTGGCCTGGGCTTTCTGAGTGCTGGCTGCCTGTTGGGCACTGATCTAGGAGCTTCGTGTAGATTAATTCAGTCAGTGCTCATAACCACCTTAAAGGTTTACAGGTGAGGAAACTGAGTCACAGAGAGGTTAAACAACTTGCTTAAGGTCACACAGCTAGGGCACGAGAGAGCCAGAAATGGACCCAGGCAGATTGGCCCTTCTTAATTGCTATGCTAGAAGTTGCAGCCAACAACAAACATATGAAAAAATGCTCAACATCACTAATGATCAGGGAAATGCAAATCAAAACAACAATGCGATACCATCTGACTCCTGCAAGAATAGCCATAATCAAAAAACCAAAAAATAATAGATGTTGGTGGGGATATGGGGAAAAGAAAACACTTTTACACTGTTGGTGGGAATGTAAACTAATACCACCATTGTGGGAAACAGTGTGGAGATTCCTTAAAAAACTAAAAGTAGATCTATCATTTGATCCAGCAATACCACTCCTGGGTGTCTACCCAGAGGAAAAGAAGTCATTATACAAAAAAGATACACATGTTTATAGCAGCACAATTCACATTTGCAAAAATATGGAAGCAGCCCAAATGCCCATCAATCAACAAGTGGATAAAGAAAATGTGATACACACACACACACACACACACACAAACACCATGGAATACTACTCAGCCTTAAAAAGGAACAAAATAATGGCATTTGCAGCAACCTGGATGGAATTGGAGACCATTATTCTAAGTGAAGTAACTGGGGAATGAGAAACCAAACATTGTATGTTCTCATTCCTAAGTGGGAGCTAAGCTATGAGGATGCAAAGGCATAAGAATGATACAATGGACTTTAGGGACTCGAGGGAAAGGGTGGGAGCGGGGTGAAGGATAAAATACTACACATTGGGGCCTGGGCACAGTGGTTCACACCTGTAATCCCAGCACTTTGGGAGGCCAAAGCAGGTGGATCACCAGAGGTCGGGAGTTAGAGACCAGCCTGACCAACATGGAGAAACTCCGTCTCTACTGAAAATACAAAATTAGCCAGGCATGGTGGCGCATACCTGTAATCCCAGCTACTCAGGAGGCTAAGGCAGGAAAATCGCTTGAACCTGGGAGGTGGAGGTTGCAATGAGCCGAGATTGTGCCATCGCACTCAGGTCTGGGCAACAAGAGTGAAACTGCATCTTAAAAAAAAAAAAAAAAGCGCTACACACAGGGTACAGTGTACACTGCTCGGGTGATGGGTGCACCAAAATCTCAGAAATCACCACTAAAGAACTTATTCATGTAACCAAACACCACCTGTTCCCCAAAAACCTATTGAAATAAAATAATAAATAAATAAATAAATTTAAACTAGTTAAAATTTTTTAAAAAAAGAAAAGAAACTGCAGCCAAGATGGAAGCATGAGAAGAGGGAGAAAAGAAAAGGACCAAGGACAGAGCCCAGGGCAAGGAGCAGCCTGAGGCAGTGAGGCCCCCAGGGAGGAGGAGAGAGGAGATGAAGGAACTCAGGGGTGTCCTTTTCACAGTGAGCGCTCAGTAGGTGCTTGAATTAATTAGTGAGCCAATGAGTACGTGACGGCTAGTGAATGGGAGTGATGCAGACACGACAAAGCAGACCGGGGTGAGGAAGGAGAGGGTGTATGGTCAGCTGCGCCCGCTGCAGAGAGGCAGGAGGCCCCCCCTTTGGAATTGATTAGCAGCTGCCAGCTCTGGCCTGTCCCAGCCCACAGGGCCTGGTACTCAGCCTGGGGCCAGCCAGGTAAGAGAAGGCCTCAATCCACTCGACACAGCTGCAAAACTCACTTTCTCTCCATCCACTGGGACCCTTCCTCTAGGCCACATTCTTTCAAGTGGAGAAAGGACTTGCTACCCAAGTAGTTCACAGCTATTTCTAAAGCTCACACTGCTAGATGTTACCCATTTATAAACAGAAATTCCTCCATACTCAAACTGGACACGCAAACGTGGCAACTCCATATTGCCTTTGATTTTGTTTTAAATAGGAAGAGCTCAGAATTGCATCCCTGACTGTATCCAAGTTATTCCTTTTCCCCATATATGGCTGGATCCACTGTTTGCCAGGACAAGCCGTGTTTTCCTTATTAAGCAATATACAAAGCTAGCAAACAGAGACCGCTCACTGCCCCATATCCCAATCCCAGCCGTCACCACAGGAGCAAGGCCCTGACCACGCTGCAGAGCATCAGAGGGCCCCCATGACAGTAGGCACAGACCAGAACTCTGGGCTGCAGGTCAGGGAGCCTGTCCCAGTCTGGCCACCACTGACCCAGGTACAGCCTGGACATCCACAACAGTAGTGCCTGCTGGGTGCCAGGCTCCAAGAAAAGTCATGTGAAATCCTCATAACAACCCTAAGTTGTGGGCATTATTCTCCCCATCTTACAGATGAGCAGAATGAGGCACAGAGAGGCCATGTGATCTGTTTACAGTCATCCAGCTGGGATGGCAGAGGTGGAGGGGGTCCCATTCTGTCTGACTGCACAGCCCATCTTCAGGTTTCCATGGGCCATCTCCTGTCTGCACTCTGGTTTACCCATTTGTTAAAGGAGATGGTTGGAAAAAATGTTGCTCAAACCCCCTCCAACTCTCCTGTCAGCACTTATTCTGTTATGGGGTATCAGACCTTCCACTGGGCGCTTTGGTCAAGGTCTAGAATGGGTAACACAGATCCTGCACACCCCAAAGCAGATTCCAAAGGCAGCAGCATGGGGCCCATCTGGAACTCAGAATAGAGCCTTGCGCCTTCCTGCTCACAGGGTTTTCCCAACCCTTCAAGGCCTCCTCCTCCAGGAAGCCTGCACAGGCTTCACCATGACCCTGCATAGCCTGCACCATGACCATGTCCATGGCTGCTGTCTGGGCCTCACAAGACTGTCTTTAATTCCCAGGCCTCTGGTATTTGGCAGTGGGGACATACAAAGCGGCAGGAAATCTCTATCCTCCCAAGGGCAAGGATCCACTGTGATTGAAACAGACAGGACCCATTCCCCACTTGGCATCTTCAGAAAATGCAAGACTGGGCTGACTTCTCCATGGATCCCACTACTCCTGAGAACCACCTGGGGTGGGTGGCTGGGTAAAACTGTGGGGCTCCAGTCCAGGCTTCTAGGTGTGAATCTTGCGGGTGGGCCCTCAACCTTCAGGCTTAACCAGCACAGGATTTTACAATGGCATCAATGAAACTCACTGCCCTAGGACAATACATGCTGGTCTCTTCCCCTGTCCCTCCCACCTCACATCTTTGTTCCCACCTCCTACCTCCTCCTCTATATACATGAATCCAAACATGTAGCCTGTGGGAGCCCCACAAAATGCCACATGCCTATAACTATCCTTTATAATTGCACTTTTTAGTGCTTTTCACATTAATCTGACAATAATAAACCAGCATTTCAAGCTGCTTTTTATACCCCCAGGAACTAGAGGATCTGAAAACACATAGGGGTGAAAAGTGCACTGTTTCTAACTCACATCTTCTCAGGACCTGCCTTCTATCCATTGCCTTCTGATGTATGTTTTGCAGAGGTTAATATCAATAGATATTAGCTAAATGAATATATGAATGAATAAACAACCTTAAAGCAAGCCAGTCTCAAGCAGTTGATTTATTTCACATTGGTAGAATTTTAAAAGATTAGCAAATGTTCCAAGAAATGACTGTTACTGTTGGATGGCAGATGTGTTTTAATCTGTGATGACAGTTTGTCTTGTATTATAACCTGACATACCTTTTCCAACCAGGCATTGACTGGGTGCTGCAGTTTTCTGAAGACATCTCATTGCCCACTGCAACCAGATAGTCCTGACCCACTACAATTCAAAGCTGTTTCTTGGAGCTCAGCCCCACACAGCCCATCACCACCCAGGTACTTCAGACACCCTGTCTTCTTTTTTGTTTTGAATTAAAGCAAAACACTTATCATTTTAATTAGTAGTATGTATTTTTGTAAGAATGTCAAATGATACCAAAGTAAATGAAGTATACTGTGACAGCTCCAACCCCAGCCTGAGCACGGTGGACAGACAGGGAGGCCTCCTCCTTTCTTCTCAGGAGACCCTATGGCCTTCAACACTCTGCTGGCTCATTTGAAGTCACTGAGTACTTAACAGCTAGCACAATTCAGTTCCACCTGCAACTACCGAGAACGCAGGGGTCAACAGGTGCTGGGTGGCCCTCCATACCACTGTCCTCAACACCAAGACATCTCTGCCTGACTCCCCACAGCCACCTCTCCCCCATTCAAACCATCTCACTTATGGGACCTTATCATCTTTCTTCAACTTTTTTTTAACATTGACAGCAACTATAACAACACACCTGTTGGCCATTTGTCTGTCCTCTTTTGAGAGATGTCTGTTCTGGTATTTTGCCAGTTTTTAATTGGATTAGTTGGTTCTTTGAGTTCCTTGTATATTCTGGATATTAATCCTTTGTCAGATGAATAGCGTATTAGTCTCTTCTCATGCTGCTAACAGAGACATACCCAAGACTGGGTAATTTATAAAGGAAAGAAGTTTAATTGACTCACAGTTCAGCATGGCTGGAGAGGCCTCAGGAAACTTACAATCATGGCAGAAGGGGAAGCAAACACATCCTTCTTCACATGGCAGCATGAAGAAGTGCCGAGCAAAGGGGAAAAAGCCCCTTATAAAAACATCAGATCTCGTGAGAACTCACTATCAGGAGAAAAGCATGAAGGTAACCACCCCCATGATTCAATTACCTCCCACCAGGTCCCTCCCACTACACATGGGGATTATGGGAACTACAATTCGAGATGATATTTGGGTGGGGACACAGCCAAACCATATCAAATAGATTGCAAATATTTTCTTCCATTCTTCTGATTGTCCCTTTACTTTGTTGATTGCTTCCTTTGTGGTGCAGAAGCTTTTTAGTTTTATATAATCCTATTTGTGTATTTTTACTTTTATTGACTGTGCTTTTCAGGTCTTCTACATATGTCCAACAGGTATATGAAAAACTGCTCAACATCACTAGCCATCAGGGAAATACAAATCAAAACCACAATGAGATATCAACTCACCCCAGTTAGAATGGCTATTATCCAAAAGACAAAAGATAATAAGTGTTGGCAAGGATGTGGAGAAGGGGGAATTCTTATACATTGTTGGTGGGAATATAAATTAGTACAGCCATTATGGACGACAGTATGGCAATTCCTCAAAAAACTAAAAATAGAACTACCGTATGCTCCAACAATCCCTCTTCTGGGAATATATCCAAAGGGAGAAAGATCAGTGTATCAAAGACATACTTGCATCTCCATGTTTATTGCAGCATTATTCACAATAACCAAGATATGGAATCAACCTAAGTGTCCATCAATGGACACAGGGAAAATGTGATATATATCCACAATGGAATACTTTCCAGTCATAAAAGAGAATGAAATCCTGTCATTCAAAGCGACATGGATAAGCTTGGAGGACATTATGTTAAGTGAAATAAGCCAGGCTAGGAAAGACAAATACCACATGTTCGCATTCATATGGAGAAGCTAAAAACGCTGATTCCCTAGAAGTAGAGAGTAGAATAGTGGTTATTAGAGGCTGGGAGGTGGGGGAGCAGGAGATAGAGGTTGATGAATAGATACAAAATTACAGCTAGACAGGAGGAATAAGTTCCCATGTTCTAAGCACCATAAGGTGACTATAATTAATAACAATTTATTGCATACTTTCCAATAGCTAGAAGAGGAGACTTTGTTCCCAATGCAAAGAAATGATACACGTTTGACGTGATGAATATGCTAATTGCCCTGATTTGTTACTTATTGTATGTGTATATCAAAATATCATACTGTACCCCATAAATATGTATAATTATTATGTCAATTAAAAATAATAATAAAAGCAAAAAAAACTAGCAACACACCTCACTTCTCAATACTGATAAGAGTTCTCCATCCCCAGAAGGAGTTCTTCTATCCCTCCAACACCCAGCCCCTACCTGCTTTTTCAGACTGAGTCTCCTATTTCACTTCTGCACATCATCTGAACATCCCCTGGTCCCTTCTACAAGTCCCCACTTTCCTGTCTTCTTAAAATTGCTCAAGACTATCCCCCTGGAAGTCTTCTCCACCCCAACTTTGCAGGACCAAATCACTTCCTCATATTCTAAGCCTTACCCCATAGGCCACCTCCCTCATGAAGCCTTGCCTGATGCTACCAGCTGGAAGCAATGATTGATTGCTAAGCAAACTTGACCCTGGAGTGAGGCTCCTGAGACAGCCATGCTCTCTCACCTGGCCTGCACCATGCTCCTGGCCAATTCAGGCGCTGTGGCTGGTGCCCCAGCATAAGGTTCTGGACCAAGATGACTGATCCCTCTACAACTCCCCTTGCATGCTGGGTCCTCACTGTCAGAGTGGACTCTCCTAGCCAGGCACTGCTGGGGGTTAAAGGAAAAAGGCATCTAAAATCTTAGCCCAAAGCCCTATCCAAGGGACTCAACAGAATATGGCTTAACGTGGCCAATTTTTGTTCCTCTGAACAGCAAATGGATGCATTGAGCCTCCCTCTCTGCCAAAAGCTAAAGCCAAGTCCACAAGTCCACATTGTCCACAGACTGGCAGGAACAGGGGCCAAAAAGGGGGAGAGTTAGGCTGCCCCATACCCTGTAAGGTCCTAGAACACCACCCACACCTAAATAGCTTAAATTGGGTTTGGTGTGCCTTGAATTTCAGCTTGTACTCCAAAGTTCTAGTACCCCGAGGGATACTGGTCTAATGAGGCAGCCCTCAGGCTGATGGTCAGAACACCATCCCTGAGAGAAGTGAGTTTGTCAAACAATCCAGTCATGGGGCAGAGCCTAGAGGCTGGGACAACCCTCCTCCCCTCAGCCAGTGCCCAGGATCTGCCAGCATCCATGAGGTGAGCCTAACCCCATGCAGCAAAATTCATCTTTCTGGGGCAAGTCCCTCCTTGCTTCTGCTTGCTCTTGCCTACTCTACCTCCAGCCCCTTCAACCTAACTTCAGCTGGAGCTATGCAAGAGCATCTACTACACACATGTGCACACGCCCCACAGGTAGACAGACACAGGTGAGCCGTGGCAGCCTCCTGGGCAGGACCACCCTTTGCCCAGGTGGGGCTGGTCCAGGTGACTCAAGAGCAACAGCTTAGGGGGAAGAGCCAGAGGTAGGCAAGCAGATAGGGGTGACTCCCACGATGGTGACTCCCATTGCTCTGTCCAGACCTCTCTACTGAGCCCCACCCAAAGGCCCACTCCTCACCTCCTACTGGATGAACCTCAAACATGGCTCATCAAAATGGAACTCATTTGTCTCCCTTCCAGACCAGCTCCTCCACCAGCACCTCCAACTCTGGAGTGGCTCTGCCCTCATGCAAGCCCCTCCTCCTCCCTCTCCTTTAGCATCCATCCCATTGGCAAGTCCTGCCCCTCCTACCCTGGTTCTCTTCATGCCCCTGACACTGCTCCCACCAGGATCCCAGCAAGAGTGACTGAACCAGTTCCCCCTTCTAGACCCTTCTTCCACACAGTGGCCACGGTGATCTTCAAATGCAAATCTGACCCAATGTGCCTATAACCAAAGCCCCCTCCAGGTACAGTCCCCTGGGTAGCTCATGGGGGCTGCAGCTCCAGCCCCTCTCACCTGCCCCACCCAGCTCTCACTCCTCCTCCTTTCACTCTCTTCTCCAGCCACGCTGACCTTCCCTGCACCGCCCCCATCATAAGGCCTCTGCACATGCTCTTCCCCTGCCACAGTCACTCTTCCCAGCCCCTTGGCCTAGCCCGCAGTCTTCGTGCTTCAGGTCTACTTTCATGCAGGACGACGCCTCCCTGACCACACTACTCCGTGCCCAGCCCCGCATGCCACCCTGCTCATCCCTCCATCCCCCTCACTGCACCACCCAGTACCAGAGAGCCCATCCCATCCTCAGAGAACTTTCTACTGGACTGTGAGCTCCCTGAGGGCAGGCATTGGACTCTGCCCTGCTCCTCACCGCTACCCCATGCCTGGTTGACAGCAGGAAGCTGTGTGGGGGCTGAACAAGTGAAGGAGCCACTGACGGGGCAGGAAGTGGAGGTGGGCAAGCACTGTGAGGGCTGAGGCCTGTCCACTGTGTGTAGGGGATGCCCCTCAATGCCCCGGGACATTCCCTCCCCGGGGCTGGTCACTGGGGGAAGACATCCCCTCTGGGGATGCACCACGGGGCTGGTGCAGGAAAGGGAGGTGAACCATGAGACAGGAAGGTTCTCCAGCCGGGCCCCAGCCCGGAGTCAGGAGCACACAGCGCAGGCAGGTCCAGTCTCCCCTCAGCTGCCCACAGCCCCGTCCAACCCACTAGGAAAATATTCTGCACAGAGGACACTCCTAGAGGAGGAGGAGGCTGTGCTCACACAACATGGCCTTGCCTCTGGGGGTCAATGCCTTGTGTCTGACCCAAACCCAAACCAACCAACCCGGCCTGCCCCAGAGCTTCCTGCTCTGGATTTCTGGGCTTCTCCTGCTCCTTCAGGTTCCACCCAAATTCCTTAGGTCTGACTATTCCCTGAGTCTATCAGGGCACAAGTCAGGGAAGTAGGGCTGAGAGGTAAAGCACAAGTCACAGACTCAATGCCCCCTCCCCACGGACCAGACCCCAGCCCCCTACCTAGAGCCCCCACAGCTGAGTGGTCCTCCCATGACTCAGGGATGCCCCTCCCCAGCCAGAGACCCTGGGGTGGGCTGGAGGGTAACATCAGCCCAACGGTCAAGGGCAAAGTGCCAGCTCCACTTGCCACGGTATTATTAAAAGTCAACTGTCTCCCAGGGTGGTGGTTACATGGTGTTTACTTTATAATAATTTGTTAAACTGAATATTTTCTATATGTGTTATATTTCACAATTTTGCAAAGTTTTTTTTTTTTTTTTTTAAGGCAACTGCCTTCATGGAATGCAAACCCTTGTGAATGCCAAAACTCAGGCCAATGCCAGAACTACCCACCAGGCTTCAGGCACTGATGGAGCCATGTGTGGAGCCACCTAAGAGGGCCACACTGCCCTCGGGGCCTGTCACTGCAGGCCAGTGCTAATGAGGGAGGAGGCTGTGCTGACTCCCAATTAAGCGACTTTGCTCCAAGGAATCAGAGAAATCTGGGAGGGTGGCACACACTGCTCTCTGGACTACCCCACCCTCACCCCATGCCTCTGCCCACTATCCACACAGCCTCTGGACCCCAGAGACCCATGACACCCAGGCAGCAAAGCCAGGGATGAAGTGGGGTCTGAGGCCTCCCTTCTGAAAGAGAAAAAGCTGCACAGAAAGCCAACAGTTCACAGGGGCATCACACTGGCCACAGACACACAGAAAAAGGCTTAGCCCTGCTATTCAAAGAAAGGCGAGTCAAAGCACCATCAGATACCATTTCACCCAACTAACTGGCAACAACTAAAAAGAGCGGTAAAGGCAGGAGCAGGAAAGGAGAAAAGCCCTCTCACTCGCCGAGGAATGGAGTACACGCTGGCCCACCTCTCTCGAGAGCAATCTGACACTATCCTAGCCAAGCATGCCCATCCAGCAATCCCACTTCAAGAAAATGCCTAAGGAGACAAAAGGACAGGTTTGCAAAGATGTGGGTACACTCATATTCAGAGTAGCAAAAAGTCGAAAGTATCCTAAATGTTCATTAATAAGAGACTAGGCATGTAAGTTATGGTATGATAGAACATTCTGCTCCTTATTCAAAAGAAAGTAGTAGCTCCTTAAATACCATTGAAAGACATCCAAGACTTGGTGTTGGGGGAAAAGACTGGTTACAGAACATTGTAGTGTAATGTGATCTCATGTATATTTGCAAAGTGTGTGTGTTTATATACGTGAGTATTTATTTCAGCATACACATGCATATAATTCACAAAGGCAAAACTATCTGGAAGGATAAATACTTAAGAGTAGCTATGGAGAGGGCATATTATGAGGGAAGTTCACTTGCTCTGGATGGTTTTGATTTTTATAATGACCATGTACTATCAAAGAAGTGATAAAGACATCCCATTAAAGTAAAGCACTATGTACCCCCAAAAGGCCTAAATCCACAAGGATAGGAAGAACATAAGAGAAAACCATAGCAACAAAATGTTGGAAACTGGAAAGCAGATGGATGAGGGGAACTGACTTAACAGACCTAAGTAAACTAAATCCTAAGTCAGCAGTGAAGAAAGCCAAAAAGCCACCTGACATTTGCCATAGAATTATACAAAGCCTTAGGAATTAGAGGCACCAGAGACCTGTGGGAGGAGGGGTTGAGAACAGGAGGGCCGGCTGAAAGCCCTTATCATCAGCCTTTAGAGGTACAGGTACCCTCTCCAACTCCCTGCAGCCAAGTGACTGCCCCCCTCCCTGCTGATAGAAGACTGGAGGATTTTCTGGGAAGAGTTAAACAGAAGGACTCTGGTTTGGGGGACACCAAGGACAGATGAGAGGTAAAGTACCATACTGAAAACAGAGGAAGTGAGTGAAAGTTTACATTCTGAATGTCAAGGCCCCCTTGACTTTTTCCCCCATCAGATTCACATAAGGCTGGCAGCTAGGTGAATGTCCTTAAATCTGCAGAATGGGAGGGGGCTTCTCTGAGTCCTCCAGCCAGTCCTAGAAAAAAGAGTTAGAAGTTCCCCCAAAAAGATTGCTGTTCTGTGAACAACACAAACACAGTGTTCCAACCAGTTTGTTAGTGAATATGAAAGCACAGGCAAGAAATACGAGACACCATCTCACACCAGTTAGAATGGCAATCATTAAAAAGTCAGGAAACAACAGGTGCTGGAGAGGATGTGGAGAAATAGGAACACTTTTACACGGTTGGTGGAACTGTAAACTAGTTCAACCATTGTGGAGGTCAGTGTGGCGATTCCTCAGGGATCTAGAACTAGAAATACCATTTGACCCAGCCATCCCATTACTGGGTATATACCCAAAGGACTGTAAATCATGCTGCTATAAAGACACATGCACACGTATGTTTATTGCGGCATTATTCACAATAGCAAAGACTTGGAACCAACCCAAATGTCCAACAATGATAGACTGGATTAAGAAAATGTGGCACATATACACCATGGAATACTATGCAGCCATAAAAAATGATGAGTTCATGTCCTTTGTACGGACATGGATGAAATTGGAAATCATCATTCTCAGTAAACTATCACAAGAACAAAAAACCAAACACCGCATATTCTCACTCATAGGTGGGAATTGAACAATGAGATCACATGGACACAGGAAGGGGAACATCACACTCTGGGGACTGTTGTGGGGTTGGGGGAGGGGGGAGGGATAGCAGTGGGAGATATACCTAATGCTAGATGACGAGTTAGTGGGTGCAGCACACCAGCACGGCACATGTATACATATGTAACTAACCTGCACAGTGTGCACATGTACCCTAAAACTTAAAGTATAATAATAAAAAAATTAATTAATTAATTAAAAAAAGAAATACGAGACATTAGAAGAAATTATCTAATATGAAAGAGAACAAAGGAAACAGAATAACAAAGCTATTTGGAGGAAAGATTCAATGCAAGAAGACAAAACTTTAAAGAATAGTGAATGCAATGAGAAATGATCTTGCTTCCATGAAACAAGATAGGATGCTACAAGGCAACAACATCATTCAGAGAACCAAAAAGAGTTCTTGGAAATTAAAAATATGATAGCAGAAATGAAAAACTCAGTAAGGGGGATAAAAGATAGTGTTGAAAGACTCTCCCAGAAAGAACAGTAAAAAGAAAATTAGAGGACTATGCTAAGAAGTCCAATATCCAAACAATCAGATATATCAATTATTGCCACAAAAATTCTTAATAACAACAATATCACAGTGGCTTACAACAACAAGCATTTATTGCTCATGTATCCAGATGTCTGCTTACGTTGGCTGCTCCACCTGTCTCTCATACCTTCCTGGAACCAGTGGACTAACCTGGGCATGTTCCTCTCATGGCAATGGGGGCAGGCAAGAGCAAGCAAGCTCAGTCACCTTCAGTGGCTTTCAGTCCTCTACTTGTATTGATTACCAACATCCCCTTGGCCCAAAGCAAGACATATGGCTGAGCCCAGAGTCAGAGTAGTCAAAGTTACATGGCAATGGGCATGGAGACAAGGAACAGGTTGTTTTTACAACCTGCCACATAAGAGTTCAAAAAGGGAGGCAGAAAATAGAAAGGACAGGAAGATAGATAGATACATAATTCTAGTAGATTTCCTAAAACTAAAGGACATGAGTTTCCCAACTGAATAGCCCACTGAGTGCCTAGCAATGAAACAAAATAGAATTATATCAAAATCATACCAAATGTCAGTTTCAGAACATTGGGAACTGATATGATTTGGCTCTGTATCCTCACCCAAATCTCATCTCGAATTGTAATCCCCACACGTCAAGGGAGGGACCTGATGGGAGGTGACTGGATCATGGGGGTGGTTTCCCCCATGCTGTTCTTGTAATAGTGAGTTCTGATGGTTTTATAAGTGTTTGGCAGATCCTCCATCACAAGCTCTCCTCTCTTCTACCACCTAGTGAAGAAGGTACTTGCTTCTCCTTCGCCTTCTGCCATGATTGTAAGTTTCCTGAGGCCTCCCCAGCCATGTGGAACTGTGAGTCAATTAAACCTTCTTTCTTTATAAATTACTCAGTCTCTGGCAGTTCTTTATAGCAGGGTGAAAACGGACTAATATGGGTCCAAAAAAAAAAGGTCCTAAAAGCCTCTAGAGAGAAAATAATGACAGGTTTCACACAAAAGATCATGAATCAAAATGGCATGAGAATTTTCAACACCCACATCAAAAGCTAGTAGGTAATGGAGAAAACCTTCAAAATTCTTAAGGAAAATTACTTCCAAATTGGAATTCTATACCCAGCCAAACTATCAAATTAAGTGTGATAGGAAAGTAAAGAGTTTATAACATGTAAGTGCCTTTAAAAACATTACCCGCAACACACTCTTTCTTGGGAATCCACAGGGAGTATGCTCTGACAAATGAGGGAGTAAACCAAGCAGGAAAGCATGGGATTCAAGAGACAGGAAATCCTACTTGGAAGATAAATAAAACTAATTCCCAGGATAATGGTGAAGGAACATCTCAGGAATACATATGTACACCCAGCATAGAGGGCAACCAGCCCAGACCAGAGCAAGTCTGAATGTTCCAGGAGAGATTTTTCTCAGAAACATTAACCTAGTAAATACCTAATGCATCTAAATACATTGAGAGGAGACTTATACAACCAGAGAACAGTGTGCAAACAAAATAATGACAAATACACAGAAAACTAAGCACATAACAATAATTATTAACTGTGGGGGAACAAAACATTGTGTAGCCAAAAGAAAATGCTCATAGTCTAATATGACATAGCCCAAATAACTGATTTATCAAAACACAGAACCCTTTGGGGAGCACAGGGGAGTATCATGAGGGCATGGGATGGAGCATGTGGGTGAGGAGTATAAAAGAAAGCCGGAGGCTAATCTCCCACAGTGAGAAGTCAATAGATAATGCTCAAAACTGAACAATTTTTTTTTTTTTTGTATTTTTAGTAGAGACGGGATTTCACCATGTTGGTCAGGCTGGTCTCAAACTCCTGACCTTAGGTGATCCGCCCACCTCGGCCTCCCAAAGTGCTGGGATTACAGGCATGAGCCACTGTGCCCAGCCTCAAAACTGAACAATTTAAAAGAAACAATACAAACATGTTTTATAGAGTTATAAAAGTAAATACTCTTAAAAATCAGCTAGAAGGATTGAAATTGCTTTTCTCTGGGAAGTAGAAAATAGAGGTAGATGACTTGTGTAAAAGTGTATGGCACCTCCCCCATCTCTCTCTTCCTCCTGCTCTGACCATGGAAGATGAGCCTGCTTCCCTTTCCCCTTCCGCCATGATTGTAAGTTTCCTGAGCCCTCCTCAGAAGCCGAGCAAATGGCCAGCACCATGCTTCCTGTCAGCCTGCATAACCATGAGCCAATGTAGCCTCTTTTCTTTATAAGTTACCCAGTCTCAGGTATTTCTTTATAGCAGTGTGAAAACAGACTAATACGTTGTTCTCCAAATATTTATTGAGCACTTAACTATATTAGTCACTATATTATTTGGACTTTTTACAGTGAGTATCAGCAGAAAAAAATAAAGTTTTAGAAATTTAAGAAAATAAATGCTAAAATAACTAATTCCAACATGTTTTCATTTTAAAAAATAAAATGTCACCCAGAGGACACATGAGGAGGTGTGGCCCCATCAACCCCAGGCTAGGGAGGGACCATTCCAGAAAGCTGAAAGCCTGTGAGTAGGTCCTCTGCCTGCTTCCTGAGCTAGAAGCCTTGGCCACGCTTGCTGGTGGGCACGTCTGGCCCTGCAGGATCTGCCCCATGGGAAACAGGACTCTCCCTGGTATGATATGATTGTGCTCCAGAGGCTCATTTTGGGATCCTTGGCTGGGAACTGCAGAGAGACCTAGCTAGCCTGGACCTAGTGAGGCTGGGATGATAGTCACCATTGCTGTTAAGTGGGGATGTTCTCTGGTGCCCTGAAGGTGTCCTTGCAGCCTGCACCAGGTGTGAAGCACCCTTTCAATCTTGATTAACAGATCTTCTCTGGTGGTGGGTTTCCAGACTCCTAAGAGGTGTGAGTTGAGGGTCTGCCTGTCTTCAGCAGCATAAAACGGTGGAAGGAGAACAGGCCTTGAAATCAACTAGCTCTGAGCTCTGCCACCAGCTGGCTCTGTGACTCTGGAAAAGTTCCTCAACCACTCTGAACCTGTGCAAGCTGGGGTAATGTGGCCCTCATTCCAGGCCCGCTGGGAGGATTCCTGGAGAGATATATGTGAAGTAGCTAGCATAGTGCCTGGTGCATGGTAAGGACTCAACAAGTCCTCATCTACTTTTCAGAAAGAGGTTGAAGGCTTGCCTTCTGGCAGGGCAGCTCCATCTCCACCCTCCTTCAAACACAGCCAGAGCTAACTACATCTTATGACCTCAGGCACCAGAGGACTGAGAAGTCAGGAGGGTGTGGGGGTAAGTGGAGCAGTCACCAAGTTGAAAGGATGATAACACTGAATAAAAAGACAACGCCAGGAGGTCCCTTACCAGAAAGTCAGCAGGCTCTTACCAGAATCAAATTCCAGAAGCAAAAGCAAACCACAGGCAAGTATCAGAAGTGGGGACACTTCCTTGGGTTACACAAGGCAATCTCCCAGGGGAGACGAGGCTAGTCAGAAGGCTTGGGACCAAGCTCACTGCAAGGTGTTTGCTAGGAAGCACTATCTCAGCTGCAGGGAGGACCTCATGCTAATAACAGAAGAAATGCAAATTAATATCCAAAAACCAAATTCCTTCTTTTTTACCTAATAAATAGACATTTTAAAATTTATAATCCACGGTGGTAGTGAAAGATGTGGGGAAAAAGACATTCTTAGACTCTGCTGGTAAGGGGGTAGATATAGCCTTCCTGTAAAATAATTTGCTGACATATATGAGAGTATAAAACATGCACACTGATTTAGCAATGGCTATAAAAACTGTAAATGGACATAATTCTCCAACTCAACAATTCTGCTCCTAGCATTTCTCCAGTTCTGCTGTGCAACTACACCAAGACATAAGGATGTTCACTGAAGCATTTTTAAAAAAATGCTTTGTGGCCAGGCACGGTGGCTCACGCCTGTAATCCCAGCACTTTGGGAGGCCAAGGTGAGCGAATCACCTGAGGTCAGCAGTTCGAGACCAGCCTGACCAACATGGTGAAACCCCATCTCTACTAAAAATACACAAATTAGCCAGGCATGGTGGCGTGCACCTGTAGTCCCAGCTACTCGGAAGGCTGAGGCAAGAGAATCCTTTAAACCCAGGAGGCGGAGGTTGCCGTGAGCCGAGATCGTACCACTACACCGAGTGAGATTCCATCTCAAAAAAAAAAATGCTTTGTAATTTTTTTTAAAAGAGTCCATTGATAAGAGACTGGTACAGCTATGTCATGAAGCTGCCATGCTAATGTGGGAAGTTGCCCAGGACACCTTATTAAATAGAAAAATCATTGTTCATACTGTTATGAAAGTTATGAATCAATTTGTCCTTAAAAGGTACACACATACATGCATGCGTGCACACATGCACAACTTCTGGAAGGATAACTAAGAAATTAGCAGTGGTTATTTTAGAGAGTAGAGGATGGAGAAGTCTTCAAGTTCTCACTATATTCCCTTCTGTACTGTTGAAACTTTTTACCATGAATTTAGTAACTTTAAAAACACATGATTTAGCCCACCAAATCCACCTGCAGGAATTTATCCCACGGAAAACATGCCTCACACCCAACAAATATTTGTTAAAGAATAAATGTGAGCAGATTTGGCCATGAGGTTGTTCACTGCCAGTGTTGAGGAAAACAGAAGTTACAAGCAGCCTAGGTTCCAACCAATGAGAAGATAGTCTGCAGCCCTAGAGATGATGTTGTTTAGGACTATTCAGTGACAGTCACAAGCATTCACAATAAAATAAGACGAAAAACTGGAGTTATAAAAATGTTACATAATTTGCTGGGCACAGTGCCTCACGCCTGTAATGCCAGCACTTTGGGAGGCTGAGGCTGGTGAAATCACCTGAGGTCAGGAGTTCAAAGGCAGATCACCTGAGGTCAGGAGTTCAAGAGCAGCCTGGCCAACATGGTGAAACCCCGTCTCTACTAAAAACACAAAAATTAGCTGAGAATAATGGCATGTGCCTGTAATCCCAGCTACTCGGGAAGCTGAGGCAGAAGAATTGCTTGAACCTGGGAGGCAGAGGCTGCAGTGAGCCAAGATCGCGCCACTGCCTGGGTGATAGAGCGAGACTCCATCTAAAAAAATAATAATAATTAGCATGATCCCACTTTGTTTTACATACAAAGGTGGTGAGATCATTAGAATATTTTTTCTTCATATTTTCTGCCTTTCCACAATAACCATGTACTACTTTATAATAAGTAAAAACTTTTTTCTTATAAATAAATGATAAATCTAGAACAAAATCTTGGACAAGAGGCTGCCTCTGTAGCTAATGATTTTCTTAATCTCAATAGTGATCGAAAGAATCAATGGTGCAATGCGAGCAGGTTTGGATCAGTACCAGCTTGTCCCACAGCACCAGGGGAGTAAGGGACTGGTGCCCTAGCTTCAACAATGGGATGTGGTCCACACTTCGATGTGGTCTCAAACTATAGGCTCCACATTTCAGAAGGCCCTACGTACCAGCCCCTTGCACCTCCAGGAAGCCAGTAGGACAGAGGGCTAGAGCAGGCTGGGACCGTGGCAGTAAGGAATGGGACTGAAAGGCATTGTATCAGTATTCCAGGTCTGCCCCGCTCTGGCCTGCTGGGGGACCTTGCAAGGACCAACTCCTGTCTGACTCTGTTATCTTTATAAATGACAACAACCCCTGCCCTGCCTACCTTGCAGCAGGGCTGATGGAAGGAGCAAATGAGATGCCTCCTACTTGCCAGGGACTGGCAAAGTGCTATGTGGATGTGAGGTTATTCTGTGTCCATTCTACACCCCACAGCCAGGATAGACACCAGAGATGACCCCAGGAATGTGGTAAAGTTCGTTTCCAGCAATGCCCCCCAACTCCTGCCCCTTCCCCCCACCACCTCTCAGAGCGCCCAGCCACACACACCTGCCGCTCCCTCCCTGATGCATCTTTCAAGGAAGTCAGAGTCCCAAAGAAAAGCAAACCCCTTGGGCAGCTGCTGGAAGCAACAGTAGCCCTACTGTTCCAGTTATGAGAATCCCTTTGCAAAGAAAGTTTTTATAAAGAGAAAGGCAAAGAGAAAAGGGGGGTTATGACAACAGAAGCGCAGAGCAAACCATTTCAAGTCCTGACACAGGCAAACTGGTTCTGAAAGTCACCTGTTTCTGAACAGGAACGCAAAGCCCTGTCCTGTCATGCCACACAGCTGGGTATCTGTGCATTGCCAACTGACTTATATAAGCTCTTCAAAAAACCCATTCGTTTGAGTTCCCTGTTTGTGCAAATACTGTCAGGGGCGCATCCGAGCACCCCGGCCATCCATCATCACCAGTGCATTTCCCAGGCTGGCGGTGACTCACCCCAGTCCGAACCCGCAGTACATTCTGCAGGCAGCTTCTGTCACCGTGAGGCCTTGCAGCCTGTTAATGCCTCTTTCCCATTTATCGGGCCCACAATAGGCATATTAGTGATGCTGAAACCCTGAGCACTCCCATGGAGAAGAAAAGAGCCGGGTGACTGAGAGGATGTGTGTGTGTTTATTTTCACCATTCAGCCCAGCCACAGCTTGGGTGTTCAGAAACCACTCCTCTGCTCTGGCAGTACATCTGCCCTGGAGAGGAGACAGCCATGGGTCTACAGGCCCCTCACTGGGAGCACTCACGCCAGCCCAGAGTGAGAATTGCAAAGAAGGAAAAAGCTTGGAGACCTTGATCTCTGCTACCAGAACTCATGGGGCAGTGAGACCCTAAGAACCCAGGGTCAGCAGCTGGTCGGTGTGAGGGTGGAGGAGGCTCATCCAAAGCCTCTCAGAGACTCCCATGTCCACGCCTAGGGTCAGCCACACCCACAGAAGACCAGGTCTGTCCCAATCAATGCCAAGTCAGTTATTTAACCCGCAGATAGGAATTCTTCTCTAGAAGTCCAATTTAAAGAGGAAATACAGACATACTGATTTGCAGCCTCAGAGCACAAGTTCCATGGACCAAGAAGGGTTCAAATACACACACACACACAGTCCTATTCTGTATTCAAGAGACCCGGCTGCCTTGCATCCAGTGCTCTGGCTTAACACATCCGTGGAAAACACACAAACTCCATGTGCATCCCTGAAAATGACCGACATGCGCTTAGTTGCATATTTGACATGATCTCAGATGAGCAAACAGTACAACATACCCTGTTACGGTACTCTCAAAATGTATGCTTCAGTGAGCCGAGATCACGTCACTGCACTCCAGCCTGGGCAACAGAGCAAGACTCCGTCTCTCAAAAAAAAAAAAAAAAAAGTATGCTTTAAATTTTCAGAATATATTGATCTTTGCTATTTGTGTACATAAACAAATACATACACATTTAGACATACATGACTAAGGCAGAAACCCCAGCTAATGTTCACATTAGGCCACTGATGCCAATACTACTCAAAGAGACTGGGAAGTATGGAAGAACCACCCACAACATGATCCTCACTAAATCAGCACCCTGAAAAATCAGCAGGATTGCTTCCACAACCTCCCAGGCAACAGAACTGGGAGGTCTACCTGGGGAGCACAGGTCCTTTTGCTTTCTCCAAAGAAGAAGGGTTTTCCAGGAGAGCTTGGGCCCTAACCACAAATCCAGGATGCGTTTATCATTCCAACAGGAAAGATTTCAAGCAAACCCAGTTATTATTGAGGTTTTTTCCTATTTATCCACCGACTCTCTGAGCCAGATACTGTTCCAGGAGCTGGGGAAGCAGCAATGAACAGAGCAGACGCATCCTCACCTCAAGGAGCTGACTGTCTACTAAGGAATTTTACTTTTGCTGATTTGTTTCTTAATCAAGGTAGCAATGTCCTTTTCACTTCACACTTGTGTTGAGTCTCATTTTTCTCAAATATTTAAACCTTGGCTCCAACTGAGATATCTATTAAAAGAGCCACAGGATCCTGAGGTTGGGTCCACGCTGAGTAAAGAGACCTGTGAATTGTAACACTAGGTCCTATTTTCTGTCTCTGAGTTCCTCCAGACAAGTCAGATGTCAATGTTCAGCATACCTGAATTCCCTCCCATCCAGCTGTGGGAAACCTTCGAGCATCAGACCACCTGCTAGGAATCCAGAGAGACCTTCAAACATCCAGCAAGTCTTGAGATGTTTCTAAGGATGCCCTGCAGAAAGTCAAACATTAGAAGTGTTTCTTGGAAAAACACATCACCAGATAAAGATAATTGATTTTGAGGGATCTAATCATGGGTTCCAGATTATTCCCCAAAAGGGAAATAAGGAGGAAGGGTCATGCTTTCCAGGGCATGAATCTCCAGCAAGGGGTCTGATCTGGCAGAGCCCAGGGGAGACACCAAGTGAGGGGAAGCTCTGCACAGCTCGAGGAAACAGCTCAGCCAGCTTGACGCGGCCGGGGACAGGCCACACAGCCCTGTCACTCGTGACAAAAGAAGAGAGCAGAGTGGACAACTTCCCCTCTCTGGCTTTGGCTATAAGTCTTCCTGCTGAGCCCCTCACCCGGCCTGACTTCTGAGAGAACACCCCGCTCATCTGAGAAAGGGCAGCATTGCTCCCTCAGCAAATCAGGGGGAGAGGGAGCTTTCCCAGGCTTTTAATCACTCTCTGATTCAGCGCCCAAAAACCCAGGGACAGGAAGCCCAGCAGATTTTGCTCAGAACTGAGATAATATATTTTCTAACCAGAAAACACATCTCAGCTAGTTACCACCTCATTCATCTTTCCAGAGTGGTTATAATTACAGTATTCATTTCATAATTGCTGCCTATTTGCAAATACAAAATCCCTGAATCTTAAAATAAATTACAGTTCTCTTTTCTATTTAACAGCCATTGTGCTGCTAGTTTACAAAGAGGAGACAATACCTCCAATTATTATTTTAATAACAAGCCTAAGGTGAACAAGGCTTGAGTTTTCAGAAGACGACGTGACTCATTAGCACAAAAGAGAATTATTGAAAATAATTTCATTGAACAGCTCAGTTATGGATTTCTCAATTCTAGGCTCAAGGGCCAATGACAGCAACTTTTGATCTGCCCTTTTTCTGGCTTGCTGCTGACCTTGGCACAAATGATGAGGCGGTCCAAGCTCGCTGTGGTCAGTGTGCCTCTCCCTGCCACCCAGGGCATCTGGTATTACTGACTTAACCCGGTGATTCTAATTCTTTAACGACTATTTATAAAGGGTTCTGGAGGAAAGTGCGTGTAGTACGGGGTGTTATTTTATGTCTAGGGGCTACGGGGAAACACATGGTGAGCTGGGCCTTGGATGTTGGCACTAAGGCAGGCAGAGAACAGACGTGCAGCTGGGGCCAGGGCAACAGGACCCAGCCAGGCAGGAAGGCGGCAGCAAGTAACAGGTTTAAACCTTACTTTCGACGTGCCTTTTGCCTGTGAGTGAGGCCAGCAGCTGACACAGCTGTCAGAGCCCAAACGAGAATGTTCGGAACGACTCCGTGCTGCTATGCAGAGAGGAGGGACTGACAGAGTCACTCCCAGCCCGCAAGATGTTTGAGCCAGGTGTGCCCAACAAAAGGCCATACCACCATGCTACCTCCTACAGAGCCCATGTTTGCTCACAATGGGAGGGGCCTCCCAGCCGAAGAGGAGCTCACTCCAGGCTGCAGGGAAAACAAAGCCTAACCTTCTGAGATAGGCACCTCCTTTCCTGTAGGGGACTGCAAGGAAGTCTCCAGCCCCAGATGCCTGCAGGTGTTCCCAGACGGGACTGCTCTCAGACCAAGGTGAACTCAGGGCCCCATCTGAGGGGCAGAGTCACCTCCAGGAGGCCAGAGACAGGATCATGGGTGTATCCCATGGTGGTCCTCCCTCTGCCTCACACCCCCAGACTGCTGTCCCTGCCTGCCAAGGCCACCTCTGACAGCCATCAACCCAAACACCTCTTCGCAGGGGTTCCTGGTGTGAGATTTAGGGATGTCACTGCCAGGAAATCAAAAACTCCTGGATGTCATTCACAGGGAATGAGCACCTTCTATGCCCCGGGCTCCAAGCCAAAAGCCAGTGACACACAGAAGGACAAACTGGTCCAAGTCCCTGCCTTCAAAGAGCTTGTGGCCTAATGTGGTCTGGAGACCCCTGCTGTTCCTACCAGTCACATGCCCTTAGCCAAGCCCCTCACCCTTTACCTTTGGCCCTCATGTGAAGAGGGAGACAAAAAAGACAAAATGACTAGATACGGATCACATACTCCGGAGCACCCCGGAGATGTGGTCTGGCCTAGCGTTAAGAGCAGCCCCGACAGATCGCCCGAGCTAGACACTTTATGCCTGTGTCCTACATGCCAGATGGCAATAAGAAGAGTAGCTGCCTCACAGGGCTGATATGAGAAGTAAATAGGTAAACATTGGAAAAATGCTGTGCACAGTGCCTGGCACAGGCTGAGTGCTTATTGTCATCATTATTATTGTTGTCACTCATTATTATCATATGACATGCTAGGGACATGACAGTAAGGACAAGACAGTCCTCGTCTCTGAGGGAGGTGGAACTGCCTGTTTGCCCATTTTGCACAGTGTGATCATTGCTTCCTTGAGACCACTCCACCAAGCCCAGGCTTGTGGGGATCAGAGAAAGCCCCTGGAGGAGAGACATCCTATTGCAAGCAGCTGAAGGCCAAGTAGGTATTAGGCAGGCCAGGCAGAAGGAACCACATGTGCAAAGGTACAGAGGCTTGAGGGACAGGGTAGGCTGGCAAGAACATGCGAGGTGGGGTGCTCTTGCTGGGCCACTGTGAGGATGAAGAGGATCTGCCCATCAAAGTCCACTGAGAACTTAGCCACTGTGCAAGAGCAGGGATTGTCCACCATTTGTTTTTCATTGAACTCCAAAATAAGTATGTGGAATAAGCATTTACTGAGGCCCCACAGCAGCCCTGGTCTGGGTCCTGTGGGGCAGATGGCCGGAAAAAGACCTTGTGCCTGGCTCAGTGAGGCCAGGGTTCCCACGCAGACCACAGATCCCAGACAGAGTCTGCCTGCTTCAGCAGAGGTGCTCACCCATGCGGGACCCAGAACTCACACGGCTCTCTGGTGGGGCCTGCCCTGTGTCTGTGGCAGCTCTTCTCTGAGACACACACAGCAGCCCACTGTGTGACTGACAGGTCATAGGGCCTCCCCACAACACCGCCAGTGCCTGTCATCTGGCATGGGGACAGCTCACCAGCCATTTCACAGGCAGGAATACCTTCTGCACATTGTAGGGTCCAACTGCTCCTTGTTGGATTGAGCCTCGGGGCTCATGGTTTTAAAACAGAGTTAGTCTCCACTCTCAAGGCTTTCTCGGAGTCCTGCTGCACCTGATATTGCTGGAGGCAGGTAGACAGGGGACAGGGAAGGAAAGCTGGGCCTGGTGGTCAGGTGGATTCAGAGTAGAGAGGACTCTGCTTGGGCTTCCCTCTCTGGAGCCACAACACCTATCCTGGCCAACGTGGCCAGAGTCTGCCCCTGCACACTCCCTCTGTGGCTCTGGGGAACCAGGGGCCACAAGTGAGGATGCTGGTCAGCCCTTCCTGGTGGAGACAGGAGAGGGTCTGGCAGCTGACAGCCCCCTTCCCAATCCGGGACCATCACCTCCTCGCTGTGTGATATGAGACACATCACCGTCTCCCTGCCTCAGTTTCCTCACCTATACATAGGTTTCCTAATAGTCCCTACCTCAAGACGTTGACCGATGATTAAAATAACACACATCAAGGGCCCAGGAGAGCCTGGCACAGTCTGGCTCTCAGTAATGTTAGCTATTATTTACCCCACCACTTTTCTGGAGAGGAAACGCTGATGGCAAAGCTGTTATTGGCACTTCCACGCAGCATTTCCTAGCTTCCTCCACTCCAGGCACACTCGGGAGCCAAATAACCCTGAATACCTCCTGTTTCCTGGGGACAACTCTAAGAAAAATTTTTAAAAAATTATTCAAAACGTGGTGGATACTGTTTCTGAAGAAATAAGTCATCGAAACCATCCCCTCAAATCTATTCTAAATCTAAGGCAAGTAAAACAGCAGGCGACGTGTAGTGCAATCCACGTGGTGACAAACATACTCACTGGGAACCAAAGTCAGGCCCCCCCAGAGCTGCTCTTGTTGTACGGTATGCTCACGGCAGTGGGGCTCCCTGCATGTGACGAATGTGGGTGGCACACCCACGCCCCTCTGTAGAGCTGGGGATCCACACTTCATTACCGTAATGCACCACAACCGGGGATTGGACATAGTGGGCTCTTCGTCCGTGATATGCTGTTGATGGCAAGTCCCACATGCAACATCTGTATCTGCCTCTGAGGAACAACAGAGTCCCCTCCACAGTCCAAAGACCAGGAGCAGGGGCAGGACCACAAAGCCCCAAACAGAGAGGCTCAGCAGGTGTGTTTGACAGCAACAGCTCCACAGAAGTGCTCTTGCACCACGACCACACCACGACCAACGGAGAGAGTCCACCTCCTGGAATGCACTTCCTCACACCTACCGCAGAGCCCTGGTGGGAGCTCTGTTCCCCATTCTGCCTTTTTTTCTTCTCCACGGGTTGCTGCAGCCCATCTCAGAAGCCAGCCCAACTTGACAGTGCTTGGGAGGATTCAGACATCTCCCCCAGTGATGACCCGGTCACAGCAGAGCTATCATTGAGGCCACCTCCAGCAGGTGGACAATGTCCCCTTGCAGCACAGCCAGCACAGAGCCTGAGAGCAGGCACAACTCAGCACTACCAGCCAGGGCCCACAGAACCACCGCAGAGCCCCACACCTTGTAATTAGTCCATAGGCCCGGGCTAGGGACAATGGCCTGGAAAAGCCAGCAAATGAGATACGTGCATTAAAACCAGGTCTCTGTGCCAAGCATGCGACTTAATTACATAGCCCGCGTACTCTCTTCCTTCATGAACTCTCACCCCAACCAGTGACGACACAAAGGAGGGATTAAAGACTGCCTGCCGGGGCCAGGGAGGCTAAGTCTGCATCTTCAAAGCAGAGAGGCTCTGTAAGCAACACGCAGAGCCGAGAGCCCCTATGCAGCCCCCACAAGAGACAAAGGAGGTGGGCAGGTATTCAGCAGCCATGACTTGTGTGAAATTCTGACTCTCCGTCTGTAACACCTTGCAACAATGGTGGCCTTCCAGCAAAGTGAAGAAGCCCGGCCAGCTCCTGTGACGCTCTTGCCCCACGCAGGCCTTCTCTGCATGGCGGGCATGGCCCCAGAAGGTGGCTACCAAAACTCACACTGCCGTTCTCTCCACAGCCAGGGCCAGATCATCTGGGCAGAGTAAGCCACTGGCTTTGGCCTGGAAATCTCCACTCTGCAGGCCCACAGCCTCACTCCAGCATCCTCTAGGATGAGGGTGCAAAACCTTGTCCTAGGAACAGCGATGGGGAACTGGACTGTTGGGGAAGAAAATGTGGTCACTGTCTCCACTGGACAGGGGGCTGAGCCACAGGAAGCCCCCTCTAAAAAGCTGAGGTCCCAATGCCCAGCATGGCCATTTCCCCTGACAGCCTGAGCAGGGTGAGGCAGATCACACAACTCAATGAGGCTGGCTCTCACCCTAAGCTGATCCCCTAGACCCCCAGCCCCTCGGGAGGACCATGACCCTCCTAAACCACAACTGGAAAAACCTGTGGTCAGCTCCTAAAGAAGTTAAGCAGCAAGCCTCAGAGAGACCCGGCTACCTCTCCTGGGGCTCTCTGCCGAGGTGTGCTGGCTCTAGGCAGAGGAGTTGGGCAAAGGCTGTTGTTACTACGGACTGGGTGTTCCATTTGGACAATTTCATCCCAATGCTCTGTAATGCCCCCTAATCCCAGCCCGCATGTCTAAAGACAGAGATCCCAGCCTTCAAGGATCTGCCGTGGTTTGCTCACAGCAATAGAAACAGTTTTTTTGTTGGTGGTGGTTTTTTTTTGGGGGGGGGGGTTGTTTTTGTTGTTGTTGTTGTTTTGTTTTGTTTTCTTTTTTTGAGATGAAGTCTCGCGCTTGTGCCCCAGGCTGGAGTGCAATGTCATGATCTCAGCTGACTGCAACCTCCACCTCCCGGGTTCAAGCCATTCTCCTGCCTCAACCTCCCGAGTAGCTGGGATTACAGGCACCTGCCACCACTCCTGGCTCATTTTTGTATTTTTAGTAGAGATGGAGTTTCACCATGTTGGCCAGGCTAGTCTCAAACTCCTGACCTCAGGTGATTCGCCCGCCTCGGCCTCCCAAAGTGCTGGGATTACAGGTGTGAGCCACTGTGCCTGGCCAGAAGCACAGTTTTTTATACCAAGGTCGATGGCTCCAAAGGCATGTCCTGGCAGAAGGGAAAGAGCTCAGAGGGCCAGAAGAGCCAAAGAAGGGCCTGCCAAGGGGGAGGCTCTTCCAGCCTGACCCCTGCCCTGCCATGAAGAAGCAGATCAGGCCAGGAGGACAGGAAGACATAGAGTCAGTCATATGCCCTGCCCTTCCCTGCCCTGCAGCCCCTAAAACACGCTGGGCCTGCACACCTGCCAGCCTCAAGGATGAACAGCAGCAGGCCTGGACTGCAAATCTGAGCAAGAGGCTTCTGGACTAATGGCAGGGCCCCTGGAGAAAGAAGAGAGAACCCCCACGTTTAGGGGGCTTAGACCCCTCAGCCCCTAAGCCCTACTGGAGGCCCTCACCCATGCCGCCTTTGATGTACCCGCCAAACCCGGCAGCCTTGAGGCCCTCTCTGCATTCCCGGGCCTGCTGAGGTCCCAGAACCGCACCTGTGCTGTCTGTCACAGTGGTCGGGGCCTGGTGGGCACCCACATCAGATCCTCCAGGCTGTGGTGGGCACACCAAGCCCAAGAGGCAGAGACTTACCAGGGCCACACAGCTAGTACTTCTCACTGCCCCAAACGTCAGCATCCACACTGCTGGCCATGCTGGCAGGGAGGGGAACTCTTTGGGCTGGCAACCTGTTGCCCGTGGTCCAGGCCACTCAGAGAGCCAAGGCAGCCCCAGAACCAAAATGAATGCACTCCATCCACTGGAGACTGTGGCAAACCATTATTCCTGCCACTGCAATGTTAGTGATCAAATAACCTCCCCCACATCTCTGTTTCCTCATCCGTGACATGGTCCCTCTGTCACCCCCACCTCTAAGGGAGGAAAAGGTAATGCAGTAGAGCACCCTGATCAAAACACACATTTTGACTTTCACTCTGGGGTTCCTTTTTATTAACAGGAGGCTAAATCTGTGACTAAAATTAAGTACTAACATTTAGGAATGATTTACCATCTCTATAGATTCACAGCAGATTTAAGGAAATTTCTGTAACAACATCCCTTTCACAGCTGGCTTTCCAAGGCACTTTCTTCAGGAAAGCAAAGCAAAGGAGAGACTGAGCACTCAGAGAGGAGGGGTCTGGGAGGCCTGGCCATGCCGGCAAGGAGGGGTCAGGGAGGTCTGGCCATGCCAGGGAGGAGGGGTCGGGGAGGCCTGGCCATGCCAGGGAGGACAGAGCACTGGGAGCAGCCCTGATGCTGCACTGCCAGCACACAGCAGCCTCCACCCCACCTGGAGGTGGGCAGGGTGGCCCAGTGGTGAGACCACCCTGGCTTCCTCCATTCCCACCACTTCCCTGTTAGGCCTCCCTGGCAGCAGCAGTCCCATCTCTAAGATGGGAGTCACACCGGCACCCCTCCTGGGGTTGGTGTATGGAAAGCACAGAGCCTGGCACATGCCGAGGCCGGTGGATGCTGGCTTTCACATCAGCCTCCCTGCACCAGCAACCCCATTCCTCCACTGAAGGGCTTGTGCTGAAGCTGCCAGTCTGCATGGGGTGGCTATAGGCAGGATGGCACTCTGCAGCCCTCCCCCACCTTGCCCACGAGGGATGAAGATGGTGCCTCCACACTTTGCCACTCCATTCCCAGTCCTCCCCAGTCCCGACTTGGCTTCCCTAGAGAGTCAGGATGAGCAGAAGCAGGAAAGGCACAGAAAGCAGGGGTGAGACCAGTTATGTATGAGAGTCTCTTAGAATCGTCCAGCTCCAAATGGTAGTAGTTTAGGGGTCTGGGGGATGCCAACAGGATGGACCAAAGCCCATGGGAGAAGGACCCAGAATCCAAAGGCTGGGGGATCATCCTAGGTTGGAGCAGCTTCATAACAATCAAGTGAGATGGGATTTCACAAAGGAGGAATCAGGCACAGAAAGAGCAAGGCATCTACCCAAGGTTACACAGCTAAGTGGTAGAGGCGGGACTGGAACCCCGGCAGTCTGACCCTGGAGCCCTTGCTCCAAATCACTACTCTGCAATGTCTTTCAACGCCACCCTTCCTTCCCGCCTCCTTGGCCACACCTCAGGCTGCCCAGCAAGGGCCAGGAGGTGCCAGGAGAGCAGCTCCAGCCTCTGCCCTTCCTCCGTACTACTGGTTCGCAGACCTCCACAGCCCAACCTGAGACCCAGGCCCAACGGCAGCCCACTCCCACACACTGCCACCTGGGAGAGCTGGCAGGCTCAGCCTACGAGGAGCGGCTCGTTCACAGGCTGGTAAAGGGGCTAATTAAACACCCAGCCCATGCCCCCCGCCATGATGAGGGAACCCTGCCACCTCATTGCCCTGCTGCCAGCCAACAGGCTCAGAGGAATGCCACACAGAATTCGGCAGCGGGCAGAGCAGGGTGAAATCCCTCTTTATAGAGTTATTTTTGCTGTGGAATTTTCACTGGCCTGTAAAATATTTTTATATTTATTACACGTTTAACGGGAGCTCCTAGAACCAACAGGGTGTAAATAATGAAAACTAGGGCAGTAAAGGCCCCAATAAACCTTGCACCAGCCCTTTGATTCTCCCTGTGAGCTCCAATTTCTCCTTCCTCCCCAGACTCCAACCCTTTGCCCCGGAGCAAGCCCAGAAGGCCAGCAGACCTTCGGGAAGCCCATCTTTGGCTCACAGAAAATAGACTCACTCCATTGGCAGCTGGAGCTGTGCTTCTGGCAGACCCCACTGAATGTGCTGACCGAGGAAAGGCCTACTGTGTGTTCAGCCAATGCCAGTGCTCAAGGGAGCTGAGCCAGGAGACTCCAGTGAGGGCCTCACCTCCCCCAGCCCTGCAACCTCAGATGGCTCCCATATTCCCAGGTCCCAACACCAGCCCCACGAGCACAGACATGCATGGGATGGTCACATTCCTATGCCCTCAGGGCCTCACTGGAGAACCAGAAGTCCTAGGAGAAAGTGCTCCATCCATAAATGCCGACCTCCACACCTCTGCAGCACCCTGGCTCAGTGTGCCTGCATCCTATGGCTGCATCCTATAGGTACAGAAGGCTCCCAGAGCCCCCATCTGCACCCCGCTCCCCATGTCCCCTCATATGATCCACAAGAAAAATCCAGGAGGAATCAGGCCCTTAGATCCTGCCCCAGGCAGGAACACAGAGACACAGAGAGGGGAGAGACCTACGCAGAGGGCAGATGCCAGTCAGTGGCAGAGCCAGGGCTAGCCTCGGAGCTAGAGACTCTTCAGTCAGGGTAAGAGATCTTGCCCGAGCCCCTCCTCAGGTAGGAATCATCTCTCCACATGTCAACAGCAGCTACCCTACCTCTGCCTGCTAAAATCCCCAATGACGAGGGGTCAGTTCCCAACAACCCAACCCTCTCCATTCTGGGTCATCCAACAGTCAGCAGCTGAGCCCAAACCTTCCTCCCCAAAGCTGAGCCCAGCTGCTCCCACCTCTTCACACATGTCCTTCCCATACCTGAACCCAGGTAAGCAACCCCTCCCAGACCATCCCCAGCTCTGAGAGCACACCCGCCCTGCCCCCCACCCCAACATGACGAGGTGCCCAATCCTCACAGCACCAGGCTGCCTGTGCCTCTTATAATGGGGACCAGCCCCAGGAGAGCACCCAGTCCCCTAGACCAACCAAGACACTGAATGTCTGTTCATACATCTGGAGGTGGCCTTCACTGGTGTTTCTTAAGCACTCACAGCATGTGACCAGTTGACCCCAACTTCGTAGCCAAAATCCTGGCTGTTGAGTCTGGTCTGTCCTACTAGACTCCAGGGAAATGATTCCTGACTCAATGCAAGAGTCTGCACCTGTGCTGAGCAAAGCACCCTCACGGGCTGTGGGCACCCTGCAACCCCCCTCCTGGGCACCCATGCAGTCAGGGCTGCCCTTCCCTTCACAGCGGAAGCCTCTGCACATCTGCAAAACTACAAGAGGGGCCTGTCCTTCCCAGATGCTCAGGAACAATGCCAGCCACACTCTATATGAATCACATCCCATGTCTGCCCCACCAACAGCGGTTGAACACGACCCTAGGAGTGCACAATCCCTGTGGAGCTGCAGACAAATGTGGGGGTGAAGGGTGTGAACCCCAGCGGCTCCTCAGACACGAGTCAGGCTGGAGCAGCTCCTCTCCGGGGGCAGATCAAGCTGCAGCTCCTGCCTGCAGCTGCTGCACCACCAGGAGATTCTTGTCTCTCAACCCCTGATAATTATAGTCCCTGGTGCTCGGTTAACAGCCGAGTCATTGCAGGGTGTTAGAACAAGCAGAGTCTGCGTGAAGAAAATTAAACAACAGCATTTGACAAGTGGCCCATCCCCTGTGGCACCTCCCTGAGCCAGGCAAAGGGGACCATCTAGGCCTCGCTGGCCCACCCGGGAGGAGCTGGCCCCTCAGGGCAGGAGGCAGGAGGCTCTCGGTAAGTAGGGGCAACGCCCACTTGGAGACCCAGGAGTGGAGAGAAGGGGAGCTACAGGGCCCTGGAAAGGGGGCTGTGGGAGACAGTCCTCTCACAGGGAGGCTGCACAAGCCCCACGGCCTCTGCACTCAAGAGGGGCCACCTCTCAAGGACCTCTGCACATCTGCTCCCCGGGTATCGCTCACCCAGAGAGCAGCCACAGAGCCAGATTCAGGGGCACGGTAAGGTGCCCTCTAGGAGCTGCCTGGGGCTCTTCATGGCTGAGCAGGTGGGGAAAACTCAGCCTCACTGGATAGAAAGTGGCACCTGTGCTACTACTACTCCAGTCCCTCCCTGACATCTTGAGGAAGCAGGCTAGGGAGAGATGGGGTCATGAGGGCTGTGCTGGGGCACTTCCCAAGCCTTTGCTGTGTCAGCCCAACAGCATTCCCATCTGGTCCCCAGCCTGGGAGCTGCAGCCCAAGATGTGGTGCTGAGCCCCCAGGTGCAAGAGTCACCCAGGAGACTCCCACTGAGCCATCAAGTCCCCAGAGGGCTTTGACATCAAGCACTCAACCTCCATCCCCTGCCCTCTGAAAGCTCCTGGGTCCCGCAGTCAATCAACAACAGTAATGGGTGTCAGCTGCATTGGAGCAACTTGTAGCAGACCAAGGATGTGCAGAACCACACACCCGCTGCCCTTGACCCCGCCTACCAGACCTGGTGCTAGTGTCAGCCACCTACACAGTCCTGCTCCTCATGGTCTTTTTCCATGGGATCAAGCTCAGGCCTCACATGAAGAACCAGCGACACGGATGCCCAAGCGACGCCGCCAGCAGTGCCAACCATTTGCACACACTCTAACAGCTGCTGTAACCTCCCATTTTCGTAAGTGAGAAAACTGAGGAGCTCAGAGAGGCCAAGTGACTTGTCTGAAGGAGCAGAGCCAGGATCTCAGTCCAAGGCCAACTATCCAAATCCCAGAGGACATCTGAGGACAGTCCAGGCTCTTTCTAAAGGACAGCTCAAGGGCACCTCCCCAGGCAACCCTCTCCAAGCCCCGCATTCCCAGCACAAGCGCCGGCTCCTGGCTTGCCCTCCCTGTGTCCCAAGCTGCAGCTAGGAGGAGGGGGTGTGCCTCCCCCCAAATTCCAGGCAAAGAGAGGCACAGAGCAGACTTCAGCTTCCCGGCACCCACCATGAGACAGAACACATGTTTTCTGTGTTCCCTCCCTCCTCAAGCTCCCAAACATGCTGGAGATATTATTATTTATTATTTGCTGAGTGCTGACAGCGTGCTGAGCATCAGGTCCAGGAGCCCAGGCCCTGCCAACACGGCTTGCAGTCAGACACCCAGCACGACACGGCCCCCGGCCACCCGGATACACATGCAGCTGCTGGGGCTGGCTGCCGGGGTCCCCAGCTCAGATAGCCTCCTCTCCTATCCTCAGACTCCACAGCCATGCCCCTTGGCCTCTCCCTACCCCAGCAGGGAGGTGTCTTTAGTCCCGGGCAGCCAGATGCTCCAAGGCAGGGCCTCCGACCCCACAAAGGGTGAGAGGATTCACCTGGAGCTGGGCTGGAAGATGCAGGAAAAGCCCCTGCCCCCGGGGCCTACTCAACCCAGCCCATGCTCATGCATGCCAGGTCACTGCAGCAGATCCCATGAAAAACCAAGACGGCCATGTCACCAGCCCGTCCTCTCCTGAACACCCAGCTCACTCTCGCCTTCTTCCTCTGGAGAGAGGACCAGAGGCCAGAGTCAGCTCTGGGGTATAGAGATTCCCTGCTCTGTCCTGGGAGGCAGGACCAGGACTAGGGTGAGCAAGTGAAACACAAAAGCTAAGGGAGCCAAAAAACTCAGGAATCAAGATAAACAATATTTCCACACAGTATTTCTAAAAATCAAAATTAATGCAAAAATCTATGATGAATAAAATACCAAAATGTTAAATAAAGACAGGATCGGTAGTACTGGTGTTTCCTTCAATTCAGGCTCCAGTGTGGCTTCCATGGCACTGCGGGGAAGGCCACTCAGTCCAGGGTGCTCCCCCAGACTGTCCTCTGCATTGGAGGAGACTCTGCAACCCCATAGCCATGTCATGGGTCAACATCCCAGACCCCCAAGTGAGGGCTCCTACAGAAGGTCAGCACCCACCCTGAGGGGCCTTCCTGGAGAAGAAGGTACACAGAGGTCAGAGGGAGCCTGCCAGCATCTGGGGGTGGCACAGGGAGGAAACGCACCCTGGGGTACCTGTGCTTCCCATTTGCTCAGCCCCAGCTCCTCACTCAGAAATGGGTCCCGGCCAGGTGTGGTGGCTCACGCCTGTAATCCCAACACTTTGGGAGCCTGAGGTGGGTGGATCACTTGAGGTCAGGAGTTCGAGACCAGCCTGGCCAACATGGTGAAACTCCGTCTCTACCAAAAATACAAAAAGTTAGCCAGGTATGGTGGCAGGTGCCTATAATCCCAGCTACTCAGGAGGCAGAGGTAGGAGAATCACTTGAACCCCAGAGGCAGTGGTTGCAGTGAGTTGAGATCACGCCACTGCACTCCAGCCTGGGTGACAGAGCAAGACTCTGTAGAAAGAGAAGAGAAGAGGAAAATAAAAGGAAAAAGAAAAGAAAGAAGGGGTCCCCTGTCTGGGTCCCCAGAAGCCACGGTCTCCCACGGGGATACTCGGTGTGCCCCACGTCATCGCAGCTCCCTCCCCCACCAGGAGTGCAGTCCTGAGCTGAGGCATGCTGCTGAGAAAGCCTGAGAAGGAGCCCTGCCCCAGGGCTGGGACAGGTAGAGGAGGGGCAGGCCTCACAGTCAAGGGGTCCCCACCAGAAATGACCCATGGAGAAGGGTCCTCCACACCCAGTTCTAGCTAGGGGGCATGGTTTCTGTAGGTTTGAGTCTTGGGGGACTGCCTACCTTCAAAGTCAAATAAGAGTCACAAGCTTCTTTGTCCCTGGCTGCCAAGATTCCAGGGCAGAAGGCTTCCCACCCACCCCAAGCAAAGATGCCCACGACCCAATCCCCAGAACCTGCAATGATGTACCTTACATGGCAAAAGGGGTCTTTGCAGATGTGATTAAGTTTGGGGGTCTTGAGATGGGGAAATTATCATGCATTACCTGGGAGGGCCCAGTGTAATCACATGGGTCCCTAAAAGTGGAGAGTATTCCCCAGCTCTGGTCAGAGGGAGAAGCAACGATGGAAGGGGGTGTCCAAGAAATGCAGTGTGGCTGGCTTTGAAGATGGAGGAGGAGGTCACGAGCCAGGGAATGCAAGCAGCCTCTAGAAGCTAGAAAGGTCAAGAAAACAGATTCTTCCCTAGAGTCTCCAGATGGAACACAGCCTGACCGAGGCCTTGATCTTAACCCAGGGAGACCATGTCCAGCTTTTGACTTACAGAATTGTAAGATAATAAATGCATGTTGACTTAAAGTCCCTTAGTATGTGGTAATGTGCTTCAGCGGTAATAGAAAACTAACACTGCCCCAGAGACTTCAGCCACCCTGCCCTCCCCTTTCCCAGGCTTCTTCATGGAAGGGCCTGCCCTTGGACGTTGCTTAAGGAGCTCAGCTCTGTGACTGACACAGCCTGCTTTCTAAATATGGGCCAAGAGTCCATGCTGAGACCGGCACAAGCTCACAGGTAGCCCTGGCCCCCACCTCTTCCACAGGGGCCCCTGGGCAGGCCCACTCTCCATAGCAGAGCCTGCTCCCATTAGCTGCTCAGTCTCCCACTCGGGCCCCAGACTGGTCCCAGACCCACTCATCCCTCTGTTTGGATGACACAGCCTTCCTTTACTGCCACAGCCCCTCTCAGAACACTCTGCTGGGTGCATCATCCTGCAACAGCAATGTCAACTTCTCACTGCCCTGCTGCTGCTGTTCTGAAAGCTGCAAGGCTTTTTTGCTATCCCCCCAATGCCATGATGTCCAAACTGTACTCCCAGAACCTTGGGGCCACTGGGGACTTTGGGAGGCGGTTTAAAGGGCAAGTGAATGGGGGTCAGAAACACCCAGCTAGCTGTTCTGCTGTGTACAGACAAGTGTTCACTTCAGCAAAGGGGTCTCCAGATAAGTGAAACGTGTGAATACCCTGGCATGAAGGGGGAAGTCACAAACCTGTGGCAAAACTCAGCAGAGAGTGCTGTCCCCATGCAGTATCAGTACTTTTGTGTCTATTGGTGCGATTGCTGGATTGATGTCTGTCTCCCTCTATAGGCTGTGAGCTCCCACAGGGTGGGACCATGTCAGTTTTGTCCCCACCTTGAAACCCCAGAATTAAACATGGTGACTGGCACCTTAGAATGAATACATGAATGAATGAATGAGTAAATGAATTAGTGAATACCCCTTACACACACACACACACACACACACACACACGCAGAGTACAGCCCCAAATCACTTCCCCAGCCTCTCAGCACACTGTCTCTAGGACACAGCCCATCTGAGAGCTGCACTTTCTGGGACCCCCTCAACACGCTCTATTGGAAATGCTGTGGGAAAACGTGGAGTAGAAAGGCTTCTCACTCATCTCCACTCTGCTCAGACCCAGCCCAGCTTAGGGCTGGACCTATCCAAGGTGCTAGCAACATCGACCCGACCTCAGTCATCAGGGCCAATGATGGGCCCATCAGGGGCTCCCTGAGGTCCATAAGTCCCTCCTTGGCTTCCTCTGCACTCACTGCTGCCTGCATCCTCACACAACCCCCAGGTTCGGCCGAGAGCAGGGGATCTGAGTGTACTTGCACAAGCGTGGGTGTAAGCGTTTGCAACAGAAAGGTCAAGTATCCCCCAGGAACCAACACTCACCAGCAGCATCCTGGGCAGTGGGTCCCCATGAGCTGAGAGAGGCTGGTCCTTCTGAGAGTGCTAGGAAGACTACTGTGAGGGAGGACAAGAAGAGCCCTGGGGTGTCGGGGAGGCCACATGTAGCTTGTCTAAGCATCTGAGGCCCTACCCTGAGCCTTGCATGCTCCCATTCAACAGACATCAAACACCTACTATGCACATACACTCTCACCGCCGCACCTAGCAGGTGCCCATGCACAAAGGTGCCTGCTCACTGCAGCAGCTGCTCCCCAAAAAAAATTCCCTGGGCCAGGAAGCTGCATCCTGCACCCTAACAACCAGGCAACTCAAGCCTTCACATGTGTGTGCATCTTCGTACGCCAGCAAGAGGCTGTGAGGGCCTGGGAGGTACCATCAGGGAGACAATCAGGTCTGTGTAGTGCAGTGATTCACAGCCCAAGACATCCCTCCCGAGGCTACTGTCGAATTATCAGCCCCACCATCTTCAATTACGAGGCTTGTCACTCATCTCCAACCATCAGAAGGAAGTGAGTGAGGAGATTAATGTCTTTTTAAAAACTGCTTTCATCCCTTAAAAGGATTCCTGCACAGATGCCATTTGCATTTCTAAGAGGAGAGGCAGAAGAAGCACTCAGAGACTCAGCTGCTCCCCGGCCCCCTCAGCCATCTTTGATCATCCATGTCTCTCCCAAGGCCCTCCCAGAGCTGTGAGGCCAGGCCGGGAAACCCTTCCGCTGAAGCCTGGGTGGGCCGGACATCCACGCTTGCTTTCCTGGGCTTCCCTCAAGAGAAAGAGGACAACTGAGCCACAAGTCCAGCAATCCCACAAAGCAGCGCCCAGGCATTTCTCTCAGGGAGTCTGTCACGGGTTGAACTGTGTCCCCAAAAAGACATGTTGAAGTCTGAACCTCAGAATGTGAACTTATTTGAAAATAGGGTCATTCCAGATATAATTTGTTAAGATGAGGTCATCCTGGGGTAAAGTGAGCCCTTAATCCAATATGACCGGTGTCCTTATGAGAAAAGGGAAATTTGGACAAAGACACAAGAAGGATGCCACATGATGGAGGCACAGACTGGCGTGACGCGTCCACAAGCCAAGGAAAGCCAAGGGTTGCCGGCCATCACCAGAAGCCAGGAGAGGGGGATGGAACGATGCCCCCGCAGAGCCCCCAGAAAAGAGCCAGCCCTGATTTTGGACTTTTAGCCTCCAGGAAGTGAGAGAATACATTTCTGTTGTTTTAAGCACCCAGTTTTTAGTACTTTGTTATGGCAGCCCCAGCAAACAAATACTGAACTCATGGTCATCCTCATCTCCTTCATCTTAAGGCATCTCCACTCTGGCCCCAGTAGGGAAGCAGACACTGAAAACTAAGCACAGATATGGTCCATGATGGGTCTCAGAAACAGACAGGCCCCTCTCCTCCTGAAGTGCTCTCAACTACTCAGTCAGCTCATTAAAGAATCACTGCCCCCAGCTTAAAGATGTTCATAGCATTAAAGATGTCCTCCAGACGCTGCACAACAGAGCCCTGGACAGATAGAAAGTGGGGGAAGGCATGGGGTCCTCAGAAATGCCCCAGGCCACCCCAGAGCTTGAGATAAATGCAAGCAGGGGTGGGCACCACCTGGGATCTGTGCCAGACCTGCAATGTAGGATTAAAATAATGTGAAAGCCATGCCAGCTGACGAGACCATGCTCCACTGAGGCAGGGACCACTACATCCCCAGTGCCTGGGCAGTAAGTGCATCATAACTGCAAGTACAATAAATGCAGAGGCAAATGGAGAGGCAAAGGAGAGGGGACTGCCAACCCCTGCATGGCAGGCAGTGGGGGTAAGGGAAGGAGATGTAAAAATATGCCTGAGTACATCACTAGGATAGCTCCAGGAAAGCCCTGACCCCCTGAGGACATCCCCGACCACCCCTACACCATGCACCTGTGCAAGGTTGCCAACAACCATCGGCGCCAGGACCCACCAGGTACGGGGGTGTCCTTCACTTCCCAGGGGCCAAATATCTCTGCTGTGCCTAGTAGGAAAGAAGAAATATTGTGCAAGTTTGAGAGCCTGGCTGCATAGGTTCAAATCCCAGCTCATCTGCTTACTGGCTACATAAGCCTGAACAAGTGTCTTAACTTGCCTGTGCCTCAGTTTCCTTGTCTGTAACATGAGGGGGTAACCACACCGATCTCTTGGGTCGAGGAGGACTAGATGTGTTAATGCATGGAAAGCACCTGGTACAGTGCCTGGCACATGGTACGTGCTTGGTAAGTGTAAACTGACACTATTTACTATCATTATCCCATGTCCTTACAACTCCAGGGAATAGATCCTTTCACTTGCTTTGTCGGCATTCACTAATGACTCTTCTCCGTATGACGACACCCAACAGCTATTTAGAGAAAATTATGCCTTGCGCCAGGAGCCCAGAGGAAAGTTACCAAGGCCCAGTGGGAAAAGCAGACAAAACACTCCAAGAATACGAGATATAAAACATCATCATCAGTAGAGATGGGATGACCTAGGAGGTCATGCTGATGAGGGCATGTCAGACCAAAAGACATTTGGGTCTTGAGGGTTGAATAGGAGTTTGTCTGGTGAGTCTTGCCCAGTCCCATAGTAGGTGTTCCATAAATAAACAGTGACTAAACTGAGGTAGAGTCACAGAAGAAAATTTCAGCCTAAGGGAAATGAGAATGTATGGTGTGTTCAAGAATAGAGAAGGCACAGGCTATGGTTTAGCTAAGGTAGGGAGTATGTGAGCAAAAAAGCAGGAAAATAGGTTGAGGTCAAGTTAGGCAAAGATCTTGAACACCACAGTCAGGGGTCTTGGCTTTATTAATGGCCTCTGCAGAGCCAAGACGGGGGTGAGGGTGAGGGTGACAAATAAGAGCTGGGTTTAGAAAGGTGGCTTGACTTGCAAAGCAAGTGACACAAAGCTGAAGGCAGGAGACCAGGGAGGAGGCCAGAGCATCCCCATCTTCCCTCACCAACCGAGCCCTGCCCTCCATTTGCCCTTCAACCATCTTCCTGGTAGAGATGTTCTCAAGCTCACACCCCTGAAGACCTTACACTCCAGCTATTCTGGCGAAGGACACAGTGCCCACAGCTGCCCACTATCAGAAGATGCCCTCAGCCAAGACCTTTCAGGGAAACGTTCATGTCTCCATGCAAGTCCCCAGTTGACAAATGGAATTGGGCTCAGAGACAAGTTCAAGCCATAAATTGGGAACCCTGAGAGCACAGTGACTTCTGGAATTCCAGGAAAATAACACTGAGCACTTAAAGCATGCAGGCCTTTCCTCTCCCTCACTCCCCAAAGGCACCCCCTTCCCGTCTGCTCAATCCAAGGATCCAGGCTAGTGGATTTCTTTCCAAATGCAGGCTGTGATGTTCTGTGTCATGTACACTGGAGAATTCCTCCACGGCTCTGTGACTTACCCAGCCGGGTCCCAAGCTGTGCTCTGACCTCACCAGCCTGGCAGAGAGGTTGCCGATGCTGCCAACACTGCCCTGACCGTCTGCCTGGCAGCTGGGGCCACACTTAGGCAGCTGCCCCAGCATGCACTAAAATTAGGTGGCCCATTAGACCCAGGACATGGTGATCACAGGCACATTGCCAGCACTGGCTCAGAGGATCATTCCTCCTAGCCCAGGACTCAAGCCAGGGCAGAACAAGAGTGGCCCAGCATCTCCTCTTAGGCCCAGGGAAACTGAGGTCTGGAGAAGGGTAGGGACCACCAAAGAAGTGTAAACTTTGATTCTTGTTTATTTATTCAATAATATTTCCTGAGGCTGAAAAGTAATATAGTAGAAACTGAAAATATATTCCATGAAGAGGTCAGGGAATTAAACAATCAGAACCCCACCATCTGAGCTAACTCACTTACATTCTGCTGTGTTTTATACAACAGAAAACATACTTTACAGACAATTTATAAAATATTTCTTTCTCCTACTTAGCATCATTTTTGCAAATCATAAAACATTCTTTATATACATTAATTGAGTCAATTTATAGTATTCCATTTTATTGAGATGCCATAATTAATGTAATAAAAATTTCCTACTGTTGAACATTTAACCTGTTCCTTGTTTTGCTATTATAAATAACACTGCAGTGAACATCCAGGTGCATGAATCTTTGTCCCCATCTATGACGATTTCCTCAGGATAGATTTTAGCCAATGGAATAAATGGGTCACCAAGAGAAGCATATTGTAAGGCCCTGATACAGATTGCCTGCTGCTCCCCAAAAAGCCAAACCACAGGCTAGCTTTTGATAGCAACCTCACACACCTCTGCCTGCACTGGCCGTGGCTCCTTACAGCCACAGTCTGCTCATTCCTGGGATAATTTCTCTCCCAAGGAATCCAGTGTCTATAAAGCCTGCCTGTCTAGCACTGCAACCACATGAATCTCTTCAGTGCAAGTCTGCCCCATGGTTCCTTTCCCCTAAACTAGCCAAAGCATCCAAGAGATACAGGGAGGAATCAAGTCCCAGGCCCCAGGGACTCAGACGTGCTGCTACTCCAGTGTATGTGAGGCTTAAATTAGGGGTCAATGTGAAACCCATTGATCACATCCTTTGAATAGCCCCAAAGACCTCTCCTACATCTCCACCTTTCCCCCGGTTCACCCTGCTGTACACACACCCAGGAAATGATCCCCTTGAGGGGTGCTATCCCTCCCCAGCAAGGTTAACTGATGACCCAAATTATGACAACAGACCTAAGCCATCAACCCATAAAGCAACTTGGCCAAGAATCGAATTGCCTTTGCATGTCCCAGCAGAGAAACTAAACTCCAGGCTCAGTGTAAATAAGCTGTCTCTGGTCCGACGTCAGCCCCTCTTGCCGGCAAGTTATGGATGGCACTGCGTATCACCCATCATAAATACAGCCCCTTGGCTAAACAAAGCCGACAGCTTTGTGCCAATAACCTTTGAACCACTCAAGCCCAGTGTCAATTGTATTTGTCTTCAAGCTAGGTTTACTCGAGACTGTTTGCTAAATCAGGGCTCATCTGCGGAGATAATTCAAATATATTACAGGCACCAGGCAGACACAAGGGCTTCCCCCACCTGGCCTCACAGGGGTCACCACCACAGCAGCCTGCACATCCCCTAACCACTCAGCAAGTTATTCTGGGAAAGAATAAGAAACAAGGGGCAAAAAGAGACACTGAGGCCAGGATCATAACCTTGGATCTGCCACCAGCTCTCTGCGCAACCCCAGTGAAGTCACCAGACCACGTGAAGCCTCTGTTTGCTCCTGAATGCAGGGAGAACCTAGTCTTCTAAATCACAGAGAACTTATTTTTGGAGGCCTATTCACAAGCAAAATCGGCCTGCATGAAGGAATCAGCTCTGGAAGTGCAGAAATGCAGAATGAGTTCCCACCTCGTGCAAGAGATGGATGTGCCCAGAGCAAAACCAAGTCCTGCTGGGCTGAAGAGCAGCCAATGTGAAAACAATCTTACCTGACTCTGGTGGGGCAAGGGGGGAGGTTCTAAATAGATATGGTGTAATACATAGATACCTTTTAACAAAAAGCGCTATAAAAAAAAAAGGGGAAGCCACTCTGTGGTCAAGGCAGGTGCAGTTACCATGGCCACCGAGGCTGAGCTAATTTGTACAATTTGCATTTCCTGAGTGCCTGCTGCATGCCAAGCACTGGGTGCTGCCAGAGAGACAGGGACTCAGGCAAGGCTCATGCTCCCACAGCCAGGGACCCCCACCCCACACCCATTCTGACCACCCCACCCACCCATCTTCAAAATCTGGGGCCCTCTCGCCCAGGACTCTGAGTCCCCAGTGCTTCTCACCATTTGGGGAGCTTTGCCAAACCCAGTCACGAGCCTCTCACCTGCTAGGATCCCAAACGACCCCCAGGACGTGGGACCAAGACCCAGGGAAATACCCCACTTTGCTTCGTCTCATGACCATGAAGCTGTGGGTTTGATAGTTCAGGAGGTTAGGGTAGGAGGACTAGGGAGTCAAAAGCTGTGTTTAGATTACGTCCCATGAGCTGCTCTTGAAAATGAATGAGAAGAAACTCCACAAAAAAACTCTGTCAAGAATGGAAGGGCCAAAGAGTGAACACAGCTGTCAAGAGAGGCTCCAGGCAAGCTGGCCCCAGGCACCCAGCACCTATGAGCATCAGCTCCTCTTATCTGTAAAATGGGAATCACATGTTTTGCCCAAGGAGTCACTGCAAAGATCAGACAAAATGGGAACCATCAAAGCCTTCCACATCCTGAAACACGCAGGAGGGATTATTGCTGTTATGGTTATAAGGCTGTGCTTCTTGCACCCAGTCAGGAGGCAAGAGATTCGAGTTCTGCCTCTGGTTCCACTTCAGGAAAGTGTCCCCCACCACCCCTGGGCATCACTAGAATAATGAGAGACTTGCACAAGGCAATCTCTAAAGTCTGTTCAGCTCTGATGCCATAGGATTGATTCTGTGATGTGGGTTAACTACAGAGGCCAGCCCATGGCAAGGTGTCCCCTCAGAGGTCAGCCCACCCCCCACCCCCCACCAATATGATGGGAGGATGCCGGCAAGACCAGGGTCGTTGTCACTCACGTTTGGGAGCCTCACGCCTCTCTGGGATGCCGGACCCCTCCAGCTTCCACGTCTCATCTCAGCTGGCACCTGGAAGACGGGAGAAAAAGGTCACCATGCTCCATGCCTGGACCATCTCTTTATCATCCACATACCTGGAAGCAGGAAGACAGCAAGGCAGCAGTGCCTGTGCTGAGAATGAAGGCAGAAGACATTTATAAATGACCCTCTTAGCTGTTTACGAGACACCTTCTGAGAGAAAGCAGAGGAGGAGAAATAAACTTGAAGTAGGGAGACCTGGCGGGCGTCGCGATACGCTTTGATAAGCCAGCTGCGCCAGCATTTCTTCTCCATTTTTATGACCACCTTTACGGCCCTGTGTTTGGGACTCTTTATCAGGGGCCGGAAGGAGAGCATGAGCAAGATCGAAGGCAAAGAGCCTTCCCCAGCAACTCCACAAGCAGATACAACCTCATCTGGAGATCAAGATAACCCCAGTTTTACTCCCAGTCCAGGCGGCCATCCCCCAGACACCCATATCTGAGGTGGACAAGAAATTCCTGAGCACGGCAATAAATCTGCAGATCCAAGCCCTCCTGGAAGCCCTGACTGAGCCAAAGCCACATGGAAACAAAACCAGGGCTGGGGCTGGGACTGAGGTTCTCCTGAGACCACTTAGCAGCCCTCATCGGTACACTCTGGAGCCCTTGTCCCACAGCCCACTGAAGTTGGAAAGAGCGTTTCAGGGCTCCCTCCCCAAGCAGGGTTTGGGGTCACAGCCAGGTTGGAGCTAGGACTCTGCCATCCCCACTCCCCTGAACTTGCCAGGATTGTGAAAAGGCTGAAAGCACCAGGGCAGGAAGCTCTTGCATCAGCCAACCTAAGTCTGAATCCCAATTCTTCCCCTTGCTGCCTGAGGCAGTAACTCCCTCTGGGCCTTAGGTTTTCTCATCTGTAAAATGGCCCATGCAACAGTACCTAACCTTGCACGATGGGACACACAGAAGGAACTCAGCCAATAGGAGCATTACATTGGATGACTCGACAAAGTAGCCAAGAGGCCAGAACTCACCACTTGTTTTCACAAACTGGCTGGGCCCTGGAAGCCTGAAACCTTCATACCAGCCTCATCTGAATGACGGTGGCCCTAACCCCTGCCCTACATATGTGACAAACCATACTGGGCTCCTAACATGTCATTGTGCTTGGGGGAAAGGAGAGTGCTTCAGAGATGGAGAAAGTCATAGTCCTGACTCCCAAAAAGCCTGTGACCAAAAATAAGCCTACAAAGGCAGGACATGCTAAATACAAAACTCCAGGATCATGGCAAGAGAACAGGAGAGTAGATATAATCACGGTCAGGGAGGGAGGCCGGAGAAGGCTTCTCAGAAGAGAGGTATCTGGGCAGGGCCTGAACAGGTGAATAGGAGTTTGCCAAAAGGAAGAGAAGGAAGAGGAGGAGAAAGCCATTCCCTGCAGTTAGTTAGGCTGATACTGGGTCCTTGGTGAGTCCCATGGAGAGGAGGCAGAGATGTCTGGGAAAGGGCAGCAGAGGGTGCACACAAATGGTGGACCGGCATCCAATTACCAAGAACCTTGAATGTAGGCTGGGCAAGCTCAGTCTCATGTTGAAGGTGTTGATCTGGAGTCTGGGATTGGTAAAGTTGTGGGACAAGGCAGCCACATCAATGTAGATCGCTTTGGGGAAACTGCGTTTGGATCACAGCAGAGGGGAGCGTTCCAGGGTGGCTGGCGAGGAGGCCAGAGAGCGGGCGGGAATGTTTTGCCTGAGGTATCAGCCGTGTGGACTCCAAGGTTGGGGTAAATCACAGCTGCCCCAGGTGGCTGGATCATTGCTCTCACCGCCTGCGCGCCCCTGCGCCAGCTCTGCTGGCAACCATGAGGCTGGGGACAGACGCCCGAGTGCGGCCCTGGCTGCTCCACGGTTCTCCGGTGGCACAGCGGGCTCTGCAACGCGCCGCTCTGGACCTGCGCGCGAGCACCTGCTGCTGGGCCACCCGGCACCTCGCGCGGAAGAGTGAGGCGGCGCGTAGTGAGCTCCGCGCCTCTACGCGCCCTCGCTGTCCCCAAGTGGTCAGAACCCTTGCAGGCAAAACCCACACGCGTCCTCCTCGCTGGGCACAGTTCGGGCCCTCTGTGCCCAGGCTCTGTGAGATGTGCTCGCGGCCCGCGATCGGCCTGTCGGTCCCAGCAGCCATGCCGGGATGGGCTCCAGCGAGGCTCAGGGCGCTCTCCCCCTGCCGCGCCACTCTTGATCTCCCCCTTCCATCGCCCTAGCCCCTCGCCCTCCTGCCCTTCCCAGGTCCCGAGACAGCTCCTGGTGTGCCATGAGGGCATGCCCGTCGCCCCACAAGCAGAACCTCAAACTGCCTAATTATTTACATTTTTAAACGTTTTATTTTGAAATAATATAAATTCACGGGAGTTGCCCCATATTTCCTTACCTGAAATAATATAGATTCACCCAGTTTTTCCTAGTGGCTACATCTTATTAGCACAATAGCCAAACCAGGAAATTGATCGGTATAAAGTGTGCATATAGTTCCATGTCATTTTATCACATATGTAAACTCATGAGATCACCACCGAAATCCAGACACTGAATCACCCCATCAACACCAAGATCTCCCCACTGCTCTCCTGACAGACACACTCACCCCCTCTCTTCCCACCCGTCCCAGCTCCTGGCCCAATCTGTTTTCCACATTGAAATGTCCATCATTTTGAGGGTGTTACATAAATGAAGTCGGACAGTATGTGCCCTTTTGAGATTGGCTTTTTTTCACTCAACATAATGCCCTTGAGACTTGGCCAAAAGGAATCAACTGTTCATTCCATTTTATTTCTGGGTAGTGTTCCATAGTATGGACGTACCAGTTTGTTTAACCATTCATCTATTGTAGGACATTTTAGTTGTTTCCAGCTTTGGGCCATCACAAATAAAACTGCTATAAAAACTCAGGTACCTGTCAGGAAGCCGAGCATCTGCCCCATTTTTAAACTATTCACATTTCTCCAAAATGTCTTTTTTTAAGTGGTTTGTGTTTATGATTTAATTATGTTTACATATTTAGACCCACTTCCTCCCAAAAGGCTTTGAGATGACCTTTTCTTAAGTACATAGCATAAAGCAAAAAAAATATCAAATCAAAATGGAGAACAGAGAATGAACTCAAGAGATCTAGCCTCAGACACACACTGGTGAAAAGGTCCATACCTAAATGAAGGTGGCTGGGGAAGTGGGGACCTTTTCTTCTCTCTTTCCACTCTCCACCCATCCCAGGCCCACCAGAGAGTGGAAGGCAAAACAGAAGTGTGAGCAGGAAGCAGGGAACTCAGACGTATGGACCCAGAACCCAGCAACAAGCTCCACAAAGGCCCCAGCCTGCATTCCTCTGTCCTCCAGGAGGGAGGGCCAGTCACCAGCCTTCCCATAAAGCAGTTCCCACACACACTGGCAGCCCCTCTTCCCCTGCTTGTAGGCTAGGGTGTGGGTGGCTAAAGAGGGTTTCCCCATTGCCATGCTAGAGGCCCAGATGGACCCTTGGCCAGGTGGGAACCCCACAAGGCTGCTGGAATGAAAGAAAGTACCTGACCTGGGGGTGAGTCCTTCCTGTCTTAGGCACTGAGGCCCCAAGCTCACCTCTAAAGCAAGGTACACAGCCAGGGAAGCCTGGACATCTGGTGATAGTTCCACAGTAATTCTGGGTGGGCCTGTGACAGAGCCCAGGATGGGGAAAGCACTCGGACTTTCTCTACCAAGTCTCCTGGTCAGCCCTCCTCTTCCTGAGGGCCCATGGAGGGGGCGCCTTGAAGAATACTGGACACAGGGCATGGAGAGCCAGAGGGAAGCATGGAGACACAGACTGAGGCATGGAGAGCTCAGGCCACATCCCAGCTGGGGGTCCAGGGGCCAGAGCCTGGGGGTCTGGGCCGCCTCCACTCAGAAAAAAAGGAGGCCCAGCCTTGCTAAGTAGGCCAGATCATCAGAGTGAACTCAGGAATTTGGCCTTCCCACCCCCTGCCAGGAGACCTCCTTCCCAGCTCAAAGGAAAAAGGCAGGGGCCCTTTATAGTCCTCCACTGGCCTCTCATCCAGACCAGCTCAGCCGCCTCTTGCTCCCTCCCTACCTTCCTACAGCAGAGCCCTGCTCAGGCCATTTCCCAGCTTAGACATCCTTGCCTGAGATGGTCCCCAGGGAGTGGGAAAGGCACCTCATCACACCCCCATGATCACTCTGGGCTCTGCCACCCTGAACTCAACTGAACTTGCAGGTCCCCAAACACTGCCCACCTTCCCCAGCTCCACATGCTTGCCTATCTGTGCATTCTCCTAAACACCCTCCCACCTGCTCTGAAGGAAGTCTTGCCAGGGTCTCGAGCCCCAGTGCAAATGTACCTCCTCCAGGAAGCCTTCTCTGATGCAGTACCTCACCTGATGCTCACAGTTACAGGCGGTGAGAAGGTGGGGGATCAGAGCTGGCTGGCCAAGGGTGAGGATCCCATATTACAGTGAACAAACTGAGGCCCAAATAGGCAAAGTGTCTGGTCTTGCCACCCTCCGCCTCCTGTCCTGCCCTCTTGCTTTAAAAAAGTAGGTGGCCATATTTGTCTGGAATATGGGCAGAAAGAACAAGGTTCCTTTGAGCCCCCCAGTTCTGGGGATGGGAGTATTGGGCCCCTCCCAGCCTGAGTATATCCAGGTGTCACAAGCTCCCAGGTCCCAGGGCTAGACCAGCTCTGCCTCTTAGGAAACTTTACCACTGTTGGCTTTAGCCAAACTTCCTGGTTCCTACAGGAAGAGGGACCTTGGGATGTGCAGGTCACACCAACCTCCTAGCCTGCCAGGCACCTCAGGTGACCCAGCACCCAGGGACTCCCAGGGAGATGGAGCTTGTGGGGCAAGAAGGTTGCCACCAACATGGTCCAAGCTCTGGCCAGCTGGCCCAAAGCATGTGGGAGAGGATGATGGCAGCTTTGGCAGAGGACACAAGCCTGGAGACAAGGTCTCATGGAGCCTTCAGGCCCAGGCCACTCCCTTTTCCTTGCTATTTATGGCCCCTTGGAGGCTGCTTTCCCCTTTGTTCTGCCAAACAAGCTCACTCCTGACTCCCAAGCCAGCCGGGGACTTGGCAAACATTTGTCAAGACTCGTCCCCTCACTTTGTGTTTGTCTACGCGGCAAAGATCTGGGCTCTGTGCACAGACAAGTTTCCCCTCCAAGGCCCAGGGGGAGCCCCCATCCTCTGTGGCCCCAAGGCTCCACTGCAGGTATACCAAAGTAGGAGTCTCTCTATCCACCAAAAGTTCAGCGTCCCTTCACCCTGCCTGAAATGCCACCATTGTTCCTCAATACCATGCATTCCCCCTGGGGCAAGAATAGCATCCAGACGGTGTCACTCAGACAGTCACACCTAAGTGCAGGCATTTGAGGAGTTTTGGAGGGGGGGTGGGGGGGCCTTTGAAGACTCAAGGCTTGAGATGGAGGGCTGAGGGTGAGCTAGAATCCAACAGGAGGCAAGGGAGGGGGAGACAGGTGCACCCCCAGCTCCAGCCTCCATGGGAGGGGCTGACCCCACCCTGTGTCCTGGACTCACCAGGATGGTTCTGCCCAACCAGTTGAGGTCAATGTGCCCTGATTAATGCTGCTAGACAGACAGACAGTCCCCAGTAAGGCAAGGTCTCTGGGGAGATGCCAGGTTCTCATTTCATAGTCAGTGCCAGGATGAAGAAAGACGGAGGTCGGTGCCAGATGGAGCCCCAGAGAGCAGACATATTCTAGGGAGAGTGAGTCTCTGGGCCTCAGTTTCCCTGCATACACAGTAGGAACACAGAGGGGAGCCCATTATCCTGGAGGCCATGGCTGCAGCTGCCTCAGACTCTCTGGCAAAGGGCAGGAGAGAGGGAGCAGCCCCAGACACAACCCAGACACCAGGCAGCGCTTTCACCTCCCTGCAACTTGACTTCTTTGATCCTTGAAGATGGAAACAGTCCCTGCTCTACAGATTCGCTTTGAGAACAAAAGGAGCTAATGTACAGGAAGATGTTTGCGAAGACCTGACACACACCTGGGGGCCTAATCCATGCGAGCTGGTGTTATTATTACTATTATTTGGGGCTTTAGCCATGTCACTGAGCCTCAACCAATTTGAGTTCCTCATGTGTAAAATGAGCTGACAGCCAGTTGTGATGGGGAAATAGCCTGATAAAATGAGCCCACTTCAGACCTAGCACACAGCTGGTGCTCAGAAAGTGTTAGCCCCTCTGCATGCATCCAGTAGGTATTCAATAGATGCTTGCTGACTTCAATCACAAATGGCTAACAGGATATTTAAAAGGAACAAGAAACAGGTCCCTGAGGGATAAAGAGGGAGGCTGCCTTGGCTATCCCCAGGGTCCAGGACCCTTGGAGGCTGGGCTGGAAAGCCTCTAAAGGGGCTCCTACAGTTTGCAAACTGTGGCCCAGGGAGCTCTGGAGCTCCTCGGGGTTGTCTATTGCATCAGAAGGGGCTAGAGGGGACAACAGACAGCAACCAGGGCATCATTTCATTCCTCTATTTAGGAGTCTTAGTAAAGTTTCATCTGAAAAATGTGCCCTGTTGCCTTAACTAACCTCACTTCTTGTTTTTTAGGTGAGAAAATAAAGCCCAGAGAGGACAATCAGCAAGGAATCCAGCACCTTGGAGCCATGGAAACCCTTCTTGGTGCCTCTTTAGGCTCCTCATGGCAGCAGGGGCAGGAGGGCACACAGGGTGTTGTGCACCTAGCCCCAGGTGGATAAGAACATCCAGATGCACCTGCCCTTCACTAGCTTTGTCATGGCCCTGCCCCCATCCCAGCTTCAGGGTAAACCCCTGCTACCTTCAGTGCTCAGCCAGTAGGTCACTTCCTCCAGGAAGTCTGCCATGACCACCAGGTTAGTTTTGCTCTCCTTGTTCTGTGCTCCCATGGCTCCAAAACTGCACCACTTCTAAAGATGCATTCATCTTTGGATCTGATCCCCTGTGAGGGATTGCACCAGCATTGTCCATCACTCCTGAGTCCCCAGCACCCCACCCAATGCCAGCACATAGTGTGGGTACTTAATAATTGCCTGTTGAATGAACGACTGAAGTATGGCCTCCATTTTCTCATCTGCAAGATGAATAAATACCACCTTCCAGGGTAAGAAAAGTGGGCCCCTCACTGGGCTGGCTGGTAGGCTGGCAAGCCAAAGGCTCAGACAGCAGGGGTCCTTCTCCTGCTGCCCCTGAGCAGCTTCCAAGGTCAGGCAGCCAGGCAGGAACCACCCACCAGTTTCCTCTGCCATGGCAGAGCCTCAATCTCATGAGCAGAGGCCTGGGCTGGGCATATGGGATCCCTTACCAAGACTCCAGTGCACCTCACCCACCAGAAATGCCTGCCAGGCTGGCACACACCCTCCTATTTATTTAGGATTTGCAGAGAAGGGAAAAATACAGAGTACTTCAAATAATCTGCAGAGGAAAAGAGACCACAAAGCCCTGGGGATCCAGTAGGGGCTCCCATAGCCAGCCCCAGCCTGACCCTAGGATCTACCAAGGGCTGCTCGGGATGGTCCCACGAGCTGTGGCTGAGGGCCAGGCCCTCCACATATAGGCATCTCTGTCCCTCACAACCCTGCGAGGCAAGAACTCTGCATCCCTCATTGAACGGCTAAGAAAACAAGGCTCACAATACTAAGGGGGCAGAACTGACACTCGCACGCAGGCTGACTCCCAGGAGCCTTGAGGCCTTGAGTACAGGGAGAATTGGGGCCAGGCATAAACATAGAGCATCTCAAGTCCCCAGGTTCTGTTCCCTCTCTGGTACTGGAGTGAGACTGGAGTGCCAGGATGCACAGCATGGAGTGAGGCTATAGCAGTGCTGGCCCCCAACCACCCTTACAACTGCACAAAATGCACTCCCATCTCCTCACATGGAGGTGGCCCAAGGACCCCCAGGAACAATGGCAGTCACTTTGAAGCCACTGGCCCCGTACATCCAGGGTTCCCAGGCTAAAGGGTAGCAGCCCACAACACTGAGGAAACATAAATATTTCATGGGCAACTCCTTCCCAGCCTCCAATCATGTGTTCAATTGTCATGAAACAATTCAGAATTTCCAACTCAGGGCTAATAGGCTGCCATCAGCCAGTCAGCCAGCACAGGCAAGGGCAATTACTTTAAAAGCTTCCAACAGGGTTGTTCACTGTACTGGCTCCCCAAATTGTCTATCTGTGATAGTGGCTGTGCCCCTTCGGGCCCTGAGCACCCTGTGTCCTGTGCAGCAGTCAGATATCTGGAGGGAGACTGAGGCACTGGCTGCAGAGCTTGTGATCATGAGAGAGACTCACTAGGACTACAGATGGGTAAACTGAGGCCTTCGAGGGGGCAGCTCCAGAAAGGCAGGGGCCATAATGTCTCACCTTCATATTTCCCGTGCCAAGCTGTGGCCTTCTGCATTCATGGCAGATGAGTGGACAAAGGCTGATGGACTGATGGAGAAACAAAGGGATAGATGGAGCAGCTGGGCAGCTCAGCAAATGATGCTGCAATGATCTGCTTCCAACTCACCTCAAATCCATCCTTCTCTCTCCAGGCAGAGTGGGCTTTTAAGATACACATCTGGCCAGGTCTCTCACTGTTCAAACCCTTCATCTGCTCCTTTTTGCCTTCAGGATAACATCCCACCCTCCTATCAAGGACTATGGAGCCCTGTGGGATCTGGTTCCCACTTGATTCTCCAACTTCCTCTTCCCCTATGCCCTGCCTTCTCATCTGTTCCAGTGCTATTATGAAGCCACACGTTCTTCCTTTATTATCAAGCATACCACAGTTTATCTCACCTCAGAGGCTTTGCACAGTATATTTTCCTAGGGAGGGGTCCCCAGGTGGTAGAAAAACGGTTACAGCCAACTCCTCCATGTGTCACTCAAGACCCTTCAACAGCAGGCTGCAGATTTCCTCTCCAGCACTGTGCTCCAACTGTGTAATGGATTTCTGTGTCTGCCTCCTTGACTCAACCCAAATGAACAAGAGCCATCTATCTCTGTATCTCTGCAATCACAGGCACAAAATAGGTGCTCTCTACATTTTTTCCAACCTGAGAGGCCATTCTAGAAGGGTCTCAGGCCACGGTTCTGTCCAGTATTCCATGCAGATGCTGACAGGACTGCAATTAAAAAAATACTTGAGATGCCCAAATGCCCAAATAGCTTCTCATTTTGCTTTGACTACCAATAATTGCACAGTGCAATAGAATAATGCTCAAATACATTAACATCTTACTTGATCCTAGGGGGTCCTCTCTACTTTTAAAGCCTCAAACTTCCTCCCTCTCACAGGTGAAAAGGGGAGTACAAATACATTCCCTCCCTTGCTCTGCGGATCCATTCCTACAGGTAGTCAAGACTCTGAGCTTCCCCTCTGACTTTCTGGCAGTGCTTCACCTCTCCCCACAGATGAGTGCAGGAACAATTCTAACAGACTTCAGACTCTTCCAACAGAGCCAATCCCTCCCCATCACGTTGGAGTGGACTTGCTACCCACACCATCAACAGGCCCCTGAGAAACTTCACAGGGCAGGGGCTTCTTTGGTAAAACCAACCCTTTCCTTCCACCAGCTCAGAGAAGTTGTTCCAGATAGATGCCAGGATTCTTGGAGGAGCATGGTGATTCTGGGGTGGAGCCTCTGACCCTGGCCAACCAAAGGCCTGAGCCACTCTTCCCCCACAAAGTGATTGGCGCAGGAGTGGGCATGTAAGCTGGACCCAGCCAATCAGCATAACCAAATCCCTTGCCCACCCTGGGGAGGGTCCTATAGTTGTTGCCAAGAGAGGCTCACCCCTGTTCTCAAGAAGCTTACAACTGGTAGGGGCAACAGGTTTTAATCTATCATTACACAAATATTTAATTTCAATACTGTTGCAATAAGAGCTATGAAGGAAAAGAACACTCCCCCTACTTTTACTTGGTGTTAAGATTTGAAGAAGAAAAAAAAAAAACACTGCCTGAAGGATTGTTATGGCCTTCTATATAATAGTGGCTGCAGACATTTGCCCATTATGTTCAGCATGAACCCATGTGACAAATTCATCAAAGCGTTTTGCACTAGGGAGAAAAATTTGTATTAGAGGAAGCACAGCAGTTTGGACTGAAAGACAAAGAAAATTCAGCCAATTCTGCTGATCTTTTTTGATGGGGCACCTGGAAGCTGAAAGCTAAAGTGGTACTCAGGAACAGGGACTGCTACTTCTGTTCCTGGTGAATCCTGCCCCAAACCTCCTCTCTCTCTGATTCCTGATTCCACTGTGCCAGTGGGAATATATGCTCCCCAAGATGTCAAAACTAAAGGGAAATTGCAAAAAATATATACATATATTTTTAGAGAGAAAATAAGATTATAAAAAATGTGTTTTGTACCCCCCAAGTTTCACTAAGAACTTCCTGACTTCCAGGCCCTGGTTGTGCCCCACGCACCAGCCTGCCCAGCTTTCCTGGACCAAACTTCCTAGCACCTAAGCAGGGGATGAGGGCAGATAAACTAAATCAGAAAAGGGATCTGTTCCTCCTAGACTCAACCAACATGACCACCGTGGGGAAAGAAGAAACAAAAACAAGAGCAAACTCTCTTAAAGAGCAGCCTGGCAGCTATCACCATTAGCATTCAGCCCCTCTGTCCACAGGACTCAGGACCAAACCCCTCACCTTCACTATCCCATCCGTTTCCCAAGAAGCAGAAATACTTATTCTCACATTTCACAGATGGGGAAGCTGAGGCTAGGAGAGGTTATGTTATTTGCCAAAGCCACACAACTAGTAAAAGCCACTGACAAGATTCTGGCTCAGGCCATCAGGTGCCAGAGGCAGCATTTTTTGGCACCACAGGCCCTGCCTGGGAACAAGAGCATGCAGAAAATCTCACAAGAGATGGGAACAAAATTTGGAAAATTGCTAGCGTGCAGGGAGGGGGGAAGGTGTGATTTCCTGCTACAGACGCCAGAGTAAAAGCCACCCCAGGAGTGCCTGTGCAGCCCTCCATAGTAAGGTCCAGCGGCTGCATTTATGCCCAAAGATGCCCCTGGTGCTTGGAGTGGAAGGAAGATTCCAGAGACAAGATTAGAAACTTCTCAGCTTAGCAGCTCTAGGGCTGGACCCGCCAACAAGCCATTTTACACATAAAGCAGTCAATGGGAGGGGGTAGACGTAGGGGGCTAAACTCCCCACAGCACAGGGTCCAAGTTGGTAGACTGCACTTTCTCCAGGCGCAGGTCCGCTAGTGCCGGCATCGGGGACTCGTTATCTTAACTTGCGACCCTGGGTGCACAGAGCCCTGCACACACCACTGGAGAGGGGTTCCTGCTGTCGAGGGTTGAGAGGAGGGTATGGAGTCCCTGGAACAGCACGACAGGGTGCAGAGGCCACCTGGCAGGGCCTGAACACCGAGGCCTCTGTGAGCTTGGGTCGGGCCGGCTTCCCGCTTCGGAGGTTGGGGAGGGGGTCGTGGGTCTCTGCGTTCCCAGGCCAAGCGGCCCTGGAGGCACGGACTAGCAGGACGCCGAGGTGGCGCGGGTCGCGGCCTCTCCCGCAGCAGCTGTCGGCGAGAACCAGGCAGGGAGGCGCCGCTGCTGACTGCATCTCATGAAAGATTCAGGCCCGGCTGCCGCGCTGCCATCTCCCGGCACCTTGCGCCGGAAACGGTCGCTCTGGAGCCCGTGGCCGTCGGCGGGCAGGCTTAGCCGCTCCAGTCCCTGAGAAAGGCAGGCCACAGCCCGACCTGCCCTGTGGTCCCATCCCATAATCCCAACAGCAAGCAGGCTCAGGCTGGGCACTTCGGGGTACCAGGAGTAGGTTCGGCCAACTGGTTTCCACCATGAGGCTTCGCGCACAGGGTTATCTGGCCACGAGGCAACGCTGGGGAGCCCTGTGGCCTGAGGGTGGGCAAAGGACAGGCTCCCAGTTCCCTTGCGTCCAGCCCGTCTCCCAGCGGCAGCCAGCCAGGAACGGCCTGCGGGGCCACAGGGGTGGAGGCGTCACCGTTCGCAGGCCCGCAGCAGGATGGTCGCTGGGGGATGTGCAGGCATAGGGGTTGGACAAGGGGCCCCAGAAGTGTCTGTCCTGAGGGGTTGGTGTGCCCTTTCCTCACCAGCCCAGCCCCTGAGGAGAGGGAAGAAGGCAATTCCCCCAACCAGGGCAGGTCGGGCGGTTGCCCCACCCTAACACCCCCTACCCCCAAACACAGAAAACCTGGGGTCTGTCCTCAAACCTCCCTGGCTGCCACGCTCTGGGCAGCGGACTCTCCCTGCCAACACGCAAGACCAGCTCCCTCCCGCAGGCTGAGCAGAAAGAAGAAAGGTCCAATCTCAAAACCCCAAACTCGACCACCAGCCCCCGTCTAAACGGAAGTAGGGCCAGCCCCTCACGAGTCAGGTGGGAAACTGGGCCCAGGGAGAGAAAGTGCCCCAGGGCCAGGCTGGGACCCGCTCTGGCTTCGTCCGCATGCGGCAGGGCCCCTCCACGGAGGTCCCAGGGCGCGCTCCCCGGCCTCGAGGCCCGGCCGCCAGCCGCGCGGACCCCAGCCTACGCCCCGAGGGAGGCCAGGACCCCTAGCCGGCGGGACTGCGCGCCGCCCCTCTCCCCGCAGGTCCCGGCGAACACCTAGCTTCCCCTCCCCCCACCCTTCCCGCCTCCCGGCCAGTGTCCCCGCCTTCCCCGCGGGCGACGGGCGGCGGCGGCGGGAGGAGCGGGCCGAGCCGAGGAAGCCCCGGCCTCGCGCGCTGGGATGTAGCGAACCAGCAGGGGCCGAAGAACCGTGCAGTGCCAGAGCCAGAGCTGGATCCGGGGCCCCAGCCGGAGCCGAAACCTGAGCCAGAGTCCGCGGCGGGCGAGCCCGGAGCCCACGAGCCGCAGACGCAGCGCTGCCCAGGTGGGGTAAGAGACGCTGGGCTAGGGGCGCAGGGTCTCCGCGGTGGAGGGGCGCAGGGAGGTGGCGGCCGAGTCCTGCGCAGTTTGCTCCTGGCGTGTGTGGGTCCACCCGGCGGCGCGGGACAGCGCAAGGCGCGGAAGGTCAGGAGCCTTCGAGGCAGCGCGAGGAGCTCGTTCCTGCGCCCAGGGCACAGTCATAGCCGCCGTCACCGGGTGCTACCTCACCCAACCGGCGGGATCAACCCTCTGCTTTGGCTCCGGGCACCTCAAGAGGGTAGCAGCCTCGGGGGCACGGGCCACGGCCCCGCGAAGGGCACAACCTGAGAAGCCCGTGGCAGCCCCTCGCAGCGTCGGGTGACACAGGGCTCCCCCACCCCCAGGAGAAGTGGGCAGGAGAGAGGGCCGCCCGCTGCTCCCCGCTGCGTCCAGGGATGGAGGGCCCCACCACCCATGGAATTGCTGGCCCCTCTGCGTGGCCCGGGACTTCAGCCGTGGCTTCGCGTCAAGAGGGTATTTTTCCTAAACGAAACCGCTTCGTTCGTTCGTTCGTTCGTTCGTTCGGGCAGCAATGCCGCAGAAAAGCAGCAGACGTCGGTCCGCGCCCTGGCTCTCTTCGCCCCGGACCCCGACGTCCCGCCGCAGCGCTCGGAGGTGCCCCCAGCCCAAGGCAGCCTGCTCTCGCCGGCACAGGTCGGGCTTTTTCTTCCCAGGAGAGAAACCCCAATTCCCTTCGTAACGTCCAATAAAGACATTCCCGCGGCTTCTCCCAGGTTTGGTTGTTGACGCAGGGTCCCGGAGCACGCAGTCGCTTCTCAAGAACCGGGTCTCGGATTTCTGAAATTGACCAGCTTCGTAAATTGGAGCCTATTCTCCCGCGGCAAAGGCAGGGCCCCAAAGCCGGGATCGCAGTAATGGGAACCCCAGGCTGGAATCCGGGTCCCAAGCTTTTCCGATTTAGGAATTCCCCGAATCTACAAATATTTAGTCCACTTTTCTGAAAAACTAAATTCTGAAAAACACAAATTCTCTTGACATCCCTGTGACCTCTGAAAGCCACCAGGGCCAGAGGGAGGAAATCCCAGGTTGCTGTCCACTGGGGGAGGATTCAGGTCTAGGGTTCAGGTCTACGGTAGTCAGGGCAAAAGCTACAGGCAGCAGGGGCAGCACAGGAGACTTGCTGTCCCCGTGCCCTTTCCCGGGGCTGCTTTCGGCCTCCCGCATCTCTTCCAGGGAAAGGAAAAGAGGTGGGCTGGGGCTTGGAGACCAGGCTGTCTGGACTCTAGGATGCAGAGGCCTCCAGACAGGCTCAGGGTGCTCTTCTCCCATGAAAGCAGCCGCTGGGAGGAGGAGGCTATGGTGCATCCATAAGTTGCCCCTCTGCTCCCCAGTTGTGCGACCAGCTGCTACCTCCTTCCTAGTCTTCTTCCCCACAGCTCAGCCATTCTCAGGAACCAGACAGCGTCCATGGACTTAGGTGAGAGATGGGCCGGGTAGAGCCATGGGTCCTACCAGCCGCTGACTGAGCGGCCCACGGCACAGAGTCCTGAGTTCCATACTCCCATCTGTGCCTCACTGGCGGCAGTCCTGCTCAAATACATCCTGGCTCTCCCCGGGACAGGCTGGGGATCCCCATTTGGCAGGAAGCCTCAGACTGGGGTCCCAGGAAGCCTAAAGGAGCCAGTGAGGTCTTTCCAGCCCCTACCTGAGCACCCTCCTCCCCACTTACCCAGTAATTGCTGTATTCAAAGAAACGGGAGCTTTTATTGGGGAGGGGGTGTTAGATCAGGCAGAAAGAGGTAGGTGGTCCAAACCTGCACTCCCAAAACAGGGTTTTCAAGTTTGAACTTCTCCACGGACTAAGAGGCTTAGGGCTGGAATGTCCCAGAGAGTCATGGATAGCCCTGGTGGCAGGCCATGGCACATTCCTTCCTTTTTCCTAAAATACCTTGATTCTGGGAGCAAGGATTAGGGCACGGTGCCCCCGTGGGTGGGTAGAAGGATGCCCCCCCACTGAGAGCCTTCCAACCACCCTTCCCAAATTACATTACTAAACCATTCTTGGGCACAGGGTGTTTTTAGTGAGCCAGGCTTCAGGAAGGGTCCTCATGGTGACTACTTCAACCCCACAACAGCCCAAGCTCTTCTGCTCAGCCCAGCCAAGACCCTAAACTCCAAAATTCTTGAAAATCAGAGAATCATTGCTGGCTTTGTGTGGTCACGGAGGGGTGGGGAACAGGGCACATGGTTCCAGCTCCACTAAGCCCCCTTCCCTCCTCTCTTCGTGTCCCATCAGCAAGTGAGCTGGATGCTGAAGCAGCAGGCAGAGTCCGGTGTTGGACATGGGAACTGAGGCACAGTGCAGATCAAGCCTTAACCTTGAGGGAAACACAGGTCACATAGCACAGCTGGGGGAACACAAAGCCTCTGCTTACTCCTGAAAGAGTGCTGTTTTCTGTCCTGTATGTGTGACGTGTCTGTGAGCGTGCAAGAAGCCCCTATCTTGACTGGGACAATGGCCAGTGAGTGTAGCTGGGGAAGAATTGAGAGCATGTCCAGGTCCCTTCCCCAGCCAACGCCCAAGATCAGGCCACAGCCTCCTCACAATCAATTGCCTCCTCACTCCTTGATCACTCAGTGCTGCCCAGGCCCAGCAGAACAGACTCTGCCAGCAGGCCCCACTAGCCCCAGCTCCTCTTTGGGTCTCAGGTCCCCTGAGGATATGGGGCTTCACCTGAAATGGTCTGAGGGCTTTTCCTTCTACACAGCAGGCATCAAGATCACCAAATAAAGGGACTATTGTGCCTGCCTGGAGCCCTGCCAGAGGTTTGGGCCCAGAGGGGCACACAGCAGGTGCTCAATAACTGCATTAAATGCACTAACAGTGAGGAAACACGCCCCTCAGACTAAGCAGTGAGTGCTGCTCACAGAATAGTCCCCATTGGGGGATGGCCCAAAGAGTCACTTTGGTCCCTCTGGGAAGTGAGAAGGCAAGTGAGAAGGCTGTGAGTCTTAACCTCCTCTAGAGGCCCACAGACAGACCATTCATTTCTAAGTCTCTACCCAGAGACGCACTGTGCTTCCCACCTTGGCCTGACATGTGGCAGGGTTAGAACACACCTCCTATCCCCTGCCAGCCCGCGTTCATGCCAAGTAGCACATATATGCCTAAACTCAGCACTTCCATAGTGCAGTGAATACATGTGTGTGTACAGCATCTCCGCATGGATGTACAGGATGTGTGTGTGTGTGCGTGCCCCCATGCTGTCTGCATTCAGGCTGTTCTTTTTGGTAAGACAGCTAAAAAAAGAATGGTCTGTGAAGGGACACTCCCTAGCACGCTGCAACACCTGAATATCTCCTTGAAAGGAGGGATCTTCTACTGCAGGAGACTCGTGGTAAAGGTGGCCAAGAAACATGGCAACGGTGGGGCTGAGGGCAAATGCTGGGCAACTGTGCTTCCCCATGTTCCCCTCCCCGTAGCCAAGACTCATTTCATGGAGGGAGATCTCAGCTTGGAAGAAGGCAGGAGTCACTGAGCCTCCCCAATCCAAACCCCTGAGAAGTGTCCTCCCTCTGGCCTCAGACCCTGCATCCTGTGGTCACAGACCCACAGTGAGAAAGGACCAGGCCCTAAGGAGCTGTGCTGTCTCTCCACGGCCCAGAGCGGGGGATGGGGATGGGGATGGGGATGGGGATGGGGATGGGGATGGGGGTAGGGGTGGGGGTGCTTTGGACTAACGTGGAGGGAATGGAAGGCAGGCCTGGTTCCACCCTGCATGCCCGACCCTGGCCCCAGCAGCCCCCACAAGGAGCTCAGCTGACCCTGGGTGTCTCCCTGTGATGGGAAGGGGTAAGACGAGGACTCAAAGGCAGAACCTGCAGAGTGCCCCAGACGCTGATACCTGCACAGTCAGTGCCACCCACCCAGGAGTTGAGGAGGCACTGGGTTTTGGGGTGAGGACACTGGACACCTCCCTGCTTCTTTCCCAGGCAGACAATCCTGGCGCAGCTCCCTTGGGTTGCTGTGTCTGGTGGAGCTGATCACAGGTGAGGGGCAGAGGGCAGTCTGGGGTCCGCCTATGGCCAGAGGAGCAGGTCAGGGCGGCGCCTTGCCGCCCCAGCTGTGGCCTGTTTGCTCAAGACGCTGAGGTCTCGGGGCCAGCTAACAATTGTTGAGCAAAATCCTTCGACAAACTTCACCTACGTGCAAGGACTCGAGGAGGGAATCACTCTTAGGAGTGGGAGAGTAATGTCTTTGCCTGTGCCCAGTGAAGGCCCATTGGAGCTGCAGCTCAGCTACCACTGTGTGGGAGAGAAGCTGGAAGACTGAGGGCTTCCTGGGCTGCTGGCCCAGGGTTGGGAGACAGCAGTCACCTGGCTTACCAGGCCTATGCCTGAAGCCCTGGGAAGCCAGGACGCAGGCCCCAGGCTGGGACAAAGCTACCCTGAAGGAGGGCAAAGGCTGCCAAGGCCAACCCCATGCCTGCCAAGGCCAGGCCTGGCCCATTTGGCCAAGGCCTAAGGTGTAAAACAAGGGGAGAGGTACAAGAGGCTGTGGGGTCTGGCTGGGATCCTTGGGGTCTTCCTTCTGCATTCTCCAAACGCCTAGAGCCAGCAGAAACGTTTCGTCTGATTAGAAGCCATCATTTCTATCCCAATCCCGGAAAATTGACTGCGGTGCAGAGAGGGAGGCCTGAGAAGCAGCCGTAGGGGAGAAGGTCCAAGCTAATTAGGAGGCAGCATCCGGGGGCCCATTAGAGCGCAGGCTGCTGTCACTCAGCCGGGCTGAGTTCCCGGGAGAAGAGGCTGGAGAAGGAGGGGCAGGCGGCCCCTCGACGAGGACACCGCTGGGAGCTGCCGGAACGGGCCCCGGGCTCTGCCCCCGCCCCGGCGCTGGCTCGAAGGCGCCCGCTCGGTGCGATCCTGTTCGGCAAACATTCACTCATCCTGGGCTGTTCTCGCCAGGGCTGGGGACTTCGAGGCGGCCGAGACGGGAGTTGATTCTAGGCGAAACAAGTCATTTGAGGCCTGAGGTGTGCACGAGCCGCCCGGGACTCGCAGGCCAGATGCGTTTCTTTTGTGAGGCCGAGGGAGAACTCGGTGTGTCACCGGGGAAGGAGGGAGAGGCGCGGCGAGGCCGCGGGGGGCGGGGAGGCGGCGGGAAGGTGGCTGCGGAGGGGGAGGGCGCGGGCGAGGCAGGGAGGGAGGGAGGGCGGCAGTGAGGGCGCGGCGGCGCGGGCGGCTTGGGGCTGGATTCCGCCCGCGCTCCCTCGCTCGCTCGCTCCCTCCCCAGCCCCCTCCCACCCAGGCCCACCCCACCCAGCACCCCTGGCGCAGGGACTGCTGGAACCTGGCTGTGCGCGCTGTCGCTTTAAGACAGACTCTGCCGGCGCCGTCCGGAGCCTTAGAAACCGGCCCCGGATCGCGAGCCGGAGCCGGAGCCGGAGCCGGGGCCGGCCGGGCTGCTGAGGCCCGAGCGGCAGGAGCGCAGCGCGGAGCGCTGAGCCAGGCGCCCAGTCGCGAGAAGCTGCCGCCGCCTCTGCCCGCCCGGCGCCGCAGCCCCGGGCGGTCCATGGGGCGGGCACGGCGTCGCTGCAGGCGCCGGCAGCCCTGGAGGGCAGCCGCTTAGGCGCTGCGCTCTTGTCCCCGCAGGTCGCAGCCAGGGCGGCGGGGCGCGCCCAGCCCCGGCCCCTGGAGCGCCCGCCGCGGTCCCCACCTCCATGGACGCCTTCAAGGGGGGCATGAGCCTGGAGCGGCTGCCGGAGGGGCTCCGGCCGCCGCCGCCGCCACCCCATGACATGGGGCCCGCCTTCCACCTGGCCCGGCCCGCCGACCCCCGCGAGCCGCTCGAGAACTCCGCCAGCGAGTCGTCTGACACGGAGCTGCCAGGTAAGCGCCGTTCCCCGCGCGGCGCGCACAGAGCCTACCCGGGCGCGGAGCACGGGGAGCTGGGAGCAGGGCCTGACGCCCGCGCCGCGCAACCAAGCTCCCTCTCCGCCCCAGAAGCGTCAGGAGCTTTCTTTTTCCCGTTCTCGACCTGACGGTGAACGCGGAAACTTACGCACACGCGAAGGCACTTCCACGCGGTCCCCACGCGCCAAGAGACTGGCAGATGCACGAGCCTACAGCTGGAGGGTTGGACTGACAGCCCCTCTTGATCAGGAGTAAATAGAACGGGAAAGAATTTGATTTGCGCAACTGGGCGCTAAGGAGCGGCTCGGACGAAGGGAGAGGAGGAGACCGAGAAAGGAAGAGGGGTGACGGGCGAGAGAACGCACTCAGAGAGACAGAGAGGGAGGTTAACACCGTGACAGTAGGCGACAGAATGAAAGAGACCAAAGAGAAGGGGCGGGCGGGAAGGGTAAACGGGGGGAGAGGGGTCATCAAGTAGAAGGGAGACACAGAGGACGGTGAGGGCGAGCGGGCCAACAGGCGCGGCCGGACTCCCAGCAAGGCCAGCCGGAACGCCGATCAAGGGATCCGGCCCACGTGCGCGGCCGAAGCCCGGAGCAGCCCGGCTCTGGCCCCCGCCCCGGCTCCTGCGCGTCTCCCTCCGCGCTGCCTTTTTTTGTCCGAGCTGGAGCTTTTTTCCAGCAGCGAACTGGGCCCGCGGGTGGCCGGCGCGGGCAGTGGGGCAGCGAATCCGCTGCCCAGCGCAGCCGGCCGGGTTCCGGAGGGGCTCCGAGCTCCCCGGTGTGGGCGCCTCTTCTGCGTTCATTTCTTAATACACAGCTGAATGTTTCTCTCCACTTTCTTAGTATCTGTTTCTCTTTTGCATCCCTAAGTGATTTTTCTGAGAGGTTGTTTGCTTGGTTAAAACATAATCAACGCTGAACTCTACTTTTGTTTTCAAAAGTTTTAAGCGCGGTCTTTGGTTGGTTTTATTTTTAAAACCTAGAGAGATATATAATCGTATATTGATTTTTTTGAACCAAATCTATGAGGATGAATTAATTTTAACTGTATCTTTCGATTCTGAAAGAATTAACGTACGAAGTGTAGGTCTGGAATTTAAAATATCTACATGCAACATTATTCTTCCGGAGATTTTAAAAAGTCAATCCAAAATGGCGCGTTTCTCCGGAATTTTCTCAAAATCCATTTACAGTGGTGTTATTTGGGGAATTTAAATTATCTAACTATAATGTGTTTCTCTGGGATTTAAAAATTATCTCTACAAGGGCCTTATTGGGAAGGAGTTAAAAATCTATCTACAACGGTACATTATTTTTTTAAATCCCAGAGAAATAAATGCTTCTGTCAACCTGGAGTTTATACACTTACAGCTCTGTATTTAGTTAGGGGTGTGTTTGTACGGAGCTTTCTGGCTTCTTAATTTACATTTGCTCTGTGTTTCTTCCTGTCTGATTTTGAGAATTTGTGGCCCTTTCAGTGTCTTTAGGCATAGAGCTGTGAGCTTTTCTGGGCTTCTGTGTTTTGTTTTTAAACTCTTTTTCTTTATGTATTAATGTTTCTATGACTGCGTGTGTTTTGTGTAGCTTCAAAGAGAGACAGACTAAAGCCCGAGGTCACCTAGACAGAGTCTGTCTGTCTGGGCTGCAGTTGGTGGGGTTTTCTAGGCTTTGGGACTGGAGGCCTGGAAGCAAGGCCGAGAACCCGGCTGTGTTGTGCCTGCCCAGTGGGGCTCCCATACACCCCTGAGGAGAAGAAAGTGGAGGGACTTTAGGCTGGAGAGATCTGATCCTAGTTCAGAAAAGCAGAGACCCCCTCAGATTTAGACCCCCTAAGAGTTCGCAAAACAAACAAACAAAAAGCATACATTTGCTGGGAACATCAGCAGCAGGGTCAGAATCTGAGCCGAGCTAAGGGTGCAGGCCCTGCCCAGCCAGGAACGCAGGCCCGCGGCTCCAGCTCCGATTCTTGGGCTCTTCTCCGCGGCACACCAGACTAGAGGTGCCTACTGACGACCAGCACCCGGCGGGCGCTTTCCAGTGGGGACAGTTCCCAGGAACCCTAGAGGGAGGGAGGGAGGGAAGACCGCCAGCGCTGGTGGCGAGCGGTTCGGTGGAGCCGGGACGGGGTGCAACGGGGCGTAAGCCCAGGTGACCCGCTCCCCGTCCTGCCTACTGCAGAGAAGGAGCGCGGCGGGGAACCCAAGGGGCCCGAGGACAGTGGTGCGGGAGGCACGGGCTGCGGCGGCGCAGACGACCCAGCCAAGAAGAAGAAGCAGCGGCGGCAACGTACGCACTTCACAAGCCAGCAGTTGCAAGAGCTAGAGGCCACGTTCCAGAGGAACCGCTACCCCGACATGAGCATGAGGGAGGAGATCGCCGTGTGGACCAACCTCACCGAGCCGCGCGTGCGGGTGAGCAAGGGGTGCGCGCCTAAGGGCACCCGCGCAGAGGGCTCCCGGGCCGCCTCTGCTGCAGCCCTCCAAAGCTTAGACCCACAAGCAGAACTTCACTCTCCCACCATTCAGACCTGCTCCCTCCCTCCACCGGAGATCCCCACCTTAGGCCCTGGCCCACTAGCGTCTGCCAGGCCTCCAGGCGCCTCGGACCTTCAACCCCTTTGACCCTCATCCTACCTGATCCTCGGACTAAGGCAACCCCAGCCCAAAGACCTGTGCCCCCAGGGGACTCCCCCATGCCCTATGGGGCCCAGGACCCACTCAGATGTTAGCAGGATACCCTGGGCCAGAGACTGGGCAGTGGATTCCCTGCCGCTGGGGACCTCGGGAGCTGTTGGCCTTATCCCGAAAACGAAAGGGAAAGGCAGGTCCTGTCTGGCTGCCTCGGAGAAGCCTGAAAGGTGCCTGGGTTTGGGGCTCTCAAAACTTCCTGGAGCAGTGGTCCCATCTCATAAGCAGATTCTCTAAAAGCTCAAGATATTCTCCACCCTCCCCAGCCATCAGTAGGACCCTTTGCCTTCTGCCCTTTCCGGAAGGTCTCCCGTCAGGTGAGGTGGGGGGTGGCTCCGGGAGCCAAATGTCCTTCCCAGTCCCTTTTAGGATATGCCATCTCAGACCCAAGACCAGCCTGCATTCTCCCTCTTCTCACCCGTTTGGTTTCCAGTAAAAGCAAGGCTTTCCTGCCAGGGTAGCAAGAGAATCATTTCTTCCCTGGGGGCGTAAATATTTAATCAGATATTGGGAGCACCTCCCAAGTCGACCAAAATCCCAGCTGGCCCACAGACTCCTTACCATAACCCCAGCCCTCACCCCTCCCTAGGCAGGCTGGCCAGCCCAGTGGGACTTGGAATGAAGACACAGCACTCAGTAATCCTGAACTCACTAATCCTGCCCAGGTTTATGGTGGTAGGGGTGGGTGGGGGTGGAATCAGGTAGTGTCAGTGCTGGGGACTAGGGAAAGCTGAGAAGCAGGGATCTGGCAAACTAGCTCAGGAAACTCCACTCAGAACTGGAGGAAAATCCGAGTGGGCAGAGGGCATGCGGTAGGCAGATAGGTAAGGATGGGGGAGGACTAGGAGGTTCTTACCAAATTTGGGGGGAGAAAAGGAAGGGCAGGAAGATTAGAAGAATCTAGTAAGAATAGAAAAAATTTAAATATTTGTGGAGAAACATATTTGGCATATATTTAGGCGGCAGGAAAGAAATTAAATAGGAAGCAAAAAGATCAGGTATTTGAGAAAAAGAATCAACTGTTTAAGGGGAACAGTGCAGGTCAGATATTTGGAAAGGATTCAAAAGCCTAATATTTGAGGACGATTCAAAAGGATCAAAAATGGGGGATAAACAAGAAAACAGACTGAGGGAGAAGAAAGAGGTTCAGACAGTGGGGTGGACTGAACGAAAATAAACATTTGGAGCCAAAAAGAAAACATCAAATATTGCCGATAAAGATGATAACAAACTATTTGAGCGATGAAATAGATCGAAGAATTGGGGGAGTCGGAAAGTCCTATGTCTCAGGGAGGAAAAATACCTTTTGTATTTGAGGGAGAATAAAAAGACTGAAATATTTAGTAGATAGAGCGAACCTGTTTGGGGGAGAAGGCAGAGGTGAACTGGTTGAGAGAGGAAGAAAGAAAACGAATATCTGTTAAACGAGAATCCGTATTCGGAGAAGAAAACGGATATAATTTCGGGAGAGGATAAAGATCGGAAAAAGAAATTAGTATTTTCTGGGGACAGGAAAGGAACCATTGTGGAGGGAATGCAGGAGCGGAAATATCGGTCGAAGGAGAGAAACGACGTTCGGAGGGCAGCGGGCCGACGGAAGGCTCCAGGCGGTGGGGAAGGGGGTGGGGTCCCTCCCGGCCCGCAGCGGCCCTGACCCTTCTCCCGTCCCCTCCCCCAGGTCTGGTTCAAGAACCGGCGAGCCAAGTGGCGTAAGCGCGAGCGTAACCAGCAGCTGGACCTGTGCAAGGGTGGCTACGTGCCGCAGTTCAGCGGCCTAGTGCAGCCCTACGAGGACGTGTACGCCGCCGGCTACTCCTACAACAACTGGGCCGCCAAGAGCCTGGCGCCAGCGCCGCTCTCCACCAAGAGCTTCACCTTCTTCAACTCCATGAGCCCGCTGTCGTCGCAGTCCATGTTCTCAGCACCCAGCTCCATCTCCTCCATGACCATGCCGTCCAGCATGGGCCCAGGCGCCGTGCCTGGCATGCCCAACTCGGGCCTCAACAACATCAACAACCTCACCGGCTCCTCGCTCAACTCGGCCATGTCGCCGGGCGCTTGCCCGTACGGCACTCCCGCCTCGCCCTACAGCGTCTACCGGGACACGTGCAACTCGAGCCTAGCCAGCCTGCGGCTCAAGTCCAAACAGCACTCGTCGTTTGGCTACGGCGGCCTGCAGGGCCCGGCCTCGGGCCTCAACGCGTGCCAGTACAACAGCTGACCGCCCCGCCGCACCACGCGGGCCGGCGGCCGGAGCGGGGAAGGGCGCGGGCGCGGGCGCGGAGGACGCACGCGGGGCCCCGGCTCGCAAGCCCCAGCTCACCGCGCCGCGGACCTCACACCTGCGCAGCCCCCTCCTCCCACTTCCCACTCCGGGTTGGTTTTGTGTTTGCTTTTCCGGACCCCACTCTGCCCTCCAAAAAGACAAAAAAAAAAAAAAAAAAAAAAAAGCAAAAAGACGTCGGAGAAAAGTGCCGCGAAAAAATGGATGAGTTGCAATTTCTCTCGGGATGGCGCGGGTGGTGTGTGTGTTCCCACGGGCCCCGGAGGCCCACTCCGCGGAGGGCACGCGGCGCGGTAGGCGAGCGCCGAGGCCCAGCGGCCGGGGGAGGACGACCTCGTATCCCGCGTCCCCGCCGCGCTGGATCCGGACTGAGTGGCCGGGCCTGCGGACTGGATGTGCGGGGCCTGGACTTGCCTAGGATTTCCCGACCCCGTACAAACCAAGTTGCCCTCTCCGAGCTAGGCCCGGCCGAGAGCGCCTTAGCTCGAGTCGGATCCGTGTTGGGGCGGGCGTTGGGTTTGGGGGGACGGTGCCCCCAGCCCAGGATCGGGCACTCAGTGGAGCCGCACACGGCCCCGGCGCGCCTGGTAGAGCCTCGCTGGCCCCGCGCCCCGGAGCCCTATATTAAGGCCACGGAGCGACAGCGGGCAGTGCGGGCCTGGCGGGAGGTGGGGGAGGTCCATCTCAGAACACCCCAGCCTTGAGCTTAGCTGCAGGCCCAGGCCCTCTGCTCTGCTCCCGGGCTAGGAGGTGGCCCTCTGTCTGGGCGAACAGCCCCCTCCTCACCGCCCGCCGTGCAAGAGTCGAGCCGGCAGAGCAAGGGGCGCGGCCCCAGGGCCCTGCGCCCACTTTGCACACCCGCTCTCCGGCCCGCGCCCCTGTTTACAGCGTCCCTGTGTATGTTGGACTGACTGTAATAAATCTGTCTATATCGACTTGTCCATGTACGTCTATTAAAACCATAGTCCGAGCGTGCTAAGCACTGCTGAGCCCCGACTGCTTCATTGGGCTGAGGAGGGAGGCGGATAGAAAGGGAACTGTGGGTAGAAAGGGAACCGGGCCCCTTGGGTAGGAGCAGAGCGCCGAGGCAGCCCCCGCCGAGGTCTGCCTACCCCGCTTCCCCACCACCATTCTTGACCTGCTCAGCCTGGCTCCCATGAGGGCACCGTCCTGCGTTGCGAGCCTGTCCGGTGCGCACCCGCTAAGCTGTGCCTCTCGGCGTTGTCCGCGGGACGCCTTAGCGAGAACCCCCTCCCTCCGCGGCTGCGGGACTCTACGGGTTTCTTCCCAGGCCGGGTCTGCGGTGACCCTCGAGGCCCCAGGGTGCTATGGGGCCCTTGCCTGCCAGGAGCGTTCGGGCAGGGGCTGCTGAGAGCCTCTTTATGCCTGGGGTTGCCTTTTCTTCTGTGGGCCCAGCAACAGCCCCTCTTCTCTCCTCGGAGCCAGGGCCAGGCTATTCCAGGAGGACTGAGGGGGCTGGATCTATCAGAGTATAGCGAGGGCCTCCCGCTGCCTTTCTCCCTAATGCCCGCAACGTGCCGAGAGCCCACCGAGGGGCGTGCGGCTGTGCAGGAGAAAGTGTCCGTCACACAGGACTCACTTCTCACTTCCAATCCATCCCAACTTGTGGGGACTGCTGGCCGCCTCCGCCCTCCCCTGGCTTTTGGAAACTACTGAACAAGACCAGCCTGTAAACTGCCTGTAAAATTCTGCTTCCCTTAAGTAAGTCATTTCTAATGGCAAAACAAAATGTTTGCAGCTGCAGTGGGGGAGGAAGGAGGGGTTGATATTCTGCTTTAGAATCACCTTATGATGGGGGTTGGCACTGCCCTGGACCCAGGCAAGCCCTAGCTAGGAGTAGGGCACAGCCACAGGCCTAGTCACGAGCTGACAGCTGGAGAGCCCTGTGCACACATTCTCAAGCCAGGTCAACACAGCCTTTGAGGTCAGGAGTGTTGTCCCTATTTTACAGATGGAACCAAGGCTCTGTAGCTGGGCCAAGGTCACACTGAGCCAGTAGGTTTTTTAATTCCAAAGCCAGGCATCTTTCCACTGGTTTTCTCACCTTCAGATGAGGAATGAAGAGAGGTCCTCCCTGGAGGATGGTCAGCCTGATGCTGTGAGACCTGGAGTGTGGAGCTCTGAGATGGACAGGGCCAGATACACAGGCTAGTGGGGGTGGGGGTGGAATAGGGCAGGGTGTTGGAGCCAGACCACCCCTCCCCCAGCGGCTCCAGTCCAGAGCTCCGACCCCTCACTCTCTGGGAACATAAACACAACCACATCTGGACTCAGGGCCTCCCTCAGCCTCACGCATCTGCCAAGGCCAGAGGGCCCTGGTCTCAGCTGAGGGCAGGAGTCAGGGGAGACCTAGAAGGAGGCGGGCTGGAGGAAAGTGAAGAGCAAAAAGGAAGCCTGTCCCGAAAGTCAGGTCTAGCACCAGGTGCAAGGGGAGCCACACAGGGCTCAGGTGGAGATGCAGTGTATCTGTGGGGCCACAGGCCAAACAGCTGCAGACGGGTCGAAGGGCAGAAGTAGTCCCAGAATGACCCCGTCATCCATCAAGGACTGTGGCCAAGCAGGTGAGTGAAAGACCCAGCTGCAGGCCCCTCCCAGCTGTTCCCACCCATCTGTGGCTGGCAGAGACTACAGCATGCAGACCTTCCCCGCTGCTCCGGCTGCAGGGTCATCTCTGAAGGGGGCTAGAGACTGTAGGGGGCTCTGAAAGCCCAATCCTCTGGAAAAAAAAAAAAAAAGGCAGAATTCCTAGCCAGCTTTGCCTGAAGAAGACGGGGAGGAGACCGCCATTCATTCAACATTGACTGTGCCCCTGCTGTCAGTGCTAGGATGGAGCAGTGGAAACAGACGCAGCCCCCGCTCTGCTGGACAAGTAAATAGACGTGTGTAATTACAACCTAGGCTGAAAAACAACAGGATGCTGTGAGAGTAAAGGGGGTCTCACTTTAAACCAGGTGGTCAGGCAAGGCCCTTCTGGGGAGGTGGCTCCATCCCTATGTTCAGTACCAAGCTCCAATGCTGACTGAACCAACACAAGGCCCCAAGCCCCAAGCTAAGTGTACACTCCTCATTCATGAGCCCCTTTACCTGCACGCAGCCCTGTGAGGCTGGTATTGCTATTCTTTTATTAAAGTGAAATGCCCTGGTTCTCCTCTTGAGGTCCTATTCCCCGCTTTCTGCATTATTAGGACTTACCTGTCAAAATTTCTCAACAGGTCACTTTAGACGTCATTTGGGATTTTCCCAGCTCAGCTTTCCGTCCCCACCTCTGCAGGGTGTCCTGAATATGAGTCATGATTGACAGTCTTCCTGGCCACACCCCCACCCCACCCCAGGAACTATCCTAGATTCTGGGCCCTCGATCACCCAGCCTATTGTCCTGTGGTACAATCTCCCCACCAATCTTTTGTGGGCCAGGCCCTGGGAGAGGAACCAGACCCAATTCCTGCCACCTACCTGGCCTCTGGGGAGAGGCAGAGCCCAGTCAATACCCTAAGAGATGAGCAGGGACAGGACGCGGGGCAGGGGGCGAAGCAGGGGTACTCACCCCAGCATGCTCTTCTGGGGGCGCCCAGCACCATGGGGCAAGGATGCCTGGACACTTCTTTTTGTTTGCATATCATGTTATGAGTAGCTAACAGCAGGCTCTTCCTGAGCGCCAGGCCCCAGCAAGCTCCTCAGAGCAATTTCATGAGGGAGGGATTTGTTATCCTTATTTTTCACGGGAAGAAACTGAAGCTCAAAGGGAATCAGTAACTTGCCCAACATGGCACAGGCAGCTAATGAGGGGTAGAGGCAGCACCTGAACTCAGACCCTCTGACCAGGGCCTGCGCTCGCACCCACTGTGCTGTACATTACCCTTACATGAATCACATTTGTATTCAGGAGGGAAAGGAAATAAAAAATTAGAATTCTCTTCAAGAAGCTAGACTCAGCTGGGCTCCAGGACTGAGACTGAAAAGGCCCCAGGCCCTAGGATTTGCCCTCCTAAGCTCCGGGCTATGTGACAGCAGCAAAGCGTACAGGTATCAGGGACAGAGGAAGCCCTGGGGTAGGGGCAGACAGAGGCACAGAGCAGCTTTTTGGTGAAGAAAGGGCCCTGAATTCTCAATCACAAAATCCAAGCTCCCACGTCAGTCCGGATTACAAGTTTCCTGTTTCCGAGATGGGGAGACCCCCCCCAACCCTGAGGCCACCCCCCCAGCCCCTGCTGGTCCCTGCCTCCTTGCCTCTCCCATCAGGGGAACCCCACTCTTCACACTCCCACGTTGCTTTTGCAGGTTCCTGGGTCCTGCCTCCTGACTGGCTGGTACTGCCCAGGGCAGGTGTCTACCTCTACCTGTCAAGCAGCTGCAGAGCACTCACGAGAGAGGGCCACTGGAGCCCTGGCTGGAGGGGCTGCAATTCCATGAATCAGACCACTGCTGAGGAGCAGGTCAGGGTGCAGGAAGCTGCTTGTGGAGCAGGGAGGAGGCAGAGGGCAGGCTGGCCCTCACAGGGGATGAAAGCTGCTGTGGCTGGCTGAGGCATATGTCTCACTCTGTGCTGTCCCCCACTGCACTTGACATGTTTCATTTCTCTTATTAGCTTCATTTTATAAATGGGAAATGGGGAGCTCAAAGAGGTCATGTAACCTGTCCTAAGCTGTACCACACCACTTTAGGGACTCAATCCCTAGCCTGACTGCAGAGTCAATGGGCTGTGACTATAAGCACTGCCTCCCAGAGGCTGGCCCTGGCAGCTGAACAGGATCAGTGTAGTCAGACAGCCAGCATGGTGAACTGAGTCAAACAGGTATAGACAGCAACCCCTCAGAAGTGTCTGCACATAGTAGATGCTCAATAAATATTTGTTGAATAAAAGAATTGAGGCACTTTAGGAGGCTGAGGCGGGTGGATCACGAGGTCAGGAGATCGAGACCATTCTGGCTAACACGGTGAAACTCCGTCTCTACTAAAAATACAAAAAAAAAATATTAGCTGGGTGTGGTCACAGGTGCCTGTAGTCCCAGCTACTCAGCAGGCTGAGGCAGGAGAATGGCGTGAACCCGGGATGCGGAGCTTGCAGTGAGCCAAGATAGTGCCACTGCACTCCAGCCTGGGCGACAGTGCAAGACGCCATCTAAAAAAGAAAAAAAAAAAAAAAAGAATTGAGGGAAGGCCCTCCCTCACCCCCACATTCCACAAAACAAATCTTGACCCTTTCCCCCTCTCTGCACTCCTTTGTGTCCTCTCTCTTGCATCTTCCCTTCTGCCACTCACTCGCTCACTCCTTTTCAGCACAGGCAGCTCTTGGCACCGCTTTTAAAAGTGTTTCTGAACAATAAAAAAAACAAATTCAAAAATGGGCAAAGGGCTTGAATAGACATTTCTCCAAACAAGATATACAAATGACCAATAAGCACATGAAAAGAGGCTCAACATTGCTAGTTATTAGGAAAATGCAAATCAAAACCACAATGAGATAGCGCCTCACACCCATCAGGATGACTATTATCAAAAAAGAAAATAACAAGTGTTGGCAAGGATGCGGAGAAATTGGGACCCTTGTGCATTGCTTCTGGGAATGTAAAATGGAACAGCCACTACAGAAAACAGTACGATGGACCAGGCGCGGTGGCTCACGCCTGTAATCCCAACACTTTGGGAGGCCAGGGTGGGCAGATCATTTGAGGTCAGGAGTTTGAGACCAGCCTGACCAACATGGTGAAACCCTGTCTCTACTAAAACTACAAAAAAATTAGCTGGGCATGGTGGCACATGCTTGTAGTCCCAGCTACTCAGGAGGCTGAGGCAGGAGAATCGCTTGAACCCAGGAGTTGGAGGTTGCAGTGAGCCAAGATCATGCCACTGCACTCCAGCCTGGGCAACAGAGTGAGAGTCTGTCAAAAACAAACAAACAAACAGCAACAACAAAAAAATAACAGTATGATGATTCCTCAAAAAAATTAAACATGGAATTACCATATGATCAGTAAGTTCTCTTCTGGGTATATACTCAAAAATAAATGAAAGCAGAGGCTCAGAGAGATATTTGCATACCCACGTTCACAGCAGTAGCTAAAACATGTTTATCGCAATAGCCAAAAAGTGGTAGCAACCCCAGTGCCCATCAGCAGATGAATGGATAAACAAAATGTGGTGTATACATATGGTGGAATATTATTCAGCCTTAAAAAGTAAATTCTGACACAACTACAACATGGATGAACCTTGAATACATTGTGATAAGTGAAATAAGCCAGTCACGAAAGGACAAAGATTGTGATTACACTTACATGAAGTTCCTAGAAGAGGTGAAATCATAGAAAATAGAATGGTGGCTGCCAAGGGCTGAGGGATGGGAAAAGGGGAGCTACTGTTTAATGGGTACAGAGTCTCAGGAAGGATGAAAAAGCTCTGGAGATGGATGGTGGTGATGGTTGCATAACAATGTGAATGTACTTAATGCCATTGAACTGTACAGCTTAAAAGGTTAAAGTGGTAAATTTTATGTTATGTATATTTTTACCTCAATTTTATTCCAAAAGTATATCTGTGTTTATGCCCTTCGTTACCCAGAGAGGCATTTAGAGGCTGGTTCCCAGGACTCCCAGGGGCTGTGTTCACTGTTTGGCAAACCTTTCCCTAGAATCCTCTTCGACCAGCAGCCCCTTGGAGGCCCCAACAATAGCTGACCCCTTGCATGGCCCTCATCCTGACTCTTCATCTTTCTATGCAGCATAGCAGTGGGACCCCATTAAGGACACTTCCTTTATCTAGCGTCTACTATGTGGCCAAGAAAGAGCAACCCGGGATGCATGACTTTTCTTTGTAAGTTTGGCATAAAATTAAATATAGATTCACTATTGCCCTTTTTCTTAACCGAGCTTCTCTGTCAAAAAAGCTAAACAAGGCAAGTAACAAAACAGTCTTAAGCACAGTGCCATTTTTGTTCTTATATATGCACAGAGAAATTTATGGATATGTACAAAGTGTTAATAACACCTACCTCTGACGGGGAAAATGAGCATTTTTTAAATTTGTTCCTTTCAAGGTCTTTTTGCACTGACAATGTATCAGTTTTGCAATGATGAAATAAAATAATGATTATTTTAAAAATACAAAACCCTGTGACCCGCAGGACAGGGAATAGCCTTCCGCCCACTGCCCCTGTCCTCCCACTGAGGTGCCAGTCATCACCTACCTGGGATGCAGCCTCATTTGAGGGAGGCCAGTATGACAGCTATCAAGTAAACTTTTACAGATTTTTACAGAAATGAAACTTTTGTTTTCAAATACATTCTTCTTTGAACAGATGTCATACTAGTAGGTGCCAATAAAAGTGTTCAGTGAGAAGAATTTATAACGATCTTTGATTACTAAGCAAAAGAGTTCAGTGTTTGAAGCAGGTTCTCCTAAGAGGGAGTCCTTCCCTTTTCCTTCCGTCCCTTCTTGCACCCTCCCCGCTCCCCAGCCTCCAACTCAGCAACCGATCTGCACCCCTACCTTGCCCTGACACACACACAACACACACACACACAGTGTGTGCCTGCCAGCCACCATGATCATGGAATCTTTATTAAAGAGGTCCAAATTACCAAGGTTTTACTACACTACTAAAAATAGTCATGCTTACTTAGCCTGTTTAATAAGCACACCATTTCTAATTTTTCTGCCTGAGTAAACTGAAACATCATTCCAGAAATACATTTTTACTGAAACAAGAAGGCTCGCTTTTTTCTTCTTCATCCATACACCGTTCTCTCTCTTTCCCCCTCCTCTGCCTCGCCTCCTGTATCTGTCCCCTGTGTCCCCCTCAGCTCCCACCCCTATCCTTTTTTAAGTTTCCAACATAAAGGGGAAAGTAACAGTAATTTGAACTTGGCTTTCACGCAAAATGGACCAATTTTTTTTAAGTGTTGGTAATTTGTCCTGAAAATGGATATCGGGAGTTGGGCTGGAAAGACTTTGAAGAATGGGGTTTTATGAGTGGAAAATGCGGCCTGAGCATGCGGGAATGCAAGCCGCCCCCCCTCCATGCCTGGGACAGTGCAGCACGTGTAATAATCGCAGCTAATAGCACCATTATTGCTATTATCACATTATATTATTATTCCTCATCAAAATCAGACAATGCTTATTAACCCATTTAATTGAACCAAGGGTTTAACATCCCAATGACTTCACAGAAAGTGCTTGGCAAACTCTCTAAGGCATCGTAGCCACAAAGTGGCTGGCCACTTCACCACCTGCCAGGCTGTGGCGGGGCCCAGCAAGGGTTTCCCCAAACCGTTCCCTCCTGTGGCCTATCTGGGAACTTTCCAGGACACACTGGGATGGATGCGCATCACCACCCAGACTCCAGCCTCTTTGTGCACACACATGCCCACACAGGCGCACACACACACACGCACACCTCTCTCCCGCTGGGTAAATGCAACTCAATAAAGGATACCCTTACACAAAAGACCCCACCCCAGGCACGGTGTGGCCAAGGATCCTTCCTCCATCCCCAAGCTGGCATTCCTATTGTCACCAAGGCCGGAATGAGTACAGGCACACACAATTCATGGTGAACCCCTGGCTTCTCCCAAGCTTGGCATTATCTCCACCAAGGCCTCTCAACTCTCCCACAGTCCAGAGCCCACAGTGGGGCAACTGAAGCCCACCCAGCCCCCCAGGCTCACAGAGACTCACCCAGCCCCTCCAGGCAGGGATATCCACTGAGCCCAGGCTGGTGGAGGGGCCTGGAGGAGGGCACGATCCCCTCGGGGAGTCCAGAAGCCCAAATCCTAGCCCGTGAGCTGGGCTCTTCCCAGGGCATGATGTCACCTCACAGAACCCCAGTAACCCTCTGTCAAGCGGGCATTGGCCCCACCTGCCTACCTCTTGGGATTTCCTGTCAGGGTTTGAAAAGACCCTGGATATGACCATTAAATATTGCTGTCAAGTAGGTTGTTGCTTCAGAAGCACAAAATTACTCATTTTCATCTCACTGACCTCGTACTGCTGGAGGATTTCTGAGTGAAGACGCTCTTTCTTGACCAACATGTCCAACCTCCCTCCCCTCCAGACAGGTTCCCCAGGGAAGCCTCTTGCTTTGCTTCCTTGGGGGTAGTGGCACTTCCAAGCCCCCAGCAGGGATGCTACACTGCCCCAGATCCTCCAGCAGGTCAAGAGCTCCCCCTTGGGTGAGAGGGAACCACGTCCCCCTCTGAAGTCCCTTAAGTCCTGGGCTTTCACCAGCCTCCTGCTCTGGCCAGCAAGGCCTAGGAAGACCCTGCCTCAGCCCACCCAGCCCAGCCTACCTCCGGGTGTGGTGGGGAAATGAGGGCCAGAGACAAGATCATGGAGGTTAAGAGCACGAACTTTGGAGTTAGGCAGAGCCTGGGTTTAACTCACAGCACCACCACTCATTCACTGCCACAGAACTTCTCTGAGCTTGTTTCCTCATCTGTAAAGTGGGGAAAATGTGAAAAGTTACATATGGTGTTTGGCACTGTGCCTGTGACAGATAGGCATAAAATAACTGCTGGGTCTCTTTGCTGCCCTCCTCCTCCCTCCCTCCATCAGGATTCTAAAGCTGGCATATCTCAGGCAGGCTGATCACTGGCATCCAGGTGTCAGGGACGACCCTGCAGTCCACAGCCCTCCCCAGCTGGTGCTACGAAAATAAATATCTATGGGTAGAGGAATTAAGGTCTGATACAAAGTAGGATACAAAAGGTCAAGGGTGACAGCATGAGAAAGGAGAAATCAAGGCTAATGGGAGCAATCTGGGAAAGCTTCCTGTTAGAGGGAGCCTGGTACTCAGCCTTAAAAGACAGGCAGAACTGGGATGGGTATGCAGGAGTAGAGGTGAGACTGAGCCAGGCAAAGAGGATCCCTGGCCTGGGAGGCATGGGAAGAGGAAGGAGAGACAGAATAGAGAGAATAGAGGAGCCTTAGATGCCAAGTGAGGGGGATACAGCCACCCTCAGAGGCAGTGGGAATGAAATCCAGCCAGGTCACTGCTTTGCTTACCACGATTCCCATCCCTTAAAGGCCAAACTGCCCCGCTGAGCATGTGAGCCCCTCAGGATCTGGCTCCAGTCTACTGCCCTAGCCTCCAGTCCCCCCACCCCTCACCCCACAGCACAGGCTGCAGCCACACTGACCTCGGCACTCCCTTAACCCTCACGGAGCTCCTGCCATCTTTCCTTTGTGCATTTGGTTCCTTCTGCAGAGAATGCCCTTCCACCTACCACAGGGACACACATACAATGTTTTCAAGGTAAAAACTGTTGTTTTTCCTGATCATAAAATACACACTCATTCTTAAAATTCAAAAAGTTCAAAAAAGTGTGAGGACAAAAGTCGAGATCCCCCAAACCACTATGAATATTTTTATGATTATCCTTGCAGATGTCCTTCATCAGACATAATGTCTATATGCTCATTCTATATGCTCACTCACTATTACTTAAAGGATGCCAGATCCCATGCTGCTCTAGAAAGCCACGTTTTTCACTCAATAAAATATCAAGAACATCTTTTCTTATCAAGAAATCATTACTTTTAATGGCCACAAATATGGATTCATAATAATATAGCCAGTTCCTCACCAATGAGCATTTAGGTGATTCCTTATATTCCTATTATAACAAGCCACAGTAAACATCCTTATCCATGTGTCTCTGTGCATTTGACATTTATTTAGCTCCTTGGGATAATTTCAAGAAGTAGAATGATTGGGTCCTAGAAGCACACATATAAAATCTAATCCACATTGTCTTATGAGAAGGCCACACTTACTTGCATTGCCAAAAGTGGACAAGGGTGTCCATTCTCCACACCCAGGCCTATCCTAGGTTTTTTGCTTGTTCGTTTTTGTTTTTTGAGACAGAGTCTCACTCTGTTGCCCAGGCTGGAGTGTAGTGGTGCAATCTCGGCGCACTGCAACCTCCGCCTCCCGGGTTCAAGCAATTCTTCTGCCTCAGCCTCCCGAGTAGCTGGGACTACAGGCGCGTGCCACCATGCCCAGCTAATTTTTGTATTTTTTTTTTAGTAGAGACGGGGTTTCGCCATATTGGCCAGGCTGGTCTTGAACTCCTGACCTCGTGATCCGCCCACCTCAGCCTCCCAAAGTGCTGGGATTACAGGCCTGAGCCACCGCGCCCGGCCCGATCCTAGGTTTTGTCTATCATCTTTGCCACCTAAAAGAGAAAAAAAAAAACCTCTCACTGCCACTTTATGTGTGGTGTTTTATTTATTTCTCCCTTTTCTTTTTCATTTTAATGCAGATGGTGTCGCATATGTATAGTTCTGCAGCTAGCTTTTTCCACCTGATAATGTTTTCTCTCCTTTTCCACTTGCCTTTTCAAGGGTCAGATAAAAAACTCCAGCCAAGAGTCTCTCAAGGCACCCCTTCCAGATGCCCACAGCTGCCACTCCTGCTGATCGAGTTATGAGTGGGTGCAAGGGCAGGCAGAGGAAACTGCCTGCAAGTCGCCACCCTAGAGGGCCAGCCTTGTGGGCATCCGGACACCGACCAGGCTGGTGCATCCTGCCTGCTGTGACCTGCTCACGCCTGCTTAGCACATCCCATCTGCAGCCAAGCCTCCACCATGTGGGCCTGCTGTACTGAAGCCCAGGGAAAGGCGATGTCAAGCCAAACCTCTCTCTCTGCCCAGGCTGTAATTTCCTGATTAGACGCCGCAGTCACCACCCTTTCTGCACACACTGATTTCTTCCTGCTGTCCTCCCAATCTCCCGGCTCCCGGGGCTCCCAGGGCCAGCAGACTTCAGAGCCTGGACCAAGCAGTGAGAAGGTGCCAGTGAACTCACTGGCCAACCAAGACCCGTCTGTGCAACCACCGCCCCCTTCTCAGAGTTAGGCCCCTCTCAGAAGGGAATCATGGCTTGGTTCTTAAAGTTGAAAAAATAGCTGCTTCAGTAAGAAAGAATAAGGTTGCTATGAGGCAGTAGAGCAGAGGGGCCTGTGTTCAAATACTGACTCTGCCCTTTAATGATAACCTTGGCCCAGTGAGTCTGAGTGCTGGCTTGCCTGCCTATAAAAGGGGACAACAATTCCTTGGAAGATTGTTGTGTGGCACCATAGCAGTGGCTAAAGAGCCAGACACACTTGGTTGTGAATCCTGGTTCTTCCCCCTTAGTTGTACAACCTTGGGTAGGTTACATCACCTCTTTGAACCTTAGTTTTGCCACCTGTTTAATGGGAATAAGTGTTGTTATGTGATTGAAGTCATACATGTGAAAAAATCTTATAAACAGAAATACTGGCAAAACAGAAGGCAGTATTTCCACAGTCAGTAAGGAGAACAGGCTGTGCCGTTGAAGCTCTGGCCTGACCTCTGTTTGGATCCCTCCTTCTCTGGGCCAGCATCAAGTTTTTTTTCTTTTTCTTTTTTTTACATTTTAGAGACGGGGTCTCACTATGTTGCCCTGGCTGGTTTCAAACTCCTGGCCCCAAACTCCTCCCAGCTCAGCCTCCTGAGCAGCTGGGATTACAGGTGTGAGCCACCATGCCCAGCTCCAACGTCAAGTTTTGAAGAGTTCTTTTTATCTCAGGCCCTGATCCCAGGGATCGAAGTAGCACTGGAGAGAGAAGAAGTCAGGGGCAGTGTTCCCCAAATGCCAAGTTGGAGGGCAGCGAGGTTCCGCTGCTGCGAGAACACCACCATGGTCCCATCACCAGTTCACACAGGTCCCAGTCACTCTGTAGTTTCCCAAGAGTTTTGAAACAGGCTCTTCATCACCTTCTGGTTTCTTCCACACTTCCCTTCTGATACTTTAGTTTCATCTTGCAAGAAGACAGTCATACCTGGTGCCACCACCCTCTGGTATGCTTCACCTGGAGGCCCCTGATCCCAGCTAAGGGCTCAGTCCATGGAAAGCCCTCTTAGCATTTCCCACTGTTAACCCAGTAGGTCTCTATTATGCAGGGTGATCTTTTATATAACCTGAATATAACCCAGACTCCACCTGGTCTAATCTATCCATAGGGCTTCATTTTTAAAAGGTAGAGCAACCAAAAATAATTTTTAGATAATTCCAATCATCATTTGCCTCTCTCAAAGAACACCCATAGGGATCCCACTGTTAACCCACAAGGACACTTAACCTTAACCCCCTCCTTTATCCTGTCTCCAGGACATGCCCACCAGCTATATCATAGCTGCTGTCCACAATTCCCAGACTCTCAGCCCTCAGATTTTGCTTCCTTCTTCCCTCCATTTTCCCGGCTCCCTGTTGTGTTTTCATCCAACCTCGCTGGTCTTTTAACTTTCCCTCTGTTTTGCCCATTGACCAGCATGGAGGAGAATGCAGGAGCTGGCTGAGAAAGCAAAAATACTCCCCTTTCCCTCTAGCTCTGCAGGCCTGGCTCTCCACCATTCTCCTAATGCCACATCACACAAAGCCTACAATAAAGTCAAACATAGAACTTGGGGCAGGTGTAGCCTGTGGCCGACCAAGCACAGACAAAATTCTTTGTAGCACAGTATGGGGAAGAGTGGGGATGCCCGTGTGTTGATAGATTTTTGCACCGTCACATTTATCTCCTTCCCCTCTTTCCAACCCCTGTGACTATAATCAGAACAACCTCCTCTCTTTTCTGAGTAGCCTAGTCAGGAATTCAGAACCATCGTCTCTCTTGAGGGCCTGTAGGACAACACAGCAGACCCATCTGGGGCCAGGGACAAAGCCTGACACAGGCAGAGATGCCCAGAGAGCCAGACCTGACCTGTTGAAGGCCAGTTTGCTCTAGGAGGTGTGCTAAAGCATTTGAAGAAAGCCTCAAGGGGCACGGTCTCCAGAGTCCCAGTATCAGATTTCTAGGGGCTGTTGGAATGGACAGGGGCATTCACATTCTCAATCACTGCCTCGATCTCCACAATACAGGGCCTGCTTCCTGCTGGTGGAATCAGAAAGCAGTTTTAAAAAAAGAAAATCCAGCCACCTTCCAAACACCTCCAGCCTTGAATTCCAGATCCATCCCACAAGAACTGGGGGAGGGCTTGGGCATGACCAGGAGGAGACTCGGGCCCAAGTCCCCTGTATCCCACTGTGGCCCCCAAACCATCAGACTGGCAGGCTGGAGACGAAGGAGCCATTTAGGGTCAACCCTACTAGATCCCAGGGTCGGGGGAGGGTGAGGAGGGTCCTGCTTTCCACAGCCAGGCGTGGGTAAGCAGAGCCACTTCTGCCCCAAGCAAATCAATTAAAGGTCTTGGCCAAGCCTGTTTGAGTTGGTGAGAGCCCAAGTGGGAATTCCAATCTGCCGTGTTTGCTCTGCAGGCGAATAGAGCCAAACAGAAATGCTGCTTTGTGACTTTGTGCCAAATATCCATCAGCTTGCTCTGCCAGCAGTGCTGGGCCGGCCCTGTAAACGTCACCTCTGCCCCCACCAGCTCTCTGCTCTCTGAAAGCCTTCTTCTTGTGCCCTTAAAGTCAGCTTGCCTTTTGATACAATTTGGATGTGTGTCCCCTCCAAATCTCATGTTGAAATGTGACTCCCAATGTTGGAGGTGGAGACTAGTGGGAGGTGTTGGATCATGGGGGCGGCTCCCTTGTGAACGGCTTGGTGCCCCCACTTCGTGATGAGTGAGAGCTCACTCTGTTAGTTCACTCGGGAGCTGGTTGTTTAAAAGAGTCTGGTAGCCCTCCTCCCCTCTCTCTTGCTCCTTCTCTCACCACATGACACACACGGGCTCTGCTTTGCCTTCCACCATGAGTAGGAGCTTCTTGAGGCCTCACCAGAAGCAGGTGCTGCCATGCCTCCTGGACAGCCTGCAGAACCATGAGCCAAATAAACCTCTTTTCTTTTAAATTGCCCAGCCTCCAGTATTCTTTTATAGCAACACAAAATGGACGAATGCACCCTCCCACACCACACCCTGGTGGCTGTGCCCAAAGTCTGCCTTCCTAGGCATGGGATCTAGGCCTTCCAGATCTGACGTGCCATCTGCCTATTCTGAACCAGCTCCATCCTGGGACCCATTCATACCCCTGTATAGTTCATGACCTCTGCATCCTGCTCTCAGCTCCATACTTTCCCCACCAACACCAGCGTCAAGCTCGCCTTGTCCTTCTCAGCCCCTGACCAGCACAGCCCACTACACGTGCCCCCAGCAGAGGCGCAGGGCTGACAGTGGGGAAGGGTGAACCATGAGTTGACTACCTCTTTTCTCACACCTTACAGAGATTTGATCCTTGCACCCAGTCATTTTATCATCGCATTTCTCACAGGAAATAGGTGAGGCTTGAAAGACCAGACACTTTACCCAAGGTCTCCCTAACAGGGAACACAGGTGTCCCAACTCCAAAACCATGGCACTTTCTACCTTGCCCCACTGAGGCCAATTTTTAAATCTTTTTTTCACTCTCAGATGCCTAGAGCAATTCCAAGGATTCCTGATGAGAGTAGCTGGATATGTTTTAGCGTTCCCATGGCTATGTTGGCACACCCTGTGTGAGCAGCTGGCAATGTCTGCTTTGCCCCGGCCCTGAACTGGAGCCATTGCCTGGGGCCTGCCTGCCCTACTAATGGGGCTGCACCCACAAGAGCACCCCTGGAAGCCCCAAGCCTGGCGTCATCCCTGGACCTGTCAGACCCAGAGCAACTCCCCCTGTCATGAGGGGCACAAACACCCTATCTACCCCAGCCCAGCTTCAGGGCATGGACACAAAGCTCTCTCCGTGCCGGAAGTGGCCAGGCATTTCCTGCCCTCAGAGGATTCCCCCACAGCACCTCAACAGGTCTCACCCTGAAGAGCCATCCTTCTTTCACACTGTTTTCATGATGCTCAATGTGGCCCTGATTCTCTCTACGCAGTCCCCCCACCCTGAATTCAATGATTGTCACTTCCTCAGTGGCTGGATGACTGTCTTCCCTACAAAACTGTGAGCACCAAGAGAGCCAGGGAGAGACCACGGGTTTCTCATCATAGAAGCCCCAGCACCCAGCATAGCTCAGTAGATAGCAGTCGGATGTATAGATGAAACCAGGAGGACAGGTTCCTACGGCCCCTGTCCTGTGGCTTCAGGGGTGCCACCACCCAGGGCTGACTGTTTGTGTGGCCACTCTCCGCTCTACCCCATGCATTTTCTGCTAACCTGAATCCCCAGTGTGGGTATGGGGCCTTTCTGCACCCAGCTATAGGTCCCAGTCCCAGAACACCCCTCCCCCTCTGTGTGAGGTGGCACTGCCAAGGTGACAGGCCTCGGGCATACTCTCCAGCAATGGTGTAGAGTGGGCACTGCCAGGCCTCTGGGCTGGCCAGTCTGAAGCAAGGAGAGTCACCTGTGCTGTGCTACCCTGCTGGGGCCTTCAGATGGTTCCATCATGGCTAAGCCAGAGTGGTGCCAGGACCTTGATGGCCCTGGTAGTCATTTGGCTAGGAATGACAGAGAAAATGCCACCTTTTAAGTGAAGAGTCCTACCTAACCATATGAGGCAGCAGCCCACAGTGCTGATGATGCCACCTGCCCTGGGCTCTGTGCAAGGTGCCCTGGCATTGCCAGCAGGCCACTCCCCCAGATTGAGCTCCAGGCCCACACGACAGAATCCTGCCAGTCCTAGCAGCACCCCTTAGGCTGAGCCTAGGGGAACTCAGAGTAGCCTTCCAAAGAAGGGTCTCTGCAGCAGTGGGCCCACAGAGAGAGATGTGACTCTGTCAGTATGAGAACACCCACACCCAGATCAACAGGGCCACACCAGCTCAAGGGGGCCATGTGCTTTGGGGGGTAGCTGGAGGCCCTCTTGGTCTGTGGTCCTCAGGCAGCTTCCCCAGGTCCTTGCTGCTAGGTCCAGGGAGCCTAGAGCCAGCATGGGCCCTGGATCTGGCCTCTGGCCAGGACAAGTCTTGAGCTTCCCTCTCCCCATTCCCTAGGTCTGCATGTCCTGTGGTGGGGGACGGGGAGTTGGCTCTGGGGAATCACACTTCATGAGCACCTGTCCAGGCCCAACTCTAAAAGGTGGGGAAATGCCATAATCACAGCAACTCTGGAGAGGACAACTCAGAAAGCCTGTGTTTAATAGGGACCTGTCATGGTCTGCAAGGCTCTCGGCACATGGGTGCCCCATGCCCAGCTACTTCTCATCCACCTTTTCCAAGGACTGGGGCTTCTCCTGGGGCAAGTCTTCCAGCATTAGGCTCAGCACATGCACGATCTCATAGTACAGCTCTTGAAGCCTGAAAAATGGAGCAGGAGGAGATAAGATCTGAGGTCAGAGGCAGGCTCCAGGACCCCCTGGCCCCACTGACCACACGTTTGCACCTGCACAGGTGTAGGGTCAAAGAAGAGCAAGGACTTCAGAGCCAGATGAGGCTGGGTTGGAATCTTGGATCTGCCACTCTGCCTGGGGCCCCCTGGAGCAAAGTATTTTACTTCATGTGTCAGGTGGAAATAAATTCTTAGGTCCTGAGAGAAGTAACTGTGTGGAGGTGCCCAGAGAGTGACTGACCCCTGCTGGGCCAAAAGTGGGCATTCCCCAACAATGCCTTCCTTTTTGGTTTCTCCCATCTCTAAAGCCCTCCAAGCAGCTTTCATTGAGAAGCCAGGCTAATTATATCTGTCCTCACTGAAGAGTCCACTGTAGCTCCCTAGTGCCCACAGCCCACCGTAGCTCCTGATGCCCACAGCCAGGTTTTTACATCCTTCCTGCTCAGTAATGGCTGCTCATAATCCCAGCTGACTCACACTGAGCACAAGCCCTGGGCCAGGCCACACTCAGAGCTTCACATATACTGTTTTCATTGAATCAGCCCAGTAGCCCCTCATGTGACAGATGGGAAAGGGGCAGAGAATTGCCCAAGGCCACACAGGAAGGTAGTGGCACAACCAGGCCAGAAGCTGAGGCTACCCAGTGGTCTTTCCTCTGCACTCTGAAAAGGGGTTAGTGAGGAGAGGCCTGGAGACTTCAAGGAGCTGGCATTTACATACAAGTCAAGGTGGGTTGGGGAGGGGCAGGAGGGGCAGATTCCCCCCAGCCATGGCCCGTCCACACAGCAGCCCAGCCCCTGTGTATATATGGAATCCTGTAACCCCAAGAAAGCCATGTTCCACCCACCCACTGCCCATCAGCACTTCAGTCATCACCCCCTTCACTCTCCCAGGGCACCTGACACAGCCCAACCTCGAGGAAGCCCTAGGGACCAGGGAAGGCTGGGGCTGGAACTGACTTGTGGACAGTTGTGTCCTGGTAGTCCAGAGTGGAAAAGTAGATATCGATGAAGGGTAAGCTAGTGCCAAAATCATCCAAGACCATTGGGTCAGTGTGGCTCAAGGTCTTCTTAAAGTTCTCCACCAGCTCACTGAAACTTGTGCAGTCAGCATTTTTCTAGAGAGGAAAGCATAACGAGAGAGCAGTGATGAGGAGGTGACAGCCGAGCTGCACAGAGACATGGAGACTCTCCAGGATGGGCCCCAGGCAGCGGCCTGACCCTGGTCCTGGAAGGAAGCTTCAGCCTTGTCACAACTTCATCCTGACCCCTTCTGAACCTGGACTCCGGGGTGAGGCGGCCACCATTGAGGACAGGCAGCACATGAAGTCCAACTGAGGCTCAGCGCAGGCTCTCCCAACCCTGGACGAACCTTGGGCACGGTGAAGACAGGCACATGTCTCCACCCCAGAGAAGAGGACAAGGAGAGACACACCCACCAAGGGAGGGAGGCCCAGCAGAGCACCCAAAGCTCAGCATGGGAGGCTTAGAGCACTCAGGCTCAGGGGGAAAATTCACCCGGGTCCCTCATGGTTGCATCATGCTTGACAGAAAATCTCCAGCCTGGTTTGCCCATTCTTGTTCTGGGTTTAGGAATGTGAGAGAACCAAGGTTGTCTGGCACTCTGTCAGAGCCTCTGCATCCTCGTCCACTCAGTGGCCTGGGGCCATGGCTGCCTGGCATCCAGTGAGTCCCCAAGAAGAAGCCTCAGCACAGATTGCCTGGCCCCAAAGGGCCCAGCAGTGGAGTTCTGCCCACAACAGAGGGAGACATTATAATCACAGTACTCAACACTCCGAGAGGTCCAGAGAAACACAAAAATGCCGAGAATAAAGGCTGATTCTATAAAACATTGGAGGAAGGCAGCTGTCTTACCTAAGGCTGCAGATGCCTGAGGCCACCTGCTCTCTACACAGGCACCACGGCCCCTCCTCCTGGCCATCTCATCAGCCTGACGATCCATCCACCCATCTGTCCACCTGCCTGCAGGGGCCACTCACCTGTATGTGCATCAGCCTGCTGATCTCCTCCTGCTGCCGCTGCAGAATCACCTGCTTCTCTCCCATGAGCATCTCCTGCTGCTCCAACATCAGCTCTCGCTCAAACTTTCTGATGGAGTCCTAGAGAGTCAGACGATGGAGGTCAACTACAGGCTCTCGCTACATGCCCAGACCCAGTCTTTCCTCTTCCCCAGTCTTGCACCGCTGCTCAGGCCCTCAGCAGGAGCACTTTTCCCCACACAGGGCCAGCCGCCACTCAAGCTGCCAACTGTAGCTGCAGAGGCTTCTTAAGCCCCACCGTCCTGTTGACCACCATCAGCAGGCAAGGCAAATGCACTGGCTCAGGGAGGAGAGTTGGGCCGGGTGAGGGACAGGTCCATCTGGCCACCTCTACTCCACTTCATTGGGAAGACACAGCTACACAGCTCCAGGTCCTCCCTGGAGACTTGCCCTACAGCTCCATCTGCCACACCTGCCCTGACCTCCGATCCTCACAGGTGTGGCCTCACCTCTGTGTGCATGATCATCACACCCACGAACATGTTGAGGAAGATGAAAGAGGCGAGCAAGATGAAGATGATGGTGAATGCCCGGCTCAAAGCAAATTCCCGATTGTCCAACTGCTTCTGCAGGTCTGTCCAGCCATCAACCTGCTCAGGCAGGGAAGAGTATGCTGAGGGCCCAGACCCAGTGGCACAGGCCTCCTTTTCACCTATGCTAGAGGAGTCCCAGGCCCACTGAGGAGAAGGGTGGCTCCGCTTCCACGTCATCCCCTCAACACCTCCCAGTCCACTGGCTCCAGCACATACGTGATGGCCTGGGAATGCAGAGCACCCCTGGGTGGGGATGCTATTGACCAACATGCCTCGAGGTCTCTTTTCTCAAGGCCTCCCAACCTTCCCAGAAAGACACTGCCTCTCTGCCAGGCCCACCTTTAAAAAGACCCCACTCTTTCCAGAGTCCAACAGAATCTAGATTTCTAGATTTGGGTTTTGCATGCTTCTTCTAGGTGGATTTGTGACAGCCAATTCCCCAAAGGCTATATGACATGGGTTTCATTTATAAATTAAACTTAATCCAAATGAATTATCATTTGAGGACTCTGCAAAGTTTGATCACCCTGTGAGACATGTGGAAGCACTATAAGGAATCACAGGCCTAGAGACAGCGATGGAGCCCCGTGCAGGGTGCTGGCTTGTGATGGGGAACAGACCCCAGCTTCCCTAGGCCCAGATGAGTACCTGGACATGAGGAAAGCCCCATGTGAGGCCCCACATGTCCACACGCTTGCACCACCTAGGCTGTCCCTTCCTAAGGCCCCTGCCCTCACCACTGTTCCCAAACACAGTACCGTGGCCAAGCTGAAGAGGGTGAAAAAAGCTGCAGCCAGGTTCCCCCAGTTATCATGGTCACCATTGTCTGGAGATCCAAACAGGCAGAAGCCCAAGATAGCGAAGATGTACATGAGGAGGAAGAGCAGGAGGAGCACAGAGGCCACGGTGTAGACTGTCTGCCCCACGGCGGTGATCAGCGTCTGCAAGGCAGGGACACTGTGGTAGGCGAGGGTACCACCAAGCTGGGTGGGCTCCAGGGACAGAGGTCCATTCTGCCCAGTTCACAGCTGTCCCCAGCAACTGTTGCCATGCCTGGCACAAGGTAGATGCTCAATAAGGGTGGGTGGGTGGGTTGGTTGGTTGGTTGAATAAACTAACGAATTAATGAAGTGAATCAGAACTGTGCCCAGATTGAGGGCTGGATCAATTTAACAGTGCTTTACCAGTGTCTGACATCCACCCTCAGTCAATTCTCTCAGGTCTGAGGTGACCACTCCACTTGAACCCCAACCTGGCTGTGTGGTCATCTCAGGGCGTCCTGCTTTTGCTTCTCAGCTGAGGGCCAGCCCTGAATGCTCTCTGCCCCGGGCCCAGGAGGAGTAGGGGAACGACTCTGGGAGTGAGTATACAGAAGGCCGAGAGGAATGTGGCTCCCTGGTCCTTGTCGACCCCGTCTTCACAGGTAGGTCCCTGTCTTGTAACCTCAGTCTTGCCCCGTATGAAGTGGGCATTTGTCTTATCTCCCCGCTACATTGCCCATTTCTGGGGAGCACCGTGTATGACTCCTTATCATTCATTCTTCCTGCTCTGGAGTCTTGCATGCAGTAGTCACTCAATGCATGTTCACCTACCTAGACGTTTCACAGACATAACCTCAAGGTAGGTAGGTGTTATCATTCTTCCCACTTCAAAATGAGCCGTCAGAGGCTCAAAGAAGCAAATTGTCTTGGCCAGGGTCACACTCCAATACAATGGCAGAGCTGGGACCAACTCTCAAAGCCTTTGCCCCATGCCACCACCTTCAACCACTAATGACCCTGAGCACAGAGACTGTTTACTGGCTTAGTACTAGGAAAGGAGGTCCTTAGAGCTAAGAAACAAGGCAGTACAGTTTGGACAGTTTGGGGTAACCTGGGAAACAGAGGCAGTCCAAGAGCCCTGGGCTGCCCTCCATGCGGAACGGTTTGGCGCTGCCTGCAGGGGTGAATGCACACCAGATGCCTCCCATCTCTCCTTGGGAAAAGAAAATAAATGTTTTTGGATTAATTGCAAAACAGCTGAGATTTTATTATTATTATTATTATTATTTTTTTTTTTTTTCGAGACGGAGTCGCTCTGTCACCCAGGCTGGAGTGCAGTGGCGCAATCTCGGCTCACTGCAAGCTCTGCCTCCCGGGTTCATGCCATTCTCCTGCCTCAGCCTCCCAAGTAGCTGGGACTACAGGTGCCCGCCACTGCGCCCGGCTAATTTTTTTTTGTATTTTTAGTAGAGATGAGGTTTCACGTGTTAGCCAGGATGGTCTCGATCTCCCGACCTCGTGATCCACCCACCTTGGCCTCCCAAAGTGCTGGGATTACAGGTGTGAGCCACGGCGCCCAGCCGATATTTTTTTTTTCTTAATGCCTTCCTCCCAACTAAACAGAGGCAGAACTTCTTTCCCAAGGACTAAGATGAAAGCAGTAAATCCTCATGAGAAAAGCTGTGATGAGATATGGTCTGCAGATCAGGTTTTGAGTGGGAAGGGAGGAACACTGGGTGGTAGAATCCAAAGCCTGTGCAGAAGGGTTGCGGAGAGGCCTGGTTGGGCCTCCCACCTCCAGGCCAGCCCACAAGCTGGTGCCACCTGAGGTCCAAGCTGAGCAACCTTTAGAGCAGCAGTGGAGGAACAGACACGCTCTCCTGGGAGCCCCATAAAGGACCCATGACAGCTAGAGTTGGCCAAGTTCTTTAAGCACAATCCACGCAGGCCCTCTTAGGGTGCAGTCCAGAAAGGTGCGGAAATCCAGTCCTAGGAGAGGGTTGCCCAGTTCCCCTTAGGCCAGTAGCTCCCTCCTGAGGAAGTTCTAAGTTTTGAGGCCCATGGTCTGGCCCCCATTGGATGTGTGATTTTGAATTCCCAAATTCTTTTGGGGGGGCAATTCCCTGTACCCAGTTCAGCTCTCCCGGGCTCTGGATCAAGCCACAGCCCTGGGGCATTCTGGATGTGGAAAGGAGCTCCAGGCAAGGCAGGTGCCCAGGCCCAGTGCTTGGAGGGACCCCTCCTACACAGCCCATTGGATGTGTGGAAGATGATCTGGCCCCAGGAGGAGGAGGCAGGGAGGAAGGGGGACTAATGCTCACATCACAGCCCAGCATCTGAAGGTTGCTTCCGGCTGAAATGCTGATGAACATTTGTGCATCTCTGTGCAAAACAGCATTTCCTCATGGTGCAGGTTCATTGTCATAGGTAGAAGGCAGAGTGTCATTTTAATTAATCAGGGGTCAGGAGCCAAGAATGCGCCAGAGCGCCATCTCTGGGCTCTGAGATTGTAGCTCTTTATTTAAGGATTCCTTTAGACTTCAATTAATAGAAATTAGCCCAGAGGTACAAGTCCCGACCATGGGCAGGTCCAGCTCCCCATGGCCAGCAGGCCAGCCAACATTCAGAGGGCATGTTATCCAGGGTCACTTCTGTGCCTCTGGGGATCTAGGGTCCCATGACATCCCAAGGCTACAGGAGAGCCACAGCTCAGGGTGGCTGGTGATCCCCAGGGAATCACTCTAGGATGCAAGGCCCTGCTTAATGACAGAAAAACCATGAGGCCAAACCTGTGGTGCATGCGTGTGTGCCTGTTGCCTCTGCATGCCCAGGGTCTCTGTGCATGCCTGCAAGGGCCAAAGGCTGAGCAGTCCCCAAGCAGGCCGGCTTGCTCTGGGATACAGCCCTTGGCCAGCAGGAGCCTTTGCCTTCTAATCAGGCTGCCACAATACAGCCAAGACGGTGCACTAAGCCAGCAGCAAGTGCCCCCAGCCTTGAGGTGCCAGTCTGGGTCAATGCCCCTTTCTTCCAAGATGGAAGCCCTCCCTGCCACCAGTCCTTTTTGCTTCCCTCCTCCCTGTGTGGTCCTGGGTCTCCTTTTCCTCAGCCCCCTGCCCTCCGCCCTGTTCCTCGCATGATTCCCACTGGTCTCTGGCACCCTCATTCCACAGTTCCTCTCTCCTGGCCTCACCTGAAAGTCCTCTCTCAGCAGAGGACATCACAACCCAGTTCCCCTCTCCAAGAAGGCTGCCTATCCCCGACAGCCCTCAGATTCAGGGGGCCACCATCTACCTTATCCTGGGATCCCCTGTTTTCACAGGCACAGACCCTGCTTTTGGGCAGGGCCAACCTTCCAGCTTCCCCCTCTCCCTCATGTCTTGAAGTCTCTGCCTCCAGACTCAGTACCTCCTTCTCCAGGCAACCCTGCTGTCAGCCTGGGGACCTTCCACATCTTTATGGAAGATGCCAGGCCTCTTCACCCCTGGACTTCCCTCTCTAGTGACCCTGGTGCCACTCCTGGCCCCTGCTCCCTTGGTGCCCAACACCTGGAAAAACCAGATTACACTTCCCACTGCCAGATCCCGCCCTCACTCTGGGGTGCCCATCTGACCATGAACACCTCGGGCCTCCAGTCTTCTTTCCCGTCCACCTGCCTTCCTCTCATCCCTGCTGACTCCAGTGCCCAGCACCTTACATACTCCCTTCCTCTTAGGACACACTGCAAGGTCTGTCTGTAGCCTGAAAATGGGGAGCCACCCTCAGGCTTGAAACCTAGGATGCTATGATTGGATGTGCACTTTCAAGATCCTCCCCACCCCACACGGGCATTTCTGTTCCAGGGCTCCCAGTAGTGTGGGACGCCAATGCAGGAATCCAGGTGAGGCTGATGGTGACAGGAATGAAGAGATGTGGACAAGTCAATAACCACTGAGGAGGCCACACAACAAAGCTTGAGAGAGGAGTCTAAGCTGACAGTCAAATTTATGACTTGGCAACTGAATGCGGGTGGGGGACCCCTCTTTACCAAAAGACGAAATACTGGAGGAGATGATGGCTGAATAAGAACAACTCCAGTCTATAGCTCCCAGTGTGAGTGACGCAGAAGATGGGTAATTTCTGCATTTCCAACTGAGGTACTGAGTTCATCTCACTGGGGCTTGTCGGACAGCGGGTGCAGGACAGTGGGTGGAGCCCACTGAGTGAGAGCCGAAGCAGGGCGAGGCATCGCCTCACCCAGGAAGCACAAGGAATCAGGAAATTCCCTTTGCTAGCCAAGGGAAGCTGTGACAGACGGCGCCTGGAAAATCGGGTCACTCCCACCTAATACTGCACTTTTCCAACAGTCTTAGCAAATGGCACACCAGGAGATTAATATCCCGCACCTGGCTAAGAGGGTCCCATGCTCACGGAGACTTGCTTATTGCTAGCACAGCAGTCTGAGATTGAACTGCAAGGCAGCAGCGAGGCTGCGGGATGGGCGCCTGCCATTGCTGAGGCTTGAGTAGGTAAACAAAGCGGCTGGGAAGCTCAAACTGAGTGGAGCCCACAGCAGCTCAAGGAGGCCTGCCTGCCTCTGTAGACTCCACCTCTGAGGGCAGGGCATAGCTGAACAAAAGGCAGCAGAAACTTCTGCAGACTTAAATTTCCCTGTCTGACAGCTTTGAAGAGAGCAGTGGTTCTCCCAGCACGGAGTTTGAGATCTCAGAATGGACAGACTGCCTCCTCAAGTGGGTCCCTGATCCCCGAGTAGCCTAACTGGGAAGCACCCCCAAGTAGGGGCAGACTGACACCTCACATGGCCGGGTGCCCCTCTGAGATGAAGCTTCCAGAGAAACAATCAGGCAGCAACCTTTGCTGTTATGCAATATTCGCTGTTTTGCAGCCTCCACTGCTGATACCCAGGCAAACAGGGTCTGGAGTGGACCTCCAGCAAACTCCAACAGATCTGCAGCTGAGGGTCCTGACTGTTAGAAGGAAAACTAACAAACAGAAAGGACATCCACACCAAAACCCCATCTGTAAGTCACCATCATCAAAGACCAAAGGTAGATAAAACCACAAAGATGGGGAGAAACCAGAGCAGAAAAACTGAAAATTCTAAAAATCAGAGCACCTGTCCCCCTCCAAAGGAACGCAGCTCCTCACCAGCAATGGAACAAAGCTGGATGGAGAATGACTTTGATGAGTTGAGAGAAGAAGGCTTCAGACGATCAAACTTCTCCAAGCTAAAGGAGGATGTTCGAACCCATCACAAAGAAGCTAAAAACCTTGAAAAAAGATTAGACAAATGGCTAACTAGAATAACCAGTGTAGAGAAGGCCTTAAATGACCTGACGGAGCTGAAAACCATGGTACGAGAACTACGCGATGCATGCACAAGCTTCAGTAGCCGATTCAATCAACTGGAAGAAAGGGTATCAGTGATTGAAGATCAAATGAATGAAATGAAGCGAGAAGTTTAGAGAAAAAAGAGTAAAACGAACAAAGCCTCCAAGAAATATGGGACTATGTGAAAAGACCAAACCTATGTCTGATTGGTGTACCTGAAAGTGACAGGGAGAATGGAACCAAGTTGGAAAACACTCTGCAGGATATTATCCAGGGGAACTTCCCCAACCTAGCAAGGCAGGCCAACACTCAAATTCAGGAAATACAGAGAACACCACAAAGATACTCCTCGAGAAGAGCAACTCCAAGACTCATAATTGTCAGATTCACCAAAGTTGAAATGAAGGAAAAAATGTTAAGGGCAGCCAGAGAGAAAGGTCGGGTTACCCACAAAGGGAAGCCCATCAGACTAACAGCTGATCTCTCGGCAGAAATTCTACAAGCCAGAAGAGAGTGGGGGCCAATATTCAACATTCTGAAAGAAAAGAATTTTCAACCCAGAATTTCATATCCAGCCAAACTAAGCTTCATAAGTGAAGGAGAAATAAAATACTTTACAGACAAGCAAATGCTGAGAGATTTTGTCACCACCAGGCCTCCCCTAAAAGAGCTCCTGAAGGAAGCACTAAACATGGAAAGGAACAACCAGTAACAGCCACTGCAAAAACATGCCAAATTGTAAAGACCATCAAGGCTAGGAAGAAACTGCATCAACTAACGAGCAAAATAACCAGCTAACATCATAATGACAGGATCAAATTCACACATAACAATATTAACCTTAAATGTAAATGGGCTCAATGCTCCAATTAAAAGACACAGACTGGCAAATTGGATAAAGAGTCAAGACCCATCAGTGTGCTGTATTCAGGAGACCCATCTCACGTGCAGAGACACACATAGGCTCAAAATAAAGGGATGGAGGAAAATCTACCAAGCAAATGGAAAACAAAAAAAGGCAGGGGTTGCAATCCTAGTCTCTGATAAAACAGACTTTAAACCAACAAAGATCAAAAGAGACAAAGAAGGCCATTACATAATGGTAAAGGGATCAATTCAACATGAAGAGCTAACTATCCTAAATATATATGCACCCAATACAGGAGCACCCAGATTCATAAAGCAAGTCCTTAGAGACCTACAAAGAGACTTAGACTCCCACACAATAATAATGGGAGACTTTAACACCCCACTGTCAATATTTAACACCCCACTGTCAATATTAGACAGATCAATGAGACAGAAAGTTAACAAGGATATCCAGGAATTGAACTCAGCTCTGCGCCAAGCAGATCTAATAGACATCTATAGAACTCTCCACCAAAAATCAACAGAATATACATTCTTCTCAGCAACACATCGCACTTATTCCAAAATTGACCACACAGTTGGAAGTAAAGCACTCCTCAGCAAATGTAAAAGAACAGAAATTATAACAAACTGTCTCTCAGACCACAGTGCAATCAAACTAGAACTCAGGATTAAGAAACTCACTCAAAACCGCTCAACTACATGGAAACTGAACAACCTGCTCCTGAATGACTACATAACCTGCTCCTGAATGACTACATAACGAAATGAATGCAGAAATAAAGATGTTCTTTGAAAACAAGGAGAACAAAGACACAGCATACCAGAATCTCTGGGACACATTTAAAGCAGTGTGTACAGGGAAATTTATAGCTCTAAATGCCCACAAGAGAAAGCAGGAAAGATCTAAAATTGACACCCTAACATCACAATTAAAAAAACTAGAGAAGCAAGAGCAAACACATTCAAAAGCTAGCAGAAGGCAAGAAATAACTAAGATCAGATAAGAACTGAAGGAGATAGAGAGACAAAAAGAAACCCTTCAAAAAAATCAATGAATCCAGGAGCTGGTTTTTTGAAAAGATCAACAAAATTGATAGACCACTAGCAAGACTAATAAAGAAGAAAAGAGAGAAGAATCAAATAGACACAATAAAAAATGATAAAGGGGTTATCACCACCAATCCCACAGAAATACAAACTACCATCCGATAATACTATGAACACCTCTACACAAATAAACTAGAAAATCTAGAAGAAATGGATAAATTCCTGGACACCTACACCCTCCCAAGACTAAACCAGGAAGAAGTTGAATCCCTGAATAGACCAATAACAGGCTCTGAAATTGAGGCAGTAATTAATAGCCTACCAACCAAAAAAACTCCAGGACCAGATGGATTCACAGCCAAATTCTACCAGAGGTACAAGGAGGAGCTGGTACCATTCCTTCTGAAACTATTCCAATTGATAGAAAAAGAGGGAATCCTCCCTAACTCATTTTATGAGGCCAACATCATCCTGATACCAAAGCCTGGCAAAGACACAACAAAAAAAGAGAATTTTAGACCAATATCCCTGATGAACATCAATGCAAAAATCCTCAATAAAATACTGGCAAACCGAATCCAGCAGCACATCAAAAAGCTTATCCACCATGATCAAGTGGGCTTCATCCCTGGGATGCAAGGCTGCATCCTATGGGACGCAACATATGCAAATCAATAAACGTAATCCATCATATAAACAGAACCAAAGACAAAAACCACGTGATTATCTCAACAGATGTAGAAAAGGCCTTTGACAAAATTCAACAGCCCTTCATGCTAAAAACTCTCAATAAATTAGGTACTGATGGGACGTATCTCAAAATAATAAGAGCTATTTATGACAAATCCACAGCCGATACCATACTGAATGCGCAAAAACTGGAAGCATTCCCTTTGAAAACTGGCACAAGACAGGGATGCCCTCTCTCACCACTCCTATTCAACATAGTGTTGGAAGTTCTGGCCAGGGCAATCAGGCAGGAGAAAGAAATACAGAGTATTCAATTAGGAAAAGAGGAAGTCAAATTGTCCCTGTTTGCAGATGACATGATTGTATATTTAGAAAACCCCATCGTCTCAGCCCAAAATCTCCTTGAGCTGATAAGCAACTTCAGCAAAGTCTCAGGATACAAAATCAATGTGCAAAAATCACAAGCATTCCTATACACCAATAACACACAAACAGAGAGCCAAATAATGAGTGAACTCCCATTCACAATTGCTTCAAAGAGAATAAATACCTAGAAATCCAACTTACAAGGGATGTGAAGGACTTCTTCAAGGAGAACTACAAACCACTGCCCAGTGAAATAAAAGAGGATACAAACAAATGGAAGAATGTTCCATGCTCATGGATAGGAAGAATCAATATCGTGAAAATGGCCATACTGCCCAAGGTAATTTATAGATTCAATGCCATCCCCATCAAGCTACCAATGACTTTCTTCAGAGAATTGGAAAAAACTACTTTAAAGTTCATATGGAACCAAAAAAGAGCCCGCATTGCCAAGACAATCCTAAGCCAAAAGAACAAAGCTGGAGGCATCATGCTACCTGACTTCAAACTACAAGGCTGCAGTAACCAAAACAGCATGGTACTGGTACCAAAACAGAGATATAGACCAATGGAACAAAACAGAGCCCTCAGAAATAATACCACACAACTACAACCATCTGATCTTTGACAAACCTGAGAAAAACAAGCAATGGGGAAAGGATTCCCTATTTAATAAATGGTGCTGGGAAAACTGGCTAGCCATATGTAGAAAGCTGAAACTGGATCCCTTCCTTACACCTTATACAAAAATTAATTCAAGATGGATTAAAGACTTAAATGCTAGACCTAAAACCATAAAAACACTAGAAGAAAACCTAGGCAATACCATTCAGGACATAGGCATGGCAAGGACTTCATGTCTAAAACACCAAAAGCAAGGGCAACAAAAGCCAAAATTGACTAATGGGATCTAATGAAACTAAAGAGCTTCTGCACAGCAAAAGAAACCACCGTCAGAGTGAACAGGCAACCTACAGAATGGGAGAAAATTTTTGCAATCTACCCATCTGACAAAGGGCTAATATCCAGAATCTCAAAGAACTTAAATTTACAAGAAAAAATCAAACAACCCCATCAAAAAGTGGGCAAAGGATATGAACAGACACTCTCAAAAGAAGACATTTACACAGCCAACAGATACATGAAAAAATGCTCATCATCACTGGCCATCAGAGAAATGCAAATCAAAACCACAATGAGATACCATCTCATACCAGTTAGAATGGCGATTATTAAAAAGTCAGGAAACAACAGGTGCTGGAGAGGATGTGGAGAAATAGGAACACTTTTACACTGTTGGTGGGACTGTAAACTAGTTCAACCATTGTGGAAGACAGTGTGGCGATTCCTCAAGGATCTATAACTAGAAATACCATTTGACCCAGCCATCCCATTACTGGGTATATACCCAAAGGATTATAAATCATGCTGCTATAAAGACACATGCACATGTATGTTTATTGTGGCACTATTCACAATAGCAAAGACTTGGAACCAACCCGAATGCCCATCAATGATAGGCTGGATTAAGAAAATGTGGCACATATACACCACGGAATACTATGCAGCCATAAAAAAGGATGAGTTCATGTCGTTTGTAGGGACATGGATGAAGATGGAAATGATCATTCTCAGCAAACTATCACAAGGACAGAAAACCAAACACTGCATATTCTCACTTATAGGTGGGAACTGAACAATGAGAACACTTAGACCCAGGAAGGGGAACATCACACACCGGGGCCTGTCATGGAGGGGTGGCGGGGAGGGATAGTATTAGGAGATATACCTAATGTAAATGACAAGTTAATGGGTGCAGCACACCAACATGGCACATGTATACATATGTAACAAACCTGCACGTTGTGCACGTGTACCCTAGAACTTAAAGAATAATTTTTAAAAAAACAACAAAAAAAAGAAATACTGGAGGGGAAGCCAGGGTTTGGGATTTGAGGTTGGGGATGGGGGTGAGTGACAACTTCAGTTTAGACACATCAAATTTGAGAAGCCTGTGAGATGCCCAGAGGGCAGCTGGGTCTAAAGGTCAAAGAGAGAGGGGTAGGCAGGTGGAGGGTCCTGGAAAGTGGAAAAGATCACCCAGAGAGAATGTGCAGAGGGAGCAGAGGAGGAGAACTCAGGGACCATCCCGAGAAAACAGCGTGTATGAGCCAGGCAAAGGATAAACGCTCCTGAGAAGTCAGGCTGGAGGAAAACCAAGAGAAAGCAGTGACAAGGATGCCAAGGGAACTGGCCACTGGATTTGGAGACAAGGAGGCTGCTGGCAACTTCAGAGAGGCTAGATATTCTGGAGTGTAGGGAAAACAGCTAGGGCATAAATGACGGACAGGGAAGTGGGACTGGAAGTACAGACACCTTTCCCCAGAAGGTTCGCCATGAAGAGAAGGAGAGGGAGGGCTGGACTGCGTTGTTTGAGAGGGGACACACACAGGCAGGCGTTTGTTTACATGACAGCAAGAAACAAACAAAGGTGTGTATGCAGCAGGGGAGACCTCTAACGTTCCCCTTCTCTTTTCTACCCAGGCCTGGGGCTCCCAGAGTGTGGGGCCAGGCCCTAGACGGCCAGCCACCCAAGCCCAGGCGAGGGGCAGCCTCCGGCAGGACAGGACGACACACCCCGACTGAACACGGGAACCCAGACCAGCCCCCACCTGGAGAAGGATGGACACTGGGTGCAGAGCTAGGTGAACCTACGGTGCACAGGACAAGTGCCTGAGGGCACGATTCAAGGCAGGGGGGCAGCCCTGAGGTTCTTTCTGAAGCCTCTGAGTCAAGGGAGTGTTGGTCATGGTTTTCAGCAACCCAGAAAGACTTCTCAGCAGGAGTAGCCCTTCCAGAGCCACCTTAACGAAGCACAGAGACTATTTCCAGCAAGAGAGCAGACTCAGCTGTTTGGGGAAAGCAGCTAGTGGCCTGGGCCACCAAAAAGCCAAGGCGTCCTGGGCATGTAGTTCAAAGGATGCATAGCATAAGAAAATCAGGCACTTTGCAGCATGAGAGAGAGGAAAAGTTCAGACGTGGCCTCTGGAGTCAGGCACGCCTTTCAAATCTCAGCTCTGACATTGCACCGCTGGGTGACCTTGGGCTTCAATTTCTTCATCTGTAAAATGGAGCTAATAATACCATTCTTAGAATTGTTTTAAGATTAAATGAGATAATATTGGTAAAGATCAACCTGCCACACACGTTGGACTCAACAACTGGAAGATGGTAGTAGAGTCATTATTTCCTTAGTGTCTTGGGGGCAAATGGGCCTACGGCCTGCCCTCCCAGCACCATGACACCCCCAGTGCACTCACCCGGATGCCCTGGCTATAGCCGATAAGCTTGAGGATGCGCAGGGACTGCATGCCATCAGCGATATACAGGTAAGTGAACTGTTTGCCCATGAGCTGGCGGAGGGCATAGGGTAAAAACATAACGATGATAATGATCACATCCAGCAGGTTGTAGCCGTTCTTCCAGTAGTTGATGGGGTCCACATAGACCTTCATGGACAACTCAGATGTGCAGATGGACACAAAGAAGATCTCCGAGAACTACAGGGGTAGCAAGGGTTGGAGAAGTCAGATCGAGCTGCACAGCCCTAGAGCTCTGGCCTGCTCCCTGCGTGAGCCCCGGAAGGGGTGCTCCTAAGTCACCCACATGAGAGAGAAACCCAGGCAGAGTTTCTGGCACACAGCACACGCTCAGTGTGCCTGATTCCCTTCCCCTTCTCTGTCCTCCCTACCCCGTGGCCCTACACCTGGGGCTGGGTCTGACCCTGGGTACTTGGGAATGACTGCCTGGCAGACAGAATGACTGTATAAGCTCTAGCATACTGCAACTCAACCTGAATATAAGGTTTCCCAAGGGAAGGTCCCAAGAGTTTTCTGACCAACATGAATATACAAACTTTTAGGAATATAGATGAAATACTCAGATATCTACTTATGTTTAATCTATTAACTTAATCATACATATTCAATCTGTTTCTGAAGAATATTCTTTTACACTTTATGAACGAATCTTCTTCAAATTCTTTTCATGCATCTACAACTCTAATGGCTTTGTTTTTACCAAGAAGTACTCTTTGTGTCATCTAAGTGTTTCCTTCCCATCAAAATGGACTTATCTTGACTATCATGCAAATCCATTCATTCACTGGAAGAGCTGTGACTGAGCACCCACCCTGTAACAAGCAAACATCATTTTAGGCACCGGGAAATGCAACAATGAGTAAGGCAGAAAACGTCCAGCCCCCGGGAAGCTTACAGTCTAGTAGGAGAGACAGAAATAAATGCTGGAACAAATGTATATAGAATATAATGTCAGGCAGGAAGGAAAATAAACCAGCCAAAGAAGATAAAGGGACTCGCCAGGTTGGAGGAGAAGAGGAAGTCCTAGCAGCTATTTTAGAAAAGATGGAAGCAACCAAACACAGAAGGACAAATATCACATGTTCTCACTCATATGTGGGAGCTAAAAAAGTGGATCTCATGAAGATAGAGAGTAGACTAGTGGTTACCAGAGGCCAGGAAGGGCAGGGGATGAAGAGAGGTTGGTTAATGGTTACAAATACACACCGAGAAGAAATAAGACCTAATGTTCAATAGATCAGTGAAGTGACTATAGTTAACATCAATCTATTGTGCATTTCAAGATAACTAGAAGAGAATAATTCAAATGTTCCTAGCACAAGAAAAAGATAAATATTTAAGGCAATTATCCTGATTTGATTATATGAATGTATCAAGTAGCCCAAAATATGTACATCTAATATGTATTGGAAGGAAGGAAGGAAGGAAAAAGAGAGAGAGAGGGATGAAGGAAGGGAGGGAGGAAGGAAAGAAAGAAAGGAGGCAGAGAGGAAGGAAGAAAGAAAGGAAGGAAGGGAGGGAGGTAGGGAGGGAGGGAAAGAAAAGGTGGTCGACAGAGGTCTCGCTGAAGCCAGGAATTGAGACAAAATAAAAACTGGGGGAACACTTTGAGGAAGTGAAGAAATGGTGAGTCCAAGAGCCCCAGGGAGAAAAAGAGGCTGTTCAAGGAACAGCAAAGTCAGCATGGCTAGAACAGAGAGAGAGAGAGCAGAGCAGCAGAGGTGGTTAGACAAGCAAACTGTCATGCCTTGTAGGCCTGGTGAGGACTTTGAATTTTAATCTCAGCCTCAGAGGATTTTGAGGAAGGAAGTGATCTGAACTAATTTACATTTTTAAGATATCTCACAACAATTCTTGTATGTTTTATTGTACACATGTCTAAAGTATCTCTCAGATATATACCTAGGAGTGGAATTACTGCGTTGTAGGATATGAACATCTTAACTTCACTATATATTGGCAAATTGTTTTCTGAAGTTATTGAACCAATCTACTTTAATATCAGCAATGTTCCTCTTGTTCTACATCTTTGCTAACACTTTGACTATCAGACTTCATCAATGTGACAAATATGAAATAGTATCCTATTTTTAAATTTTCATTTCTCTATTAATAAAGTTGGGCATTTTTATATGTTTAAATTATGAATTGCCTGTTTCTAATCTTTTGCCAAATTTTCTGCTGGATTGTTTTGTCTTTTTCTTATTGATCAGGAAGACATCTTTATACATTTTGAATCCTAATGCTTTGCCTGTTATATGTGTTACAAATATCTTCTCCCACACCGACTTATCACATTGACTTTTCACCTTTTTTATAGTTTTTTTTGAGACAGAGTCTCAATCTGTCACCCAGGCTGGAGTGCAGTGGCACAATCTCAGCACACTGCAACCTCCGCCTCCCAGGTTCAAGCAACTCTCCTGCCTCAGCTTCCCAGGTAGCTGGGATTACAGGCACCTGCCACCACGCCTGGCTAATTTTTGTATTTTTAGTAGAGATGGAGTTTCACCATGTTGGCCAGGCTGATCTCGAACTCCTGATCTCACGTGATCTGCCCGCATTGGCCTCCCAAAGTGCTGGGATTACAGGTGTGAGCCACTGCGCCTGGACAGTTTTATATGTTTATAATTATACCTTCCATGCAGGTAAACCATATAGTCCAGGTTAGTTTGTTTTGGGCAGTAGAAATTTTAAACTAAGACAATGCTTTATAGCCATTAAAGGATATATAATGTTTATTTCAAGTTTTTGCTTATTGAGAATCAGTTTTATAATTTTTTTTAGAAAATTATCTATTTCAGCTAGGTTTTCAAATTTATTGGCATAAAATTGTTAGACTTCTGATATCTACCGTATCTGTACTTCCCTTTTTAATTCCTAATTTAGGGCTTCTATTTATCTTGATCGTCTCATGAAGAAAGTTCTTTATTTTATAATTATTTTCTGTGATCTAACTTTGACTTTATTGATATTTTCTTTTTAACTATTTTGTTGATACTATCATTTTTAACCATTTTAAGGTGTACAATTCAGTGGCACTAAGCACATTCACAATATTGTACAACTATTACTACCATTTCCAGAAGGATTTCATCATCCCAAATGGAAACTCTGTACCCAATAAACAATAAGTTCTCATTCCCCTCTCCCCGCAACCCTAGGTAATCTCTAGTCTACTCTCTGATGGTATGAATTTGCCTATTCTAGGTATCTCATATGGGTGAAACCATACAATATTTGTCCCTTTGTGTCTGGCTTTTTTCACTTCATGGAATGTTTCCAAGGTTCATTCCATGTTGTAGCACGTGGAATAGAATGCAGAATTCTATTTCTAGCATGTGTTGGTTTCTGATTTAAAAATAGAATTCTATTCCTTTTTAAAGATGAATAATATAGCATTGTATGCATCTACCATATTTTGTTTATTCATCTGTTGATGGGCATTTAGGCTGCTTCCACCTTTTGCCTATTGTGAATAATGCGGCTATGAACATGTATGCACAATACAAGTATCTGTTTGAGTCCCCACTTTACAATCTTTTGGGTATATACCCAGAAGTGGAATTGCCAGATCGTGGAATACTATGTTTAACTTTCTTAGGAACTGCCAAACTGTTTTCCACAGTAGTTGTACCATTGTTACACTCCCACAAGCAATGCAGTTCTAATTTCTCTACATCTTCACCGACACTTGTTAGTGTCCATTTGTTGTTGTTGTTTGTTTTTTGAGATGGAGTCTTGCTCTGTTGCCCAGGCTGGAGTGCAGTGGCATGATCTGAGTCTCACTGCAACCTCTGCCTCCCAGGTTCAAGTGATTCTCCTGCCTCAGCCCCCCAGGTAGCTGGGATTACTGGTGCCCACCAACACACCTGGCTAATTTTTGTATTTTCAGTAGAAATGAGGTTTCACCATGTTGGCCAAGCTGGTCTCGAACTCCTGATCTCAACTGATCCACCCGCTTCGGCCTTCCAAAGTGCTAGGATTACAGGTGTGAGCTACTGCACCCGGCCCCATTTTTTGTTTTTTTTAATAATAACTATTCTAATAGGTGTGAAATTGTATCTCATTGTGGTTTTCATTTGCATTTCCCTAACGACTAGTGATGTCAAACATCTTTTCATGTGCTTATTGGCCATTTGTAATATCTACTTTGGAGAAATGTCTATGTAAGTCTTTTGCCCATTTTTAGATTGGGTTGCTTGTTTTGTTGATGCTGTTGTTGAATTGTAGAAGTTCTTTATATATTCTAGATATCAATTCTTTATCAGATATATAATTTGCAAATATTTTCTCTCATTCTATGGATTGTCTTTTCACTTTTTTTTTTTTTCAAAACAGGGTCTTGCTCTGTCATCCAGGCTGGAGTGTAGTGGCATGACCATGGCTCACTGCAGCCTCAACCTCCCAGGCTCAAGCGATCCTCACACCTCAGCCTCCCAAGTAGCTGGGACCATAGGCACATGCCACCACACCTGGCTAATTTTTGTATTTTTTGTAGACAAGGTTCCATCAGGTTGGTCCAAACTCAAACTGGGCTCAAGCAATCCTCCCACCTCGGCCTCTCAAAGTGCTGAAACTACAAGCATGAACCATCATACTCAGCCTCTTTTCACCTTCTTGATAGTGTCCTTAGATGCATGAATGTTTTAATTTAATGAAGCCCAATTTGTCTGTTTTTTCTTTTGTTGTCTGTACTCTTAATGTCATGTGTAAGAATCCATTACCAAATCCAAGGTCATGAAGATTTACCCCTATGTTTTCTTCTAAAAGTTTTAGTTCTTATATTTAGGTTGTTGATTCATTTTGAGTTTGTTTTTGTGCACGGTGTGAGGTAGGTGTCAAACTTCAGTCTTTTGCATGTGAATACCAAGTTGTCCAAATACTATTTGTTGAAGAGACTACTACTCTTTCCCCATTGAATGGTCTTGACCCCGTTATCAAAAAATCAATTGACCATAGATATTTGAATTTATTTCTAGATTCTCAGTTCTATTCCCTTGGTCTATATGTCTATCCTATTGCTAGTACCATGCTGTTTTGATTACTATATCTTTGTAGTAAGTTTTGAAGTCAGAAAGTGCAAGTCCTCCAACTTTGTTCCTCGTTTTCAATATTGTTTTAGCTATTTGGGGCCTTTTACATATCCATATGAATTTGAAGATCTCCTTTTCCATTTCTGTAGCAATAAAAAACACTATTGGAATTTTGACAAAAATTGCATTGTATCTGTAGATTGCTTTGAAAAGTATTGCCATTTTAACAAGATTAAATCTCTTCCATGAACACAGGATGTCTTTTCATTTATTCAAGTCTTCTTTAATTTCTTTCAGCAATGTTTTATAGTTTTCAGTACTCATCTCTCATCACCTTAAATTTTTTCCTAGGTATTTTATCCTTTTGGATGCTCTTGTAAAGATAATTTTCTTAATTTCTTTTTCAGATTGTTAATTGATAGTGCATAGAAATACAATTGATTTTTTTCAGCTAATACAGTACAGAGAAAAAGAGAAATATAATTGATTTTGTTGTTAATCTTGTATCTTGCAACTTTGCTGAATTTGTTTAATACCTCTTGTGTGTATGTGAGTATATGGATTCTTTTAGGATTTCCTATATATAAGATCAAGTCATCTGCAAATAGAGATACAGGCATCCCTTGTTTTATTGCACTTCACTTTATTGCACTGTGCAGATCCTGCAGGTTTTTCACAAATTTAACTTTCGTGGCAACCCTACATCAAGCAAGTCTATTGGTGTCATTTTTCCAACGGTGTGTGCTTATTTCATGTTTCTGTGTCATATTTTGGTAATTCTCACAGTATTTCCAACTTTTTCATTATTATTATATCTGTTATGATGATCTGTGATCAGTGATCTTTGATGTTACTATTGTGAAAGGAAAATATCTTGGGCACTGAAATTACTAAGCTAAAGGGAGAAGTCAAGCTGAGAACTGCTTAGGGCAAACCTACCTCTCATTCTATTCAAAGTCACCCCTCTGCTCACTGAGATAAATGCATATCTGATTGCCACCTTTGGAGACGCTAATTAGAAACTCAAAAGAATGCAACCATTTGTCTCTTATCTACCTAGGACCTGAAAGTCCTCCCTGCTTGAGCTGTCCCGCCTTTCCAGACTGAGCCAATGTTCATCTTACATATGTTGAATGATGTCTCACGTCTGCCTGAAACGTATAAAACCAAACTGTGTTCTGACCACCTTGGGCACAAGTCGTCAGGACCTCCTGAGGCTGTGTCACAGTCATGCATCCTCAACCCTGGCAAAATAAACTTTCTAAATTTGCTGAGACCTGTCTCAGATTTTCGGGGTTCACGCTATTTTAATTGCTTGGGATGGCATAAACTGGATCCATATAATACAGCAAACTCAATGAATGTGCATGTTCGGACTGCTCCACTGACCAGCCATTCCTCCATCTCTCTCCCTCTCCTGGGGCCTCCTTATTCCTTGAGATGTAACAATATTGAAGTTAGGTCAGTTAATAACCCTACAATGATCTGTAAGTGTTCAAGTGAAATGAAGGGTTGCAAGTCTCTCACTTCAAATCAAAAGCTAGAAATAATTAATCTTAGTGAGGAAAGCATGTTGAAAACCTAGACCTCTTGCACCAAAAAGTTAGCCAAGTTGGGAATAGAAAGGAAAAGTTCTTGAAGAAAATTAAAAGTTATTCCAGTAAACACATACATGATAAGAAAGCAAAACAGCCCTATTGCTCATATGGAGAAAGTTTTGGCAGTCTGTACAGATCAAACCAGCCACAACATTCCTTAAAACCAAGGCCTAATCCAGAGCAAGGCCCTAATTCTCTTCAATTGTTTGAAGTCTGAGAGAGAGAAGGAGGCTGCCGGAGAAAAGCTGAAAGCTAGCAGAGGTTGGTTCTTGAGGTTTGAGAAAATAACTTATCTCCACAACATAAAAGTACAAGTGCTGATAGAGAAGCTGCAACGCCTTATCCCGAAGATCTAGCTAAGAGAATTGATGAAAGTAGCTACACTCAACCACAGATTTTCAATGTGCAAAGTAGATAAAAAAGACTTATATCTGAAGAAGAAGCCATCTAGGACTTTCATAGCTACAGGGGAAAAGTAAGGCCTGGCTTCAAAACTTCAAAGGACAGGCTGACTCTCTTGTTAGGGGGTAATGCAGCTGGTGACTTTAAGTTGAAGCCAGTGCTCATTGACTATTCCAAAAATCCTAGAGCCCTTAAGAATGATGCTAAATCTACTCTGCCTGTGCTCTAGAAATGGAATAACAAAGCCCGGATGACAGCATATCGGTTTACAGCATGGTTTATGGAATATTTTAAGCTCACTGTTGAGACCTATTGCTCAGAAAAAAAGATTCCTTTCAAAATGTTACTGCCCATTGACAATGCACCTGGTCACCTAAGAGTTCTGGTGGAGATGTATAAAAAGATGAAGAAGTTGTTTTCAGGCCTGCTAATAAAACATCCATTCTGATCAAGGAGTCATTTCAACTTTTAACTCTTATTATTTAAGAAATACATTTCATAAGGCTATAGCTGACATAGTGATTCTTCGGATGGGTCTGGGTAAAGTAAATTGAAAACCTTCTGGAAAGAATTCACCATCCTAGATGCCATTAAGAACATTCAGGACTCACAGGAAGAGATCAAAATATCAACATGAACAGGAATTTGGAAGAGGTTGATTCCAACCCTCGTGGATGACTTTGAGGGGTTCAAGACTTCACTGGAGGAAGTAATTGCAGATGTTGTGGAAATAGCAAGTGAACTAGAATTAGAAATGGAGCTTGAAGATGTGACTAAACTGCTGCAATCTCATGATAAAACTTGAAGAGATGAGGAGTTGCTTTTCATGGGTGAGCAAAGAAACTGGTTCCTTGAGATGGAATCTACGCCTGGCGAAGATGCTATGAAAGTTGTTGAAATGACAAGAAAGGATTTAGAATATTCCGTAAACTTCGTTGATAAAAGCAGTGGCAGGGTTTGAGAGGATTGGCTTCAACTTTGAAAGAAGTTCTACTGTGGGTAATATTTCAACAAACAGCATTACTTGCTATAGAAAAATCTTTCATGAAAGGAAGAGTCAATTGATGTGGCAAACTTCCTTGTTGTCTTATTTTAAGAAATTGCCACAGACACTCCAGCCTTCAGCAACCATCATCCTGATCAGTTAGCAGCCATCAACATCAAGGCAAGACCCTCCACCAGCAAAAAGATTATGTCTTGCTGAAGGCTCAGATGATTGTTGGCATTTTTTAGCAATAAAGTATTTTTAAATTAAAGTATATACTTTTTTAAGATCTAATGCTATTGCACACTTAACAGACTACAGTATAATGTAACCTTAACTTTTATATGTACCAGGAAACAAAAAAATTCATGTGACTCACTTTATTGTGGTGGTCTGGAACTTAATCCACAATATCTGAGGCATATCCATAGCTTTACATCTTTCTTTTCAATTTAGATGCCTTTTATTTCTTTTTCTCGCCTGATGACTCTGGCTAGAACTTTCAGTACAATGTTAAATCGTGGTGAAAGCAGTCATATTAGTCTTGTTCCTAATTTTAGGGGGAAGGCTTTTCGTCTTTCTCAATTAAGTCTGAAGTTAACTGTGGGTTTTTTCATAAATGCCCTTTATCAAGTTAAGGAATTTCCTTTCTATTTGTAGTTTAATTTTTTTTGTATAATGAAAGAATGCTGGATTTCATCAAATGCTTTTTCTACATCAACTAAGGTGAATTTTTTTCCTTCACTCTACTGGTGTATTACATTGATTGATTTTTGTATTTTGAATCACCCTTGCTTTCTTGAGATAAATCCCACTTGATCGTGGTGTATAATCCTGCTAAGTATGCTTCTGGCTCCAGTTTGTTACTCTCTCAATGACAATTTTTGTATCTATATTCTTAAAGAATATCTGTCTATAGTTTTCTTTACTTAATGATGTTTTGTGCTGGTCTCATGGATGAGCTCAGAAGTCTTCCCTCTTCTATTTCTTGGTAGAGTTTGGGAAGAATTGGTGTTAATCTTTCCTTAAATGACTGGTAGAATTCACATGTGAAACTACCTGGTCCTGAGATTTTCTTTGTTGGGAGGTTTTTGATTACTGATTCAACCTTTTGTTATCTGTTCTGATGGGTCAGTTTTCTATTTCTTCTTAAGTCAATTGTGTGCTGTCCATTTCATCTAGATTATTTAACTTGTTGGCATATAATTGCTTATAGTATTCTCCTATAACCCTTTTTGCTTCTATAAGATCAGTAGAAATGTCCCAAATTTCATTTCTGACATTAGTAATTTGAGTCTTATTTTCTTAGTCAATCTAGCTAAAGGCTTGTCAATTTGTTGATCTTTTTAAAGAACCAACTTTTGATTTTGTTCATTTTCTCTATTGTTCCTCTACCCTCTATTTTGTTTATCTCGTTCTAGTATTTTGTTATTTCCTTCCTTCTGCTAGCTTTATCTGCTCTTCTTTTTCTCGTTCCTTAAGGCATAAAGTTAGGTTACTGATTTGAGACCTTTCTTCTTTTCTAATGTCAAGCATTTATAGGTATAAATTTCCCTCTGAGCACTGCTTTCACTGCATCCTATGAGTTTTGTTATGTTTTTTATTTTCATCTTATATTTTCTAATTTCGCTTGTGATTTCTTCTCTGACCCATTAGTTAAGAGTATGCTGTTGGCTGGGCATGGTGGCTCACGCCTATAATCCCAGCACTTTGGGAGGCTGAGGCAGGTGGATCACCTGAGGTCAGGAGTTCGAGACCAGCCTGGCCAACATGGCAAAACCCCGTCTCCACTAAAGAATACAAAAATTAGCTGGGCGCGGTGGCATGCACCTGTAATCCTAGCTACTCAGGAGGCTGGGGCAGGAGAATTGCTTGAACCCGGGAGGCAGAGGTTGCAGTGAGCTGAGGTTGTGCCATTGCACTCCAGCCTGGGAGACAGAGCAAGACTTCATCTCAAAAAAAAAAAAAAAAAAAAAGGGTATGCTGTTTAAGGCCAGGCACAGTGACTCACGCCTGTAATTCCAGCACTTTGGGAGGCCGAGGTGAGTGGATCACCTGAGGTCAGGAGTTCGAGACCAGCCTGACCAACATGGAGAAACCGTGTCTCTACTAAAAATACAAAATTAGCTGGGTGTGGTGGCACATGCCTATAATCCCAGCTACTCAGAAAGCTGAGGCAGGAGGATCGCTTGAACCCAGGAGTCAGAGGTTGCAGTGAGCTGAGATTGTGCCATTGCACTCCAGCCTGGGCAACAAGAGCCAAACTCCATCTCAGAAAAAAAAAAAAAGAGTATGCTGTTTAATTTACACATATTTGAAAAATGTAGTTTTCCTCTGTAGTTCCGTTTCATTGCTGTCAGTGAAGATACTTTGTCTAATTTTATGTATATATATATTTAAGTGACTGGTAGAATTCATTATATATGTATATATATATGGCTGTGTGTGTGTGTTTCTTGTGTGTGTGTTTCTTTTTAAATTTTTTTAAAATTTCAATTGTTTTTTGTTTGGGGGGATTTTGTCAGTTTGTTTGTTTGAGACAAGATCTTGCTCTATCACGTAGTCTGGAGTGCAGTGACACAGTCATGGCTCACTGCACCCTTGACTTCCTGGGCTCAAGTGATCCTCCCACATCAGCCTCCCAAGCAGCTAGGACTACAGGCATACATCACCACTCTTTTTTTTTTTTAATAGATGGGGGTCCCATTATGTTGTCCAGGCTAATCTCAAATTCCTGGACTTAAGTGATCCTCCCATCTTGGCCTTCCAAAGTGCTGGGATTGCAGATGTGAGCCACTGCCCCTGGCCTATTTCAATACTTTTAGGGGTACACATGGTTTTTGGTTACATGGGTGAATTGTGTAGCAGGGAAGTCTGGGACTTTAGACTACCTATTAGGTGCAATGTACACTACTTGGATGCACCCATCACCCATGTAGGTGTGCATTGAACCCAATAGGTAGTTTTTTGTCCCTCACCCTCCTCCCAACCTCCCCCTTCTGAGTTCACTGTCTCCCCACAATGTCCATTATACCACTCTGTTTGCCTTTGCATACCCACAGTTTAGCTCCCACTTATAAGTGAGAATATGCAGTATTTGGTTTTTGAATCCTGAGTTACTGCACTTAGAATAATACCCTCCAATTCCATCCAAGTTGCTGCAAAAGACATTCTTTTGTTCTTTTTTAATGGCTGAGTAGTATTTCATCGTGTATATATATCACATTTTCTTTATCCACTCATTGGTTGATGGGCACTTAGGTTGATACCAATTCTTTACAACTGTGAATTGCACTGCAATAAACATATGCATGCAGACCTGGCACAGTGACTCATGACTGTAATCCCAGCACTTTGGGAGGCTGAGGTGGGCAGATCACTCAAGGCCAGGAGTTCAAGACCAGCCTGGCCAACATGGCAAAACCCCGTCTCCACTAAAAATACAAAAATTAGCCAGGCGTGGTGGCGTATGCCTGTAATCACAGCTACTCGGGAAGCTGAGGCGGGAGAATCACTTGAACCTGAGAGCAGAGGTTTCAGGGAGCTGAGATCGTGCCTCTCACTGCACTCCAGTCTGGGCAACAGAGCCAGATTCCATCTCAAAAAAAAAAAAAATGCATGCAGGTGTCTGATATAGTGATTTTTTTTTCCTTTGGGGAGATAGTCAGTAGTGGGATTGCTGGATTGAATGGTAGATACACCTTTAGTTCTTGGAGAAATCTCCATACTGTTTTCCATAGAGGTTGTCCTAATTTAGCTTCCTACCAGCAATGTATAAGCATTTCCTTTTCACCACAACCACACCAACATCTATGTTGCTTTTTGACTTCTTAATAATGGCTATTCTGGCTGGGGTAAGGTGGTATGTCATTGTGGTTTTAATTTACATTTCCATGCTGATTAGTGTCATATGGAGCATTTTTTCAAATGTTTGTTGGCCATTTGTGTATCTTCTTTTGATAAAAGTCTATTTATAGCCTTTGCCCATTTTTTAATGGGATTTGTTTTTCTTTCTAATTTCTTTGAGTTCCTTGTAGATTTTGGATATTATTCCTTTGTCAGATGCATAATTTGCAAATATTTTCTCCCATTGTGTATGTTGTCTACTTACTCTGATTATTTCCTTTGCAAAAGCTTTTTAGTTGAATCGGGTCCCATTTATACAATTTTGTTGCATTTGCTTTTGGGGTCTCAATCATAAACTGTTTGCCTAGGCCAATGTCCAGAAGAGTTTTTCCCAGGTTGCCTTCTAGAATTTTTGTGGTTTCAGGTGTTAGATGTAAGTCTTTATTCCATTGAGTTAATTTTTGTATATGGTGAGAGACAGGGATCCAGTTTCATTCTTCTACATGTGGCTAACCAGTTCTCCCCACACCATTTATTGAATAGGGTGTCCTTTCCCCAATTTATGTTTTTGTATGCTTTGAATATGGGTTGGTTGCTAAGTATTTGGCCTTATTTCTGGGTTCTCTATTCTTTTCCACTGCATCTATGCATCTACTTTTATACCAGTACCATGCTGTTACGGTTACTATAACCTTGTGGTATAATTTGGAGTTGGATAATGTGATGCTTCCAGACTTTTTCTTTTTGCTTAGGATTGCTTTGATTTCAATATTTTAATTTATTGAGATTTGTTGTATGGTCTAATATATAATCTATCCTGGAGAGTGATCCTTGTGTACTAGAGAAAAATTGTTTTATCTTCCTGATGAATTGATCCCTTTGTCAATATAATGTCCTTCCTTTTCTCTTAGAGCAGTTTCTGCCTTACTATCTATTTTGTCTGATATTAGTATAGCCACCCCAGCTATCTTTTGGTTTCTATTTGTTTGGAATATCTTTTTCCATCCTTTCACTTTCAACCTATTTGTATCTTTGGTTTGTTTCTTCATTTGTTTGAGACAGAGTCTCACTCTGTCACCCAGATTGCAGTGTAGTGGTGCAATTTCAGCTCACTGCAACCTCCGCCACCGAGTTCTAGCAATTCTCATGCCTTAGCCTCCTGGGTAGCTGGGACTACAGGCGTGCACCACCACACCTGGCTAATTTTTGTATTTTTAGTAGAGATGGGGTTTCACCATGTTGGCCAGGCTGGTCATGACTATTTGTACCTTTGAATCTAAAGTGAGTCTCCTGTAGACAACATATGAATGGGATTTTAAAAATCTGTTCATCTCTGCCTTTTAATTGGAGAGTTTAATCCATTTATATTTAAAGTAATTACAGATAAAGGACACACTTCTGCTGTTTTGCTATTTGTTTTCTATATGTCATATATTTTTGTTCCTCAATTCCTCCATTACTGCCTTTTTGCATATATACCTGATTTTTTTGTACTGTGCCATTTTGATTCCTTTCTCATTTCCTTTTCTGTACAGTTTTTTTGGTTGTTCCCTTAGTGCTTACCCTTTGGATTATAATTAACCTCTTAAATTTATAACAATCTATTTTTAATTAACACAACCTTAGCTTCAATAGTATATAACAATTCTGCTCTATACAGCTTCATCTCTCTCCCTTCATGTTTTTGTGATTATAAACTACTCCTTCAAACATGTGTGCCCATTAACTATAACATTGGTATTTTAAACCATATATTTTTAAAAAGAGTTACAAATCAAAATACACAATAACACTAGCTTTTGTATTTACTGATGCAGTTGCCTTACCCAAGTTCTTTATTTCTTTGTATGAGTTCAAGTTACTGTCTTGTTCATTTCCACCTACAAAACAACTTTTATCATTTTTTTGAGGGCAGGTTTACTAGCAACAAACCCTCTCATTTTTGTTTATCTGGAAGTCTTTATTTCCCCTTCATTTTTGAAGGATAATTTTGCTGAATACAGTATTTCTCATTGACAGTATTTTTTCTTTTATATTTTAAACATGGCTTTTCACTGTGTTTTGGCCTCCATAGTTTCTGAGGATAAATCGGCTGTTAATCTTATTGAGGTTTCTTGTATGTGACAACTTGCTTATCCCTTGCTGTTTTCAAGATTCTCACTTTATTTCTGGCTTTTGACAGTTTGATTACATGTCTTAGTGTGGCTCTTTTTATGTTTCTCCTTCTTGGAATTCATTGGAATTTTTGGATGTATATATTCATGTCTCTCATCAAATTTGGGAATTTGGGGCCATTATTTCTTTAAATATTATTTCTGCCTTATTTTCTCCTCTCCTTCTGGAACCCCTATTATGTGTATATTAGTATGTTTTATGGTGTCCCACAGTTCTCATAGGCTCTGTTCATTTATCATCATTTTTTCTTTCTGCTTCTCAAAGTGAACAAGTTCAACTGACCTGTCTTCAAGTTCACCAATTCTTTATTCTATTTACTCAAATCTGTTACTGAATCCCCCTAGATAACCTCCGTCTCCTGGGTTCAGGCAATTCTCCTGCCTCAGTCTCCCAAATAGCTGGGATTACAGGCCCTGCCATCAAGCCTGGCTAATTTTTGTATTTTCAGTAGAGGCAATGTTTCACCACATTGGCCAGGCTGGTCTTCAACTCCTGACCTCAAGTGATCCACCCACCTCAGCCTCCCAAATTGCCGGGATTACAGGCAGAAGCCACCGCACCTGGCCTCTTTGAGCATTTATTTTTAAAGCCTTTGTCTAGTAATTCCAATGACTGGGTTTCCTCAGGAAGAGTTTCTGTTCATTGTATAAGTCAGACATTTTTGTTTCTTTGATTGCTTTATAATATTTTGTTGAAAACCAAATGTTTTAAATATTGCAACGTGGTAAGTTTGGAAATCAAATTCTTCCCCCTCCTCATGGTTTGTTTTTGTTGCTTTATGTGAGTTGTATTTACTTGTTTAGTGACTTTTCTAAACTATTTTTGCAAAGAACTATATTCTTTGTTGTGTGTGATCTCTGAAGTCTCTATTTCTTCACTTTCTGGTCAACTAGTGTTTTGACAGGGATTTTCTTTCTATTTATTTTTTGAGACAGAGTCTCACTCTGTCACCCAGGCTAGAGTGCAGTGGCACAATCTCAACTCCCTGCAACCTCTGCCTCCCAGCTTCAAGCAATTCTCCTACCTCAGCCTCCCAAGTAGCTGGGATTACAGGCACCATGCCTGGCTAATTTTTTTGTATTTTTATTAGAGACAGGGTTTCACCATGTTGGCCAGGCTGGTCTCGAACTCATGACCTCAAGTGATCTGCCTGCCTGGGCCTCCCAAAGTGCTGTGACTACAGACATGAGCCACTGTGCCCGGCCAACAGAGATTTTCTTAAATGTCTCAAGCAAAAAGAAAGAAGGAAAAAAGGGAGAGAGAGAGAGGGTTTGGGGAAAAAATGAAGGGAAGAAGAGGGAAAGAAGAAACAAAAGAAGGAAGGGAGGAAAGAGGAAGAAAGAAAAAGGAAAAATAAAAAGAAATAAGAAAAAGAGAGCAAGAGAGAGAGAGAAAGGCCAGGCATTGTAACTCATGCCTGAATCCCAGTGCTTTGGGAGGCCAAGGCAGGAGAATCTCTTGAGGCCAGGAGTTTGAGAGCAACATAGTGAGATACTGTATCTACAAAAAACATTTTTTCATTACCTGGACATGGTGGTGTATGCATGTAGTCCTAGCTACTCAGGAGGCTGATATGTGGGGATCTTTTGAGTCCAAGGGTTTAAGGCTGATTGAGCTATAATCATGTCACTGCACCCAAGCCCAGGCAACAGAGTGAGACTGTCTGATAAAGAAAGGAGGAAAGGGGCCAGGCGTGGTGGCTCACACCTGTAATCTCAGCACTTTGGGAGGCTGAGGAGGGAGGATCATGAGGTCAGGAGATTGAGACCATCCTGGCCAACATGGTGAAACCCCATGTCTACTAAAAATACAAAAATTAGCTGGGTGTGGTGGTGCATGCCTGTAATCCCAGCTACTCGGGAGGCTGAGGCAGGAGAATCACTTGAACCAGGGAGCTGGAGGTTGCAGTGAGCCAAGATCACACCACAGCACTCCAGCCTGGTGACAGAGCAAGACTCCATCTCAAAAAAAAAAAAAAAAGAAAGAAAGAAAAAAAGAAAGGAGGAAAGGAAGGAGGGAAGGAGGGAAGGAGGGAGGGAAGGAAGGAAGAGAGGAGGGAGGGAGGGAGGAGGGAAAGAAAAAAAGAGAAAGGAGAATAAAGGAGAGGAGAGAAAAAGGAAAGGAAGAAGATAGGCTAGGCATGGTGGCTCATGCCTGTAACCCCAGTGCTTCGGGAGGCCCAGGCAGGAGGATCTCTTGAGGCCAGGAGTTCAAGGCCAGCCTAGGCAACATAGTGAGACCCCATCTCTACAAAAAATTAAAAAATTAGCTGGGCATGGTGATATATGTCTGTAGTCCTAGCTACTCAGCAGGCTGAGACAGGAGGATCCCTTGAGTCCAGGAGTTTAAGGCTGCAGTGAGCTATGATCATGTCACTTCACTCTAGCCCAGACAACAGAGTAAGACTTTGTCTCAAAAAGAAAGAAGAAAAGGAGGGAAGGGTAGGAAAGGAGGGAGGGAAGGGTGGGAAATGAGGGTGGGAGGGAGGGAGGGAGGAAGAAAAGTTCTCCTAGATTTTTTAGATTGGCTCTGTGTTGGGGTACTCTTTCAGGGCTTAGCAAAGCCATTTACAACTCTACATTACCCCTAACTTCCAGTTTTTACTGAGCCTAAAGATCAGCTAAAGGTGAAATCTTGAGACCTTAGGTCTTTTTGAAACATTCGTCCTGCCTTGGGCATGAATGCTTTCTAAATTTCTCCATATACACCGGAGCTTCTCAATGTCCTACTTATCCAAAGAATCTCCCTTCTAGGCCTTTCTTCCTACACTTCAGTATGTCCGTTGTTTGCTTTAACTTTTTTTGCCCCAGGCAGCAATAGACTGTTCACATGCCTTTTAATGTTTGTAAGAAATTCCCTCTCTATAGCCACCTTTCTGCTTTGAGAAAATTCCAAGCTAGGTGAAACAAAAGCAGTCAACTTCCATCAGTCCTTCACCTGGCTCTCAGGTCAAAATGGACCAATACAATTCTTTAAGAACAAGGTCTGGGTTAGTGCATGGTGGCTCATGACTGTTGGGAGATCCAAGGTGAGTGGATCACTTGAGCCCAGGAGTCTGAGACCAGCCTGGGCAGCATAGCGAGACCCCATCTCTACAAAACATACAAAAATTAGCTGGGCATGATGGTGCATGCCTATGGTCCCAGCTACTCAGGAGGCTGAGGTGGGAGGATTGCTTGAGCCCAAGCAGCTGAGGCTGCAACGATCTGTGATCACGCCTCTGCACTCCAGCCTGGGTAACAGAGCAAGACCCCATCTCAACAAACAAACAAATAAAGTCTGCTCTGGAACCAAGGACCAGGGTTCTACATTAGGAATGTGAGCTGCTGTCTTCAGGATCATCACCATGCTGGGGAGGGGAGTGGACAAGGCAGTGAAAATATAACAAAACTGGCTGGGCACGGTGGCTCATGCCTGTAATCCCAGCACTTTGGGAGGCCGAGGCGGGCAGATCACAAGGTCAGGAGATCGAGACCATCCTGGCTAACATGGTGAAACCCCGTCTCTACTAAAAATACAAAAATAAATTAGCCGGGCATGGCACCGTGCACCTGTAGTCCCAGCTACTCAGGAGGCTGAGGCAGGAGGATGGCGTGAACCTGGTAGGCGGAGCTTGCAGTGAGCCAAGATGGCCCCACTGCACTCCAACCTGGGCAACAGAGCAAGACTCTGTCTCAAAAAAAAAAAAAAGAAAATATAACAAAACTTTCCTAACTTTTAAAATATATATGTGAACAAAGACAGTTTTATTTCTTCCTTTCCAGTCTTTACATGTTTATTTCTTTTTCTTGTTTTATTGCATTAGCCATGACTTCCAGTATGATGTTAAATAGGAGTGGTGAAAGTAAGCATCCTTTTCTTGTTCCTGATCTTCGTAGGAAGGCATCAAGTTTCTCATCATTAAGTATAATGTTTGCAATCAGTTTTTTTATAGATTGTGTTTTGTTTTTTAACGTTTATTTTGTTTTTAATTGACATATAATAATTGTATGTATTTATGGGGTACAGTATGATATTTCAAGACATATATACAATGTGTAATGTCAAATCAGGGTAATCAGCATATTCATCACCTCAAACACGCCATTTCTTTGTGATAAGAACATTCAAAGTCCTCTCTTCTAGCTATTTTGAAGTATACAACGCATATTGCTAAATATCATCACCCTATTGCACAGAACACCAAAATTAATTCCTCCTATCTAACTGTAACTTTGTACCTCATTAACCAACCTCTGCTCCTCTCCTTCCCCCCTGCTCTTCCCAGCCTTTAGCAACCACTATTGACATAATACGGTTTGGATGTTCGTCTCCTCCCAATCTCATGTTGAAATGTGGTTCCCAGTGTTGGAGATGGGGCCCAGCAGGAGTTGACTGGATCGTGGGAGCAGATCCCTTATGAATGGTTTAGCACCATTCCATTGGTGATAAGTGAGTTCTCACTCTGAGTTTACATGAGATCTGGTTGTTTAATAGTGTGTGGCAGTTCCCCCCTCTCTCTCTTGCTCTCTCTCTCACCATGTGACATGCTGGCTCCCCTTTGCCCTCTACCATGTAAGCTTCCTGGGACCCTCACCAAAAGCAGATGCTGGCACCATACTTCTTTTATGGTCTGCAGAACCATGAGCCAAAATATAACCTCTTTTCTTTATAAATTACTCAGCCTCAGGTATTTCTTTACAGCAACACAAAAACTAATATGGGAAAATGGTACCAGAAGTGTGGTACCGATATAAAGGTACCTGAAAATGTGGAAGCAGCTTTGGAACTAAGTAACAGGGAGAATGGAAGAGCTTGGAAGTCTCAGAAGTCAGGAAGACGAGGAAAAGTTTGGAACCTCTTAGAGACTGGTTAAATGGTTGTGACCAAAATGCTGATAAAGACATGGACAGTGAAGCCCAGGCTGATGAGGTCTCAGATGGAAATGTGGAGTCTATTGAGAACTACAATAAAGGTCACCCTTGTTATCCCTTAGCAAAGAACTTGGTTGCATTGTTTCCATATCCTAGGGCTTTGTGGAAAGCTGAACATAAGAGTGATGACTTAGGGAATCTAGCGGAAGAAATTTCTAAGCAGCAAAATGTTCAAGATGTGTCCTGGCTGCTTCTAACAGCCTATGATCAGATATGGGAGGAAAGGAGAGGTTAAAGTTGGAACTTATATTTAAAAGGGAAGCACAGTATAAAAGTCTGGACAATTTGCAGACTCGCCATTTGCCAGAGACAGAGAAAGCCCTATCAGGAGAGAAATTCAAGCAGGCTATGAAGCAATGACTTGCTAGAGAGATTAGCATGACTGAAAGGGAGCTAAGTGCTAATAACCAAGACAATGGGGAAAAGGCCCTGAAGGCATTTCAGAGATCAAGGCAGCCCCTCTCATAACAGGCCCAGGGGCCTAAGAGGACTGAATGATTTCTGGGGCCAGGCCCAGGGCCCTGCTGCCCTGAGCAGCCTTGGGACACTGCTCCCCACATCCTGGCTTCTCCAGCTCCAGTCTTAGCTCAAATAAGGTCTGCTCTGGAACCCATATTGCTGGGGCCATGACTTTGGAGAGCACAAGCTGCTGCAAGCCTTGGTGGCTTCCACATGGTGTTAAGTCTGTGGGCTTAGGGAATGCAAGAGTGATGGAGGTTTAGCAGCTTTCCCCTAGATTTCAGAAGATGTACAAGAAAGCCCAGGTGTCCAGGCAGAAGCCTGCTATAGGGCCAGAGTCCTCACAGAGAACCTTTACTAAAGCAGTGCAAAGAGGAAATTTGGGGCTAGAGCCCCCACACAGTCTCCACTAGGGCACTGCCTAGTGGAGCTCTGGGAAGGGACCCACTGCTCTCCAGACCCAAGAATGATAGAGCCATGAGCAGCTTACATCCTAAGCCTAGAAAAGCTGCAAGTACTCAACTCCAACCCATGAGAGCAGACACAGGGAGTGCACTGTGCAAAGCCACTGGGGTGGAGCTTCCCAAGGCCCCGGGAGCCCACCCCTTGCACCAGCTTACATTCCCAATGTGAAACCCTGCTCCTTGGTTGCAGAGGCAATAGAACAGACCTTGGGTTTTTTTGGGGGTGGGGTGGGGTGGGGTTTTGTTTTTGTTGTTTTGGTATGGGGTCTTGCTCTGTCACCCAGGCTGGAGTGCAGAGGTGTGATCACAGATCATCACTCAGGCTCAAGCAATCCTCCCAAGCATCTGGTGCCAGCATCACCAGAAGCAGATGCTGGTACTATGCTTCCTGTACAGCCTGCAGAACCATGAGCCAAAATAAAACCTCTTTTATTTATAAATTACCCAGCCTCAGGTATTTCTTTATAGCAATGCAAAAACTAACTAATATACTACCTCTATGAGTCAACTTTTTTAGATTCCACATGAGTGAGATCATGTAGTATTTGTTCTTCTGTGCTTGGCTTATTTCACTTAACATAATGTCTTCTAAGTTCATCCACATTGCTGCAAATGACAGGATTTTGTCCTTTGTTACATATGAATAGTATTCTATTGTGTATATATAGCACATTTTAAAATCCATTCATCCATTGATGAACACTTAGGTTGATTCCATATCTTGGCTATTCAGAACAGTGTTACAATAAACATGGGATTGCAGATATCTCTTCAATATACAGATTTCATTTTCTTTGGCTATATACTTAGTAGTGGGATTGTTGAATCATATGGTAGTTCTAATTTTCTGAGGAACCTCCATAATGTTGTCCATAACAGCTGTACTAATTTACATTCCTGCCAACAATGTATGAGTTCCCCTTTCTCCACATCCTCACCAGCATTTATTTGTTGTCTTTTAATAAGAGACAACGTCTCACTCTGTCATCCAGCTGGGAGTGCAGTGGTGCAATCATGGCTCACTACAGCCTTGACCTCCTGAGCTCAAGCAATCCTCTTACCTCAGACTTCTGAGCAGCTGGGACTATAGACACATGGCACCATGCCTGTTTTTTTTGTTTGTTTGTTTGTTTGTTTTTCCCCACAGAGACAGGGTCTCACTATGTTGCCTGGGTTTTTTTTGTTTGTTTGTTTGTCTTTTTTTATAAGCTTTCCTACAGCATTTCCACATGTTCAATGCTCTAGCAACTTACCACTCTGCCTCAGCCTTCATTTCCTGCTTGCACAGAGCCTCAAGGTTAGCCAGAGGTGAGAGATCAGGGCTCTCTCACATCTTTCCCGGCACCTTCAGTGGAGTTCCCAGAAGTGTTAATAATTTCTCAGTTTCACAGTTAACCAGGGGCTTTCATACATGTTATTTTCAATGGCTGTACCACCACCCTGTAAGTTGTATATTAATTATATCATTTTACAAATGTTGCAGACAAACCACAGAGAGCTTAAGTAATTTGTCCAAATTCTCAGTTAGTAATAAGGTAGGAAGCTGGGGCTTGAACCCAAATCTGTATAACTCCAAAGTCTGCCCATCACAGAACATCCCCTAGGCTTGCAAACCAGGTCCCTAAACCAGGATACATGCTTAGTGACCCTTATGGCATCAGGGAGGCAAACAGAGGGTTTAGGCTCCTCAATTTGTCTCTTTCCCTGACCCCTGCCAAGTCCTATACCTAACATGATGTTCCACAGTCCATAACCAATCTCTGGATTTGTGGTGTGGAATTCACTGCCATACCAACATGTTCACAGAAGTGGTGCCAAGTGGATCTGACACATTTTAAGCATTAATTGTGGTATCCCACCACCTCGACTGCCTCTGATACCACATTATGTTTATGCTAACCTTTTCACCCCCAAGAAGGAAATGTGTTATTTATCCTAAAGATAAGAAGAGTATATTTTTAACCTTTTTATTGCAAAATAAACACACATATAGAACCACATGAACAAATATATAGTGTAATAAATTATTTCAAGGCCAATATCCCTGTAACTACCACCTAGGTCAAGAAATAGAACTCTGCCATCCCAGAAGCCCCTCACATGTCCCACATCCCAATTACAACTCCCTCCCTCCACCCAAAATTAACCACTATCCAAATTTTTATAGTAATTAATACCTTGCATTTCTTTATAGATAAAAATTCATGCATCCATCCCTAGAACTAATAAGTCGTCTTGCCATTTTATAAATTTTTAAACTTTTGGTGTATCTTTTAAGTCTCCCATTCCTTTTTCTTTCCTTACAATTTATCTGTTAAAGAACCTGGGGAGTTTGACTTGTAAAATCTCCCAGTCTGGATTTTGCTGAGTGCACGCTCATGGTACAGTTCAGCATATCCCTCTGGCCTCCATATTTCCTGATCTCTTTGGCAAGATTAGAGGTGCTGTTCTTTTATAGACGGCACATAATTTCTGGTTGTCTCTCTTTTCATTGATGCTCAGTGCCTAGATCAATAACTTCTTTGGGCATTGAAAAACTGTGATATTCTATCATTTCTTTTTCATTTATTAAGGGGGACACATCTATAAAAAGATGTTTCCCCTCACCTACTATATGCTTACTCAGTATTGCAGTTCACATAAGGTCAGTAATGCTTGACTCTTTCCCTTAATTTACTAATTATCAAGATAAAGGATTAGCTCCTTATCATCCTCCAAAAGTGGACAGTTTGTTTTGGGGTATCATTAAAACCTCATAGATTATTTGGTGAATTTCAATACATTGCAATTATTATTCTTACTGGAGCCCAAACTGTCCCATCTTTGGCCAGTAGTAAAACCTCACAGATTATTTAATGAGTTTCAATACATGGCAATTATTCTTCTTATTGGAGCTCAAACTGTCCCATCTTTGGCCAGTAGGACTCTTCACATAGTCTCCTGAGACTTTTGACATGACCCCAGTAGTCTTTGATAGCTTCCTTGCTAATGTCTATGACAAGATAATCATGGTTCATCTTGTGTACCTCCTGCCCTAGACCTGGAATTGGTTATTTCTCAAAGAAGTCCTGGGTTCTCTCCTCCATGAGTATCCTGGTTCTTAAGAACACAGGAGATGACAGAAATAAACTGTCCCATAATTACTCAATTGCCTTATCCTGTATTACAGACATACAAGTCTCAGAATAACACTACTAATACTGTTGCCACTAAGTTGATTACTGAAAATGATTTTGAAACTTTTTATCTTGGCTTTCCCCATTGTCTCCCATTTTTTAGTCATACTCTATCTTCACTGTCAGATGATGCATTCATTATATACTATATTCTCTCTGCTAAACCACAATTAATATTAGTTCTACAAATAACTACATATTTAATGCTCATCTTCAGTCCTAATGTTGATGCTTCTCTAATCATTTTGGTTGGCTGAAACCTATTCTTTAGTAAATTACTAAGGAAGGGCTCTTGGAAACAATATTCCCCAAGTTTTTGAATATTGATGAATTTGTCTATGTCCTTTATACTTGAAAGTCAATTTTTCTGATCTAAAATTCTTGGTTTACATTTTCTTTGCTGAAGTATCTTAAATATGTAACTCTATTTTCTTTTGGCATAACATATTACCATAGCAAAGTTTGATGATAAGTGATTATCTTCTTATAAGCCACATTGCATTGATACTTAGTTTCCTTCACCCCCTCTTTCCTTTAAAATCCAATAATTTTACTAGAATATGTTTTGGTGTTTATTGTTCAAACTCCATATTCTCAGGTATGCAATGTGTGCTCTTTCAACGTATAGTTCCAAATCTTTTGTTTCAGGTAACTTTTCTTGGATTATACACTTTAGCATTTGTTCTGTTCCTTTGCTTTGTGTCTGTTTTATTTCAAATTCAGGGGCTCCTATTGTCATTACACTGGATTTTTTTTTCCCCATCTTCGATGTTCATCATTTTCTCTTGAAACCTTTTCATGTCTTCATTTCTTATTGATTTAAAAAATTTCCTACATTTAATCCTATACTTCTCTTAAGCTATTATCTGTTGCAATTAATTGCTTAGTCTATTTTAGTCTTTATTTTTGAAATTTTTATTTCTAGTTCTTTCCTGAGTTTTGTCTTTTCACTTCTGTTCTTTCCTATCTTGTATCACTTTCTTAAACATCTGGCTTGTTTTAAAGTCATATGCTACAGTCTCTCCCTGTTTTGTGGGCATGTCTTTGTGGTGGGCTTTCATTATCTACGGGTTAAGTATCTCTTATCTGAAATGCTTGGGAACAGAAGTGTTTTGGATTTCAAAGTTTTTGGATTTCGGAATATTTGCATTTTCTTTACCAGTTGAGCAACCCACATCTGAAAATCCAAAATCCAAAATGCTCCAGTAAGCATTTCCTTTGAGTGTCACGTCAGTGCTCAGAATATTTTGTATTTTGGAGCATTCCAGGTTCCAGATTTTCAAATTCGGGATGCTCAGCCTGTATAAGGGGATTATTCTCTACCTCATTCTCTTTTTTCTTACAGTAATTGTGTATGAGACTTTATCTCAACCCTTTTTTTTCTAAAAACACAACTATAGCAGCATCAATCTTTTTCTATTGTGCTGTTTTACATAAAATTTGTTTTCTTGAGCTTTTAGAAGATGGTGTGGTTCTAACCTCACTGAGCTCATTCTTCTGCTTTTGTGTTGTGTTTAAAAACGCAGTAGCTTGATTTTTGAGGTATCCTGGTTCCTCCTCCAATTTTATCTGAACCTTCTCTTCCTTCATCTCTATGTCTCTAACCTGCTCAATTTTTATTCCATTTCCAGTATTTATCCCAACTGTGGGATCCTGTCTTTAAAAAGACCTCTAGCTGGTCAGCTTTGAAAGTTCACACCATCTGCTCCTCTAGCCCCTTCAAAAATTACCAGGAACCTCTTGATCTAGCCCAGTATTGGATTAGACAATACTGTTACTGATATCAAATGCTGTTCTCACATCAGCCCATCACACTTTCTAATAAATAAATAATGGCTTCCCTCTGTTTCTTTCCCCACAGAGACATACTATTCAGTTCTTACGGCTTGTAGTAAGGAAACTAACCAGTTTTGTTGTAAATGCTGCCTGTGGGTTCTTGGCTTTGCTACCTAGTTGCTCTGGTTTTTTTGGTTGGTTGTTTAGGACAAGGTCTCACTCTGTTGCCCAGGCCAGAGTGCAGTGGTGCAATCACAGCTCACTGCAGCCTCGAACTCCCAGGCTCAAGCAATTCTCCCACCTAAACCTCTAGAGTAGCTGGGACTCAAGGTATGCACCACCATGCCCAACTTTTTTTTTTTAATAGAGATGGGAGGGGCCGGGCACAGTGGCTAACGTCTGTAATACCTGCACTCTGGGAGGCCGAGGAGGGCGGATCACGAGGTCAGGAGATTGAGACCATCCTGGCTAACACGGTGAAACCCCATCTCTACTAAACATACAAAAAATTAGCCGGGCGTTGTGGCGGGCGCCTGTAATCCCAGCTACTCGGGAGGCTGAGGCAGGAGAATGGCGTGAACCCAGGAGGTGGAGCTTGCAGTGAGCCGAGATTGCGCCACTGCACTCCAGCCTGGGTGACAGAGCGAGACTTCGTCTCAAAACAAAAAAAAAGAGAGATAGGAGTCCCACTTTGTTGCCCAGGCTTGCTCAGTTTTTGAGAGGAGATTCAAGGAGACTTAAAAACCATGTCACTGGCCAGGCGCGATGGCTCATGCCCGTAATGCCAGCACTTTGGGAGCCCGACGCAGGCAGCTCACTTGAGGTCAGGAGTTCAAGACCATCCTGGCCAACATGGCAAGACCCTATCTCTACTAAAAACACAAAAATTACCCAAGCATGATGGTGTGTGCCTGTGATCCCAGCTACTCAGTCGGCTGAGGCAGGAGAATCACTTGTACCTGGGAGGCAGAGGTTGCAGTGAGCCAAGATAGCACCATTGCACTGCAGGTTGGGCAACAGGGCGAGACTCTGTCTCAAAAAAAAAAAAAAAAAAAAATCCACCATGTCACCACTGCTGCTCTTGCCACCCTCTTCCCAGATTTTAGAGTATTTTTAGAATTCTACAGAAAATTTCTTGAAGCAAAATACCCTTAAAATCTTATAATGGGCTGGGCATGGTGGCTAACGCCTGTAATCCCAGCATTTTGGGAGGCTGAGGCGGGTGGATCACGAGGTCAAGAGATCAAGACCATCCTGGCCAAGAAGGTGAAACCCCGTCTCTACTAAAAATACAAAATTAGCTGGGCGTGGTGGCGGGTGCCTATAATCCCAGCTATTCAGGAGGCTAAGGCAGAGGAATCGCTTGAACCTGGGAGGTGGAGATGGAGGTTGCAGTGAGCTGAGATCACGCCACTGCACTCCAGCCTGACAGAGTGAGATTCTGTCTCGGAAAAAAAAAAAAATCTTATAATGTTTCCAGAAATAAAGCATGTTTTAAAAAAAGAAGAAAATGGACCCATTTTGTCTGCTTACCTCAAGAAGTCTGAACAAGCGGTACCTTATGTCATAACTGGTCCACAAGGCCATAAAAAACGCATTCGATGTGACAGTGCTAATCATAATTATCTTAAAGAAACGGCTCATTATGACTCTCTTCACAAATGCCCGACATTCATCATCGTTCCTCCTGTCAAAAAGTTGAATGTGAAGTATGGTTACAGCACAATAGAGCTAGATCCCCATAAAATGCATACCTTTTTGTAGGGACAAGGCTCTGCTTTCTCCCTTGTGTGAATATAAATTTACATATACTTTTAAATAGCAATGAGATGTTGAATAAATGACCACTGACATATATATGATGATCATGGATACTCTGTCCTCACTCAGTTACTTAGCTCCCTCTCCCTGGACCTCTGAAAAAGAATGGTCACCACTCCTTCTCCAGCAAAACAAAGTGTCATCTTCATTGACTCAACAAATCTTTATTGAGTGGCAACTACATATCAAGCAATCTAGTAGGCACTGGGAACACAGTGACAGCAAGACTAAATATTGCCAGTCTACTAAGCAAAACTGATAATCATCAAATAATCACCCATACACATGCTCACATCAGTAATAAAAAACTGAATACCCCAAGAGAAAATGGGCACACAATCTATTCATGAAATAAACACCAAAGACAAACAAACTTCTCCAAATATGTTCTACAGCAATACCAATCAGGGAGATGCAAAGTAAAACCATTGTTTTTGTTTATAAAATTAGCAATGACTTAAATGTGATAAGATCTAATGCTGGCAACAGTGTAGTATGATTGAGCACTCTCAAAAACTGCCAGAGGCATAAAAACTGACCAGCTCTTTTGAAAAGCCTGAGAACCATTCATTCTCTGACCCAAGATAATATAACCTGAAATGAAATAACTTCAACTAAACATGTCTATCTCAGTATTTTTTCCAGCACTGAGAAGCTTGAAAACAACTTAAACATCTAACAAAAAGGACTGTGTAAGTAAATTATGGTATGTCCATCTTGTGAAATACAGGCACTAAAATATGTCTATGCATTTTTCAGGATTTAGAAAAATGTTTATGATCCATTTTTATATCTTTTGTTTTTGTGTGCAGCAAAACACAAAAACCAAAGATACAAAATTCTCTGTTCAAAATTATCTCACCTGTGCAAAAATCAGCAGTAGAAAAAATCAGCAGGAAATATGCCAAAATTTTAACAGTGTCTGTCTATGGATGGTGAGGTTATAGGTGATTCTTTTTCCTGTTTATTTCCATTTATCTGTGCTTTGCAATTTTTCTCAGAGTACGTATTACTGTTTCCCATTATATGTTACAAATGAAATGAACACATTCTCATAAGTTAAAAAAATATAGAATATATATTTTTCTTTTTCCTTTTCTTTTTTTTTTTTTCTGAGACAGAGTCTCGTTCTGTCACCCAGGCTGGAGTGCAGTGGTGCAATCTTGGCTCACTGCAACCTTCGCCCCCCAGGTTAAAGGGATTCTCCTGCCTCAGCATCCTGAGTAGCTGGGACAACAGGTGCACACCATCACTCCGGGCTAATCTGTGTATTTTTAGTAGAGATGGGGTTTCGCCACGTTGGCCAGGCTGGTCTCAAACTCCTGACCTCAAGTGATCCGCCCCAGCCTCTCAAAGTGCAGGGATTACAGGTGTGAGCCACCGTGCCCAGCCAGAATGTATATACTTTTCTAATATATCAAGATATGTAATTTTCATTATCTGATTTGAGATGGGGTCTATTATAAAAAAAGAGAAAAGCCTTCAGATTATCTAACAGTCAAACTGGTCAAACTGGTCATTCAAGTCTACAGGGCACATAAAGGTAATAGCATGCCAGCCTCACCAATCATAGAAACCAGATTGTCAAGGACATGCAACTTATTTTGGTAAGCAGACGAGTATCTGAGGGAAGAGGCTGAGAGAACACTGACACCCTGCCCTCACACTTCTACTAGCACATTTCTTAACAGGCAATGGAGATAGATAATATTTACTTAAATTTCTTGAATGTTGGGCAAAATCCCACCGATGTAGTGTCAACTGGTGAACTAGAAATGACTCTCGAGTGGCGCTGGTGACGGTGTTGAGACATTTTCCAAATTTTCAACTTTTATTCCTTGCTTTTAGCATCCAACAGAAAATCTCTGCTTAGGGATTTTCCTTAGCGTCTGGATTCTGAGAGGCAGCAGAGAAGGGGCCACGAAGGGAATCCTTGCTTTATGAGGTCACTCTTGGGCATTCTGTTGCATTACCAGTGTGTAGGCCCCTGAAGTGGGGAGCTCCCAAGTGGGTCTATCATGGATTCTCTCTTCCCAAGGAGACTGAGTGCCTCCATTCAGCAAAAAGGCTATGGGCACCCAGCAATCATGAGGCTCTGGGTTAAAGCTGGAAGTCACTAGAAACAGACCACACAAAGGCCCTCCCTTCAAGAAGTGCCCCCAGCTGATAGACACAGGCCCTTAATAATGTGTTAGAAAAAGTTAAGGGTCATATATAAGGGGGAAAAGCAAGTTCTCTGGGCTCTAAGAGAAAGAGAGCACATCCAGGGCACAGCACTGGAAAACACCTGGAAGGACAAGAAAAGATTGTGATGGGTTTGACTTAGAACAAAAGAAAACAAGAGAAGCAAAGAAGGTAATAGTGAGGTAGGGATAGTGGCTCACACTTATAATCCCAGCAACTTGGGAGGCTAAGGTGGGAGGATCACTTGAGGCCAGGAGTTTGAGATCAGCCTGAGCAACATAGTGAGACCCCCATCTCTAAAAAAAAAATAAGAAATAAAAATCAGCGACGAGGCATAGCGGCTCATGCCTGTAATCCCAGCACTTTGGGAGGCCAAGGCAGGCAGGTCGCTTGAGGTCAGGAGTTTAAGACTAGTCTGGCCAACATGGTGAAACCCCATCTCTTACTAAAAAAAAATACATAAATTAGCCGCGCATGGTGGCAGTTGCCTGTAATCTCAGCTACTCAGGAGGCTGAGGATGGAGAATCACTTGAACCCAGGAGGTGGAGACTGCAGTGAGCCAAGATCGTGCCATTGCACTCCAGCCTGGGCGACAAGAGCGAAACTCCATCTCCAAAAAAAAAAAAAAAGGAAATAAAAATTACCCATGGGAGGCTGAGGCAGCAAGATAACTTGAGCCCAGGAGTTCAGGACTAGCCTGAGCAAGATAGTGAGACTGTCTCTACAAAAAATAAAAATAAAAAAAATTAGGTGGGTGTGGTGGCATGCACCTGTAGTCCCAGCTACCAGAGAGGCCAAGGTAGGAGGATCACTTTAGTCCAGGCGTTGGAGGTTACAATGAGCTGTGATCACACCACTGCACTCCAGTCTGCATGATAGAATGAGACCCCATCTCTTAAAAAAAAAAAAAAAAAGAAAAAAAGAAAGGAGGCAATATAAACCCTGAGTTGGCTAACTGCAGGCATAGGATGGGATGTGCACATATAAACCACCTAAACAGAATATAAAGAGTGAGCACATGTGGCAGAGATGTTTTAAGTACAAAAGTAATAGGGATTTTTGCTCTGTTCAACTCTCAGGATTAATATATTCTCCCCACTCACCTTCTCCTAACTCCTTTGGCTTTCAGGGCAAATCAGGACAGTGGGATCTGGGTAGCCCTGTGTTGTATTAAATGCTCAGTGGCTAAATTGGTCAATCTCCTGGACACCAAAGTTCTTGGGCTGTAAGAAAAGGAAGTAACTACCCCACCATCTCTGCTGTCCCTGGTATTCTACAACAAGTATATATGACCATTCATGGTAGGAAAATACTTTGTGGGCAACCAATATACTGAACTGGGAAATAACATCTTACGTACTCATTTTCTCCATTTAAAATCATCAACAGCAAAGTTTTAAGAATCACTGTGATTAATGTCCCCACAATTCAAACTTTAGCCCCATCTTCTCCGTCTTCATTGTTTCCCTCAGGGATCAGCTCCTCCTATAACTCCTGCTATGTCCTTTAGTTATATGCCCCTAACGTCTCAGGGCTCCTGCCCAACATCCATCCACAGGGGCCTCCTGGGGCAGCTGCTCTAAGACAGCCCGCATCAGCTCTCCATCTGTTTCTACCTGCCCTGATATGTCACTGTGCTCAATCCCCTAGGGCACACAGAAGGCCCTCAGTAAGTGTGTGCCGTATGAATATACAAAATAATGGCATCAGGGATCCCTGTGCTCATTCACATAGCTAGGGACAACAGGATTTCATCTCCAGGAAACTCAGTAGTATACTTTTGTGACTTCTCTCTTTAAGCACCAAAGCATACTTTCAGGGAAAAACAAAAAAGAGATTAAAAATGTAAAGAATTCTTTCATGCTGCTTGGAGAGGTGAGGGAAGGTAGCCCACTGAAAGTGACAGAGAAGAGCCCAGTTGTTCTTGGTGTACTACATCAGCACAGCCACAGATGAATGCTGTTTCTGAAGCCAATGATGAAGACTTTAGTCTGGAAATGAAACTCCAGCTGAGTGAGTGGAAAGCAAACAGGAAACCAGAGGTGACAAGCTGATCCAGGGCCTACTGAAATCATACATATCTTCTCATGGATTGGTGGGCAGGGCAGGCATCCTGGGATGAGAAGCCCAAGGGCCATCTCCTGTGCCCTTTCAGCAGCAGCTCATGCTCTGCGTGACCTAAGCAGCACCATCTCAGCCACAGATAGCCGGGGAGAGTCAGCCAATGGCAGGTGCAGCAGCTTGGTGACCCTGAAGTCCTCTGGACAGTCATTAATTTACTAATCCTGAGTAACTGGCATTGAAACACAAAGCTCACATATGATGGCCAAACCCTCCCGATGTTTTTCTGATAACTTTACAAAACTGAAAGCTACAGAGTCCACCTAGAATGTTTCTGAATGCTGAATCAGAAAGTGTACAGACCGCTCCCTACTAACCCTAGTGGTCCAATAGTTCAATATATTAACCGAGGCAGGCTTGTGTCCAAATACAATGTACATGCTGCTGCTTTTTGTCTATAGCAAAAACATAAACAGCCATGCTTAAGCTATTTATCCAGAGGTTTCCTAAATCCTATCAATGTCAGAAAGTAATCACTATTTTCAGAACTTTCATTAACTTCATTGTAGAAAAGGACATCGTCAACCATGTGTCGGCCCGGTTTGCTATCTGTGGAGGTCATGCAAGAGGTCAAAGGTCATGTCTGTTTAACTCCTCTCTACTCCAGTGATCTTTTAGAAAGAAAACAGAAGAAAGCCAAAGCTTACCACATCAGAGAAACCACTGTCATCATGCAAAGATTTGGAACAGACAGGAACCTGGGGGCCTCCAATTTTGACAATATCTCTTTCAAATTGAAACGTGAGTTACTTTAAGCAAGTTTGGTGTTTCATTCTGTTGGAATTTACCACCATGAGCATTTCCATAGACTTCGGATACGGGATCTTTGATTCTCTATAGTAAAGTCTGTGAGTTCCAGCAGATGCAGCGACCCATAACATAGACCTATGTCAAACCCTAATGTAGGTGATAACTAGCAACTTCATTCGCAGGTCTTCACCACTGTCATTATGAGCCATATCCTGCTTTCTCCACTGTGCTACACGTGACATATGTTAACACAGCCATCAAGTTTAGCCTCTCAGACTTCTGCTGAAAACAGAGGAAAAGGGTTCCGTTTAGGGTATAGTAAAACAAGTTAAATGACACCACAGGAAGAAACAAACAAATCCAGAAAGCAGAATATTCTACAGCACAACTGACCCAGTTTTTACAATAAATAAATAACATGGGGAACTGAGGAAGGGAGGGGAGCTTGCTCCAGACTGACAGACTAAAGAGACACAACAACCAGATGCGATTGGTGGGCTTCATATAGATCCTCGATTAGAACCAGATTACTGTCCAAGGACATTCATGACCTTCAGGACAATTTGATTTTGCCTAGGTATTAAGTGTACCAAGGAATCACTTTGTTAGGTATAAAAATGGTACTGTGGGCCGGGCGCTGTGGCTTATGCCTATAATCCCAGCACTTTGGGAGGCCTAAGCGGGCGATCACGAGGTCAGGAGCTCGAGACCAGCCTGGCCAACATGGTGAAACCCCATCTCTACTGAAGATACAAAAAAAAATTAGCTGGGCATGGTGGCGCACACCTGTAATCCCAGCTACCCGGGGGGCTGAGGCAGGAGAATCGCCTGAACCTGGGAGGCAGAGGTTGCAGTGAGCCAAGATCACGCCATTGCACTCCAGCCTGGGCGACAGTGTGAGACTCTATCTCAAAAAAAAAAAACAGAGGTACTGTGGTTTATACAAGAAAATGGCCATATTTTCCATAGAAACTTACTGAAGGATATAGGGGTGAAATGATAAGCTATCTGGGATTTGCTTTTAAATACTTTAGCAAAGAAGGAAACAGGGAAAATGAAGCAACTGGGACAAAATCTTGGTAATTTTTATATCTGGGTGATATGTATATAAGGCTTCAATGTACTATTCATGTACTTTTGAATATGTTTAAATTTTTTCATGCTTAAAAAATTCATGTAAATCCAGGTGATGATTCTCAAAAGAAAATTTTAAAGAATTAATGTTGAAAATTGAAGCACTTAACTAAAAATATTTGGTAATAAAATGTATAAAAGTCCCAAATCTACACTATAGGAAACCAGCTTATAAAAACACAGTTTTGTCTTTTCCTTGGGAAGAATTCTAAGAAACAGAAGTTCTAGTGCTAAGAGTCTGGATCCCCTGGCAGCCAGAGAGCCTGAGTGGCTCTTTTCCCTCTTCTCTCCCTGCACACCACATGTCCACAGGGCAACTGACCACACCTGCCTCTCCCTGGCCAGCAAAACCAGCCAGGAACTGGCTTCAGAGAGCTCAGCCTCTGTGCCATGTTCCCATATGTTTCTCAGGTTTGGGGCAAGGGTGACATGGAGAGGGAAAGGTTTGCTTGTTGTAACAAACAGTGATTTCTCTGGCCCCTAAAGAGAGGTGGGTTTACAAAGATGATCCATGTTAAATTCCACTACCATGATGCTTCAAGGGACTAACAAATGCTTCATGGATGGATATACCTGCATCATAATCTCGTTAGTAGTACATTCCTGAATTCCTTCAAAAAACACTCTTATTACAATTTTTAAATAATAGATTACTTGATATTCCTTTTTACATCTGTCAGTGACACATGGAGTAAGTAGAGCTCACTACTGATTAACACCCTTCTAGCTTCTAGCTTCAGTGGCCGTAGACCCTCAGTTCAGGAGTCAAAACATGCAAATGATGGGGGGAAAATGACCCTTAGTTCCTCCTTAACTCAGTAAGTCAAATAATGACTTGGTGAGTTGGCTGCTGTAACAGTAAATCTTATATTGCCACACATTCCTGGAAGCCACAGACAAGACACTTGTCCTCTCCTTCAACTCTCTGTTGAAAGAGAAAAGTAAAGAAAACACACCAAGATAGCTCATCCAATTTTTGTGACTTGTTTAATCTAATTAATTATATAAGTAGTAACGGCAGCTAAAATCCAAATCAACTTTAGCTTCATAAGAATTGTTATAGGCCAGGCGCAGTGGCTCACGCCTGTAATCCCAGCACTTTGGGGGGTCAAGGCAGGAAGATCATTTGAGCCCAGGCATTCAAGACCAGCCTGGGCAACATAGTGAGACTCCATCTTGTATAATTATTAAAAATAAATAAATAAAAATTTTAAAATAATTGTTATGACACAGTGGCTCACACCTGTAATCCCAACATTTTGAGAGGCCAAGGCAGGAGGATTACTCGAGCCCAGAAGTTCTAGACCAGCCATGGCAACATAGTAAGACCCTGTCTCCACAAAAAAGTTTTAAAAATAAGCCAGGTGTGGTGATGCATGCCTGTAACCGCTGCTACTCAGGAGGCTGAGGTGAGAGGATCACTTGAGCCTGAGAAGTCAAGACTACAGTGAGCCATGGTCGCACCACTACACTACTGCCTGGGCAACAGAATGAGACCCCGTGTCAAACACACACACACACACACACACACACACACACACAAACTGTTATACTGGCTGGGGGCAATGGCTCACACCTGTAATCCTTGGACTTTGGGAGGCAGAGGTGGGAGGCTTGCTTGAGCCCAAGAGTTCAAGGCCAGCCTGGGCAAGATGGGAGACCCCATCTCTACAAAAAATTTAAAAATTAGTCAGGCGTGGTGGCACTTGCCTATAGTCCCAGCTACTCTGGAGGCTGAGGAGGGAGAACTGCTTGAGCCCAGGAGGTTAAGGCTGCAATAAACCGTGATCCTGCCACTGCACTCCAGCCTGGGCAGCAGAGCGAGACCCCGTCTCAAACAAAACAAAACAAAAGAAGAATTGTTATTTAAAGTTAAAACTCACTATCTGTCGAGTTCCTAATTCTTTTTCCACCTTACAACTATTCTCCAAAACAATGCATTTGTAGTCACCAGAATTGCTTGAATTTCTGGGTTATAAAATGTGTGAATACTCCCCATCCCAATTTCTTGAATTTAAGAATGCCACTTCTGGCCAAGCGCGGTGGCTCATGCCTGTGATCCCAACACTTTCGGAGGTGGAGGCAGGTGGATCACGAGGTCAGTAGATCGAGACCATCCTGGCCAACATAATGAAACCCCATCTCTACTAAAAATACAAAAATTAGCTAGGCGCAGTGGCACGTGCCTATAGTCCCAGCTACTCGGGAGGCTGTGGCAGGAGAATCATTTGAACCTGGGAGGCAGAGGTTGCAGTGAGCCGAGATCCCGCCACTGCACTCCAGCCTGGTGACAGAGCAAGACTCCGTCTCAAAAAAAAAAAAAAGCCACTTCTCTTTCTGAATATTATTAATATAAGTAACTGGGTTGGTTTATCTTAGGTATATGATTAGATAGCATGAAAAATACCTCAGGTTCCAGTTTAAATCATTGCGTATTTAAGCACTGATTTTACCAAATGTAATATATAAAGGCAAACAATTTACACAACTTAAATTGTTATTTTTCTTTTTTCTTTGCTTCTAGATATGATGCCTTAAGAACAATTCAACAGCCAGGCATGGTGGCTCATGCCTGTAATCCCAGCACTTTGGGAGGCTGAGGCAGGCGGATCACGAGGTCAGGAGTTCGAGACCAGCCTGACCAACGTGGTAAAACCCTGTCTATACTAAAAATACAAAAATTAGCCAGGCGTGGTGACACGTGCTTGTAATCCCAGCTACTCAGGAGGCTGAGGCAGGAGAATCACCTGAACCTGGGAGGCGGAGGTTACAGTGAGCCGAGATCATACCACTGCACTCTGGCCTGGGCGACAGAGCAACACTCTGTCTTAAAAAAAAGAGAAAAAGAACAACTCTATTTGTTCACATAAATTTCCTTCAACATACATTGCAGCTAAGATGTGTACAAGATTTTACATGTATTTTGGAAGAAATCACACAGAAGCAGCTGCTTTTTCAATAAACTTGGCCAGCTTCACATCTTTTTTGGTCAGTTCACCACAGTCATGTGAGGTGAGAGTTATCTGGACCTAAGAAAAAGAAAAGCAGTTTTTAAAACTCTGAGCAGCAAATCATGGTTATTTTCCTTTGGCAGTTCAGAAATCAGTCTATTATTCAACATTCATATTTGAGAATTAGGGGGATTAAATGATTTAGAAAATACTACATTATGAATAAGCAAAACATTTCCAAAACCCAGCGAACTCCAGGGGCATAGTCTACATTAGGCCTGGCTCAACAGCCACCTTGAAATAAAAAGTTCTCTTCCATGAAGAGGCAATGCAGCTGCCAGAATCTCAAATCTTGTTTCTTTAAATAAAAAGAGAGACTGAGGTTCCAATTGAACTCTCGTTACTTTAATTACATCAACTATTTTCAGGCCACTGAGAAAAACCAAGCTATCAAATGTAATATCTTAGCAGCAACGTTTAAAAAGCACATTTTGGCTGGGCATGGTGGCTCACACCTGTAATCTCAGCACTTTGGGAGGCCGGATCACCTGAGTTCAGGAGTTTGAGACCACCCTGGCCAACATGGTGAAACCCCGTATCTACTAAAAATATAAAAGTTACCCTGCACGCCTGTGATCCCAGCTACTCGGGAGGCTGAGGCAGCAGAATCGCTTGAACCCGGGAGGTGGAGGCTGCAGTGAGCTGAGATCGCAGCACTGCACTCCAGCCTGGGCAACAGAGCCAGACTCCAACTCAAAAAAAAAAAAAAAAAAAAAAAAAGCACATTTCTAAATTAGGGAAATGGGAGTAAAGGATGGAATGCTGTTTCTTGATGAACTGATTATAAAGTAAAAGCAAAATTACGAGCAAAGAGAAGCAAATAGCAAAGAAAAGTTTAGCCTGGTACCAAGGTGCTCTGAGTTATTCTATTAAGTCACGTGAGTATTGTGAAATTCTCTTTTTTCAAAGATTTTCACAGAGAAGACTTCATAGAAATCTAGATGATAAGACATTTCAAATGGCATGACCATAAAGGCAAGGACACTTTGGGAGGAACAAGGTTCTTCTCACTGTGTTCCCTCAAAACTTTTTAGTCTGTCCTTTGTCTTAAATAAGGTCATTTCCTACGCAGGATACAAAATTTAATAGTTTTCAAAGCACAGTTCTTGAGTAAAAATATTTCAACGAGATAAATGAGGCCATATCTATCTGATTTGCTACCATTTCTTTCAATAATTTACCTTAAGTTTTGAAACGTATCTGCATGGCTGATACTCCGGTTTAATTCAGGAGCCTCATTTGGCCCAACTTTCTCATATTAGCTTCAGTAGAAAGACAAGCATGAAAATAAAGAGCTTATTCACTGTTCTTAGGAGCAGACCTGAAAATGTGTTACTAATTTGCAATAATACACAGGGATTCTGAGAGAAAGGATAAGACTTTCTTAAGTACAATGACATTTAGCTGCACAAGATGACAAGGAAGAAAGAAGTTTCTTAAACTCCATAATTAAGGTGATTCCCAAATAAGGCAGTTTAGTTACCTTGTTGTATACATTGAACCATTCTGGGTGATGATTCATCTTCTCTGCTTGTAGGGCAACTCGGGACATAAAGCCAAATGCCTGCATAAGATGAAGTCAAGAGTAATTACTGACATTGTCCTCTACCCTAAGCCTGAGAGACACAACAGAGCAATCCAACCACATAAAGGCAGGCAAGGATCCTTAGGGAAGCCTGTGGAAATCAACTATGAAAGGACTGCTCTCTGCAGGCCTCTGGGGTCACAGTGCAGCAGGACTGTGACCTACTGCTGGATGGTGAAAAACTATCAGGCTCGAGTAAACAAACCAGGAAATTGGTCTCACCTAGTGACCCGTCTGGACTATTTAATTGTCCTCAGGACAAGACTCTACAAAATAGCACGGGAATAATTTCCCTTCAACCCAGTGCTCTGGGTCTCACTACCTGGCTCCAAATATTAGGAGCCACTTTTCTTGCAGCTCTGTTCCTTTTGTTTTTAGTGATTGGGTTGCTAACTAAGGCAACCCACAAGACTATGGAAAAAGGTCTCCTGAGGGTGTCTTAAGCAAAAGCACCAGCAGAAATGAACAACTTCTTCATCTCACCTCCCAGGCAGGACAGGAACAAATCAAAGACTATTGGCACCTAGAGTGAAACAGAAGCCCAGCTTGCCTGCTTGGGTTCTTCCTGCTACTGCCCTGCACTGCCATTTCAAGGTGACAGTGCACCCACCTCAGGGCAGAAGGCAAGCCAGGAAATGAGCAGAGGGCTGCAAACCAGTCACACGACTAAGTGTGGACTGACGGGGCTCTGTCTTTATACCACACGGGGAGTGGAAACAATTTTGTTAAGCAGAAGGTAAACTTGTCTTCAGAAGAAGGAAAAAACTCATTTTTTTGTTTGTTTTCAATTTTTTATGAAGGTAACTGCAAACAATAGGAGAGTCTGTCTCTATTGTTCCAGAATGCACAAATACTTGGTAAGACTCTTAGGGTAATGGCACATGAATTACAAAGTTAGAGTGGCATTCACAGGGCAATACCCATTACACCCACGTAAACAAATATTTAACTTCATTACCCCTATCCAGAAAAACCAATATGATGTTAGTCAAGCCATGTTTTTGGGATCACCAAATGACCTAAGTGTGTATTTCCTAGTTAACAGTGAGAAATACAGAAGATGCCATTTTAAACAATTCTATATCATTCACTATGGTACCTCTCTCGGAGCCAATTTTATTTGGGATAAAAGTTTCCATGTTGACATTTGAGGCCTGAAGGTTTTCCCTATAGGAAAAGGGAGAAAGTTCAAGCAAAATCCATTTGACCATGTATGGAATTATCTGTGGAAAAACAATATTCACTTTCCCAGCCCTTCTCATCTCATAATCTGATTGTCTAGATTATGTGAAGGGAAGGGACAAAAGCCTGTTTTTTATTTTTATAGAGACAGGGTCTCACTATGTTGCCCAGGCTGGTGGAATGCAGGGGCTGTTCACAGGCACAATCATAGATCACTGTAGCCTCAACCTCCTGAGCTCAAGGGATCACTCAAGGGATCCTCCTGCCTCAGCCTCCCAAGGAGCTGGGACTACAGGTGCATGCCACCATGCCCAGCCATGAAAGTCTGTTCTAATTATTCAAACATAGAGTTAACCCACATTAAACTACGTATAAGGAGAATTTCTACTCTGCCTATAATGCCTTATTCTTGTTTAGCATTAGAAGATGTACAATGCTAATCAACATCACTGATAGACAGCAATGCAATTGTTAAGGGCATGGCCTTTTGAGCCAGGGAGTCCTGGATTCAAATCCTGATTCTATCACTTAATTATCATGCAATTTAACTATCAGTCTCAGTTTTCTTTTTTCTTTTTGAGACAGAGTCTCACTCTGCTGCCCAGGCTGGAGTGCAGTGGGATTATCTTGGCTCACGGCAGCCTTTGCATCCCGGATTGAAGCGATTCTCCTCAGCATCCTGAGCAGCTGGGATTACAGGCACCTGCCACCACGCCTGGCTAATTTTTGTAGTTTTAGCAGAGACAGGGTTTCACTATCTTGGCCAGGCTGGTCTTGAACTCCTGACCTCATGATCCACCTGTCTCAGCCTCCCAAAGTGCTGGGAATATAGGCGTGAGCCACCATGCCTGGCCCTCTCAGTTTTCTTATCAGTAAAATGGAGACAATAATTTTAAAAGTCATGTGATTACATTCTAATAAACAATGAGATAAGGTATATAAAGGTACTTAGCACAGCACTTGGTACAGAATAAGAGATCGGTAATGGCACATACTGCTGTCACTACTGCTTCTGACCAAACTACACAAGGTAAACCTTACAAAACACAATGAGTGGTGAAAAGCTCTCCATGGGCTTGAGAATCTAAGATTCTAGTTGCTGTCTTCCAGAAGAATGGCTCTTTCCTTTTTCCAGTTGTCATAAATAGAGACTCGCACATGTAGAGCAAACGAACAGATAATACATTGTGGGGTAACATCCTGATGCACACTGACTGGGGAAAGCAGCTTAATGGCAAGAAATTATGAGTGCACAGTCACTGCCCAAGTTCTTACACCCTGTGGCCACAATTTCTTTGAACCATGTCATTCTAAAATGTCTAAAGTGATGCCTACAATTCCTTGCCATTTCCCATTAGCCAAGTGGATCAAGTGGATGATCGGAACACAGAAGTGGTCCTCAAATCTTTGACCACTGGCATGCCATCAGTATAGTAGCAAAATCTATTCCATCACAGATATAAGGCTTGAAAGGAAACACAGCCACAGCCTAAGAGGCATACTGATCAAAGAAAAAACATCTACCATATCTACATACAATTAAAAAACTTTTATGACACATCAAAACCCCTCAAATTTGTATTTTTCTCAGCTTTGCATATTTCCCTTCAACTGTCACATAATATTTGCATTTAATAAAATACTACAAAGCCTGATAAACCATTTACACAGGATTTATTCTTAATTCTTCCCCGGGGAAAATAATAATCTGCTCTGGAAGCAAAAAGACAATTCCATAATCCTTCTTCCATATAACAGAACCAACCAATCCCCAAAATATGTATTTTTAAATCCACAAATTAAAAACTTCTTTCAAAATATACACTCAAAGAACTACTCCAAGGAATTTAGATGACTGAATAAGAGAGAAAAAAGGCAAAACTCAAACGAAAGTTTGATTATCTGGAATACAATGAAGAAGATACAATGCCAAACAGCTGACTTAGCAGATGGTGAAAAGCATCTGCTCCTTCTTTCAAAGATTTCTTTTTACAGTCTTAGTTACTTGCTTATGGGATTCCAGCTCAAAGGCTTTGAGCTAACTAAAAGACAGGAAAGCTAGAAACAGCCAGAAGCAGAATAGACACCACTAACAACCCAGTAAGAGACCCAAGAGGACAGGATCCAGAAAATGGGCAAAATGAAATAGAAATCAACAAGAGTTTAGAAGAACTAGAAAAGAATAAATGTAAGGACAAACAAAGGAGATCTAACATAAAGATCATTGTTGGCTGGGCGTGGTGGCTCATGCCTGTTATCCCAGCACTTTTGGAGGCAGAGGCAGGCAGATCACCTGAGGTCAAGAGATCGAGACCATCCTGGCCAACATGGTGAAACCCCATTTCTACTAAAAATACAAAAATTGGCTGGGCATGGTGGCGTGTGCCTGTAGTCCCAGCTACTCGGGAGGTTGAGGCAGGAGAATCACTTGAACCCAGGAGGCAGAGGTTGCAGTGAGCCAAGATCGCACCACTGCACTCCAGCCTGACGACAGAGCAAGACTCCATCTCAAAAAAAAAAAAAAAAACCATTGTTGCTATTTAACTGAACAAAAATACGAAACCCCCAAAATTAGAGTGTAATTTAAGAAAACTTTCTATGACTCAGAACACTTGGGGATAAAAATTTAAAAAAAAAATAAGTTTTCCAAAAATAAAGGGTTTAAATCTATAAATTGTAATATTTCAATCATATATATATATATATACTGTAGCAAAGTTAAACTCGGAAGATTAAAAAATCCTTTTGGCATCTAATCAAAAAGATCAATTCATCAATAAGGATGAAAAGAATCTGGCCAGACACAGTGGCTCACACCTGTAATCCCAGCACTTTGGGAAGCCGAGGCAGGCGCATCACTTGAGGTCAGGAGTTAGAGACCAGCCTGGCCAACATGGAGAAACCCCATCTCTACTAAAAATACAAAAATTAGCTGGATGTGGCAGTGCGCACCTGTACTCCCAGCTACTCAGGAGGCTGAGGCAGGAGAATCACTGGAACCCAGGAGGCAGAGGTTGCAGTGAGCCAAGATCGCACCACTGCACTCCAGCCTGGGTGACAGAGCAAAACCCTGTCTCAAAAAAAAAAAAAGATTCTGCTGACTTCAAACATTCACATACCAACATTCAACATTAGAAGTCAGAGGGGCAATACCTACAAAAACTTTAAGAAATGAAAGTTGAAAACCAGGAATTTTATACCCAGCTAAGCTACTTTTCAAAAATAAATGCAAAAGACAGACATTTTAGAAATACAATAAGTCAGGGAATAATTATCACTCATCCTTCTTGAGGAAACTATTAAAGGATGAACTATAAGTAACTAAGAGATGAATGGAGAAACTATACCAAAGGTATTAGCAGTAAGCAATATATTCATTCAGTTCTAGGAATACATTTAAAACAACTGTGGGAATTACAGTTACAGAATGGAATGCAAATGTTATAAACTATTAAAGGAGTTTAAAAGAGAAAGGACAAGATGAAGAAGGTATATAAAAGTAAACAAAATCTTTGAAAGATGAAAGATCAAGTTAGAGACATAAGTATACTTAAATGTGTAAAACTTAAGTACTAAGGCTGGGCACAATGGTTCATGCCTGTAATCCCAGCGCTTTGGGAATCCAAGGTTGAAGAACTGCTTGAGGCTAGAAGCTCAAGACCAGCTTGGGAAACATAGTGAGACCCTATCTCTACAAAAAAAATTTTAAAAATTAGCTGGGCATGGTGGCATGCACCTGTAGTCCTAGCTACTCAGGAGGTTGAGGTTGGGGGATCCGTCGAGCCCAGGAATCTGAGGCTGCAGTGAGCTATGATCATACTCCACTGCACGCCAACCTGGGTGACAGAGCAAGACTCTGTATCTGATTAATTAATTAATTAAACATAAGCACTAGGACTGAAAAATAATATAAACTAAAATTAAACAGTGAACAAAAAGTAGGAGAAAATATTATTTCAATATTGCTTTGAGGGGGGACCATAAATGCTATATAAAGAAATAGAAGACTATATTTTCTTTTTTTGTTGTTGTTATTAAGATGGAGTCTCACTCTGTCGCCCAGGCTGGAGTGCAGTGGCACAATCTCAGCTCACTGCAACCTCCGCCTCCCAGGTTCAAGCAATTCTCCTGCCTCAGCCTCCCAAGTAGCTAGGACTATAGGCACGTGCCACCACACCCGGCTAATTTTTGTTTTTGTATTTTTAGTAGAGACAGGATTTCGCCATGTTGGCCCAGCTGGTCTTGAACTCCTGACCTCAAGTGATCCGCCCGCCTCGGCCTTCCAAAGTGCCGCGATTACAGGTGTGAGCCACAATGCCCAGCCAGAAATAGAAGACTATATTTTCTATGTAAAATTATAGGTATATAATTTTATAGGATCTTGTAGATACCATACATAGGTATAATAGTACATATATATGTATATAATACTATATATAGGTATTATATATATATACGATATACTATATTATCCATAAGGTACTATCAAGTTATATACCTATATATAGTTATAATAGTATCCACAAGAATCAAAATAAAAATATAAACATTCCCAGTTAAGTAAAGAAAAACATAATTAAAATGAAACAAAGAAAACACAGTCCATATCATAATTTAAAATAAGGAAGAAAAAAGTATTTTGGTTCTGCCATGTTTTATAAGACTAAACTCATCTGTGCAATCAATAAATGTAAAGAACATAAATCCAACCAATCAAAATAAAGAGAAAACTTTCACGCTGGATCACAAAGCAAAATTCAATCATTAAAAATAAAAGCACATAAGCAAATGCAAAAAAAAAAACTTGTTAATAAATTATATTGAACAGGCTAATTTAGGGCAAAACATTAAAAGTCCTGAAGCGGGTAATTTGCATTTATAAATTTGCATCCACCAATGAAGATTAAATAATTACAAATATCTACACTACAAATAATAACATGGCATTGAATAAGCCCATGTAGGAAATATAGGAATAAATAGAAACATTTATAGTTGGAGACTTTAATTAACTTTTTTTTTTTTTTTTAAGAGACAGGGTCTCGCTCTATCTCCCAGGTTGGAATGCAGTGGCACGAATATAGCTTACTGCAACCTTGAACTCCTGGGCTCACGGGATCCATCCTATCTCAGCCTCCCAAGTAGCTAGGACTACAGGCAAGTGCCATTATGCCTGGCTAATTTTTTTAAATTTTTGTAGAAATGGGGTCTTGTTATGTTGCCCAGCCTGGTCTTGAACTCCTGGCCTCAAGTAATCTTCCCACCTCAGCCTCTAAACCTGTAAGTGGCAGGATTACAGGCATGCGCCACTGCACTTAGCCTAACTTACATCTCTTAACCCATGACAGATTAAACAAACAAACATAATTTTAAAGGTAGAGCTAATTGCTATACTTTAAACTCTAAAAACTGAGAATAACACTTTTAAAGCGCTCATCAAATATTCACAGAAATTAAACATATATTAGTCCACAAAGAAAATCTCAATCAATTCCAAAAAGTAGAAATAGTACTGAAAACATTCTCTGGAATGCTGATAGATAGGAATAGATGCATCCTTCCTTAATACGATAGAATATATTCTCAGTCCAAAGGCAGCATCATTTTTCTTAGCATCATTCTTTATAGGGAAATGCTAGAATTCCCATTAAAGTCAAGAATAAGACAAAAAAAAAAAAAAAGTCAACAGCTTCTCATACAAACAATAACCAATTAGAAAATATACCGAAGAAAAGATATCATTTAAAATGGCACCGAAAAACAATCTAAGAGTAACTTAACAAGAAATTTATAAATTCTATTTCCTGAAAACTTTAAAAAACTACTACTAAGAAATAGATAAATCTTACTACACGAAAAATTTTTTTCTGTACTGCAGGAAGAAGACAGGCAAAAAAAATTTTTTCTGTATGGTAATAAAATCCAACAAACAAAAGCAAAAGATAAACAACAAATTATATTTGCAGTATATACTTCCTTAGCATATAAAAAGCTCCTACATATTAATGAGACCAACCACCATTTTTTAAATGAGCAAAGGACATAATAGATAACAGAAAAGAAATTCAAATGGTTCTGAAACATAAAAACTGCTCAATCTCAATCATGGTAAATACAAATTAAAAACTAAGTTAAACCTATTAGCTTGAAAAAGATCAAAATATTTGCTAATATTCTGTTGGTGAGGATATAGAAGAAAAGGTATTCTCACATGCTGCTGGTGAATATAAGTTGATATCATCATCATGGAAGGCAATCTGACATTATCTGTCAAAACTGAAAATGTCCATGCCTTTAGACCAAACAATACTTCTAGGAATTTGTGCTGCAGACATACTCATAAATTACAAGAAAGGTAATTGCAGCACTGCCTGTAATAGCTATAGACTTGAAACAGCAAAATCTCCATCAACAGGGAACTGATTAGAAAGATTATGGTACATTTACACACTGGAATACTATGCAGCCATTAAGCAGAACAAGGAAACCATTTATCCTCTGACATGGAAGTACCTCTAAGATACATTACTAAATGAAAAAAAATATATGCATAACAATAGTTCATGAAGCATATAAAAAGGAAAGAAAAGAAATTATATGCTTGTGTATGCATTAATATCTCTGGAAGGATATACAAGAATGATGGGAGCAATGGTGAAAGATGAGGAGAGTGGAGAGTGGGAACTGGATGGTTGAGAATCACAAACAGGAAGACTTCCTACATTCTTTGGTACCTTTTGAATTCGTACCATGTGTATACCTGATCTATTTTTTAAAAATTAGTTTGGGAAAAAAATGAACAACATGCAAATGAAGTTCCCACTGTAAAGGGAGCTGGAATCCTTTAATGTACATAACCTGGTTCACATTAAAATATTTTGGCTCATGTTAACTTCTTAACATATGCCTACCTGTTTAGGTGGGTTTTTAGTGCCAATTTACAGCATAGTTTGTCTATGAGCCATGTTCTGTTGAGCCACAGCCATTTCAAACAAACATATGGCCAACAAATAACGTATAATGGCTGATAATAGTTTCAGTCTTTCCTCTATTGCAAATTACAAACATTTTATGAACAAGTCAATGAATGTATGATGAAGTATGACTTTTTAAGTTACTCTACCATTTTAAGGAATGTAAGCAATACAATCACAGTAAATTGGGCCAATGAAGTTTGTCATTTGGAAATCTCCAAACCATCAGCAATTAAAGATTTTTCCATGAACCCCAAATCAAGTATTCTTTGGGAACTTTAATTTTTCTTAAAGTTCCTTTTGTTTCATTTTATTCCATGAAACTATGAAAGACTATCAGATGCACAAAACCAAGACAAAAATCGTGCATCAATCTGTGAAATGTTTAACAGCACCCTGAATTTAAAATACAGCTTCAGTCAAATAACATGTATGATTTATTAAAGTTCTAAGACTTCTAGCACATACTTACAATACAAATCTTTCGTTACTCAGAGCAAGTCTCTTTGATATACATTCTTTAAATCAGCTGCCTTTTATATTTTGATTATAGACTATTTTAATTATGCACTAAAAAAGAACATATCTCCCACTAAGAAAATGAGCACCAGCTACTCCAAAGTAATTTCCCCAGTACAATCTCCATTAAGCCTCTAAATACTTCCTTTACTAATTCAATGAATTAGACATCTATTGTTTATGAATCACCATTATGTTTGTAGGCCTATAACCCTTCTTTTATAAAACACAATTGCTATGGAAGGAAATGATATTTATGTCTGATTACAAATGAAAACACTATTACATAAATCAGTTTGGGCATTTCTTCACGTCTTGAAACATGATCAGCAATTTACTCTAATTGGTGATCAAGGAAACTATCTTGTGATCAATTAAAGTAATTACCAGATTCCGGCAACACAACCTACCTTAATTTCAGCTAGAGTCTGCACTTCTTCAACTTTAATTAAAAATAATGAAAATTATTAAGCAAAATGCAAGGCAAGATCATTGCCAAGCACGCACATGTCACAGGACAGGACCTTCCCCTGGTGTTGGTGACTTATCAATCACATAAACACTGTCTAGTGCACCAAGTAAAGGCATTCTTTGCCACAGAACATGATTACATGTCTCACCAAGACTTTCACGTGGAACACTGTTAACTGTTCTAGCCGCTGCAAAGGAAACGTCAGATTTTAATTGTAGGCAACACAAGAATATTCTCAACTAAACTGTGAGGAACAGATCCAACCAAAGATGTATTTAATCCATGCTTTTTTTCTCTGGACTGTCAGACATATTTTTAGCACACTGGTCAACTAAGTTCAGTTCCTAGCTCTGCTATTCACTAGCTATATGACCTCAGAAAAGTTACTTAACTTTTGAAACGAGTTTCAGTTTCCCCATACGTAAAAGGAGCTAATTCATGTAATATACTTTACAGTATGCCTGGCACTCTATTAAGAACTCAGTTAATGCTAGTGATTATTATCATCATCAATAACACTTTGATATTATAGTGTCTGTGGCCTGGAAAGGAAGAATTCCTTTCCAAACCTAGCAGAAGACCAATTTGAAGGCCAAAGAAATTCACCTTTACAAGGCTCAGAAAACCAGAAACATCTTTAGCACTGTTTCTCTGAGTGGGTGTCGGCACGGGAAGATTTCCTTGCGGAACTGGCAATCTGTCAGCGAGCATCTCAGCCAAGCAGGTGACTCATGTCTCCCTGAGGAAGTGGGGCTAAAGGCCTGCTTGAGGACCATTCCCTGTGCAGTCCCTTGTGTGTCTGGGGGCAGACACAACTCCCACCAATCCTAAGCCACTAGTCTACTTGCCATCTACTTGATCCGCCACAGAGCTCAACATTTCCAATAACTCAGGCCAAGAATATCCAACTATGAAATTAAAACTGGCTTCTCCAGGCACTGAAGACAACATCCACAAGCTACTGAAAAAGCTGCCTGCTCTTCCAGGCCCCAGACGAAATGAGTCCCCCTTAGCTCATGGTAATAAGTACATTTTTTAAATGTCACTGAACAGGTCAACACCTGTGAGATAGCATGCTCACTTCTAAACACTGCTTTCAAAAGCTGTTTTCATACTGTAGCATTTTAGAGCCTTTTAAAAAAAAAAAAAAAAGCTTCAAGTCACTATTCTTGGCAATTGCCATAATAGCCTACACAGCCAATTGAAAAAATATGGCAACTCTTTAGCTAATGACATGGTACCATCTTCAACATATACTGTTAAATGAAAAGCAAGGTGCAAAACAACTTTCTTTTGCAGAATTAGGACTTTCAATACATCAGTAAATTTCTACTGAATTCCCAGGCTAGGAAAACTCCTCTTAGATAGGAGTATATTAATATAAATCCACTATTCTCCAGGTGGCAGGGTTTACATCCACAAAAAAAAACTCTACACACGATTTTACCAAAAGGCCCTTCATTTCTGTTTCATTTTTAGTGAAAGTTCTCTAACTAGATAGAGTTCACACAGCTGATGTATACCAAAAAGACATTCTGGCCAAGGTGATCACTAGCTATGAGTATCTTTTCCCTGAAGAGACACTACCGGTTTCCAAATTCCTCTGCACCTAAGTTTAAATTCATTTCGCCATATCTTCATCAGCTACTATTGGGCAGACCAATTGCCCAGTCTGATTAGCTCTTTCTTAAATTTCTCACAATCTTTCAGTTTTGAATTAGCACATTTCACCAGTTTTCTACCCATTCTTTTCTCCTAAAGCAAACAGAAGCACTGGTTTTAAAACCACCCCAAGAGAAGCCCCTTACCAGAGTTCCCTGGTGTCAAAATAACTTGTGATGCTTTGCAATTCACTGGGGCTGTTCATTATTGCCAATCAGCTGCCTCAGAAAAGTCCTGTTGGAGGTTTTCTTCCCTAATCTGCTGATAATCCTTATTTGTTGGCTTTCAGAGTCTTATGAGGTGAGAGGTATTGCAAAGATTACCAAAGTTTAGTTAGTTTTGTTTTAGCAATCCTTTTAAAAATTGTATTTAAGCTCCTTGGTACTGTCATCATTATAAAATTATAAGAAATTCTACTTTATATAAAAAAAAAACGACTTCATAGGCTTCAACTTTGTGCTTCCGAACCACTAAGATACACAAAGTACCTGCCCAAATATATTTTTAAAAATTGAGGTCAGGGGGCCGAGCGCGGTGGCTCACATCTGTAATCTCAGCACTTTGGGAGGCCGAGGCGGGTGGATCATAAGGTCAGGAGATCAAGACAATCCTGGCTAACATGGTGAAACCCTGTCTCTACTAAAAATACAAAAAATTAGCCAGGCGTGGTAGTGGGCACCTGTAGTGCCACCTACTCGGGAGGCTGAGGCAGGAGAATGGCATGAACCCAGGAGCTTGCAGTGAGCCAAGACTGCGCCACTGCACTCCAGCCTGGGTGACAGAGCGAGACTCCGTCTCAAAAAAAAAAAAAAAAAAAAAATTGAGGCCGGGCGCGATGGCTGTAACCCCAGCACTTTGGGAGACCAAGGCAGGCAGATTACCTGAGGTCAGGGGTTTGAGACCAGCCTGACCAACATGGAGTAAACCCCGTCTCTACTAAAAACACAAAATTAGCCAAGTGTGGTGGCACATGCCTGTAATCCCAGCTACTCGGGAGGCTGAGGCAGGATAATCGCTTGAACCCAGGAGGCAGGGATTGCAATGAGCCATTATCGCACTATGGCACTCCAGCCTGGGCAACAAGAGCAAAACTCCATCTCAAAAAAAAAAAAAATTTTTTTTTTTAATAGCATGCAAAATGACAGTCTACTCCCTAACTTTTCTTCTTTATAATCAACTGGTTCCTTTCAGGAGACATAACTACTACTAACACTACATAATTCCAGTTTATATATGACATAAAACTATCTTGCCCTATTACTGTAATAAAAATAATTTCTATGGATCTAGTTTTAAAGAGAGAGAAGGCAAAAGGGCTTCTGCTTAAGTTGGGATGTGTTAAGCTGAAAGTCAAGATGCTACAATAACAACCAAAAGGGTGGAGGAAGAGAACAAGTGCTCTGGGCAGAAAGAATGCCTACTCCCCCATCATCTGTGGGGCAGCCACAGCGACTCAAAAAATATTTTAAGGAAACAAAGCAACACCTAAGTTTGGCTTAGTGGTACAGTAAATACATTTTCTATAAGCAGTACACATTTTGTAAAATAGAGTATCATCCCATTTCACATCACAAAATATCTGATGTTCTAAAGCAGTTGCACACCATCAATGAAATCATGTTTATCCTTTCTTTTGCTTATTTTTAAACTGGGAATCCATTCCCCTTTTAAAAGTTTTTAAAGCACAGTTTCTGCAACATTTGCTAATATTTTCTGCAAGAAAAGTACATCATCCAAATATTAGCTCCTGGTAACTCCACAGAGGAACTTCAGTGATAAACGGCAGCAATGTGTCCATGGAAGAAAAAAGCCTGCCAGAGCCATGTTTCAGAAAACTGTGTCAAGCAAGAAGCCCAGCAAAGAAACCGTCTCATAAGTTGTCTGTATTTGTTTCAAAATCCACACACAGGTTGCAAACTTGGAATAGTCCCTGAACCTGTGAGAATCTTCAGACATCGAGCTGAAGGAAACCACAAATATATTCAGGATTTATCCTTAACCTGTTATTTTTCTCTCCTTAAGCCTACCCAACCTATAAGGGTAGGCTTAAGGAGAGAAACATTCCTACCCTTATAGATGGAAAGTAGGGATTTTTTGTTTTTGTTTTAAACAATCTTATTTAAGTATATTTATTTATTTAATAATAATTTTAATTATTTGTTAAAGAAAAATACCAGGGCTTATAGCCACAAAGAAAGGAAAGTAAGCTTAGCACTTAAACCCTATTTTTGGTATCAAAGACAAAGTCTGGTGGGTGGTATCCTTATATCCTGAAAAATGCTAATCCTAGCTATGTCTCATTCTATGGCCTTCAGCAAATCCTAAACCTCTCTTGCCTCTACTACTCTGTAAATCTGAGGCTCTGTTACTTCTTAACATCACTACTGGGTGTGAGGAGGTCTCACAAAAATGCACAGTGCTTTGCGCAGAAAATGTGCTTCTTTGGGACACTGAAGCGGTTCCAATTTGCTGGAATCATACATAAAGTAATTTTATGCCACTTTTTTAAAATCTAGAAAATTTGTTCTGTGTAGCCAAACTTAGCTGAATCTTGAATATAAATGAAAAATTTTAAGTCTCTGTGTCAAAAATTCACAAATTATGCTAGTAATTCAGAAAATAGCAATGAAGAGAGAAAACATTTAAAATAATAAATTCTTAAGTCAAATTTTTCCGCATTTCTATATAAATTATCTTAACTTCAGCTGTTGATCTAGGAAGTTTCTGGAGAGGTTGGCTTTTTTTATATAAGTAATTCACAATATCCTGAAAGAAAGAAAAATGGTTTGTTTTCCTGAGTGTATATAAACAAGATCATTTGTTTTCTCCTCCTCAGAGCAGGCTCCCATTCTGTTCTGCCACGGAGCAATCACCTTCTCTGTGCAGGTAGGGTTGACAGGCACGCAGCACACAGCAAAGCTCCATCTCTGCAAAGACTGCTCAGCTCATTTGCAATCCCATCAGAGGAAAGTCATGCAACTGGCTCTAAACCATCAGGGCAAAAAAAGCACACTGCTGGAGGAGGAGTGCACTGCCATTTGATGCAACTGCTACAGGGAAATTCTTCCCTTTTGTTTTTACAAGTTTATTATTTCATACCTTATGCAAATCATACTTTATATATTAAGCAATAATATTTGAGACATACTCAAGTCAAATTAAAGGCTTCAATAGCCTTGCCAAAAGCACTGTGATTTTCCTATAAAAAATTATTCCAATTTGTTGATCTTACATAGGATGAAACATACTGTAACAATCTTCATAATTTATGTCCTGTTGGGACACAATGATTTAAAGTAACATAATACAAAGCTGCATCACAGCTAATCTAAACCACCTGACCAGATAAACACCAGCTTCCCTTCTCTCTTCAGCAAGGGCATTTCTGTTTATTGTCATATCATTTCCTCATTCTAGGAACATGCAGAATAAATGCAGCCAACCTACATTTCAGTGGGAGGCTGAGCCGGTCTTTCCCATGTCAGGAGGTTTGTGAGCATACAGGTACCAGTACAATGTCAAGGGTTTATAAGATAGAAAACAGTCCAAGAATTCCACCCTCAAAATCATTTATGGCAAAGCAAATATGGATTCATCCAGTACAATCTGGACCAGGTGTGGTGTTATAAACCACAGTCTTTTGGTTGTTGTTTTTGGGTTGTTGTGTTTTTTTTTTTAATGTCACTGAAGAGGTAATTCTTTAAAACAAATTATAGGGCTTAACTCTGAGCCAAATTTTTATAACTGCTTCAATCATGCCTCATGCCATGCTCACGGGCACTCATGATCAGATTAACCAAACCGAAATGCCTATATTAACCAACGTCTCCTAGGGGTGAGGAATCTTGGTAGAAGAAAAAGACAAAGAGCACAATATGGCATTGACCATGTTCATTTCTGGTGTACAACTGCATAGGCAGATTTCAAATTGCAAAGTTTCTCCAAGGTCCAAATACCTTCACCCTCCTCACACATGCAAAACCTTACTAGGCACAGGGAGGTTTTTAGGGGAACTTAAGGGAAGGGTTTAAAGTTTCAATCATGAAAGAAAAAGTGCAGGAACACATGTGCATTCGGCAGATAACAATTCACTGAAAATATTTTAAATCAAAACAAAACGCCTGTCTGACCAAATTTTTATAAACTTGGTTGGGGAAGAGGAAAACAATTTTTTAAGGGTGGTTTCAAATGTTGCTTTCTGCTGTTGCTGAGAATTTTCAAAGCTTTTCATGCTCCATTGGAAGCAGCTCTGCTTCACAAACTGTTCTAGTAGGTCTTGCCAAAGAAATGGTCTGATACACTTTGTTACAAGTTTATTAATTTGCTTACCCAGGCAAATATATATAATTATCTTTGCTCATAAAGATCAGTGTAAAATAGGATCCCTCCACTGAAAGCAATGAGATTACTAAAACACAAGTGGATGAGACAGTACTAGCAGACCAGGCATTTGCTCCCCAACCCCAGCTCCACTGCAGTCCACACTGCATTCCTACCGGTCCCAGAAGGCACAGAACCCAAGACAACTTGACCAACACCATTTTTCAGTCTCTTGTGGGTCTCTGTACAGGAATGGAGACAGCAAGTAGTGACATTTCTGTCACAACCTGGAGCCTTTTGATTCAGGAAATTAAAGGGAAAATATAATTTTGAAGTATCCTTTTCAGGCAACAGACATTCAGTAACTTGGGTCTGAACTTTACACCATGAGCATTTGTAAAAGTTTAAAGTAATAGATTACAAATCTGCAATACTGGTGGCATTCTGAGTGCTATCAACAGTGACTTTTCCTTAAAAGTGATTATTTTTTGTCCTAAAGCACTCGTAACCTAGACTGAGGCCCCACTTGCTAATTCATGTTTCCGTGATCTTTGCACCTTATGTATACCGTCCCCAGTTTTCAAAACCACTTCAAAATCAGATCACACTGCTCCGAAGTCACAAGTGCTTCGGTCACCATGGATTTCTATGGCCTCATGAATGGAAGGGGTTTTCTGATGACAAACAGCCTGTCCCTGGGCTATAATGTGAATGTCATCAAGCCCAGACCTTCTCATAATCCTGGTTTTTCATTTTTATTAATCCATGTACCAGAAGTTATCCCAGCAATTCCATTTCTAGATTTATGCTGTATGGAAACTCTTACACTTATGCACAAGGAGACATAGGATGCTTGTTACAGAACTGACCGTACTAAAACCATGAGAAAGACTCTAAATGTCCATCAATAAGGAAATTAATAAATGATAGTTACTTTATTTATGTATTTGATTTGCAAAGGAATAAGACATTTTAAAAATACATTTACTTTATCAGAAACAATGCAATATGATGGAAAGAGCATCAGACCAGGAATCCAAAACCTGGGCTCTCAACCCAGACCTTAAGCAGGCTGTATGACTTGGCTGGGCTGCATTTCCCATCTAGGTAAGATGAGATGATATGAACCAATCACACAGCACAGTGCCCTCACATACACAGTAATGTTCAAATTTAAAACTAATAATATTATCATCTAGTATACACAAGGAACAGGATATCTCTGATTACCTTCTATTTTGGTATTAATCATAAATTACTTTTTTATTTTCATCATCTCAATGGCAATACCTGAATAGCCTCTTTTCTGATCAAGTAGTACCTTCTGAACATAACTTGATTCTTGCTGACTATGGATCTGAGTGTATCTCAGAGTCATTACTCTGACCACTGATTCTCATCATTCAGTTCTAGGATGAAGAAGAGGAGGGGAAAATATAATGAGCATTTATAAAATAACTACTCTGGACCAGGTACTTACTGCAGCCCTGTGAACAGGTTTATCATTCCTATTTTACAGAGAAGAGAACTGAGGCTCTGAGGGGTTAAATCACTTGCCCAAAGTCACGCACCTCATAAAAAGTGAGGCTGGGATGCAAATTCAAGTCCCCTATGTCCAGCTCCAAAGCCTCCATGTGTGCATCTTTAGGTACAAATCCCTGATGTCAGATTATACTTTTTCCATTTTTTTTTTCTTTTACTTAAAAGTAAATTTTAGCAAAAATAAGTTTCCTACAATCTTTTTTTTTTTTTTTTTTTTGAGACAGAGCCTTGCTCTATTGCCCAGGCTGGAGTGCAGTGGCATGATCTTGGCTCACTGCAAGCTCCGCCTCCCGGGTTCACGCCATTCTCCTGCCTCAGCCCCCCCAAGTAGCTGGGACTACAGGCACCCGCCACCACGCCCGGCTAACTTTTTTTTTTTTTTGGTACTTTTTTAGTAGAGACGGGCTTTCACCGTGTTAGCCAGGATGGTCTCAATCTCCTGACCTCGTGATCCACCCGCCCCGGCCTCCCAAAGTGCTGGGATTACAGGCGTGAGCCACCACACCCAGCCCCCATAATCTTATTTTTTAAATTTAATTACAAGAGATAAAGTATAACAGGTTTTAGAAAAAGAAAAAATTATTACGTAGTTTTTTTCCCTGTGCCCTTTTTTCCAAAACTGTTATAATATTCATTTAATTGTGTATCCTGAATCACTAAATACTATTAAAACATCCGACTCATTCTCCATGTGGCACCATGGTTTTCTTTACTTATTTTTAGAAGCTTCACAGTCTCACATACAGCGAGTAACTGTCTCTTTTAGAAACCATTTTATGGTTTCATGTAGAAGAGAGACATGTATACCAAATATATCTTTTAAAAGCCAGGCCTTCTGAATATAAAGATCTTTGAACTCTCTATCAACATACATTGCAGTTTCAGGGGCAAAATTAGAAGAGCAATTCTATACTTGGGGATTTATGGAATAAATGAAAAAGTTTTTTAAAATCCCTTTTTTCAACTCCCAGTGGAAACATTAGATAATATGATGAAGTCCTCTTTTAGCTGAACACCTATTAAAGCAACCAATTAATTCAGGTATTAACAGTCTAGTGTGCCAAAACAATGACAATTAAACCTGTCAGAACAAATAATCTACCTACCAAAACTGAAATGGCAAGGATATCATCATCAAATCCTCCAAGGTGCAGGCAGTGTGTGCTGTGGAAAGATCCTCAAAGTAGACTTCTCAGGAACCAAGTTCTTTTTTTTTTTTTTTTTTTTTTCCTTGAGATGGACTCTCGCTCTATTGCCCAGGCTCGAGTGCAGTGGCGTGATCTTGGCTCACTGCAACCTCCAACTCCCTGGTTCAAGCGATTCTCCTGCCTCAGCCTCCGGAGTAGCTGGGATTACAGGCATGCGCCACCACGCTAATTTTTGTACTTTTAGTAGAGACGGGATTTCACCGTGTTGGCCAGGATGGTCTCGACCTCATGATCCACCTTCCTCGGCCTTCCAAAGTGCTGGGATTACAGGCGTGAACCACCATGCCCGGCCAGGAACCAAGTTCTTATGCTCAAAATACTTCTTCCTGTCACATGTGTCTGTGGACATGACACTCAACCTCCACACTCAGCCCCTGCACTTGTCCAAAAGAGGGCCACTCACCAAGGGATTGTGAGGAGGCTGAGAAGTCAGGAAAAAAGAGCTTCATTCACTTCTATCTTTAGTGCCTAGAGAATAGAGTACTGCTCTGAAATACCTCATATCTTATGTTTTCAAAATTATGATATTTAAAGAGTTTCATGATAAGGTCAAAGTCTCCACTACCCTCTGGGTCTGCCTAATCTTACCTCAAGCACCCAGTGCAAACTTAAGAGCCATTCCTACCCTGGTGTTCTGAGATACATTCTTTATTGAAACCTTAGGAAATATGACCACCTGCACATCCAGGGTTATTAAAAAAAAAAATATATATGCTGCACCATGACTATGGGATGTGGGCACAAGGTCAGAAATAAACTGGGGTGGTTCTAAAAGAAATGTACAACCCAGAGAACCAGGCCTCAGGAGACCAACAGGGTTGGAGCCGGCAGGGACGGCAGCAGTTACTTGCCCTAAACCCCGGAGGCTTGGAAAATCATGCCTTACAATTGTTAGAGTTTGATTTCATTTTATTTACAAAAGTGGTACTCTGCTTTAACTTTAAATCTCTCTGGGCCATGCAGAGTATAATGGAAAATTACTCAAATAGTCCTGTGACACCAGAAGTCCACAGATAGAGAAAGGAAGGTGTACCTGGGTGCAGGTCTAGCTCTTTCGCCTGGGAGAGTTACTTCTCCCTCTCAGCCTCAGCCTTCCCATAATGGGAAGAAGTGGGTGGACCAATGATAGGTGTTCTTCCCGCTGTGTGACCTGATGGCCAACATAAGGAAAAAAGTGCCATGTTCCTGGTGATTTAAAAAAAAAAAAAAATTTCTTATTACAGAGTGGGGGTCTCCTTATGCCAGCAATTACATTGTTTAGGAAGAGAGGGCTGGTTTTTCATGGTGGTTGGGAAAGAATCTAGAGGGCTCTGTCTGGCATAAAGGACCTCTTTGGGACCTCGGAAGTGTCTTTACAAGCTCTAGTAAAACTTTAAGGTAGTTAAGTGTCCAATCTATCTTTCAGTTTCATATACTGTGAGGCAGACCCCAAGTCACAGATGTCTGTATCAGCCTTTCCAGAAAGAGTATTTTTGAACCTTCTTGGGTGTCTCATGTGAAGCTGTTGCTCATTGCAGGCAGAAGGCTGTCCCTTCCTTAGATGCATTTAAAGTTTTAAGAATGGAGGTTGTCTGTACATGGTAGATGCTACACAGGATTTTAGGAGCCTCTGGTTTTTTTGAACAGACAGGGGCACTATGCACCATTCTTTCTCCTGACTGCTTCCGATTTCCCTAAAAACACCCTCCAAAAGTGAAGATTCCTCCTATGGCCCAGCAGATGCCCCATATGCATTACATGGGCTTAAAAAGTTATAAATACAAACTTCTAAAAACTTCAGAATCTCAAAAAAAAAAAAACAACAAAACATCAAAACCTGAAAATAAAAAATGACTACATTAACATGAGCTTGTAATAAGATACAAATTCTGCACCTTCTGTCTGTGTACCACTTTTTAAGAAGACAGGACGGTACTGAATGATGACAGTACCTTAGGAATGTCTATTTTTGGAAGGTTACATGTTGGGGTTTTCTTTCAAAATATACTATTCAATATTTTCTTTAAATATATTTCCTTTAAATAGTAAGTATAGTCAGGTATATTCCAAACATGATTTTTAAAAGAGTAAAAAACAATTATAATAATACATTTAAGAAAACAGATTTATGCGTGCTCACAAATCTGACAATATGAAGGCTATATTAATATAACCAGTACTTACATTATCCCATTTAAGTAAAGTCTTTGGATTTTAGATGTGCAGCTAGGCCCTGCTTTATTTAAAAGCTTAAAAAATTATGGCTAAAATGGTTTTTTGTACAACACCTTTCTTTTGCCCCTTGTAACTTTATGAGTTAGTAATAAATGAGTTTGGTTACGTCAAAACAAATGGGAAATAGTTTGAGTTTTAATGCAATATTTTAAAACCTGGTAAAAATTCCTTTAACAGTATTCTAAGTATATATTTTTTAAAGTAATTAAAATTTCTAAACCTCTCAGACAGCATTCAAGCATTCCTAACTTCACAGCCTCCTAACTCTATCCCCTCCCCCTTCTCCACTCTCACACACAATTAAGTCAAAGGTTAATTTCCATTCTAAGTCAAACTCTAATCCAAACTCTAATCCTGTGTTCCCAAAGTACCCCACCCAACACATAAAGCTCCCAAGCACACAGACTCTTCTCCAGAATAGGAAGGTCACAAAAGGGTGAGAGGACACCCTCGTCATATGGTGAAAATCAGCTATAAAATTCAGAAGTTCCATCAATACCCACATCATTTTATAAACAAAAAATGGTCATTCAGAGAAAAGGTTCCTTCAGTGTCTCTGCTGCTGTTCCTTAGTGAGAAAATGACTTCTAAAAGGGAGGCAAAGAGGCATGAGAGGCAAGTCTACTGAAGCAGGACTGGTTTCACTTCTGGCACCAAAGTCGATGGCAACAATGACGGATCTGGAGACATGCCTTATGATAAATACCAAAAGGCAGCGACATCGTAGGCATGGCAGCTACAGGCACTGCAGACCAAGAAGCAGAGCTTCAAGCCCCACACTCACAAGGCTAAAACGTTTCCTCGTGTGAGAAACAGAACCACCACTAACAATTTTTGGAAATAATATTTGAGTCTTGGCTCCCAACTGGATAATTTTGTTCTGCACCAAAAGCAATTCCATTCAAATTCCCAAAGTCTTCAAGCGGCTTCAGACTAATTTCAAGACACAGTTTCCTTCCAAGCCCAATGAAATGAAAGGCAGAAACCAACAAAAGAAAAAAATAAAATTAAATAACATGTATAAGATGGTTTGCCATTTTATGAAAAACAAATGAAGACTTACGCTTGCATCAGACTGATAAACTGAGAGTCTGCCAGTGGTTCTCAGGGCAGATGTAACATTTTAACAAATGTGATTGTTTGTGAACGAAATAATTCTGATCAAAAACTTAATTGCAGCCAAAGTGGGCCCTGGGCTGTGTCACCATAATCCATTCTGACAGGAAGCAGTGAGTGGAGATTCCTACTGTGAACGGAGCACATGTGAAAGGTCAGCTTTGGCCTGGAACTTCAAAACCGTTAACGTGTAAAACAGTGTGCATTAGAGCCCGGAACAGCTAACCACTGGATTAGCGGATGTCCGCTGTGTGAGTCTGATGTGCTTTTGGCAGGTAATGGTTAATTGGTAAATAGGCAATGTATTGTAACTTTCTTCTTTGCCTCTTTCCAACATTTACCAGCAGAACCTATTCTTAATTATAGTCCTAAAACACTGCAATATTAGATTTATAACCTAGTCTCAGAATACCAAAGTAACTGATTTCTCAAATAAAATTCATCTTTTTTAGTAAGGGAAAAGTTGCATGTATTTTAAAAAGAAATATCTGTAGATGGAATGAAAAAAATATTTTCATGTAAAATGGATATATCTGTTCATCCAATAGTAACCATATTATTATAATAGCCAAAATTTGCTAAATAAGGATTTCATTAGAAGAAATAAATGCTTTACTTATGTATTATAATCTGAAATCTGAAAAAACAAATATGCAATACTATTTTACATAGCTTAAAACGAAATTCTAAATAAAAATAAAGTCAATACCAGTTTTTATTTTTCAACATGGAATGTTAATTATGAAAGAACCAAGCTAAACATTGCCTTTTAAGTCAATGCACACAGAAGTAGTTTATACCTATTTAGTGCTATAAAATTGGCTCATTTGGTTTTAAATTATAGCCATTTTTCCTATACCTAAGGTAATAGGGCACTAATGAGTGACAAAATCTGGCAATGTGCACTTCAATGATCATTTTAGGATTTAACTCATCTCTGAGTTGAAGAGAGAAATAATGCTTCTCCCTGAAAACAAGCAGGTCTTCTATTCTCAAAATCAACCTTCTAAGGTTCTGTCTTTGGCCACTGGACAGATGCAGCTCCTGGGCCCTTTTAGGCTAAATTCGGGGATCTTAAAGGTAGCTACCTGGCAAGCAGCCTTATCACCAGCATGTCATGAATCCTGTCCCCTTCAGAACATTAACTGATACCTTTAGAAACAAAATCATACTGCAATGGATGACCTGAAGAGAAAAAGGATCATGGTCAGCAAAACAAGTTATCAGTTTCTTACGTTTCTGCTTTCCACACAGGATCTGAAACCTTTAACATGTCTGGAAATCCCAGAATCTTCCCAACAGTCTGTTCCTGAAAGCATGTGATATAAACAGTTACCAATCTGCTGCTCTGTACCCAGCACCTTCCTGGGCTCTGGCCCTGGTCACAGCTCCCGTTCCTCAAGGAGCGTCCAGTGCGACTGAGGAGGACAGAAAGGTTAACCACAGAGAGCTATTAAGGAGTGAAGGAGCAGAGGTAAAACAATCCAGAAGGCTGTGTGAGAGGCCGGGGCTGGGCACAGCCATCTCCTTCTTACTCTTCCTCTCCACAGATGTCCAAGGGGAACCTGCACAGCAAGCCAGGGTCACAAACAGGGCACCCAAGTTACCCACGGGGCTCAACTGATCCTAAGTACACAAAAAAGACATTAAAATTCGCCAAGAAATATTTTACAAGGTTCCACATCAGTTATTAATGGTATTTTCTTATACTGTTAAGTGACTAATTACACTTGGTAACATATTAAATTATAATTTTAGCCTCACTTCTAATCATCTTTTTTCTATCACCACAACATTTTCAGCATAATAATTCTTGGCTGCCGTTCCACTTCCTTAGTGAGACCCAGGCCAAAGAAGCTTACAACTTCCCTCCAGAAAGATCAACAGAGCAGAAAGAACCTCCACACTGAGTTCCAGCTTAAAGCAGGCATTTCCACTCAGGGCTACGCACGCTGCCCTAGCCTCGGCGCCAACACTTAACATGACAACTGTCTCATTCAGGAGCAAGATGACTGCCAAGCCAATTGCAACTATTAATGAGGAAACAGACTTTGCTTATTTCTTAACTGGTTTATATTTTTTAACATGTTTTAAAACACAAAATTTCCAGAAAGTTGAACTTATACTTTTAATTCCATTCTGGACTGCTAGCTAAATTTTACAAATACAAAGAAATATGTTATCAGTTTCTTTGTCAAATGAGAGGACACCAAAGAAATTCATCATTCAATTCTTATTTGTAGGAGCAGATTCTCTGTAACTTGTAAATTATTTTGATTTACAGTGAATCATTATTGCATTCATAAATGCTGGAAAGTTGGTGAACAACATGATATAATGACACCCCAAAATAATTTTATAACTGCAGGTGTGCAAATCGTAACATGTGGGAGATGACTCAAAGGATAATGGGGAATAAAGGAGTTTAGGAAGGTCACATAAAGGAGGGAAAGGGATGAGGGCATGTACCCAATTTTCTAAGATGTCTTCAAACCCAAACCACTCCTGTTTAGGCAGATGCAGTGGCGCAGTCAGGCACGGGCAGCAGAGTCAACAGTTACATTTAAACCAGCAAAAGCAAAATGCTTCATAATTTACAACAACCCAATCAGATTGCTCATTCTTTTGAGGTTAAATGCTACTGACATAAGCTACACCTGAATCCAATCAGTGCAGAAACATTGAGAAGATTCACACGAAAGGACTAAATTTGTCACAAATGGGTTGGTTTCCGATCTTAATGTAGCCAAGTTGCTTTACTCTGACCTCCATTGAACAAATCAACTTAATGGGCACTAGGAGTGCTATAAAACTTAACAATGGAGTGATTTTTAACTTTTAAAATATAGTTATGAAGCAAAATGTTGGATAGCTTCTACAATACTGGAAATCAAATTAAATCTAGATGTTTTTTAACAGTCTTGACAGATATAATCCTAGTTACCATGTAAATTTATGGTAAGCTGCTGTGATATTAGCCACAGGTGCTACTTTTAATATATGAGCCGCATCTGGCTGGGAATAGAATTTCTCAGAGGACTGAAAATGACCTCACTATCAGACAATGGAAGGGAAAAAAACAAGACCACTGTGGCATATAAAAAGCTGAAGATGTGGTCCACAACTAAATATTTCACATAAAATTCATTTTAACTCTGCAGTTGTAGGTTAAAGGATATTATGCCTTCAATATTTAAGAGGCATAGATGTATTTCAACCAAAAAGCCGAAAGATTAAGAATGTAAGACAGTTATGAATACCGTGGCTACAAATATAATACTAGTTTTCCAATCTTTGATCAATGTCAGAAAAAATGATGCACTAAGACTTGAAAAGAGAATTATTTCATGGTTCCCAAGCACACGACCTGATTAGACACCACGGAGCATACCAAACCATGATGTAACAATTACTGATCTCTAAGCAGCAGCCACTCTCCAGCACCTGCCCAACATTACTGGTTGTGTTGTAAAAGTTCTTTGGGGTCATTCATCGGGCCCAAGAAAACATTTTCACCAAGTGAAATTTTTTTTTTTAAAATCATTATAAGTAATTAATTACCATTCTGAGTTTGAGAACCAGCAATATCACCCAGAGACAAATACAAAGGGGAAAGTACATGTCCCTTACTTATCCAATTCAAAAATAAAAACACAAATATGTATAAAACATGGAATTGTTTGCTTTCAGGAAACCCTTCCTGAACCACTCGAAAGCCATCATTTGCCACAGAACTAGCAAGTGTGGAAATGTGATAGAGGATTTACAAAGATTTAATTTCCTATGAAATAACTCTTCCTGAATTAAACAAGCCTTCTTTATCCGAAAAAACTCTCTAAAAGAGAAATATTTCTGTGAAAATATTTCCTACACCATTGCACTAAGCTGTGAGAATGGTGGCTACAAAGCCCTATAACATAACATTTTCCTTCTGGCTGTCTCAAGTAACTTGAAGGGCTTGATTTTTTAGCTTCAATGGATCAATTCTATCTAGGTGATGATTTCTATTTACTTTTTTAACAGGTGACTGGATCTATTCCTGATCTCAATGGGCATGGAGATCCTGAGTATATTTAGCAAGAACTACCCAGTACAGCTCCCTGACACTTTTGTGTCCAACTGACAGCATTAATACGGAGCATTTAGAAAAGGTGGGCTCACAAAGCCTCTTCTGTGAGGATGGTTACCGTAGAAAGGGATTGGCTAAATTAAATATGGCTTTTTTGTTCAATGGAATAATTTATATATCTCCCACCATTCAAAATCGTGTGGTAAGCCAGCTGCAGTGGCTCATGCCTACAGTCCCAGAACTTTGGGAGGCTGAGGTGGGTGGACTGCTTGAACCCAGGAGTTCAAGACCAGCCTGCGCAATATGGCAAAACCCAGTCTCTACAAAAAATACAAAAATTAGCCGGGTGTGGTGGCGCATGCCTGTAGTCCCAGCTACTCAGGAGGCTGAGGTAGGAGGATCATCTGAGCCCAGAAGATAGAGGCTGCAGTGAGCCAAGATGGCACTACTGAATCCTGCATAGGTGACACAGTGAGACCCTGTCTCAAAAAACAAAACAAAAAATCATGAGGTAAAATATTTTACTGATGTGAAAATATTCACTATACATGAAATGAAAGAAGCAACTGACCAAAAATATCTATAATATGATCCCAAATATATATACATACATAAACATTCACACAAATGCACATTCACAGCGTTTTTAAGTGAGCAGAAAGATTACAGGTATATTTTTCTTCTTTATACTTTTCTGTTTTCCAAATTATAAAACATATTATGCAATCATAAAAAAAAATTTATTTACCAGCTGAACATGCCACTCAAATGTTAACAGGAGGGTATCATTCCTATTAGAATGAGAGGCCTGGTGGATGTGGATCTCTGTGGAGTATGAGTGACCTATAAATGTTAAACCCTTCTATTTAAAGCTCACAGTTTTAAACACATAGAAAAATGGAAGAGACTCACCCACAAGCTTACATAACAGAATCATAGTTTAAGAAACTCCGAATTGGCCAGGTGTGGTGACTCTCGCCTGTAATCACAGCACTTTGGGAGGCCAAGATGGGAGGATCGCTTGAGGCCAGGAATTCAAGACCAGCCTGGGCAACATAGTGAGATCCCATCTCCACAAAAAAAAGTAAAATTAAAAAATTTGCCAGGGGTGGGCATGGTGGCTCACATCTATAATCCCTGCCTGAGAAGGCAGGGGGGATCACTTGAGGTCAGGAGTTCAAGACCAGCCTGGCCAACATGGTGAATCCATGTTGCTACTAAAAATACAAAAATTAGCTGAGCGTGGTGGCGCATCCCTGTAATCCCAGCTACTTGAGAGGCTGAAGCAGGAGAATTGCTTGAACCCAGGAGACGGAGGTTGCAGTGAGCTGAGATCGCACCACTGCATTCCAGCCTGGGTGACAGAGCAAGACTACAACTCAAATAAAAAAAAAAATTAGCCAGGCAATGTGGCATGCATCTATAGTCCCAGCTACTCAGGAGGCGGAGGTAGGAGGATCGCTTGAGCCCAGTAATTTGAGGCTACAGTAAGCTACGATCACGTCGCTGCACTCCAATCTAAGCAACAGAGACCCCATCTCTTAAAAAATAATAAAAAGAAACAAAAAAAAATTGTTTAAAGAAACTCAGAATTAAAATGGCCCTCTCTTCTATGCATCTGTATCCACAGCTATACGGTTAGTGGCTTCGATGTTTATCTTCTGTATGCAGAGTTCCACTTCTCCAAATAAAGTTTTCAGCTGCTCTCTGCAGACCTATCTGGAAGTGACTTTCCCCTCTAGATAGATGCTCACCTCCAATCTGTAACAGACTTAGAACTGATCATTGATCAATCCAGTATTATAAACTAATGCTTTCAGGGTAGGGCATAGGGAACCATGTAGCAATTTACAAGTCAAATTCCTTTCAGTAGCTGGCAATCTTTTTCTTCAAAACATGCAAATAACATACGCCTCCTTTAAGCACTCCAAAATAAACATTTCTTCCTAAACAGAACAGATTCAATTCTGAATAGCAGAGTTGCCCATTCAAAGCTCTAAGACATTCCTAAACAAAACTGCAATCCATATCCTTTGTTATTCTACAATTCTTCAAAATACAGACTTGTGTTAAGAGAAGAGCAGTCACCTTAGGGTGGGATATCTGGCCTTGGAATGATGGTCCCACTGCCCACTTCCTCTGGAAGTTTGAGCAAGCTCTTTAACTTCCCTGACTTTTCCACCATTAGCAAAATGGGAATACGAACACCTAACCTTAGGAGGCTTCTGGGAAGCTTCAATGAAACAACCTATGTTAGTTCATAGGTCACCTAACAATGAGCTACTATACCCAATAGACACTCAAACACTCATTAGTTCATAAAATACTTTGTAACCCTCTAATCTGTCACAAAGAAAACTGATTTGGCTGCATTTCAGGTAAATGATGCAATATTAAGAGTTACCTGTGTACAGAATGACCTTAAAGCAACATTTTTATATCCAAATTTCTAAAATTAATTCCTCAAATTACTGCCAATATATTTTAGCTTTTCTTTATAGCACACCACCAAGTTATGATTCAAAAAAAAGAAAAAGAAGGCCGGCGCGGTGGCCAAAGTGCTGGGAGGCCAAGGCAGGCAGATTACGAGGTCAGGAGATCGAGACCATCCTGGCTAACACGGTGAAACCCTGTCTTTACTAAAAATAAAAAAAAATTAGCCGGGCATGGTGGTGGGTGCCTGTAGTCCCAGCTACTCGGTAGGCTGAGGTGGGAGAATGGCGTGAACCTGGGAGGTGAAGGTTGCAGTGAGCCACGATCATGCCACTGCATTCCAGCGTGGGCAACAGAGCAAGACTCTGTCTCAAAAAACAAAAAGAAAAAGAAAAATCAGCCAAGAACGCTGGACCAGTGGTCACAGAAAAGGAAAGGGAAAGAAAGAATTTGAGATTAAAGAATTGTCTTGAAACAGAAATGAATGCCTAATGGATAGCCAGCGAACAGGCCTGTGGCAGCCTCCCAGTGTGGTATTTGGTCGAGTATCTGCCACTGGCCCTCAGGACATCAATATTCTCATCCGATTGTGGCTGTAGTTGTGGGTGGCTGAAACCGTGGTGCTAAAATACTGAATGCCAGTCTTAGTCTCTCTCATGGTTGGAGACAACTGACTAGAGACACCATGAGCAGCCATTTTCTTCTCTGATGTCTCAGTACTGCATGCAGAACAAAGGCACAATCAATGCTGCTGTTCTGGGAAGCACCCTGTGGCAATGCAGAGCACCCTCTCTCATCTCTCAGACACAGCAACTTAGCAGCCAGATAAGCTGGTCACCATTAGGAATCATCGATATCTAGGAGTAAGGAGATGAGGGAGAGGAAAAGTCCCTGGTGAGAAAGGGTTGTATGTATCCTACAGGGAACAAAAAGATGAAACACTATGTTCCCCTGGGACTAAGTGCACTGACTAGGATCACCCATGGGGAACCTAATCATGGGCCCTCATGCATTCAAAATACAACTAGGTAACCCTGGGCTAGGTACTATGGGAGATGTACACAGGTACAATCCAAGTCTCTGTCCTCAAGCTGCTTATACCTTAGCTGGAGAGAGACATGAGTAAACAGTTACATGACCCTGTTCATAATCTAAGTTGCATTTAGTCTTGTCCTAACTTTGCCACTAGTTCGTTGTCACCCTGGGCAAACTACATTACCCCTGGGCTTCAGTTGCCCCATCCTTTCTAGCTCTAATATTGATAGGCCCTATATCAAAGCTCTAAGATGCTTAATTAATATCAAAACAAGGCTGGGCTGGGAACGATGGCTCATGCCTGTAATCCCAATACTTTGAGAGGGTGGGGTGGGAGGACTGTTGAGGTCAGGATTTCAAGACCAACTTAGGCAACATAGCGAGACCTTGTCTCTACAAAAAATGTTTTAAAAATTAGCCAGGCATGGTGGCATGTGCCTGTAGTCCAAGCTACTTGGGAGGCTGAGGCAGGCGGATCACTTGAGCCCAGGAGTTGGAGACTGCAGTGAGCTATGATCACACCACTGTACTCAAGGCTAGATGACAGAGGAAGACCCCATCTCTAAAAACAATGTTTTTAATTTAAAAAATAAGTCTGAAAGAACACCACAAACAAGTATAAGTCTAGGAATGAATTCTAAATGGAAAGAAAAGACAACAGACTAATGTCTGAGACTACCAGGTCTGTATAAAGCATAAGATCTCCACCTCCTCTCCAGGCTGTCCTGTGCCCCACCCACCGAAACCAACTTTGCTACGGTCACTGATGTCCTCCATGCTGCTTCCTCCAATGGGCATCCCCTGGTACTCATCTTACTTGGTGTCTCAGCAGAATTCATACTTCCCTCCTTTTGAAACACCATCTTCTTTTGGATTCTGTGACATGACATTGACCTGATTTTCTTCCCTTTTTTTTTTTTTTTTTTGAGACAAGGTCTCGCTCTATTACCCAGGTTGCAGTGCAGTAGCACAATCATAGCTCACTGCAGCCTCAAACTCCTGGCCTCAAGCAATTCTCCCGCCTTGGCCTCCCAAAATGCTGGGATTACAGGCAAGAGCCAACAGCCTTTTTCCATTTATCTAACAAATCTTTCTTGTCTTTGCCAACTCCTCCTCTTCTAACTCACCCCTAAATGGACCAAGTCCTGAGCCATCCTCTCTTCTCACACTATAATTTCTTCTTGAGTCATCTCATCTATTACCTTGGCTTTTTTCCATAAATACCTATGATTCTCCAATTATCTCCAACCCAGACCTCACCTCTGGCTTTCTAATTCAGACATAAATTTTCTGGAAGTTGACATTTGGATGTCTCACAGCACTCCTTAAACAGTGTCCAAACCAGAAATCTTGATCCCTGCATCCCAAACCCATTCCTCTCCCACACTTCCCCAGCTCAGTAAATATCACTTCCAGCCACCTATTTCCTCCTTTCCTCCAGGCCCGAAATCTGGGAGTCATGTTGCCTAGGCTGGAGTGGCACGATCTTGGCTTACTGCAAGCTCTGCCTCCCGGGTTTACACCATTCTCCTGCCTCAGCCTCCCAAGTAGCTGGGACTACAGGCGCCCGCCACCACGCCTGGCTAATTTTTTTGTATTTTTAGTAGAGACGGGGTTTCACCACGTTAGCCAGGATGGTCTCAATCTCCTGATCTCGTGATCTGCCTGTCTTGGCCTCCCAAAGTGCTAGGATTACAGGCGTGAGCCACCGCGCCCAGCCTGGAAGTCATTCTTAATACCCTTCACTCCTTTTACCCTTGCCATGAGCCCTACAAACAACTAACTTACCACTAATAGTCACATCGTCCCTCTTATTAATCATCATCCTAGCCCTAAGTCTGGCCTACGAATGATTATAAAAAGGGTTAGACTGAGCCGAATTGGTATATAGTTCAAACAAAACGAATGATTTCGACTCATTAAATTATGATAATCATATTTACCAAATGCCTCTCATTTACATAAATATTATACTAGAATTTACCATCTCACTTCTAGGAATACTAGTATATCGCTCACACCTGATATCCTCCCTACTATGCCTAGAAGGAATAATACTATCACTATTCATTATAGCCACTCTCATAACCCTCAACACCCACTCCCTCTTAGCCAATATTGTACCTATCGCCATACTAGTCTTTGCTGCCTGCAAGGCAGCAGTAGGCCTAGCCCTACTAGTCTCAATCTCCAACACGTATGGCCTAGACTACGTACATAACCTAAGCCTACTCCAATGCTAAAACTAATTGTCCCAACAATTATATTACTACCACTGACATGACTCTCCAAAAAACACATAATTTGAATCAACACAACCACTCACAGCCTAATTATTAGCACCATCCCCCTACTATTTTTCAACCAAATCAACAACAACCTATTTAGCTGCTCCTTATCCTTCTCCTCCGACCCCCTAACGACCCCCCTCCTAATACTAACTACCTGACTCCTGCCCCTCACAATCATGGCAAGCCAACGCCACTTATCCAATGAACCACTATCACGAAAAAAACTCTACCTCTCTATACTAATCTCCCTACAAATCTCCTTAATTATGACATTCACAGCCATAGAACTAATCATATTTTATATCTTCTTCGAAACCACACTTATCCCCACCCTGGCTATCATCACCCGATGAGGCAACCAACCAGAACGCCTGAACGCAGGTACATACTTCCTATTCTACACCCTAGTAGGCTCCCTCCCCCTACTCATCGCACTAATCTACACCCACAACACCCTAGGCTCACTGAATATTCTATTACTCACTCTTACTGCCCAAGAACTATCAAACTCCTGAGCCAATAACTTAATATGGCTAGCGTACACAATAGCTTTTATAGTAAAAATACCTCTTTACGGTCTCCACCTATGGCTCCCTAAAGCCCATGTCGAAGCCCCCATCGCTGGGTCAATAGTACTTGCTGCAGTACTCTTAAAATTAGGCGGCTATGGTATAATACGCCTCACACTCATTCTCAACCCCCTGACAAAACATATAGCCTACCCCTTCCTTGTACTATCCCTGTGAGGCATAATTATAACAAGCTCCATCTGCCTGCGACAAACAGACCTAAAATCGCTCATTGCATACTCTTCAATCAGCCACATAGCCCTCGTAGTAACAGCCATCCTCATCCAAACCCCCTGAAGCTTCACCGGCGCAGTCATTCTCATAGTCGCCCACGGACTTACATCCTCATTACTATTCTGCCTAGCAAACTCAAACTACGAACGTACCCACAGTCGCATCATAATTCTCTCTCAAGGACTTCAAACCCTACTCCCACTAATAGCCTTTTGATGACTTCTAGCAAGCCTCACTAATCTCGCCTTACCCCCCACTATTAACCTACTAGGAGAACTCTCTGTGCTAGTAACCACATTCTCCTGATCAAATATCACTCTCCTACTTACAGGACTCAACATACTAATCACAGCCCTATACTCCCTCTACATATTTACCACAACACAATGAGGCTCGCTCAGCCACCACATTAACAACATAAAACCCTCATTCACACGAGAAAACACTCTCATGTTCATACACCTATCCCCTATCCTCCTCCTATCCCTCAACCCCGATATCATTACCGGGTTTTCCTCCTGTAAATATAGTTTAACCAAAACATCAGATTGTGAATCTGACAACAGAGGCTCACGACCCCTTATTTACCGAGAAAGCGCATAAGAACTGCTAACTCATATCCCCATGTCTAACAACATGGCTTTCTCAACTTTTAAAGGATAACAGCCATCCGTTGGTCTTAGGCCCCAAAAATTTTGGTGCAACTCCAAATAAAAGTAATAACCATGTACGCTACTATACCCACCCTAGCCCTAACTTCCTTAATTCCCCCTATCCTTACCACCCTCATTAACCCTAATAAAAAAAACTCATATCCCCATTAAGTAAAATCCATTATCGCATCCACCCTTGTTATTAGTCTCTTCCCCACAACAATATTCATATACCTAGACCAAGAAGTCATTATCTCAAACTGACACTGGGCAACAACCCAAACAACCCAACTCTCCCTAAGCTTCAAACTAGATTATTTCTCCATAATATTTATCCCTGTAGCACTGTTCGTTACGTGATCCATCATAGAATTCTCACTATGATATATAAGCTCAGACCCAAACATTAATCAATTCTTCAAATACCTACTCATCTTCCTAATCACCATACTAATCCTAGTCACTGCTAACAACCTATTCCAGCTATTCATCGGCTGAGAAGGCGTAGGAATTATATCCTTTTTACTCATTAGTTGATGATACGCCCGAGCAGATGCCAACACAGCAGCTATTCAAGCAATCCTATACAACCGTATCGGCGACATCGGTTTCATCCTTGCCCTAGCATGATTTCTCCTACACTCCAACTCATGAGACCCACAACAAATAACCCTCCTAAGTGCTAATCCAAGCCTCACCCCACTACTAGGCTTCCTCCTAGCAGCAGCAGGCAAATCAGCTCAATTAGGCCTTCACCCCTGACTCCCCTCAGCCATAGAAGGCCCCACCCCTGTCTCAGCCCTACTCCACTCAAGCACTATAGTTGTAGCAGGAGTCTTCCTACTCATCCGCTTCCACCCCCTAGCAGAGAATAACCCACTAATCCAAACTCTCACACTATGCCTAGGCGCTATCACCACTCTGTTCGCAGCAGTCTGCGCCCTTACACAAAATGACATCAAAAAAATCGTGGCCTTCTCCACTTCAAGCCAACTAGGACTTATAATAGTCACAATCGGCATCAACCAACCACACCTAGCATTCCTGCACATCTGTACCCACGCCTTCTTCAAAGCCATACTATTTATATGCTCCGGATCCATCATCCACAACCTCAACAATGAACAAGATATTCGAAAAATAGGAGGACTACTCAAAACCATACCTCTTACTTCAACCTCCCTCACCATTGGCAACCTAGCATTGGCAGGAATACCCTTCCTCACAGGTTTCTACTCCAAAGACCACATCATCGAAACCGCAAACATATCATACACAAACGCCTGAGCCCTGTCTATTACTCTCATCGCCACCTCCCTGACAAGCGCCTATAGCACTCGAATAATTCTTCTCACCCTAACAGGTCAGCCTCGCTTCCCAGCCCTCACTAACATTAACGAAAACAACCCCACCCTACTAAACCCCATTAAACGCCTAACAATCGGAAGCCTATTTGCAGGGTTTCTCATCACCAACAGCATTCTCCCCACATCCACCCCCCAAATGACAATCCCACTTTACTTAAAACTCACAGCCCTAGGCGTCACTTCCCTAGGACTTCTAACAGCCCTAGATCTCAACTACCTAACCAACAAACTCAAAATAAAATCCCCACTGTATACATTTTACTTCTCTAATATACTCGGATTTTACCCTAGTATCATACACCGCACAGTCCCTTATCTAGGCCTTCTTACAAGCCAAAACCTACCCCTACTCCTCCTAGACCTGGCCTGACTAGAAAAGCTACTACCTAAAACAATCTCACAACACCAAATCTCCGCCTCCATCATCACCTCAACCCAAAAAGGCATAATCAAACTTTATTTCCTCTCTTTCTTCTTCCCACTCATCCTAACCCTACTCCTAATCACATAATCTATTCCCCCGAGCAATCTCTAGTACAATATACACACCAACAAACAATGTTCAACCAGTAACTACTACTAATCAACGCCCATAATCATACAAAGCCCCCGCACCAATAGGATCCTCCCGAATCAGCCCTGACCCTTCTCCTTCATAAATTATTCAACTTCCCACACTATTAAAATTTACCACAACCACCACCCCATCATACTCTTTCACCCATAACACTAATCCTACTTCCATCACCAACCCCACTAAAACACTTACCAAGACCTCAACCCCTGACCCCCATGCCTCAGGATACTCCTCAATAGCCACCGCTGTAGTATATCCAAAAACAACCATCATTCCCCCCAAATAAATTAAAAAAACCATTAAACCCATGTAACCTCCCCCGTAATTCAGAATAATAACACACCCAATCACACCACTAACAATCAATACTAAACCCCCATAAATAGGAGAAGGCTTAGAAGAAAACCCCACAAACCCCATTACTAAACCCACACTCAACAGAAATAAAGCATACATCATTATTCTTGCACGGGCTACAACCACGACCAATGATATGAAAAACCATCATTGTATTTCAACTACAAGAACACTAATGACCCCAATACGCAAAATTAACCCCTTGATAAAATTAATTAACCGCTCATTTATCGACCTCCCCACCCCATCCAATATCTCCGCATGATGAAACTTCGGCTCACTTCTTGGTGCCTGCCTAATCCTCCAAATCACCACAGGACTATTCCTAGCCATACACTACTCACCAGACGCTTCAACCGCCTTCTCATCGATCGCCCATATCACCCGAGACGTAAATTATGGCTGAATCATCCGCTACCTTCACGCCAATGGCGCCTCAATATTCTTCATCTGCCTCTTCCTACACATCGGCCGAGGCCTATATTACGGCTCATTTCTTTACCTAGAAACCTGAAACATTGGCATCATCCTCCTACTTACAACTATAGCAACAGCCTTCATGGGCTATGTCCTCCCATGAGGCCAAATATCCTTCTGAGGGGCCACAGTAATTACAAACCTGCTATCCGCCGTCCCATACATCGGAACAGATCTGGTCCAATGAATCTGAGGAGGCTACTCAGTAGATAGTCCCACCCTCACACGGTTCTTTACCTTTCACTTTATCTTGCCCTTCATTATCACAGCCCTAGCAGCGCTCCACCTTCTATTCCTACACGAAACAGGATCAAACAACCCCCTAGGAATCACCTCCCATTCCGACAAAATCACCTTCCACCCCTACTACACAATCAAAGACATCCTCGGCTTATTTCTCTTTCTTCTCACCCTAATGACGTTAACACTATTCTCACCATGGTTAGGCCTTCCCTAACCATGCTCCTCAAAGAGAATTAGGTCTTCCCATTATTCTCTCTCACAGCACTCCTTTCTGATGCAGAGGCAGTATCTGAGCCACTAACAGTATGGATTGCCTGGAATCCAATCCTGACTCCACACTTACTAGCTGTGAGACCTTGGGCAAGTCACTTAGCAAGTCTCAGTTTCCTCCTCTGTAAAATTTGGGAAATCTATTTCACAGAGTTCTGTGAAGATTAAATGAATGAATACATGTAAAGTCCTTCCCATAGTGCCATGACCCATAGTTTAAGTGTTCACTAACCATTTGCTGTTAAGATTTTCCTTCCTAGGGCCGGGCAGGTGGCTCACGCCTGTAATCCCAGCACTTTGGGAGGCGGAGGTGGGTGGATCACGAGGTCAGGAGATCGAGACCATCCTGGCTAACACGGTGAAACCCCGTGTCTACTAAAAAAATAAATAAATAAATACAAAAAATTAGCTGGGCGTGGTGGCGGGCACCTGTAATCCCAGCTACTCGGGAGGCTGAGGCAGGAGAATAGCGTGAACCCAGGAGGCGGAGCTTGCAGTGAGCCCAGATCACGCCACTGCACTCCAGCCTGGGTGACAGAGCGAGACTCCGTCTCAAAAAAAAAAAAAAAAAGATTTTCCTTCCTGGCACTTAGCATAACTTGTAATGATACATTAACTTTTTTCTTTGTTTACATTCTCCCTCCCCCACTATACTGTATGCTCTGTGAGGATAAGGACAGTATCGGCTTTGTTAACTGATACCCCAGTGTCTGGCATAGTGTCTAGCCTACAGTAAGTGTTTGATAACTGTTTATTGTTAAGTGCATAAAAATCAAGAAAAACTTTCTAGAAATAGGTGGGATGTGAACAGAAGGGGCAGGATAGTGTGAGATGGGGCATGGAAAGGAGAAGAACAGTTTGAATAAAGGAAGAAAAGAACTGAACTGAGGAGCTGGGTGTGGTGGCTCACACCTGTAATCCCAGCTACACAAGAGACTGAGGCAGGAGGATCGCTTGAGCCCAGGAGTTCCAGGCTGCAACCTGGGTGACCGAACAAGACCCCATCTCTAAAAACAAAACAAAACAAAAACAAAAAAACCACTGAACTGAGATGAAAAGGGCCTTGGTTCCAATTCCTGCATGGACACTAATTTTTGTGGCCTTGGTCAAGGTACTCACCCTGTCTGAGCCTTGTTTTCCCCACTTCTTCAGTGAAAGGGATGAGTAGGTGACCTCTCATGAACATTGCAGTTCTAATCTCTGAGCAAAGAGGCTTCTTGCAGAGTAATGCGAGGTAGGCTTAGGGCTGGGCTGTGGGCAGCTTTGAAAACCTCTGAGAAGATGAAGCATGCCCTATAAAATATAATTGGAAGGCAGTGAGATTATCTGAGCAGAGACCAACTTGGTCATGACAAAGTGGCACGCAGGCCAGTGGAAGCAGGAAGAGCCTAAAGGTAACATGTGGCCAGGAAGCTCCTACCAGAACTCTAGAGGGAAGGCAGCTGTATCCAGGCCAGCAGCACAGTCCTGTGAAAGGCACTACAGGACGACTGACCAGTTCTTGGTAACAAATCACCAGGATAATTCTTCCGTTTCAGGTCTAGGTGCTTGAGAGGATGCTGGTGTGGCTACTGAGAGGAACAAGCCATTTGAAGGACAGTTAGAGAGACAAGAGTTTGCTTTCAGACACCCTAAACTGGTGGGAAAGCTACCCCAGGAGAGTACGCCACAGGAACCCCCCTGTACTCTGTGGCCCAGCTCACTGAACCCATTTTAGGGCCCTTATTTCCCAACACACTGCAGACAAAGTATGTCCTCTTACTCCCTGTCCTAGACCTATGTCACCTGCTAACCCCTCCCTTAGTGCCTTCCCTTACAACCACATACCAGATCTTCAAGAACCAACTCAAAACTCCCCTTCTCCAGGCAGCAGCCACCCTGAAGTGCACCTCCTGTGGCTTATTAGCACAGCACTTCACATTCTAGTACCTGACTAACATGGTAAGCTGAAAAAAATCAATCACCTTGTACAATTCAGATGTGCCACCTCCCCAGCAAAACTAGGAGATCTTCTGGGCAGAAACGAAACCAGGTCCTTCTGTTGCATCTTCCTCCTTCCACCTCTTGGATCCAGACCAGCACTAGCCCCTCAGTGGATATAAGCCCAACAGCTCTGCTGGGTTCACGAATCCTGACAGAACCACACCATGTGACTCCTGGCCCAGCCAGCCTGGGGCTGCTCCACCCACCTGGTGCATGTCCACCGACAGGGCTGCGATGGCGAGGACAGGGCACTTGAAGTCAGTTTGATGTATGATATAGCAAAAAGCCTCAGCAGCTGGGCTCAACGCCTGTATTCCCAACACTTTGGGAGGCCAAGGCGGGCGGATCACTTGAGCTCAGGAGTTCAAGTACAGCCTGGCCATGTTGGCCATGTTGGTGAAACACCATCTCTACTAAAAATACAAAAAATTAGCCAGGCTTGGTGGCAGGTGCCTCTAATCCCAGCTACTTGAGAGGCTGAGGTGGGAGAATCGCTTGAACCTAGGAGGTGGAGGTTGCAGTGAGCCAAGATCACACCATTGCACTCCAGCCTAGCCGACAGAGCGAGACTCCGTCTCAAAAAAAAAAAAAAGCCTCCATCCTGCCCTGTTGGCAGAGAGCACACAAGCAAACAGAGTCATTAGCAGCATTTGCTGTTTTGATAGGATTGATTTTAATGATACAATTAAATGACCTTTGATTGCTCAACAGTGATACCTGGGCTACTCCCAAACAAGTACAGCTTTGTTTGTTTCAGCTGGCGAATATTCCCTTCCTCTGGGAAGTATGGTAAAACCCATTTAAGGGAGAAAACTAATCCAGCAAGTAGTCCTTGGAAAACAAGATCTCGCCTAAAACAACAAAATCAAAAAAACAACCTTTCTATGTCACAGTAGGATCTAAAAATGTTGCTGTGGGAACCAGGGATGTGAGTCTTGCATCTGGTAACTGTGACATGACCCAGTATGACCACAAGTAATTCCATGATCTCAATCTTGTTTAGTGTCTTTCTGCGAAATTCAGTAAATGAGTCAGAATGCCCCACTCTAACCTAGATCAAAAGCGCAACATAATAGTAATTCTCTGCAACACAGGGGAGAGAATATTACTGCTTTGTTTTGTTTAAAAGGATGTAAGAAAAAGAGCAAAACATGGAGAGCTCAAAGCCAGGAAGAAGAACCTCAGCCACCTGCCCACACCGCTGGACCGAATCCCTCCTGAGGGCAGAAAGCAACTGGCCGCTACCCAGCCACAGGAATGTGAGTGCAGCACTGCTCAGCCACTACAGCTGCTCCATCAGGCACCCAATATTTGTATTCTGACACATCTAAATGCAAGTTCTGTGTCATGGCCCTAAAGCACCACAACTATGGACAAAACTGCAGTGCAAACCCGAAAGCTATTGATAATGGCAGTACTGAAGCGGTGGGCAGGCATACTAACGAAAAACAGAAACAGAACAGAAATGAGCAAGACCAAAATACTTTTAAGTTATTATTTAAGGTCTCCTTTCAATTATTTTCTGCAATTATTGAGCCAGCAGTCTATTGTTATTAATTCACAGTCAACCTATTTAAGCGGTACCAGCAATGCAGGCAAATGCCTCAGCAATTTCCTAAGTTTTGGGTGTTATTTTCTTGTCAGTTAAATTTAAAGCAACCCATTTGTGACCACTTTATACCAAGTTAATCTCATCTAAAGTGCTTCACAGACCCTAACAGCTACACTAAGGTTTTATACTAATGAAAGCAATTTACATAAATGAAATTTATGTCACTGCATTTCATGACAAATTTTTTATTTTATAATAATTATGGTACTTATATGATAACATCTGTTGATATTCACAGTCTAAACCTGGCACAGATTTAAACCCACAACATTTTCCATGCATCATGTACATTATCTGTGAAAAGCAATAAAAAAAAGCAATGAATGCATTAATCATACCAATATCATCTGCAAAGCATAAATCTGAAATACCTTTCACGTCAGCTCAAACTGCTTTTTTATTTTTTACACACCTGATTTTACTCCATCTGTAAAAGGGCAAGACAAAGACTGTTGAGGAAATTATACTTCTTGGCTGCTTGACTTTAACAAAATACTCAGGCTAAGTTCTGTAAACAGAAGATTTACTACATGACTAAGAGCAAATTATGCAGTTAAAAGTCCATTTTTATTAAAGGGTGGTGTAAGGACCATGGTGTTTTCACACTGCAGTGTGGTGTCATATTTGCATTGTTGACACCTGTTTTACATTTCTCCTCATCTATCTGTTGCATGCGCTTTTACAAATACACGCCAGGTCTAGACCTACTGTACGACACAATCAGCAGCAACAAAGCTCCAAATGATAACATTTCAGGCTCTTATTTCCCTACCCTGGTGGACGCCAACACTGACATTCTAGCCACCTCCTGGGAGCATCAGCGTGGTCCTGCTCAGGAAGAACTCCAAAGGGAACACCAACATGAACACTACACAGATATTTTTACTAGCTTCTCACACTTTAGGTAAAGTTTGCTAAAATATGAGTGTCTCTATTCTATTCCAATGAAAACTATGAACACTTTCTCAGGTTTCTAGTCTGCTGTGGTTACAAAGCCAATCATGAGCACATGTTAAATGCAACAGTGTGTGTGACAGCCATACGAGTTTTCACTTTACCTGGTGCCAGACACACAAACACTAGCTTATACTTTCAAATCAAAACGACATTTTTTAATTTTTATTTTATTTTATTTTTTGAGATGGAGTACTCTGTCGCCCAGGCTGGAGTGCAGTGCCGTGATCTCTGCTCACTGCAACCTCCGCCTCCCGGGTTCAAGCCATTCTCCTGCCTCAGCCTCCCAAGTAGCTGGTATTACAGGCACCTTCTACCACGCCCAGCTGATTTTTGTATTTTTAGTAGAGAAGGGGTTTCGCCATTTTGGCCAGGCTGGTGTCGAACTCCTGACCTCTGGTGACCCGCCTGCTTCGGCCTCCCAAAGTGCTGGGATTACAGGTGTGAGCCACCATGCCCAGCACAAAATGACATTTTCTAACCTATATGATGCCCAGGCCACAGGCATCCTCTTTGGGAGTGCTTCCCTATCCTCCACAGGTAGAATATCCTCTTTAAAGAGTGCACAGATGCATTACTCACTCATAACTTTGATGTGCACAACAAAGAACAATCAAACCCAAACTAATTCATTCACAATGAGAGCTATCGAGACTTCCACCAATATTCTGTGGAGGATTGTTAAGACTTTCATCAGCAGTTGTCTTTCTTCTGGTATCATCAAGCCTTTGACTTCACTAAGTGTTTCAAAATGTTCACCATAAGCCTATTATCAAATTCCTCAATAAAACATTTTTATAAAGTAAGGCAGCAAAAGTAACTTTGAACTGCTCTACACAGGAGTCTCTGTGGACACAGGAAAAGAAACATTTTACGAACCCCAAAGTCACATATGGTGCTACTGCTGCTAGGATGTGCAGAGCACCACCAACCCAGCCTGGGCACCCAGAGAACTCCTCCTCCCTCCCGCTGCAGCTCCAGAAAGCTTCAGTGGCAGCAGCACAGCAACCAAAAGGTGAGGGTGATGAACAAGATACAAAACCAATAAAGCTTGGACTTTGCCCTGAATATCAACCAGCTCATATGATTCCATCCAATATGACTGAATGCCCTGCTGGGCAGGCCCACCGAAGAAAGCACAGACAGGGCCCAGGAGCTCCTCCGCAGAGAACCACCGCTGATTCTCACAAAGCTTGGTCCCTTCCTCCTGAATCACCATTGGAAACTCCTCATGTCCTACACACAAAATTTATCATTCACCCAAGCGCCCAGCCACTGCCGCTTACCTGTTCCTGATCCTGAGCTTATTTCCATGCTGAACAAGGGTAGCCCCAGGTATTCAGAAGTGAAAGAACAGGGACAGCCTTCTGGGGGGCAGAAAGGGGTGTTGCCGCCTGGCCCGGCTGGGCTCCTGCCCTGGAGGGCTCCACCTGCTGGCACCTGTAGTAGCTATTTCCTAGGTTCCAAAGCCTCACCTTCTGCACCTACTTTTAAACTTAAAATCTCCTCGGATTTTGTAAGCTTCCAGTTCATCCCATACATGTCAATGCATAACAAAATCTGTCTTTATGGGACTCTCACACCCACATTTCTACCTGACATTTTGTTCTTTCAACACAGACATCCTGCAGTTACCAAACACCTAAGTTTATATGTCACTTGCAGACCTCTCCCACCTTCTGTCTACAGGAACAACAAAAAAGCAAAGTTCCTTTACAAATGCCAATCCCACCCTGTCTGGGTCCAAGCACTCCTAGTGTGGAAACTCCCTGCCTCGAGTCCCACCACTGCCATGCTCTGTCTGCTCACAGAGTCACTGTCTGTCACCAACATACTGTCCATTGACGCACTGCAGAGCCCATGTACCACCACCAAGGGTGGAAACAGGAGGCTAACAGCAACTGACACCTATGGCTACTTCATCCACCTATGCTAGGAGAATCCCTTGAAAACTCCGTACTTATAATCTCCAAGTATTTGTATCCATCTGAGCTATCCAATGAATTTGGATTATTTGGAACTAACCATACCTTAGAATAAAACTCTGAGAGAAAAGAAGTTCAAATGTGTTTTGGGGGCTATTTATTCTTATAGTAAACCTGGAATAACTCAAAGCTTCAAGAAATAGGTTTTTCATCCACGGTCACTGAAATATTTCCAAAATAGTTCATTTTTCATAGCAGCAAAAGAAATGAAGACTAAAGCAAACTTGTGATACCACTGTACACAAACTACATTAGCAAATCATTTAACTGTGACACCCAACCAAGTAAAATCATACTCCTGAAAATTGTATTAAAAATAAAAAGACTAAAGAACTGAAAAATGCTCATAACCTATTGAGCAATACAAACAAAATGAATTTTTTAACCCTATATTCAGCAAAGATTTTTTTTTTGAGATAGTCTCACACTTTCGCTCAGCCTGGAGTGTGGTAGTGCAATCACAGCTCACTGCAGCCTCTACCTCCTGGGTTCAAATGATTCTCCAACCCTAGCCTCCCTCCCATGTAACTGAGACCACAGGTGCATGCCACCACTCTTGGCTAATTTTTATTTTTGTAGAGATGGAGTCTCCTTGTGTTGCCCAGGCTAGCCTCAAACTCCTTGGCTCAAGCAACCCACTCAACTCGGCCTCCCAGAGTTCTGGGATTACAGGCGTGAGCCATCGTGCCTGGCCCCCAAATTTTTTTCCAATATGACACCACCAAGTGTGGGTCACACTCTTTCAGGGAGAGGGTGTCTTTAGTTCTGACTGTGGCTTTGTCCAGTCTGTAGAGCTCAGGCCAGGAGAGGTGCTGCCATTGCTATGAGTATATGGAGCACAACAGGCCTCCCTTAAACCCCACTGAGGGCAGGGTTGCAGCAAGGGAGATATGTTCTCACCATGGTGTGCATATGCTCATGGAAATGGCTGCTCACAATAAAAAATTAGAGGCCTGGTGCAGCGGCTCATGCCTATAACCCCAATACTTTGAGAGGCTGAGGCAGGAGGATCACTTGAGCCCAGGAGTTCAAGACCAGCCTGGGCAACATGGAGAAACCCCCTTTCTGCAAAAAAAAATTCAAAAATTAGCCAGGCATGGTGGCACACACCTGTAGTACCAGCTACTCAGGAGGCTGAGGTGGGATGATCGCCTGAGCCCAGGGAGTTCAAGGCTGCAGTGAGTCATGACCACACCACTGCACTCCAGCCTGGGCAACAGAATTAGACCCTGTCTCAAAAAAAAAAAAAAAAAAAAAAAAAAAATTAGAGGCCCATCAGGCTTTAATAGACATCCCCATACATCCTATTTGCATACATGCAGAACAATATTTAGAAGATAAATTTCTAGGTTAGGACAATGGATATGTCCTTTTTTTTCTTTTTTTGAGACACAGTCTCGCTTTGTCACCCAGGCTGGAGTGAAATGGTGTGATCTCGGCTCACTGCAACCTCCGCCTCCCAGGTTCAAGCGATTCTCCTCCCTCAGCCTCCTGAGTAGCTGGGATTACAGGCGCACGCCACCACGCCTGGTTAATTTTTGTATTTTTGGTAGAGACAGGGTTTCACCAGGTTGGTCAGGCTGGTCTCGAACTCCTGACTTCGTGATCCACCTACCTCAGCTTCCCAAAGTGCTGGGATTACAGATGTGAGCCACCGCGCCCGGCTCTGGTATGTGAGTTTTAAAAGTTGATAGGCATTGCTCAATTTCCCTTCAAAAAGATGATGTCAACTGGGTGCAGTGGCTCATGCCTGTAATCCCAACACTTTGGTAGGCCGAGGCGGGCAGATCACCTGAGGTCAGGAATTCAAGACCAGCCTGGCCAACATGGCAAAACCCCATCTCTACTATAAATACAAAAAATTAGCTGGGCATGATGGCGGGCGCCTGTAATCCCAGCTACTCTGGAGGCTGAGGCAGAAGAATCACTTGAATCTGGGAGGTGGAGGTTGCAGTGAGCCAAGATCGCACCATTGTACTCCAGACTGGGTGACAAGAGTGAAACTCCATCTGAAAAAAAAAAAAATAGATGATGTCAAATGACACTCTCAGCTCATCACTATCACCTCCCCATCACAACTGTACTTCCCTACCCTGCCGAGACTCCAAGGGCCAGCGTTTCTGTCCCTCCCTTTTTTCCCTTGTCCCTCTGTTCCTCCATTGCATTCATTTAGCAAAAGTTCAGTCCTTGTTAAGCCCAACTCTGCATCTACTCCAGCTTGTGCACAGCAGCGGAACACAGCAGGAAAAAAAACATACAAAATGTTCACTTTAAATGTTTGACCCCAAATCTGTAGTGACACTGAGAACTGCTTAGCAACCAGCCACGTTTCTCAAGTTTTTTCACTATCTTAGTCTCCAAAATGACTATTCCACTCCTTCTCTTATCTCCCCAGGTCTCCAACACTCTTCCCTTCCACCCCTACTTGCTCTCAATTGATGATCTCACTAAAAAACAAAAGCAATCAGGAGAGAATGGCCCTCTTTTTCCCAGGATGAATGTAACGGCCTATTGGCATCTAAACCACAATGGACATATCATCGCTGTGCCTCCACTGCCCATCTGATCCTGTCCTCTCCTGCCTAACTGGACCATGCTCTCACAGTGATCCCCTCTGACAACTCACAAACTGCTGTCTCAGCCTGAACTCCAGCCTCTTACACCCACCTCCTAACCCAATAACTCCATTTGGATGACTAATAAGTACCTCAAACCTGACATGTGAAAACAGGATTCTCACCTCCATACCCCTGCCCCCCACCTTGCACCCCATCTTCCACAGCTCAGTAAATGGCTCCAGTGGCACTACCCTTTACACTATAGCTTGAACCAAAACCTTGGTGCCATCCTTGACCCTCCCCTATCACACATCCAATCATTCAGCAAGTCTTGATTATTCTACTTTCAAAATATGTGGAACCCTACATTTCTCTCCATCCCCACTGATACCTCCATAAGACCCCCATCATCCCCGGTCTAGACATCTGCAACAGTGTTCTACAGAGTCTGCCTGCTTCCACTCTGACCTTCCTACCGCCTATTCTGAGCAGAACAGCCAGGGTGATTTTTTAGAACACAGCCACAGGATGACACTTCTCTGCCTGAAATCCTCCATTAGCTTTCCTTCACAGAATAAAATCCAAACTCCTCACCACGCCAAGAAGGCCCCCATGCTCTGACCCTTCCCCTCGTCTCCTCGCCTGCTCCACTCCACACTGGCCTTCTGCTTCTGGCTCAATCATGCCAAGGTCATTCTGCTTTGGAAACTCTGTGCTTGCTGTTCTCCAGCTGGAAAGCTCTTCCCTTGGATCACCATGTGCTGAGCTCCTTCACATTATTCAGGCCTCAGAGATCCCCTCCCCAGAGAGGACTTTCCAGACCACTCTACCTCCAAGAGTGCCTCTGTCCCCCTCCACTCCAATTCCCTACTTTATTCTTCAGGGTACTCATCACTAGCTGAAATTATATTTCCTATTCATCTGTTTATTGTTTATTTTCCCACTGGGATGGGAGCTGTATGAGCTTAGAGTAGCACCTAGCACACAGAAAATGCTTAATAAATCTTTGTTGAATTAATAAATATTTCATGATAAAATTTAAAAAATTTTTTTAAATGTAACCACATGTATAACTGGCATGCTCTGGCATACTTGGCAAACAAACATACCCATGGAGAAAGACCAGAAGAGAACAGAGAAAAATAAAAGTAGTTGCGATTGGAAATTTTTTTTACTTACACCATCCTATTTTAATGTTATGCTGTTGTTACAATAAAAAACAATGGCTTTTCTGTCCTAAATGAAAGATGAATGAGGACCCATCAGCGCCAGAGGGTCACTACTCTACTCACGAGTTGTGAGCAAGAGAAAACCAACTCCTGACACCTGGGCGCTGGCCTGGTACTATCAACCAGTCCTTGGTGCTCTCCTTTCGAACATCAACATCAACACCAGACAAGGCCACTCTGTGACCATGATGGATGAAGACAAAAACAAGACCACTCTGCAATACCTGAACACAGACAAAACATGAACATTGTCCAAGCCACAAAATACCAAACATCCTCCTCTCCCAGCTAATGAGTGACTATTGCTTCTTCTTCAGTTTCAGCTTTGGCACTGCTTTAATCTACTCTCCCTATAGATACGATTTATTAAAATACCAAATGACAGAGTTGCCCATTTCCTGACAGCATCTAATCCAGAGTAAAGTCCCCAAATCACTACCACAGCCCAAATCCTATATGGGCTCACCCCACGGTGCCCTTTGGTGTGCACTCTCCCTCACAGCAATAAGCAATAAGCTCAACTTGTTCGACTGTAGGTGTGTTCCTAGTTGTGTTTCGCTGGAGGGCACTGACAACTGTCAGGACACCAGTTACCATTACAGGCCATGGTACACGCAGAAGTCATAGGAGCCTAGTGGGAAAACTGACCCCCGGATATAATCTCAGTGTTGGTTCTCTGAATACATTCCCTGACATCAGCTGATTTTCTTGTCATCTGCCTCTTTTTCCTAAAAGTTGGGTGAATGGGAAAAAAAAAGTCTACTTAATTAAATGCCCCAGTGAATAATGTTACAATCAATCCAGTATGCTTCCCTACCATTGCTGAAAGTCACCCTGAGCGCAAGGTCAGAATGGTGCTGGAGGACTGAATCATAGGCAGGGCCTGAGGCAACACCATTCGAGTACTTTAAGCCACATGTTCAAGCCCAATAAATTAGGCCAGGTTTAAAGAAGTCAAGCTGTACATATGTAAGAATTTTAATAAGCTTGGAAAATGCTACCTAGAGCTTATGCACAGGCTTACTGTACCAATGGGATTCCCTGCCACCAGCCACAGCGTGCTAAGCCCCTAACAAGAGCTGTTGAGCACGTGGGGCAGCGGGGACAGGGAGTCTGCTTGGTCCAGGTTTCCTTAGGAGTTGGAGACTCACAGCAGAGGCTGGCAGCCAGATGGATAGAGAACAGAATCGGGCATGCAGCTCAGTGGAGCCAATGACATTTACTAGGAAAACATGCCGAAGGTTTCTTTGGTGCAAATCTGGTCCTCACACACCCTTCTAGAAACTAGCAAACACTGTAATCAATGTCTGCATTTATCAAATGCCTGTTTGTACCCAGAACTGTGTTGGGTACAATAGAGAGTTATTTAAGCAAACATGGTCTCTGACTTCTAGATGCCGACACCCAATATAAATAAAAACAATAAATCTGTCCAAAGGATTACCAAACTAACTGAACAAACAAAATAGTCAAAAGCATTTACCTTTTACAAATGCAGTGGTGTAATAACTGAAGGTTAAGTCATGGGAGATGACTCTCTAAACAGGGTGGGTCCCTAATGGAACAGTTACCTTGTTAAAGCTGACTTCCAAGGGGGAGGTCAGGTTTTAAGAAAAGGTTCAGGATCTGGCTACTGGGCTGGAGAAAAATAAGCCAGTCAGGGAAAAGGGTGCAGCCTGGGAGATGACTGAGAGATAGAAATTTAACTGCAGGAAGAAAGAAAAATTACCAACGGCCCAGAAAAAGTCAGGGAAAATAAGTCAAGCAGGTACATCTTCCTCAACCAGTTTTATTCATGCCCCTTTCTGATAAGTATAAAAAGCTCAGGCTGGGCACAGTGGCTCATATCTCTATTCCCAGCACATTGGGAGGCCAAGGCAGGAGGATCGCTTGAGGCCAGGAATTTGAGACCAGTCTGGGCAACATAGCCAGACCCTGCCTCTCCAAACAATGCAAAAATTAGCTGGGCATGGCACATGCCTGTAGTCCCAGCTACTCAGGAGGCTAAGGTGGGAGGATCACCTGAGCCCAGGAGGTCGAGGCAGCAGTAAGCCACAATCATACCACTGTACTCCAGCCTGGGCAACAGAGCAAGACCCTGTCTCAAAAAATAATAATCAATAATAAAAGGCTTACACTCTCTTTTAATGTTATTTGAAATTTCAAAAGAAACTACATATCCTAACCAACACCATACCAAAGCAATAGTGGTTTCAGAATTTGTTTTCCAAGTAACACAAACCACCCTCTTCCCCCAGAGCTAAACACCACCCAGGTGGGTGGTAGCAACTGTCAACAAGGATGTCACTCTATCACTGAATTCTTAAAGAAGGGAAGAGTTGAATCCTAGATCTACATGGGACCAGACAACTGGCAGAATCAGAAAGTGTTATGGCCTAAGGTGACTAAAATAGACCACAGCCCTAGCAAGAATTTATAACAATTACCTGATTAAAATTGTGGAAGGAGAATTCTTTGTAGATGGCATCTCTCTCACTTAATTCCGACCATCCTGCTGCTTTAAGGTCAAGTATAGCTTGGTTCCTCTCCTCTGCAGTCAACCTGTGAGTACCTGATGACTATGAAGAGAACACATTTCATATCTGAAAATGTACAAGTTTACTCAAACTCAAACTTATGGCTCCTTACCTTAAGCAGAGATGTAGAAAAGTCTGAAAGGCAACAAATTCTAACCATCTTTCATTCCTTTGTTCTCTTAAAGAGACCAAAGCAAGGCTAGCTCTGTGCAAAATAAGCTGCCTCCATGGCATGTCACCTCTGGCTCCCTTACTGCTGCCTCAAACTTCACAATTCAGCTTCTCTGGTTGGTTGGTTGGTTGTTTCGAGACAGGGTCTCGCTCTGTCGCCCAGGCTGGAGCGTAGTGGTGCAATCACAGCTCACTGCAACCTCCGCCTCCTGGGCTCAAATGATCCTCCCACCTCAGCCTCCCAAGTAGCTGGGACTACAGGTGCACACCACCACACCCAACTAATTTTTTGTATTTTTGGTAGAGAGGGATTTTCACCATGTTGCTCAGGCTGGCCTTGAATTCCTGAGCTCAAGTGATCTGCCCACCTGGACCTCCCAAAGTGCTGGAATTACAGG